>NC_000019.10:54740874-55365874 GCF_000001405.40 Homo sapiens | reverse complement strand
AGGCCTGGGGGGCATCTGTGCCTTATTTATACTTATTTATTTCAGGAGCAGGGGTGGGAGGCAGGTGGACTCCTGGGTCCCCGAGGAGGAGGGGACTGGGGTCCCGGATTCTTGGGTCTCCAAGAAGTCTGTCCACAGACTTCTGCCCTGGCTCTTCCCCATCTAGGCCTGGGCAGGAACATATATTATTTATTTAAGCAATTACTTTTCATGTTGGGGTGGGGACGGAGGGGAAAGGGAAGCCTGGGTTTTTGTACAAAAATGTGAGAAACCTTTGTGAGACAGAGAACAGGGAATTAAATGTGTCATACATATCCACTTGAGGGCGATTTGTCTGAGAGCTGGGGCTGGATGCTTGGGTAACTGGGGCAGGGCAGGTGGAGGGGAGACCTCCATTCAGGTGGAGGTCCCGAGTGGGCGGGGCAGCGACTGGGAGATGGGTCGGTCACCCAGACAGCTCTGTGGAGGCAGGGTCTGAGCCTTGCCTGGGGCCCCGCACTGCATAGGGCCTTTTGTTTGTTTTTTGAGATGGAGTCTCGCTCTGTTGCCTAGGCTGGAGTGCAGTGAGGCAATCTGAGGTCACTGCAACCTCCACCTCCCGGGTTCAAGCAATTCTCCTGCCTCAGCCTCCCGATTAGCTGGGATCACAGGTGTGCACCACCATGCCCAGCTAATTATTTATTTCTTTTGTATTTTTAGTAGAGACAGGGTTTCACCATGTTGGCCAGGCTGGTTTCGAACTCCTGACCTCAGGTGATCCTCCTGCCTCGGCCTCCCAAAGTGCTGGGATTACAGGTGTGAGCCACCACACCTGACCCATAGGTCTTCAATAAATATTTAATGGAAGGTTCCACAAGTCACCCTGTGATCAACAGTACCCGTATGGGACAAAGCTGCAAGGTCAAGATGGTTCATTATGGCTGTGTTCACCATAGCAAACTGGAAACAATCTAGATATCCAACAGTGAGGGTTAAGCAACATGGTGCATCTGTGGATAGAACGCCACCCAGCCGCCCGGAGCAGGGACTGTCATTCAGGGAGGCTAAGGAGAGAGGCTTGCTTGGGATATAGAAAGATATCCTGACATTGGCCAGGCATGGTGGCTCACGCCTGTAATCCTGGCACTTTGGGAGGACGAAGCGAGTGGATCACTGAAGTCCAAGAGTTCGAGACCGGCCTGCGAGACATGGCAAAACCCTGTCTCAAAAAAGAAAGAATGATGTCCTGACATGAAACAGCAGGCTACAAAACCACTGCATGCTGTGATCCCAATTTTGTGTTTTTCTTTCTATATATGGATTAAAACAAAAATCCTAAAGGGAAATACGCCAAAATGTTGACAATGACTGTCTCCAGGTCAAAGGAGAGAGGTGGGATTGTGGGTGACTTTTAATGTGTATGATTGTCTGTATTTTACAGAATTTCTGCCATGACTGTGTATTTTGCATGACACATTTTAAAAATAATAAACACTATTTTTAGAATAACAGAATATCAGCCTCCTCCTCTCCAAAAATAAGCCCTCAGGAGGGGACAAAGTTGACCGCTGATTGAGCCTGTCAGGGCTGTGCACTAAGTGTGGGCTTTTTACTTACACAATCCTCCTGGACTCTTGAATACGCCCTGTTTTACAGGCGAGGGAAACTGAGTCTCAGACAAGGAGTGGGGACTCTGTTGCACAAAGTCACACAGCTAGGGAGAGGTGGAAGTGGGATTCTGCGCCGTGTCTGGCTCTTTCCCAAAGCTCTCTTTGCAAGTCGGTGTTGAGGAATCCTCGCCACATGCACACACATGAGATATGGAGAAACAGGTTCAGTAAGGATTTGGGTCTTACCCAGGGCCTAGAGAAGGGTCAATGGCAGAGTAGGGATGATAATTCAAATGCTTTAGTTACTTTTCCCTTTACAATAACCCAGACAGACTTCCAGGGGCCCCGTGTCGTCACTAGTTTGAGTCTGGGGTTGGAGGTGCCCATCCTGGGCCCGGAGTTTTGATTCACCCATCATAGCCCTCAAGACTCCAGGCTGGCTGGGCGCGGTGGCTCACGCCTGTAATCCCAGCACTTTGGGAGGCTGAGGCGGGTGGATCACTTGAGGTCAGGAGTTCAAGGCCAGCCTGACCAACATGGAGAAACCCTGTCTCTACTAAAAATACAATCCAGCTACTCGGAAGGCTGAGGCAGGAGAATCGCTCGAACCCAGGAGACGGGGGTTGCGGTGAGCCGAGATCACATCACAAACAGCCCTAGGCAGTGCGGGGCCCCAGGCGAGGCTCAGACCCTGCCTCCACAGAGCTGTCTGGGTGATCGTGCCTCCTCCGTGGAGGCAGGGTCTGAGCCTCGCCTGGGGCCCCGCACTGCATAGGGCTGTTTGTTTTTGCGATGGAGTCTCGCTCTGTTGCCTAGGCTGGAGTGCAGTGTGGCAATCTAAGCTCACTGCCTGGGCAACAAGAGTGAAATTCCATCTCAAAAAACAAAAAACAAACAAACAAACAAAAAACTCCAGGCTGTATCCCTGGAGGAGAAGGGAGCCCACAGTCCCCGGAGAGTTCCTGGAAGAGGCCCCTGTGTGTCCGATGAGGTCACAAAGCCCCTCCACCAGAGGCTCCTCCCCCAGACCCCTGCTGTCCACCCTGGCAGGGCCATGGCGGAGGCCCGAGTCTCCCAGCCTGGGGCATCTCCACGCTCTGTAACGCTGAGCTCCAGGCACCCGTGAAGCCCCACGGGTCAAGGCTGGTGGGCCGGGGCTGGGAGGCCTGCACGCCTGGGTTCTGGGTCCCTAAACCAGTACCCATCCACCACAGCCACCATGATCTGGCTTCGAAACAGGAGGTGCCTTGAGCCGCTCCAGGGCACCCCGAAGTGGGTCCCTGTTCTGGGGGAGCTGCAAAAGACCCTCCAGAAGGGCGAGTACCTGCCCCTCCGTCCGCTGCCCATGTTCGAGAGTAACTTTGTTCAGGTCTCCAGTTCCCAGTGCCCCGGGGCTGAGAGGGACAGAGGGGAAGCAAGGCCCCCCGTGCTGGGGGATCTTGAGAGGGAACGGGATTTAGCAGTCACTGTGTGGGGGACGATCAGGAGGGAGGCTCAGGCTGTGGCTGCTGGAGGAAGGAGTGGTCCCAGCCCCCTCTCCCTGGCTGCCCCAGGTGACCCATCAAGGGGGCCCAGTGTTCGTGAATCACAGAACCAACCGGCTGGCCATGGGCGTGGCCGCCTCCCTGCCAGGCCTGGTGTTGCCTGACATCTTGCTGATCGGCCAGCCCGCCGAGGACAGGGACTGCTCCGGCCTCGTGCTGACCAGGTGCCGCATCCCCCAACCCCTCGGCCGCCCCCTCCACCCCTCCTGCTCTAGACGCTCCCCTCTCCCTCTCCCAGGATGATCCCCCTGGACCTCGTCCACCTCTGCGTCCATGACCTCTCTGCCTGGCGCCTGAAGCTGCGCCTGGTCTCGGGCCGCCAGTACTACCTGGCCCTGGACGCCCCTGACAACGAGGTGGGCTTCCTGTTCCACTGCTGGGTCCGCCTCATCAACCTGCTTCAGGAGCCGGCTCCCACCTGGACCCCCAGGACCACGCGCACGGCCCCCCTGGATATGCCGCTGGCCGAAGCGCCTGCCTCCACCTGGCACCTGCAGGTGGGATCCCAGCTCCACAGACCAGGGCATGGCAGGCCCCAGGAACCCTCCGGCCAGATCCAGAGGGGACTGCGACCAAGAGCCCAAAGTCTAGGCCGGGGGCCTGGACCCCTGAGTAGAGGGAGGAGGGGCTGGGGGCCTGGACCCCTGAGTCGAGGGAGGAGATGCTGGGGGCCTGGACTCCTGGGTCTGAGGGAGGAGGAGCTGGGGGCCTGGACCCCTGAGTCGAGGGAAGAAGGGCCTGGGGTCCTGGACTCCTGGGTCTAGGGAGGAGCTAAGGGCCCTGGACTCCTGGGTCTGAGGGAGGAGGGACTGGGGGCCTGGACTCCTGGGTCTGACGGAGGAGCTAAGGGCCCTGGACTCCTGGGTCTGAGGGTGAAGGGCTGGCAGTCTGAACTCTCCTGGGTCTGAGGGAGGAGGGGCTGGGGGACTCCTGGGTCTGAGGGAGGAGGGGCTGTGGGGTCTGGACTCCTGGGTCTGAGGGTGGAGGGCTGGCAGTCTGAACTCCTGGGTCTGAGGGAGGAGGGGCTGGGGACTCCTGGGTCTGAGGGAGGAGGAACTGAGGCCTGGACCCCTGAGTCAAGGGAGGAGAGGCTGGGGCCCTGGACTCCTGGGTCTGAGGGAGGAGGGACTGGGGGCCTGGACTCCTGGGTCTGACGGAGGAGCGGCTGGGGGCCTGGACTCCTGGGTCTGAGGCAGGAGGAGCTGGATCGTCAGGTCCTGGGAGCAGGAGGGGGCCTAGGCCTCTCGCTGGGTAGGTTATGGAGATGTGGAAGCCCGGGCCCCTCCTGCCTCCCTCTATCTCTGCAGGACCAGCCCATCAGCAGACATGCAGGTGAGCAGGCCCTGCTGTTTGTCAGGACCTCTGGGTTCTCCCCGTCGCAGGGACAGAGCTGCACCCTTTGGCTCTTCCCCCTTCCTTGGTGGGGCCCTCCACAAGCTCCTGGGGTAGGTCCTCGTGCCCTCCCCTGGGGTCCCTGACCCAGGATGTCTCCTCTCTTCCCAGTCAGGGTTGCTGAGCGCAACTTTCCGCATAAGACGGTGGCTGCTCAGAGACAGAGGAAGGCCAAGGTGAGCCGGCGGGGTGGTGTGGGCCCAAGGGGCTGCCCCTGTCTAACCGTCCCTTCCTCACCCACTCCAGGCGCTCAAGCGCAGTTTCAAGTCTCAGGCCGTGGGCGACTCTGTGCCCCTCATCTGGTCGCAGCTGGAGCATGCTGACGTCAGGAAGAAACCTGCAGAAAAGAAGTGGGCGTGGGGTCTTGTTGCCGGTGGGTGGGTGGGAGAAGGTGGGAGACCCCAGCCCAGATGCCACCAAAGTCCCACGGTATTGCTCCTGCAGGTCCCACTCAGACCCCCGCCCCGACAGAACTCACACCCAAATCCGCTTGCCTGGTAAGATCAACCCACCCCACCCCTTGCCACAGTGTGTGGCTCTGGTTCCTGCCCCAAAGGGCTCAGACGGCTCCCCCATCCAGAGAAGACCAGCATCACCACCTGGACCATCTTCAGCATCATTTCCAGCACCGCCAACCAGACACAGTCCTCTCCAAAGGCCAGCCTTATACCCGGGGCAGGGCCCAGGCCCCAGAGCTGAGGGAGGAGGGGCTGGAGGCCTGGACTCCTGGGTCTGAGGGAGGAGAGGCTGGGACCTGGACTCCTGGGTCTGAGGGAGGAGGGGTGGGGGGCCTGGACTCCTGGGTCTGAGGGAGGAGGAACTGCGGCCTGGACTTCTGTGTCTGAGGGAGGAGGGGTGGGGGGCCTGGACTCCTAGATCTGAGGGAGGAGGGGCTGGGGGCCTGGACTCCTGAGTCTGAGGGAGGAGGAGCTGGGGCCTGGACTCCTGAGTCTGAGGGAGGAGAGACTGGGGCCTGGACTCCTCAGTCTGAGGGAGGAGGGGCTGGGGGTCTGGACTCCTGGGTCTGAGGGAGGAGGAGCTGGGGCCTGGACTCCTGAGTCTGAGGGAGGAGGAGCTGGGGCCTGGACTCCTGAGTCTGAGGGAGGAGGGGCTGGGGGCCTGGACTCCTGAGTCTGAGGGAGGAGGAGCTGGGGCCTGGACTCCTGAGTCTGAGGGAGGAGGGGCTGGGGGCCTGGACTCCTGGGTCTGAGGGAGGAGGGGCTGGGGGCCTGGACTCCTGAGTCTGAGGGAGGAGGGGCTGGGGCCTGGACTCCTGAGTCTGAGGGAGGAGGGAGCAGGGGTCTGCCCTCCCGGGTCTGGGGTCTCCATGCATCCTGACCATGTATCCTCTCCCCTCTGTCCACCTACAGGCCTGCACATCTGCATCTGATGAAGCCACAGGCCAGGGACATGTGGTTGAGAGCCCTTCACACTGTGTCTCAGCTGACAGCCCTGATGGCTTCTTTCTGGGCTCCTGCAGCTCCCTGGACCCGTGCCTGTGGCATCAGGACACGGAAGACCTCATGGACTCTGGGGGCAGCACTTTGTCGTCTGCTGCCTCCGGTCTGGCTCCCTATCCCCCGGCTGCCTGCCTCTCCACACCCTACTCTTCCATCCCCAGGGGCAGGGAAAAGGCCGGGCCTATGGGCTCCCACCAGGGGCCGGGGCCACCACCCTGCCAGAAGGCCCCATCTGGCCTTGTCACATCTTGTAAGGCACCGTTCCTTGTTGACCAGTCCCAGAAGCTCCCAGCTGTACCTGCTTCATCGTGGAAACCCCCACCTGGATTGGCTCCTCCCCAGAAGGCCCCAGCTGCGTCAGCTCCTCCCCGGAAGGCCCCAGCTGTACCTGCTCCATCCCAGAAGGCCCCAGCCGTACCTGCTCCATCCCAGAAGGCCCCAGCCATACCTGCTCCATCCCGGAAGGCCTCAGCTGCGTCAGCTTCTCCCCGAAAGGCCTCAGCCGTACCTGCCCCACCCCAGAAGACCCCACCCCCATCTCAGAAGGCCCCATCTGTACCTACCATTCCCCAGAAGGCTGTGTCCCCCACTGCTCCAAAGAAGAAATCTCTACTCCTCCCTGCCCCATCCCAGAAGGCTCTGCCAACCTCACCTACCGAATACCAGATGGCGCTGAGCCCGCCTGCCTCACGGGGGAAGCTCCCTGGCGATTTTGACGTGTTGCCAACAGGAATTCCTGGAAGAGCCGTGCTGGAGAGAAGCCAGTCTGGAGGGAAACCGGAGCCGGTGGTGACGGTGCGCACCCAGGAGACAGACGTGGTGGAGATGACGACTCAGGCCAAGTCCCCGGAGTCGCCCTTCACCGTGACCAAGAAGGAGTCCAAGGACATCCTGATTAGCCAAACCAAGGAGGTGACCCTGGAGGCCTTCAGGGGCCAGGGGAAGTTGGAGGACTGGGCCCACTGGGCGAAGCTTGAAGAGAGGTCCCCGGACCTGCCTGGCGTGAGATCCAAGGAGTTGGAGCAGCGGAAGAGATGGGTCAAGGCCAAGGAACTGGCCGTCGAGGGCCCCTCCCAGGAGCACAGCAGGCCCTTCTCTGTGGAAGCGCTCACCCTCACCAAGCTCATGATCACGGCCAACTCCAAAGAGCAGCCCTCGAAATCCGCTTTGGTCTCACTTCCCTCCTGGCTCTTGGCGACTCCGCAGGCGTCGGCCACGTCAATGATGGCTTCAGTGCCCTCCCGCCCCGGCCAGCTGTCCTTACTGGAGGGGAAGCCAGTGGTGGTCAGAGAGCAGCCAGAGTCGCACACCTGGGTGAAGGAGGGCAAGCGGCCATGGGGCGAGATGAAGGAGCAGCCATGGGGCGAGATGAAGGAGCCACCCTGGGACCCCAAGGGGCCACCCAAGGTGCCCTTTCGCTCCAAGCCCACCTCTGCCAGTCTGAAGAGGGAAGGAATCTCCCAGGCGCCTATCCCCCTGACCGCCTCACCGTGGGAGGACTTACGGCCATCGCCCCTCTCGGAGACCCTCATCTCAAAGATGGAGGCCACAGCCAGGGCGTCCCAGCAGCCCAAGAGGGTGTCGCAGGAGCCCATGAGGATGCCAGCCCAGCACCCCCTGGCCACTGTGGGGTCGTCTTCAGAAATTCTTTTGCCCATGCTCTTAGAACTTGAAACTGTGAGGAACACGGCCACCAAGGCAGAGGAGATACAGGAGGAATCGGGCGTCTTGAACCTTCTGCCCAGGTAGCGGGGGTTAGCAGCTATTATTTACTGTGAGCTCTGCTGTTTATGAGACAGAGATGATCACTCTTTCCTTTCACTTTTTTTTTTTTTTTTGACAGGGTCTCACTCTGTCACCCAGGCTGGAGTGCGGTGGTATGATCTTGGCTCACTGCAACCTCCGCCTCCTGGGTTCAAGCAATTCTCCTGCCTCAGCATCCTGAGTAGCTGGGATTACAGGCGTGTGCCACCACGCCCAGCTAATTTTTGTATTTTTAGTAGAGATGGGGTTTCACCATGTTGGCCAGGCTGGTCTTGAACTCCTGACCTCAAGTGATCCACCCGCCTCGGCCTCCCAAAGTGCTGGGATTACAGGCGTGAGCCACCACGCCTGGCCCCCTTTCACTCTGATATATAGTGAGTGCCGACTCTGTGCCAGGCATTGTTCTAGGCAGTGGGGATACAGTGTCCGACCATGGGGCTGGTGGTGGTGGGATGTGCTCCTGGCTTCTAGCAGGTAGAGACCAGGGATGCTGCTGAGCAACCTACAGTGCACAGGACAGCCCCCACCACAGCCCAGGTGCTCTAGGGAGCCCTCACGGAGCTGGGGTTGTTTGTGTCAAGACCTGGAGGAGAGGACGGAGGAAGCCATGAGGACATCTGGGGGGAAAGCATCCCAGCGGAAGGAACAGCCACTGCAGTCCCTGAGGCAGGAGTGTTTGTAATGTGCTGGACCACGGGGATCCCGGGGTGGGAAATGCGGTCAGAGGTGCAGCAGGGGGGCGCCCATCATGGAGGACTTTGCAGACAATTTTAGGGACTTTGGCTCTGACTCTGAGCGAGCTGGAGGGTTTGGAGCAGAAGAATGATGGAGACGGATTTATGTGTGAAGAGGCTGCCTCTGGCTGGGGCATGGAGGATGTAGGGGGGCAAGAGTGGGCACCTGGAGGACAGAAAAGGCCACAAAGACCCCATTTCCATGAAATGTCCATAACAGGCTGACCCGTAGAGACAGAAAGTGAATCGTTGGAGGCCAGGGGTCTAGTGTGGAGGAAGCGGGAGTGACTACTCATGGGTTGGAGGTCCTCTCCCCTCCCTTCCTCTTCTCTTTTCTGACGGAGTCTTGCTCTGTCGCCCAGGCTAGAGTGCAGTGGCGCGATCTCAGCTCACTGCAACCTCTGCCTCCTGGGTTCAAGCAATTCTCCTGTCAGCCTCTTGAGGAGCCGAGTAGCTGGGATTATAGGTGCTCACCACCACGCCCGGCTGATTTTTGTATTTTTAGTGGAGACGGAGTTTCACCATGTTGGCCAGGCTGGTCTCGAACTCCTGACCTCAGGTGATCTGCCCACCTCGGCCTCCCAAAAGTGTTGGGATTACAGACGTGAGCCACCGTGCCCAGCCAGGTTGGAGGTTTCTTTGTGGGTGATACAAATGCCCTGGAACTAGGTAGAGGTGGTTGCATGACATTGTGAATGTGCCGAATGCCACTTTAAGGGGTACATTAAAAAATGGTGACAAGTTTGGGCAAAAGAGTGAGACCTCATCTCTACAAAATGTGAAAACAAAAAAAGTTGGTGGTTCACACCTGTAATCCCAGCACTTTGGGAGGCCGAGGAGGGTGGATCACGAGGTCAGGATTTCAAGACCAGCCTGGCCAAGATGGTGAAACCCCATCTCTACTAAATATACAAAAATTAGCCGGGCATGGCGACGGGTTGCAGTGAGCTGAGATCGTGCCACTGCACTCCAGCCTGGGCAACAGAGCGAGACTCCGTCTCAAAAAAAAAAAAAGTTAACTAGGCATGGTGCCATGTGCCTGTGGTCCCAGCTACTCTGGAGGCTGAGATGTGAGGACTGGTTGAACTGGGAAGTCGAGGCTGCAGTGACCCACCATCGTGCCACTGCACTGCAGCCTGGGCAATAGAGTGACACCCTGTTTCTTTTCTTTTCTTTTTTTTTTTTAGAGATGGGGTTTCGCCATGTTGGCCAGGCTAGTCTCAAACTCCTGACCTCAGGTGATCCATCCGGCTTCCCAAAGTGCTGGGATTACAGGGGTGAGCTCTATTGCCAGGCTAGAGTGCAGCGGTGTGATCGTGGCTCATGGCAGCCTTTATCTTCCTGGGCTCAAGTGATCCTCCTGCCTCAGCCTCCAAAAGCCCAGCCAAGTTTTTGATTTTTTTGTAGAAAAGAGGTCTCACATGTTGCCCAGACTGAAGTGCAGTGATGCCATCACAGCTCACTGCAGCCTCAAGCTACCCAGGCTCAGGTGATTCTCCTGCCTCAGCCTCCTCAGTAGCTGGAACCACAGGCACGCACCAACACGCCTGGCTAATTTTGGTATTTTTTGTAGAGATGGGGTTTCACCATGTTGTCCAGGCTAGTCTCAGACTCCTGGACTCAAGCAATCCTCCCGCCTCTGCCCCACAAAATGCTAGGATTACAGGCATGAGCCACCGCACCTGGCCGGGATTCTTAATTCGTACATTTGGCTGTCAGTGTAAACAATCCTGAGTCAGGCCTGATATTAACCAGGCAGGAGGGAGAGAAGCTTAGCAGGGATCTAGAGGTGAAACCACCTGCCCAGATTCCAGTTACTTGTCTGCCCCTAGAGCCAAGACTCATTGATTCCGCCTCGGATTTATTGTGCATTTACTACTGCCAGACTCTGCCCCAGGCAGATACAACAGTGAGCCAAACACACAGCAAGACCCGCCCTGGGGGACGCTCTCCTAAGCCAGGCATCTGCAGCTCTTAAAGCCCTGGGTACCCCTCTCTCCCTACCCTGTCCCCCAAAGCTCTCTCTGGCTTGCTTTCTCCCTGCAGCCTGCAGCACTCCCAGCACTCCGAGTGGCCGGATGCGGGGGCTTAACCTCAGTTGGAAACTGTCCAGAGGAGCCCAGCGCTGCCAGGTACCCTTTAAGACCCTGGAGATCTGCCTTAGACCTGGGGGCGGGGGGAGGGGGGCGAGGGAGGAGGGTGGGGGGGGCGGGTAACGGAGGGGGGAGGACGAGGGGGGCGGGGGGGTTCCCAGGAGCCCGGACCCCACCGCTGCTCTTTCCTCTTAACCCCACAGGCCCCGAGGGTTCTGTGCGCACCGACTGTAGGAAGCGGAATGTTGAAAGCCGCTTGGGGGGATTTGCCCCCTCTGGTAGATACCAGAACTATGGATATGCCTTTATATATTGGGGGGCGGGGGGGGGCGGGGGCGAGCCCGTGGAGCCGCCCAACTTCGCAGAGATTAAAGCTTGAGCCTGAGACTCAGCGAGTCGCACCTCGGTGCCTGTGTGCACGCGCAGGCCCCCGAGGGGGCGTCGGGGGAGCAAGGGGTGGGGTGGGGGCGCCCCTACCAGCCCCGCGGTGCACGACGGCTCCCATTGGCTGGGGCTCGGGCGTCCTAGCCAATCCGGCCGCGGGGTGCGTTTCTCCTGACCCGGGTGGGACCGCACCCCGCGGACTCAGAAGCGAGCGGCACCCCGGGACCATCCCACAGCAGATCCAGTGGCCGCCAACGTCAGGCTGGTGAGGGCACGACGGGTGGGGTTCAGGGGCGGGGGTCAGGATGGGGAGACGGGTCGGAGCGAGGGCGCCCCCTCGGCCCCACGGAGTCCCCGTCCCGTCCCGTCTCGCAGGAGTTGCCTCCTTCGTGGATGTTGGATGTGGAAGCCCAGGAGCCCCCCAAGGGGAAATGGTCGACGCCGCCCTTCGACCCGCGCTTCCCCAGCCAGAACCAGATCCGTAACTGCTACCAGAACTTCCTGGGTGAGACCTGCTCAGCCAGGTTATGGGAGGAGCAGGGTGTGACAAGGGACGGCAGGGAGGGGCACTCCCACCCTAAGTCCCGCGGAGACCGTTAGGGTGGGAGGCCGGGCGGGGCCGGGTTGGTGGGGGCGGGGCCTGGTCGAGAAAAGGCGGGGCTGAGCCTGGAGGGGCGGGGCGAGGTTGGTAGGGGCGAGGCCTGATCTGGAAGGTGCGGGGCCGAGTCGTGAAGGTGCGGGGCGAGGTAGGTAGGGGCAGGGTCTGGGTAGGAGGAGCAGTGTGAGGGAGGTAGGGGTCGGGGCCTGGCTGGGAGGGGCGGGACGGAGGCCTCCAGGGGAGAGGGAGGCGGGACGAAGCAGCGAAGAACTGGGAGGGCCCGAGCAGTGGAGGGGCGGGTCCTGTCCTGGAATGGGCGTGGCTTGCCGCGTGACCCCCGCCCGCCACAGACTACCACCGCTGCCTCAAGACCAGGACCCGCCGCGGGAAGAGCACGCAGCCCTGCGAGTACTATTTCCGCGTGTACCACTCGCTGTGCCCCATCAGCTGGGTGAGTCGGCAGAGGGGGCGCCGGGCCAGGCGTGTGCAGGGCTCGGCCGAGGCTGAGCCGGCGTCCCGCTCCCTGCCTTTCTGCTTCCCAGGTGGAGAGCTGGAACGAGCAGATCAAGAACGGGATTTTCGCCGGCAAAATCTGACTGCCCCAGCGCGGCTTCCTCTGAAGATGCAGTGATCCTGCATCTTTTTGTCTCGCGGAGCCCCGGGTCTCGGTTATCCACCCCTACCTCCCAGTGTCTAAGCCACGAATAATGGTATGCTGTTGCTGATGTTTCTTCTTAATGCCCAGCCAGCGATGCGTCGTGGTGGTGGTGGGGATCCTCCGTGTGCCTGTGTCCGGGCTAACGCTGCTTTTTCCGATAAGGGGCAGGTGGGGGACTGCTGCTCCATCAGGTAGCAGCAGGCAGTCAAGGCCCTAAGACAGGAAGCCGAATGCCTCCCGTCCCCCTTCTCCCTCTCCATTCCAGCAGGTAGATGCCTCGCGTTGACAGCTACGAGCCAGCCCAGGGTCCCCAGTTCTCAACACTGTCCCACCCAGATGGCTCCAAGGTGCTCCTGCCTCCAATCACCACACCTACCTCTCACCTCAGTCCTTTCCCTACTCCCCTCCTGCCTGGACCATCTCCCCAGGCTCCTTCCCCATCCCACCCCTGATCCATCCCATCTCGGGTCCTGAGGGGTCTTCTTTGTACCACCCAGCGCTGACTCCATCCCTTCCTCCCCCACTCTCTGGGCTCTCCACCACTCTCCATCACGACCCCGCTCCCACCTGGCTCATTTCCCCTCCCAGAACATCGAGATCCCCATCATGTGAGCCAGCTTATTTCCAACAGAATCCCCTGGTGTCCACGCTTTCGGCACCCGCACCCACAGCCAGGCGTAGCAGCCTGCTCAGTTCTCCAATGCATCAGGCTCACCCCGCACCCCCACCCCGCAGAGGCCGCTGTCAGTCTCTCCCACCGCACACATCGCCGCAATTTCTCCTGTGACCCCCGCCAGACTGCCAGCACCCAGAGGACGCTCAGAGCTCCCTCGGAATCATTCTTTACTCCTTCCCCATCCCGGCAGTAACACGGAACCGCATTCCGGTTCCAGACGCCCTTTGAAGTCTTGCCTCTCCCCAGGCCAAGGAGTGCCGCTTGACAAAGCCCTAGGGTTCCAGCCTGGTCCTGCTGAGGGAGCCGTGAGACCAGTCAGCCTGGGGTGCTGGTTTTCCCAACGGGTACTCCCTGAGCTATCAGCCTTCCAGAGGGGCTCCTAGGAGGGGGAAGCCCCATCCTCTGACTGAAGCGGTCCTATGAGGCCCTGTTCAACCCCAGGGTTCAAAGGTGACTACAACTAATCATGACAACTTGCAGGGTGACCCTAGACAAGCTTCTTGACCTGTGTGAGCCCGAGGTTCCCCAAGGCAAACCAAGATGGCTCAGGGCCCCATTATCAGAGGAGGTAGGGCTGGGTGAGCTCAGGGGGCTGACTCCATCCTGCTCCCTGCCCCATGATGACCTGTCCATCACCTGCCCTCCATGCTGCCCAGGACACACCCTAGATGAGCCATCCCCCAGGATGACGCCACCTCTGAGATCTTGGTCTCCTGGCTCCGTCTCTGACCACAACCCAAGAATGGGGTGAGGGCACAGGGTGTGGACTCAACTACAGGAGGGCTTCCTGTTCATGCAACGTCCCCAGAGCCTTGACGAATGCACAGAGGCGCTGGCAGAACCACGGGGGCAGGACCCCTCTCTGAGTCACAGAATGGAGCTAAGTTGGTGAGGTCACCCAGGTAACATCCCAAGCACAGGGTGCCACACCTGTGCAGCCACAGCAGCCTCCTGACCTCCCCAGAGCCGTGTCTAGAACCCATTTTTGCCCTGTTGGCCAGCCTTCCTCCTTCCTCCTCCTCCCATCATCCTATCTTCACTGCCTCCAGACCTCATCTCAGCACATTCTCACACTCCCGACCCCCTCTGCAGCCGCCACTGCCCCACTGATGCCTGAGCCAGGGGCAGGGGCAGACCTGCCCGGCCTGGCCTCCAGCCTGGTGGACCATCACCTGTGCAAACTCCGAACACCTCCTCCAGGTGCTCTGGCTGGCTTTCCCTGGTGTCCAGTAGCCGCCTCCTGAGACCCCTAATGCCAGCCTCACAGTCTCAGCAACCTCCCAGGTCAGAGAAAACCAAGGCCACTCTACTTATTCCTGCCCCCACCCAGAACACCTGCATCCTTGTTCGCTCAACATCCTCCTCCCGCCTTCTTTCTCTACTCCTTTTCCTCTTCTTTCTCCTCCTCCAGCCCCATCTCTTCAATCCTTCCATCATCCACTTTCCCCTCCCTCTGCGGTTCTTCCCTCAGAACCTGCTCCGTCCTCCCGGCCTCCAGACCACGGATCCTGAAGGCCACCTGCGCTGCCTCCCCTGCTCACTGTCCCCTGGCTCCTAGGGGCCGCAGCTTCGCCTCCTCTCTCTGGGTTTCCCCCTTTCCCATCCTGAAGGTGGCAGAGCCCGAATGGTTCTGAGAATGAGTTCAATCTAGGCCCTGAAGCTACTAACCATGTGGCCTGGGACAAGTTCCCTAGCCCCTCTGCGCTGTGGCCTTTTCATCTGAAATATGGTAACAATGACATAATAATGACACCTCACTTCCTAGGGTTGTGGGGAGGACGGCGATGTGAAAACATATAAAGCAGTTAGAACAGTGTCTGGCCCCCCTCTTCACAGTGTGTGGGGTCTCTAGCCATAGAGACAATCTGAGTCACTCGAATCAGCATGTCGGCCCAGTTCTGGTGCCCCATATTGTGCTGGACAGTGAGACTGATTGACCGGACAGACAGCCCAGGGATGACCCCATAAACCAGTCCTGGAGCTCTTGGAGGCATCTGGTTACTAGCTTGCAGCATAAAGGGCCAGAGTGCCCCCACAGGGAGACACGGGGTCAGGGTGGGGAGTCCTTGGCCAGGGCCCTGCCTGCCTGCCAAAGGCTGAGAGCAGTTCTAGTGCCACACACCCAGGTCAGTGCTGGTTGTATTTCCTGTTTCACTAAACTTCTTTCCACCTTCACCTACAGCCACCAGCCTTCGAGTTCCTTGTTTCCCTTGCTCTGGTCTCCACGTGTATGATGGGGTTCTCAGGCCCAGGCTTCGACCAGAGGACCCTCTGCCACCACCGTTTCTTCCTGTCCTTGAGCTACCTTGGTGAACTCATGACCCCAGGCCCCTGCTCCACCAGGATGTCCCCCAGGTCCTGCCAGCTGGGAAGTGCCAGCATGAACGCCTCCAACTTCGTGGAAGCCAGGGTCCCCTGCAGCTGAGGGACGCCAAGCAGACACACCTGCCCTCCCCAGCCAGCTCCTGTCTGTATGGGCGAGATGACTGAGAGCGCCCACGTCCCTAAGGCTGTCCTGACCCTCCATGCTGCGACAAGGACAGGGAATGGTCGGTCACTATGGGCCTGGTGTCTCCCCTCCCCCACCACCCGGTGCTGCCCAGCTCAAGCCAGAAGCTGACTTTGGCCGCCATGGGGACATCAGGCAAGGTCTGGAGACATTTTTGGTTGGGGCAGAGGCATGCTCCTGGCATCGAGTGGGTGGAGACCAGAGAAGCCGCTCAACATCCTGCAATGCATGGGACAGGCCCTGCCTAGAAACACCAGCTCAGCATGGCAGCAGTGCGGAGGCCAGGAAACCCTGATCGCCAGTTTCTAACGCCCTCACCATTTTTATTTTTATTTTTATTTTTTTTGAGACAGAGTTTCGCTCCTGTCACCCAGGCTGGAGTACAATGATGCGATCTCAGCTCACTGCAACCTCTGCCTCCCGGGTTCAAGTGATTCTCCTGCCTCAGCCTCCCGAGTAGCTGGGATTACAGGCATGCACCACCACGCCCAGCTTATTTTGTATTTTTAGTAGAGACGGGGTTTCTCCGTGTTGGTCAGGCTGGTCTCAAACTCCTGACCTCAGGCAATCTGCCCACCTCAGCCTCCCAAAGTGCTGGGATTACAGGCGTGAGCCACTGCACCCGGCTCACCACTAGTTTTTAGCCCTTTTTGTTGGGGGTGGGGTGGGGGCAGAGGAGAGGCGGATACAGAAACTTGTGAGAATGTGATGAACGCTCTGAACCCCCTATAAAAAATGTGCATGTAAATATATACTCTCAACATTTAAAAGATTTCAGAAGGTTCCTGGAAATTCCAATGTCCACCCATGAGTCCTCAGCTGAGACTCCCTGCTCCGCTGCCCTCTTTGTCTAAGAGCTGTGGCAACAGCACCTGAATTTCAGAAACAAAAGGCCGGGCGCGGTGGCTCACACCTGTCATCCTAGCACTTTGGGAGGCAGAGGCAGGAGGATCGCTTGAGCTCAGGAGTTCGAGACTAGCCTTAGCAACACAGTGAGACACAATTGCTACAAAAAGATTTTAAAATTAGTTTGACGGGGTGGCGTGTGCCTATGGTCCCAGCTACTCAGGAGGCTGAGGCAGGAGAATTGCTTCAATCCAGGAGGTGGAGGTTGCAGTGAGCCGAGATGGCGCCACTGCACTCCAGCCTGGGCCACAGACCCTGTCTCAAAAAAAAAAAAAAAAAAAAAAGGAAAGAAACGAACAGCATGGCTTCAGTTCACTCAGAGACAAATCCTTGGGGACTAGCAGTGGAGCCATCTCTCTGCTGTTTGATGGCCTGGAGCTCTCTCCGTCCTTATTTTTAACATGAGAAAGAAAACAAACAGGGCTTAGCAGGATTTGCATTATAAGAGGAATTTTCTCCCTGCAAAAGAAATAGAACAGGCCATATTATCCAACGTATCTAATGAGTTTTAAAGTAAACAAGGTTTGACCCGTTCTCAACTGCCCCCTTGTCCCCGCCTCCCAGGGCCACCGCTGAGGTGCTCATATGGGTCTCGCTGTGGCCACTGCTCCCCTGTTGCTCCCTCTCCACCAGGGCCAAGGAGAGCTTCCTGATACCTGCAGCCTGGCCTCGTCCACCTCCACAGTAAGCTTGTTCAAGGCTGGCAGATGCGGAGGCGCACATGGGGGGCCTGGAGCCAGCAGGTGACCTGTAGCTGCCCAAGTGAGACGGGCTCGGTGGCCCAGTGAGAAAAGTATCTGGGAGAAGCTGGAGGTACCTGGGATCAGGGATTGCTCACAGTCAGCCGCTGTTATTTCCTTTTGCAAAACGAGACAGCAGGCAGAGCTAAGACGCCCTGGCAAAATCCAGATCCTGGAGCGGACCTGAAGAAACAAGATTCATCTTCCTGGTCTCACACACGGCAAAGCCCAAGATGCCACAGCTGAGGAAGGTCCTGTCAGCGCCGCCTCCCCCAGGCTCGGCTCTGGTGTCCTGGGCAGCCCCCACACCCTCACTCAGCCAGGCCCCCAGCAGTCTCTCTCCGTTTGGAGTGAGATGTGGGAGGGGCATCTCATTGAGAAGCGCGAGAAGGGAGAAGGGCCCTCAAGTCCCCACGTGGCCTTGGCAAGTCACTCTGCTTGCTAAACGATGTTGACCTCGCCTGGAAAATGGGAGGACCCACTCCTAGGAGAGTATGGGTCTCAAGGCATTTTTACAAGCACAGCCTGAGTGGGGATGGGGCTCCAGCCTCAGTCCCCTAGTCCATCACGCTCCCAAATCCCTCTCCCGACAGCTCTCAGGGCTGAAGGCCTGTGTTGCCTCCTCCCCCTCTCATCAGCACAGCTGAGGGTCTCACCCTCCTCACATCCCTTCAAAACATAAGCCAAAACAAAAAACCGCCAAGGGTGCTGCTTATAACAAGGTTTTAATAAAATAAAAAGTTCAAGTGCTTCCAAGCCCCCAACATACCCCTTTCTGGTGTGGGGGAGGGGAGGGAGCTCCCCACCCCAATAGCACCAGGATAGCACCATGAGAAAGATGAGGTCACACCCGGCCTCCCTGAGACCCACGGGGGGTGGTGAGGGGAACATGCCTCCAGACACCCCCCAACCTTCCCCCCACCGCAGACAGCTGCAGAGCTGAGAGCGAACCCAGTCCCCTCGTGAGGGCAGTCTCTGGGGAGTGCCACCCCCTACATCAGTTCCACCTCCTCCTGAGGCCTGTACTTCTGGGGAGATGCCGTGGGGTGGCCCCTGCCCCTTATGGCTTTGCTCCCTGGGGAGGAAGGGGCTGAGGGGGGCGGATGGCTCCTGCAGTCCTGAGGCTGGGGCAGGGGTGGGGAGGGCAGCAAATGGCCGGGGCTCCCTGTGGGAGTGGGGGTGGCTCAGGGGTCAGCAGTCACAAAGGGTCAGGGCTCAGATCCCTGGGGGTGTCCAAACCAACCCCATTCCAGGGTCAGAGCTATGCTGGAGTCAAGGGTCAGCTCCCTCCCAGAGGTCCAAGGGCTCCTTCTGGAGGTCCTGGGTAGCAGCTAGGAGAGAGACCCTCTCTCCCTGCTGGGCCTCCCCGTCCGGCCTGTCACAGCTCTTCACCGCCGACATCCAGGTCGATGGAGCCGTGGCTGACCACCAGCCGTAGGCGCTTGGGTGGGGAGAAGGGGGCGAAGGCGAGGGCCTGCTTCGGGATCAGGATGGGGCCTGGGGTCCCAGCAGGGGCTGGGGTAGCTGGTGGGGCTGGGGCCAGGCGACGAAGGTCCACACGCACCACGTAAGGCAGCCCATAGCGCCGGGCCCAGTGCCAGTCCTGCTGAGGGGCCCAGCGGGCGTGGGGGGGCTGGCCCAGGGCCACCAGGGCCTCTCCTCGCAGGCGGCAGTGGGGGCCACAGCCTCCCCATCGGTGCAGGGAGACGCGGGCAGCGTGGTGGGTGGAGAGCACTGGGGCCCTCCGGGGCCGGGGGCGTCGGCGCTTCCGGGGCCGCACTCGGGGCTGGGGCTGAGGCAGCCACTGGAGCCAGAGGGGTGAGGTGTCTGGGCGGGCGCTGCAGGCTGGCAGGCGCAGGGGCTGGCAGGCGGCTGTGAAGGCCCAGGTGGCAGGGAGAGGAGGAACAAAGGAGAGGTGAAGTCAGTGCAAGCTGGGCCGGTCCTCCTCTGGACAAGGAGGCAGCCCTGCCCTGCGCTCCCCAGAGGAATGATGCGGCCGAACTGCTCAACAGCGAGGCCTGCCAGCGACTGAGGGTGGGAGGGAGGGTTCCAGGCTAGGCAGAGAGCTCAGAAGAAAGGAGACAGATGACCAGGAGCAGACAGGGGAGGGGCTGCTGGGATGGCAGGGAGGGGTGCTCACCGCAGAATGGGTCCCGGCGCAGCGGGGATGGGTGCACGCAGGCCCGAGGGCCCAGCAGGCCCTGTCGGCTGCCACTGTCCAGGCCTTGCTGCAGCCGCCGCTTGGTCTCACGCAGCTGGTACTTGTCCAGGGGCCGTGGTGGCAACGCGGGCTCCCTAGGCCTGGTTCGGAAAGCTCCTTCACCTTTCCTGGGAGACCGGGTGAAGGGGAGATGAGGCCGGGTGGAAGGGAGATGAGAGGCTGGGGTTGGACACACTCAGGGATGGGTCCCGAGGGTGCGTTTCTGGGCTCAAGAAGCCCAGACGACCCGAACCCAGCCGCCTCTCGCCCGGTCCCACCTCTCACAGGTGTGGCATTCACAGTGCTCATTCTTCTCGCCGAAGAAGCCCTCGCCGTAGAAGCATGTCACCTCGTCCCCAGGCTCAATGTCCCGGAGCACCTTCACGCAGGCTGCGTTCCCATCTGCAGGCACAAACTGAGGGCCAAGCCCACTCAGCGCCCTGGCCCAGGGCACAGGGGAGGGCTCACCCACTCCCCACACCTGGCCGGGCACCCTGGCCCGGAGCGTCCTCTCCTGGAATGGGGCAACAGCTGAGCCCCTAAAAGTGGCATTCCGAGGCGGCTGCCTTGCCGAGGGCCTGTCCTTTGCCTGTAGCCCCTGGACAATCCACCCACTGGCTGGTTTCCACCCCTCCCTGCAGGACGATGATCTAACCTGACCTTCTGGCAGCGTGCAGTGCCAGCAGTGGTGACCACTCCCTCCAGCCTCTGTGGCCCCGTGCCAAGCCCCACCTCCTCTGCCACACCCAAGCCCATCCCCTCCTGAGCTGCCTGCCCCCCGCCAGACTGTGCCTTGGCAGCTGAGGTCCGAGCTCTGCCTGCTGCGGGCCGCCCCCGCTTCTCTGAGGCCTGCCTCACTCCACAGCCCAATCTGTGTGTGCTCTGGCCCTGCCTTTGGGATCATTCACCCAGGAGCTGCCCCACAGGCTCCTCCTAAGCCCCACACAGCTGCGCCTTCCTCCCTGTTCCCCGTCTAGGAGGGGGCATGACCACTGTCCACCCAACTGTCCATCTACCCATCCACTCAAGCCTGACATTTGCCTGGGAGTAGCCCTCGCCACCTGCCTGCCTGACGGCCCCCAGACCAACCGGCCACTGCCTTCTGAGTGTGCCACCTCCCGCATCCTCATCCTCCTCGCCTCCCCGAGACCCCTACTGGAGTCAGCCCCTCATCACCTCTTTGTGGCCACCCTGCCTACAGCCTCTCCCCTTCCTGCCAAGCCTCCTGCACATGGGCCTCCAGGGTGACCTAAAAACCAAGCTTCCCATTATACACCCTGGGGGGAGCTTCCATGGCTCCCTGGCCCGGACCCCAAGGCCTTGCTGCCGGATCAAAGCCGTCGCTGGGCACCCCCAGCCCTCTGGTGTGCCGTGTCCTGCTAGACGCCCCCCTTTGCCCCTGATTTCCTTTAACACCTAGGGAAATTCTACTCCTCCGTCGATGCCCAGCATGGCTTCTGTGAAGCCAGATGGTTCTAGATCGCTGGAGAGCTGGCCGCCCTCTCGTGTGCTCAAGGTGGCTGGAGCACACTGGCCCTGCAGAGCCTCTCCGAATGCCGCCTTTTGTTTCCATCCCCCCCAGCGTCTGTGTGTGGTGTCAGACCAGGGCCACGCATTCGCTGTCCAAAACCCTCCGGCACACTTGACCAGCCCGCAGAGTTCCAGAGATCCTCACCAACCCCATCTGAGATGAAAAACCAAAGGCCAGGGGTGGCATCGCCAGGACCCCAACTCAGTTCTGACTCTGGAGCCAAAAATCTGGATCCCTTTGTCATGCCTCCCGGGGTGCCCCATCGAGGTCTGTGCTCCAGAGGGTGCACCCTCAATGCCGCCCTGGAGCCAACCCTCCTGATTCCTTCTGCTTCCGGGCTACAGGACAACCAGCGGCCTCTCCTGGGCATGTCTGGACAGCATCCTGAGTCCTGGCCCCTGGGGCTCTCTGGCCTCCCTGCTCCTGCCACCACAGCTGCCTGCGTTGTTCCCTGCAAGGCCGGGGGCTCCCACCACAGGGCCCTGCCTCCCTGCCACACTCCCTGCCCAAATTGGCACAGCTCCCAGCTCGGTTTTCAGAGAAGAAAGATGGCCAGCAGCTGGCAACCAGGGTTCCAGTGCAACTGCACAAACAGCCGGGCAACGCTGGCCAAACTGGAACCCCTTCCTCCTTTCTGGTAGCCTTGTGAGCAAATACCCACTCTGCCCCTTCCAGGACCCGTGGGAAGCCATGGAGACATGGGGCAGCATTTGGCTCTTTTTTTTTTTTTTTTTTGAGACAGAGTCTCGCTCTGTGGCCCAGGCTGGAGTGCAGTGGCGCGATCTCGGCTCACCGCAAGCTCCGCCTCCCGGGTTCACACCATTCTCCTGCCTCAGCCTCCCAAGTAGCTGAGACTACAGGCGCCCGCCACCACGCCCGACTAATTTTTTGTGTTTTTAGTAGAGATGGGGTTTCACCGTGGTCTCCATCTCCTGACCTCGTGATCTGCCCACCTCGGCCTCCCAAAGTGCTGGGATTACAGGCATGAGCCACCGCGCCCGGCCGGTGTTTGGCTCTTTACTGACCAAAAACCCTTTCCCCAGGCCACAGGCACCCTTTCTTCCTGCGTGCCCTCTCCTCCCGAGTCCCAAGGCCTTACCTTGCAGTTGGGTTTGCAGTCTGGAGCCAGTTGGGGCAGGAGAGAGAAGAGAGGTAGATGAGCTCGGCAGCTCAGTCGCAGAACCCTCCCACTACACCCCTCCAGCCCTGCCTGGCTCTATCCCGTCCTGCCCATCCACCTGCCTGACCCTCACCATGGTTGATGAAGGCGGCTGGGCCCAGCCACAGCTGAGCACTCCGCTTGCGGGTTGAGTACATGATGCTGAAGTCATTCTCACCGGCCCTCAGCAGCCCCTCATCTGCCTCCCGCAGCTCTGCAATGCAGCCCACCAGCAGCTCCAGCTTCTCATTCTTTTTCCTGCCAAGAGGCCAGGGGGCAGGGCTGTGGGCGATGCCTGGCCTCCTGCAGGTGTTCAGGGGACTCGGGCCTCCGGCACAGAGGCACCCAGGAAGGAGGGACTCCTGGGCGCTGGTGCTGGCTATTGGCGATCCATCTTCCAGATCTCCCTCTTCCCCTCCTGCCTGGGTGGGCTTCCCTGCTCCAGCCCACAGCCCCACAGGACCCTTCTACTGAAAGCCTTCAGGGCAGCACGCACACAGCAGATACAGCCCCCATTCTCTCCCCTCGCTCTCATAGCACCTCCTGCCCCCAAATCCCTCCTGCCTGGACTACCCCCTACTCGCCCCACCAGACCCTCAGGCGGGTGCTTCCCCTGTCAGTGTGAGCCTCGCCCTGGGAGCACTTGCTCATTCCTCACAGCTCCCCTGCAGCATGTACCAGCTGGGACCAGTGACTGCATGTTGACTTGTCTGCCCCCCACCTCCTCACCAGACTGTGAACCCCGCAGGGGCAGGGGCAGGGGCTCCTCATTGCACTCAGGGGTGTTTAACATGTGGTGGGGGCTCAGGTCACAAGGAGGTAAGGACAGCACGGCCCTGACCAGAAGCCTAGTTCTTTCCTGGAAGCCCCAGGAACCCTGGGGTCACATCCGGGGTCTCCTGCTCCAGCGGCACCACGGTAGCCACAAAGGTCTTCCGGGATTAGCCCCACCACCTTCCTAGGATGCCCGGAGGACCAGGCCCCTCGCTTTTCCCCGGTTGGCCAGTCCATGAACAGAGGGTCTCTCTTGTCCCCTCTGAGCTCTGTCTCCTCCAAGGATACCTGCAGGGAGTCCTGCCCTCTTACCAAGCACGAGTGGACACGATCTTGGCCCCGTTGGTCTCCATGGAGTAGCGCGTGCAGGGCAGGATGGTAAAGCCACTTTCCGGCAGGAAGGCACGGAGGTAGCGATAGACCTGGTGAGGGTGAGGGTGGGGGTGAGGAGGCGGGGCAGGGGCATCTTTGGCCCTCTCTCTCCAGGACTCTAGGCCTGCCATGCCACTGACTCACTGTGTGGTCTTGGGGGCCTCATGTTCCCTCTCGGGGCCTCAGTTTCCTCATCCGTCAAATGAAGAGGTTGGACTACATCTCAGAGGGCCCCCCCAACTCTCCTCTCCTAGGATTCTCTGAGCCTTGCCTCAGATGGTCCCAAGGGCTAGGAAGTCAGGGGGCCCCAGGGGCTGCGCTGAGGGACTCTAGAGCGTCTGCCAGGCGGGACCAGGCCCGGTGAGCGGGGAGGACACGCGGTGAGGGCGGGGGAGGGGAGGGCGCCCTCACGTGGGTCTTGAGGGCAGCCTCCTGCCGCGGGCCCCGGCTCTGGAAGTAGCGGGCCGTCCAGCCTCCCAGCGTCAGGGCCCGGTACGCAGCCTCCAGGTCCCGCTGCCTCAGGAAAGTTTCCAGCGCTGAGCGCAGGTGCTGCTGTCGCCGCAGGGGGGGCACAGGGCTGGGGGAGAGGGCATGCCTGGGTCCCAGGGCCTTCCCGGGCCCCGGCCCCAACCCCCACTTGGAGCTGAGGGGAGGACCAGGCTAAGGAGAGGGCCGAGGGGCGGCAGCGGTGCAAGGGGAGGGGTCCTGACCCCTCGGGCCCACCCTCGCCCCCAGGCCACCTCACCTGACGTTCATCTTATGGGTGCGGAAACCGAGGTAGGGGTCCAGGACGAGGCTGGTGGCCAGGTCGTCGTTCTCGCACAGTTCTCGTGCTGTCACTCTGTCGGGCCCCATGGTGCCCTGCGGACCATGCTGCCTCTGGCAGAGAGCAGGAGCAGGTGAGGGCAAGGCAGGCGCGGGGAGCCTGGCTTGGTGCTGACTCCACTCCCACGCTACTCAGAAGCCATGGGGGACGCTGGTGAGCCCCACGATCTCATCTGCAAAATGGGGAGAAAAGCAGTGCTGACTTCACCAGGCCGCTGGCGAAGATGGAATGCAACAAGTACTTCTGAGAGTAGGGAAAGCCCAGAGCCATGTCAGCCATCGCCTTAGCTCTTGCTCTTGCTCCGCAGCGCAGACACAGATCCCCCCTAAACACACAACCCCCACATGCACACCCATGCACACTCAGACTGACACACGCAGATGCCCCTGCCCATATGTACAGAGACCCCCTACACACACACATCTCTTTGGGCCCAGAGAAGGCTGACTGATTGGCAGCCGGGATCACCCTAAAGGCTTAGCACCGTGGGGAGCCGCTTCACCTCTAGCCCTCAAGGAGGAAAAGTCAAAGCTTCCCGCCAGCCCGAGGTCCCGCCCTCCACCCCCACCTCGACCCAGCCTCGGTCTCCGCCCCCTGCCTCCCCGGCAGCCTTCGGGAGTGGTCAGGAGGCTCCGGGTGAAGCCCCAGGCAGCCTGGAGGCGGGTGACGGGAGGGAGGGCAGGGGAGGGATCCCAGCACCTGCTCCCTCTCCAAGGATTCCAGGGGAGGGGGGCTCAGAGGACAAAAGCGGGGGTGGGGAGGGGAGCAAAGGAAGACTATGGGGAGGCAGCACAGGTCAATATTTACAAAAACATTTTTTTAAAGCGGAGCCAGGAGAGAACGGAGAGATGAAGAAAACCACCCAAACCCCTAACCCGGACGGAGGGCCAGCCTCGTCCCCGCACCACGGCGCTCGAGGCTCATCCGCGCCCAGGAGAGGAGGAGATGGGGCAGGGCAAGGAGCGGGAGCTGCAGAGACGGCTGTGGAGGGGTCGGGGACAGACTGCGAGGCTGCGGGAGAGAAAGAGGGGGCGCTGCAGGAGGACGCCAGGGACAGCGGGGAAGCTGGAGAGGGGGCTGGGGGCAAGGAGAGAAACGCACAGCGGTGGGCACGGCAGGGGGCTGTGGGAGGGAGAAGGCTGCAGCCGGGCCTGGGGGCGCTCAGAGGGGTGTGAGGAAGGGATGGGGGTGCCAGGGAGGACAGAGAGCGGGGAATGGCCTAGGGACTCAGGGAGGAGCCAGACGGGAGACCTGGGTCGGGGGGCGGTCCAGGGATGGCGGAGAAGATCCTGGGTGTCCAGTGAGTGAAGGGCCTGAGAGGGCGGACAGGGGCCCAGGGATCCAAACGGGCTTGGTGGGGTCCTGGGGGATCCAGGAAAGGGAGACCCTAGGGAAGGGCCTGGGGACCCAGGGAGGCGCCTGGGTAGGCGGTGAGAGCCCAGGGCAAGGGACCTGGAGGGTCAGAGGCCGACCTCAGGGTCCAGGGAGTGCCAGGAGAGGGACAGAGGGGTCAGGGAGAGGTTCTAGGGCACAGAAAGACCTAGAGGGTCCAGAAGGAGGCCTGGAGGGTGAGAGGAGGTCGGGGATTGGCCCTGGGAGTGCAGGGAGGTCCCGGGGGTGAGAGAAGGGTCAGGGAGAGGCCCTGAGGGTGCAGGGAGAGACCTGGGGGTGCAGGGAGAGGCCTGGAGGGTGAGGTCAGGGAAAGGCCCTGGGGGGTGCAGGGAGAGGCCTGGAGAGTGACAAGAGGTCAGGGAGAGGCCCTGAGGATGCAGGGAGGGCCGTGGACGTAAGAAGGGGGTCAGGGCCCGGGTGAGGAAGCACAGGAAGGAGGCTGCAGTGCCGCGGAGCCCGAGGCCCGGCGAGGGGCCGGGAGACGTGGGCGCCTGGACACGAGGAGGGGCCGGGCGGGGTGGGGGGCAGTCGGGGCAGGGGGCGACTGGGGAGCCAAGGCGGCGCGGGGCTGGGGCCGTGAAGGGGCTCAGAGATCGGGCCCCGCGCCGCCCCTCACCCGCTTCTCCTCCTCCTCCTCAGGCGCCCGCGCCGCCGCCGCCAACACCTCCCACAGCCTCCTTCGGCTCTCGTCAAACACTGTCGCCGCACCTCCCATCTGCTCTCCGGGCCAGCCCCGCCAAGGCCACTGAGGCTTTCTATTGGCCACAGCCACCGCCACTCCTCCGTTGCTACGAAGCTCACGGCGCTCCCATTGGCCAAGCCCCACTCTTTCCCTCCGCGCCCGGCTCTCGTCAATACACAGATAAAACCCCGCCACGCCCCCGCCGCCGTCAAACGCCGCGAACTGTTGTCAGTGGTTCACATCGCTGTCCTTTAGTCGCTGCCATGGAGACTTGTCCCGCCTTCGCTCACACTGGGGCTCGAAATCGACGCACTCATTGGCCGAAAGCGCAGTCTCTCCGGGCGAAACTCGGTTTGGGTCGGGTTATTCAGGTCCAAGTGGAAAGAGGGCGGGCTCTGCCAGCTCCAGTAGTCGTATATGATTGCCTGGCCTTGGGACAGCTCCTCTTTCCATTGGGTAAGGCCTCCGTCCATCACCATAGAGTCGCGGCCTCCCTCTTCTATTTCTCCGAGGAAAGCTTCGGCCACAGGAGGGAGAAAGCCAGACCCGGCGGGAGGGAGGCGGTGAATGCGCGCGCACCGCCATCCCTCTCCCCTCCCGCCCCGCGAGGCCTGCGGTTACCAAGGCGACGAAACTTTATTGACAGCTCTGCCTGGCTACAAAGGGCTCCTCAGTCTCTCTCCCTCCCTCCCCGTTTACACCGTTGCGTTTTGGGAGTATCCACACGCACTCTGTGGGACCTTCCCGCGATATGAACGGGGTCGGATGGAGGGAGGGGAGGCTGAGGGAGGAGTGGGGACTTTTGAGACAAGCCCTGACTCCTGGGGCGCTCCCCTGGGGCACCCCCTAATTGGGATCACCCCCCCTACCTCAATCCTAGAGGCAAACGTAACTAACAATTCATCATAATTACGCCGAGAATAATAAGCTCCACACTCAGAACAGGCGGTCTTTGTTTGCTTGTTTGTTTGTTTCGCCACAGCCATTCTTCCCTTAACGACACTGATACCATCTGGGCAGTGCGTGCTCAGGCGATGTCGTCATCCTGCCAGCATCCTAGAGCAACATCACTCACACCTACGTGGCAGGGCTGCTGGCACCTGGGCTGTAAGGTGGCCGGCGGCTCCTGGGCCACACAGCTGTGCAGCATGTTACTGTCCGGTAACACAATGTAGGCGCTTGTGTGTCTACACATATAGGATCACTGTCAGACATGCGCTCCACTGTACAGCTATAGATCGTGGGCACTTAAAACAATGCATGCCACAGAGTAGGTGCTGTTTTGGTGTGCTGTTTTTGGTGTTTTGGTGTGTGTGTGTGTGTGTGTGTGTGTGTGTGTGAGAGAGAGAGAGAGAGAGAGAGAGAGAGAGAGAGAGAGAGAGAGAGAGAGACAGAGACAGAGTATCGCTCTCTCGCCCAGGCTAGAGTGCAGTGGAGTGATCTCGGCTCACTGCAGCCTCTGCTTCCCAGGTTCAAACGATTCTCCTGCCTCAGCCTCCCAAGTAGCTGGGATTACAGGCATGCACTACCACCCCTGGCTAATTTTTTTTTAGACAGAGTTCCCTCTTGTTGCCCAGGCTGGAGTGGAATGGTGCGATGTCGGCTCACTGCAACCTCCGCCGCCCAGGTTCAAGCGATTTTCCTGCTTCAGCCTCCCAAATAGTTGGGATTACAGGCATGCACTACCATGCCCGGCTAATTTTTTTTTTTTTTTTTTTTTTTAGTAGATACGGGGTTTCACCATGTTGGTCAGGCTGGTCTCGAACTCCTGACCTCAGGTGATCCACCCACCTCAGCCTCCCAAAGTGCTGGGATTACAGGCATGAGCCACCATGCCTGGCCTGTATTGTGTTTTGAGACAGGGTCTTCCTCTGTTGCCCAGGCTGGAGTGCAGTGGTGCAAGGATGGCTCACTGCAGCCTCGACCTCCTGGGTTCAAGCGATCCTACAGCCTCAGCCTCCTGAGTAGCTGGGACCACAGACGCATGCCACCATGCTCGGCTAATCCTTTAATTTTTGTAGAGACAGGGTCTCTCTAGGGGCTCATTCAAGTGATGCTCCCTTCTTTTTTTTTTTTTTTGAGAGAGGGTCTTGCTCTGTCGCCCAGGCTGGAGTACAGTGGTGCGATCTCGGCTCTCTGCCTCCCGAATTCAAGTGATTCTCCTGCCTCAGCCTCCTGAGTAGCTGGGATTACAGGTGCCCACCACCATGCCCAGCTAGTTTCTGTATTTTTAGTAGAGGTGGGGTTTCGCCATGCTGGCCAAGCTGGTCTTGAACTCCTGACCTCAGGTGATCCACCCACCTCAGCCTCCCAAAGTGCTGGGATTACAGGTGTGAGCCACCATGGCTGGCCTAGGCACTTTGTTAATATGTACTGAATGAATGTGTGAATGACCAACCAATAAGGATGAAGCTGACAGTCTCTGCATTGCTCTGTGACTTTGAGGAAGTGACTTGCCATCTCTGGGCTTTGGGTTCCCATCTATAAAACATAGACCATACACTTGTTTGGCTTCCAGCTTTCCACCCTTTGTTCATGCTATTTCTTCTCCAACAGGGACTATCCCCTAGCCCCATGCTTTACCTCCCTAATCTCTCATGAGCTCTGAAATACCCCCTAACTCAGGCAGGCACCACTACAGCTAAAGTCGACCAAACCTTTCTCGGGACCATCACTTTGACCAGGACCATGCCGGCAGAAGGGAACTGGGGCTGGGGACTTGCCATGGAGCAGCTAGAGGAGACAGAGGTGGACAGAGGTGGCCATACCAGAGCAAGGTGATGCCAACTGTAACTCCTGGTCATCAGTGGGGAGGGACAGGTGACCAGCTCCAGAAGAGAAAAGCAGCCTTACCCAGGGAGGGGGAAATGGCAAGCATAAAGGACTTCATGGAAACTCAGCTAACTGGAAAAGTTGTATCAGTCTGTATGAAGTACAGTCCTTCTACTAGTGGGTGGGTGTACACTCTAGAGAAACTCTCCGACTTGGAATAAAGAGATAAATGCAAGAATGCTCGCTATCGTGTTTGTAACGGTGAGGAACTGGAAACGGTTTCCATCACCAGAAGAATGGAAACATGGATCCTGGTATATTGATACAGGGGAACACCATATGTCAGTGAAAGTAGATGCACCAGTGTCCCATATATCACCCGGGACAACCCGTAGTTGCAGAAGTCTACAATGCCATTGACACGAAGTTTTGAAACACATACAATGGCTGGGCACAGCCGCTCACGCCTGTAATCCCAGCACTTTGGGAGGCCGAGGCCGGTGGATCACCTGAGGTCGGAAGTTCGAGACCAGCCTGGCCAACATGATGAAACCCCGTCTCTACTAAAAATACAAAAATTTACCCGCACATGGTGGCAGGCACCTGTAATCCCAGCTACTTAGGAGGCTGAGGCAGGAGAATTGCTTGAACCCAGGAGGCAGAGGTTGCAGTGAGCCGAGATTGCACCACTACACTCCAGCCTGGATGACAAGAGCGAAATTCCATCTCAAAAAACAAAGCAAAACAAAACAATGGTTGCATGTGGATACATGTGGCAAAAGGATACACACGTGAAGGGCATGACTAACACAGCATGGGGAGGGAAGCGGCCGCCCCTGAGGGTGGGGAGGGAAGAATGCAATCGGGAAAGCTACACGGGACATTGGTATTTGGAAATTTTGTTTAAGCCCTGTGGTGGAATCCATGAGTTCATTATATTTTTCTTTTTATCTCTATTTTTTTTAACTACACCTGTAACAAAACTGCATTTCTTTCTTTCTTTTCTTTCTTTCTTTCCCTTTCTTTCCTTCCTTCCTTCTTTCTTTTTCTTTTCTTTCTTTTTTTTATCTTGAGACAAAATCTCGCTCTGTTGCCCAGGCTGGAGTGCAGTGGTGCGATCTCAGCTCACTGCAAGCTCTGCCTCCCGGGTTCACGGCATTCTCCTGCCTCAGCCTCCCGAGTAGCTGGGACTACAGGTGCCCACCACCACGCCCAGCTAATTTTTTGTATTTTTAGTAGAAATGGGGTTTCACTCTGTTAGCCAGGATGGTCTCGATCTCCTGACCTTGTGATCCACCCACCTTGGCCTCCCAAAGTGCTGGGATTACAGGCGTGAGCCATCGTGCCCGGCCTCTTTTCTTTCTTTTTTAGTTATTTGATTTTCAATCCCACTGACATGAGTTCATCAGTTCATTATATTTACTGTCTGTTCCTTTTTTTTCTTTTTTTTTTCTTTTTGAGATGGAGCCTCGCTCTGTCGCCCGGGCTGGAGTGCAGTGGCACAATCTCCGCTCACTGCAAGCTCTGTCTCCCGGGTTCACGCCATTCTCCTGCCTCACCCTCCCGAGTAGCTGGGATTACAGGCTCCTGCCACCACGCCCGGCTAATTTTTTTGTATTTTTTTTTTTTTCAGTAGAGACGGGGTTTTACCACGTTGGCCAGGATGGTCTCGATCTCCTGACGTGGTGATCCGCCTGCCTCGGCCTCCCAAAGTGCTGGGATTACAGGTGTGAGCCACTGCAACCAGCCTACTGTCTGTTCTTTTCTGTTTTTGTTTGTTTGTTTGTTTGTTTTTGTTTTCTTAGAGACGGAGTCTCACTCTGTCGCCCAGACTAGAGTGCAGTGGCGTGATCTCGGCTCACTGCAACCTCCGCCTCCCGGGTTCAACCAATTCTCTGCCTCAGCCTCCCAAGTAGCAGGGATTATAGGTGCCCACCACCATGCCTGGCTCATTTTTTTGTATTTTTAGTAGAGATGGGGTTTCACCATCTTGGCCAGGCTGGTCTTGAACTCCTGACCTCATGATCTACCCGCCTCGGCCTCCCAAAGTGCTGGGATTACAGGCATGAGCCACCGCGCCTGGCTACTGTCTGTTCTTTTCTGTAAGTCAGAAATATTTCATAATACAAATAAAATTTTGACCCACCAATTCCACTTCCAGGGTTTTATTCTTTTTTTTTTTCTTGAGACAGAGTCTCATTCTGTTGTCCTGGTGAGCCAAGATGGCGCCATTGCACTCCAGCCTGGGCGACAACAAGCAAGACTCCATCTTTAAATAAATAAATAAATAAATAAAATAAAACCTTCAGACCTCCTGAGAACTCACTCATTATCATGAGAACAGCATGGGGGTTCACCATGATTCAATTTCCTCCACCTGGTCCCCCCTTTGACAAGTGGGGGTTATGGGGATTAAAATTCAAGGTGAGATTTGGGTAGGGACACAGAGCCAAATCATATCACTCAGCATTGTTGAAAAAACAGAAAAGTAGGTCGGGCGCGGTGGCTCACGCCTGTAATCCCAACGCTTTGGGAGGCCGAGGCGGGCAGATCACCTGAGGTCAGGAGTTCAAGACCAGCCTGGCCAACATGACGAAATGCTGTCTCTACTAAAAATACAAAAATTAGCCGGGCGTGGTCGTGGGCGCCTGTAATCCCACCTACTCAGGAGGCTGAGGCAGGAGAATCATTTGAACCCAGGAGGCGGAGTTTGCAGTGAGGCGAGATCACACCATTGCACTCCAGCCTGGGCGACAGAGCAAAATGTCGGAAAAAAAAACAAAAAACAGAAAAGAATGTCCAACAATAGGACATAGTTGGACGAATTCTAGCATCTCTCAATCTCTCACAACATGGAATAACATGAAAGCTGTTACTGAACTCTTACCACACAGCAGCCACTTTGCAAATAGCCCTGTGAGGGAGGGGCTGTTATAATGCTCATTTTACGGATAAGCAAAGTGAGGCTTACAGAGATGATGTAACCGGCCCAGAGTTAACATCCAAGTCATGGGACTCCAGAGTCTAGTGCACTTTGCACTCTCAAGCTCCCGGCCGCACTGCCCAGAAAGAAACCAGCTGCTGAAAGCTGGCGGGGTGGGTCTCAGACTTCAGGTGGCATAATAAAATAAGAAGGAATGACTCATGCTGGGACACCGATGGCCCGTGAAAACATCATGCTAGGTGAAGGGAGCCGGAGATGAAAGGCCACATTCGGTACGACGCCATTTCTATGAAATATCCAGAGTAGGTAAATCCATAGAGACACAAAGCAAATTCGCGGTTGCAGAGGCTGGGGCAAGTGACTGCTAACAGGTATGGGCTTTCCTTTTGGGATGATGAAGAAGTTCTGGAAGTAGATAGTGGTGATGGTTGTACCTAATACCACTGAACTGTACACTTTAAAACAGTTAAAATGGGGCCGGGCATGGTGGCTCATGCCGGTAATCCCAGCACTTTGGGAGGCTGAGGTGATTGGATCACCTGGGGTCAAGAGTTTGAGACCAGCCTGGCCAACGTGACAAAACCCTGTCTCTACTAAAAATACAAAAAATTAGGCAGGCACGGTGGCAGGCACCTGTAATCTCAGCTACTCGGGAGGCTGAGGCAAGAGAATCACTTGAACCCAAGAGGCGGAGGTTGCAGTGAGCCGAGATCGCACCATTGCACTCCAGCCTGGGTGACAGAAAGAGACTCCGCCTCAAAAAATAATAAAATGGTAAATAAAATAAAATAGTTAAAATGGTATATATATATTTAGAGACACATATAAGTGTCTCTCTGTCACCTAGGTGGAAGTGCAGTGGTGTGATCATAACTCACGGCATGGCCTCACGACATTGCTCACACACCTACCACCGAGTTTTGCACTTTAATTAAAATGAAAATTTTAACCAATTCATTAATTTTTGAGACAGCGTTTCACTCTGTCACCCGGGCTGGAGTGACACAATCATAGCTCACTGCAGCCTTGCTCTCCTGGGCTCAAGCAATTCTCCCACCTCAGCCTCCCAAGTAGCTGGGATTGCCGGCACATGCCACCACACCCGGCTAATTTTTAAATTTTTTGTGGAGATGGGATTTCCCTATTCTGCCCAGGCTGGTCCAGAACTCCTGGCTTCAAGCAATCCTCCAGTTTCAGCCTCCCACACACTGGGATTACAGATGTGAGCCACGGCATCTGGCTGTAAAATGGTGAATTTGATGTTTTTTGTGTTGAACTATACACACAGAAAGAAAAAAAGGTGGGGTGTGGGGAGTCAAAGTCACCTTGGGAATGTGATTAAAATACAGATTCCAAGGCTCAGCCTCAGCGGGAACCTGGTCAAATATTCAATAATTTTTGTTTGTTTGTTTTAAATAGGGTCTCACGCTGTCGCCCAGGCTCGAGTACAGTGGTGTGATCCTAGCTCACTGCAGCCTTGACCTCCTGAGCTCAAGCCATCCTCCTGCCTCAGCCTTCTGAGTGGCTGGGACCACAGACATGCACCACCACATTTGGCTTTCTTATTTTTTGTAGAGATTAGGTCTTGCCATGTTGCCCAGGCTGGTCTTGAACTCCTGGGCTCAAGCAATCCTACTGCCTCAGGCTCCCAAAGTGCTGGGATTACAGGCATGAGCTACTGTATCTGGCCCTATAAGTATACTTATTGTATACTATATATTAATTTATATACACACACGGACCTATATAGCTATATCTATATACATATATGATTGCATACACACACACACACCTCATCATTCTCCTACTCAAATTTTGCAATGAATTGATATTTTGTGGTAGCCAGCTCCCAAAACGGCCCTCAATGACCCCCCATTCTCCACTTCTTTTTTTTTTTTTTCTTGAGACAGTCTCGCTCTGTTGCCCAGGCTGGAGTGCAATGGTGCGATCTCAGCTCACTGCCACCTCTGCCTCCTGGGTTGAAAGGATTCTCCTCTCTTTCAGCCTCCTGAGTAGCTGGGATTACAGGCACGCGCCACCAAGCCCGGCTAATTCTTGAATTTTTGGTAAAGACAGGGTTTCACCATGTTGGTCAGGCTGGTCTCGAACTCCTGACCTTGTGATCCGCCCACCTCAGCCTCCCAAAGTGCTAGGATTACAGGCATGAGCCACCACGCCCGGCCCCCCATCCTCCACTTCTGGGATTCATATCCTTGTGTGGCTCTTTCCACCTCGAACAGTGCTGAGCTGTGTAACCAACAGGATATTGCAAAAATGATGGTGTGTCAAAAGTTAGATCCTAAAAAAACTCTGTGGCTTTCACTTTGCTCTCTCTGGGATGCCCATGTCAAGAGGACGTTGCAGGCCGGGCACGGTGGCTCACACCTGTAATCCTAACACTTTGGGAGGCTGAGGTGGGTGGATCACCTGAGGTCAGGAGTTCAAGACCAGCCTGGCCAACATGGCAAAACCCTGTCTCTACTAAAAGTACAAAAAAAAAAAAAAAATTGCCGGGCATGGTGGCGGGTGCCTGTAATCCCAGCTACTTGGGAGGATGAGCCAGGAGAATCATTGAACCCGGTGGGCGGAGGTTGCAGTGAGCCAAGATTGCGCCACTGCACTCCAGCCTGGGCCAAAGAGCGAAACCCTGTCTTTAAAAAAAAAAAAAAATATATATATATATATATATATATATATAGAGAGAGAGAGAGAGAGAGAGAGAGAGAGAGAGAGAGAGAGAGAGAGAGAGAGAGAGAGAGGACATTGGAGCTGCCCTGCGGAGAGGTCCATGTTTCGAGGAACTGAAGCCTCAAGCCAGCAGCCGGAGAGGAGCTGAGGCCTCCCGATAGCTCGTCAGCCACGTGCTTGGGCCACCCCGGCAATAATCCTCCGGTGTCCATCAAGTCTTCAGGTGGCTGTGCAGCCCTGGTCCATGTCTTACTGCAACCTTCCAAGCACCCCAAAACCAGAATCGCTCAGCTAAGCCGTTCCGAAATGTATGACCCATAAAAACCAGGTGAAGTAAATGTTTATCGTTTTCTGGAGTTGCTGTGCTGAATTAGCACACGCCTAGATTAAAATCTAACTTTCTAGGCCGGGCGTGGTGGCTCACGCCTGTAATCCCAGCACTCTGGGAGGCCAAGGCAGGCGGATCACAAGGTCAGGAGTTCGAAACCAGCCTGGCCAACATGGTGAAACCCCGTCTCTACTAAAAATACAAAAATTAGCCGGGTGTGGTGGCGGGCGCCTGTAATCCCAGCTAGTTGGGAGGCTAAGGCAGGAGAATCACTTGAACCCGGGAGGCAGAGGTTGCAGTAAGCGGAGAACGCACCACTGTGCTCCAGCCTGGATGACAGAGCCAGACTCCGTCTCAAAAAAAAAAATCTAACTTTCTTACAATGGCCCCCGGGCCCCGCCCAGTTTGTCCCCTCATTACCTCTCTCACCTTATTGGAACTATTCTTCCCACCACTCACCCTGGTAAGGTCCCACCATGCCTAGCTAATTTTTTGTATTTTAGTAGAGATGGAGTTTCACCATGTTGGCCAGGATGGTCTCAATCTTCTGACCTTGTGATCCACTCGCCTCGGCCTCCCAAAGTGCTGGGATTACAGGTGTGATCCACTGCACCCAGCCAGTAGCAGAGCTTTAAGTCAGCGCAAGTCGCTTCTGAGAATGGGGCCCCTGGTGGCTACACAGGTTACCTCCCCCTGGCTACCACTACATATCTCTTTATTTATTCGTTTATTGCTAGAACATAAGTGCCAGGAGGGCAGGACCCTTGTCCTGTTCAGAGTTGAGTCTCAATATCAAAAAGCAGTGCCTGGCATATCACTGGCATGAGATAAAGATTTGCTGAATGAGGCTGGGCGCGGTGGCTCACGCCTGTAATCCCAGCACTTTGGGAGGCTGAGGCGGGTGGATTACGAGGTCAGGAGTTCGAGACCAGCCTGGCCAAGATGGTGAAACCCTGTCTCTACTGAAAATACAAAAATTAGCCGGGTGTGATGGCGACGCCTGTAATCCCAGCTACTAGGGAGGCTGAGGCAGGAGAATCGCTTGAACCCAGGAGGCAGATGTTGCAGTGAGCCAAGATTGAGCCACTGCATTCTAGCCTGGGTGACAGAGCAAGACTCAGCCTCAAAAAAAAAAAAAAAAAAATTGCTGAATGAGTCAATGACTAACCACAACAATGCAAGAAGTCAGATCCTGAAGAAAAGAGGGAATATTAGGTCAAAAGAGGATTGTTATCCATTGAATGGGAGAAAATATTTGGAAATCATTATATCTGATAATGATCGCCTTATAATCCAGAATATATAAAGAATCCTTGGCCAGGCATGGTGGCTCACGTCTGCAATCCCAGCACTTTGGGAGGCCAAGGCAGGCGGATCACGCGGTCAGGAGATCGAAACCATCCTGGCTAACATGGTGAAACCCTGTCTCTACTAAACAACAACAACAAAAAATTAGCCGGGCATGGTGGCAGGCGCCTGTAGTCCCAGCTACTCGGGAGGCTGAGGCAGGACAATGGCATGAACCCAGGAGGCGGAGCTTGCAGTGAGCCGAGATCGCGCCACTGCACCCCAGCCTGGGCGACAGAGCAAGACTCCATCTAAAAAAAACACAAAGAATCCCTAAGCCGGGCACGGTGGCTCACACCTGTAATCCCAGCACTTTGGGAGGCTGAGGCGGGTGGATCACCTGGGGTTAGGAGTTCGAGATCAGCCTGGCCAACATGGTGAAACCCTGTCTCTACTAAAAATACAAAAAAAAAAAAAAAAATTAGCCTGGTATGGTGGCAGGCACCTGTAATCCCAGCTACTCCGGAGGCTGAGGCAGGAGAATCACTTGAACCTGGTAGGTGGAGATGGCAGTGAACCGAGATCATGCCACTGCACTCCAGCCTGTGTGACACAGTGAGACTCCACCTCAAAAAAAAAAAATTCTTATGACTCAATAATAAAAAGACAGACAACCGAATTTCAAAAATGAACAAAGATCTGACATTTCTCCAAAGAAATATGCAAATAGCCAATGAATGCATGGAAAAATGTCCAACGTCATTAGTCACTAGGGCAATACAAATTCAACCCACAAGGAGACACCACTTCACACCCTCCAGAATGATTACCATCAGAAAGACACATCAAATGGGGGACGGTGGCACAGGCCTGTAATTCCAGCTACCTGGGAGGCTGAGGCAGGAGGATCTCTTGAGGCCAGGAGGCTGAGGCAGGAGGATCTCTTGAGGCCAGGAGGCTGAGGCAGGAGGATCTCTTGAGGCCAGGAGGCTGAGGCAGGAGGATCTCTTGAGGCCAGGAGGCTGAGGCAGGAGGATCTCTTGAGGCCAGGAGGCTGAGGCATGAGGATCTCTCTCTCTTTTTTTTTTTTTTTGAGATGAAGTGTTGCTCTGTCACCCAGGCTGGAGTGCAATGGCGCAGTCTCGGCTCACTGCAACTTCCGCCTCACAGGTTCAAGCCATTCTCCTGCCTCAGCCTCCCGAGTAGCTCGGATTACAGGCGTGTGCCACCATGCCCAGCTAATTTTTCTTTTTTTTTAGTATAGACGGGGTTTCGCCATGTTGGTCAGGCTAGTCTCCAACTCCTGACCTCAAGTGATCCGCCTGCCTCAGCCTCCCAAAGTGCTGGGATTACAGGCATGACTCCTGGCCAGGCAAAGGGATCTCTTGAGGCCGGGAGTTCGAGGCTGTAGTGTGCTATGACACTACCTGTGAATAGCCACTGAACTCTGGCCTCAGCAACAAAGCCAGATCTCATCCCTAAAAAAGATTGTAATGTAATTTTAAAAAGACCGATAATAGCAGGCACTGTTGCCGGTGTGGAGAGATTGAAACCCTCATGCACTGCTGTCAGGAATGTAAAATGGTGTAAATCGTGTACACATGGCGGAAAGTAGTTTAGCAGTTCCTAAAAATGTTACTATACAACCCAGTAATTCTACTTCTAGGTAGAATGGTGGCAGGTGCCTGTAACCCCAGCTACTCGGGAGGCTGAGGCAGGAGAATTGCTAGAACCCGGGAGGCAGAGGTTGTAGTGAGCCGAGATCGCGCCACTGCACTCCAGCCTGGGCAACAAGAGCAAAAGTCCATCTCAAAAAAAAAAAAAAAAAAGAACATATGAGCAAATGGCTGGCCGGATAGGCAGGTGGGTGGATGAGTGGAGAAATAACTAGCTGGAGGAATGCACAAAGGCATGAACATATGCACAGATAAATGGATGTTTCAGGAGAAGGTTGGATGGGTGAAGATAAGGAGGGATATTCAAGGGCATTGCATGGCACATAGGAAGGAACCAAACTTTACAGCCAGACAGACCCAAGCTGCTCCACTCGGTAGCTGAGTGACATTGGGCAAGTACGGTAGCCAGGTGGCTCACCCTTCCTGAAAGAACTTGATTAGCAGGGAGGACTTCAGCTGGTCTCCAGCCTCCAGCAGTAGCACCTTCAGCAGTGTTTGATTTGGATTGCTATTACATTCTTTTTATGCAGCCTTGACCGATGACTAAGCATGGGGTGGGGAGCAGAGCCTGGCCGTTTCTGCCCAATGTGGACACCTCTAAAGTCAATGTGCTAAAGTGTTTATTTATTTATTTATTAAATTTAACTTTTTGGCCAGGCGCGGTGGCTCTCACCTGTAATCCCAACACTTTGGGAGGCCGAGGCGGGCGGATCACGAGGTCAGGAGATCAAGACCATCCTGAATAACACAGTGGAACCTCATCTCTACTAAACATACAAAAAAAAAAAAAAAAAAATTAGCCGGGCGTGGTGGCGGGCGCCTTTAGTCCCAGCTACTCGGGAGGCTGAGGCAGGAGAATCCTTTGAACCCGGGAGGCGGAGCTTGCAGTGAGCCGAGATCGCGTCACTGCACTCCAGCCTGGGCCAAAGAGCGAGACTCCGTCTCAAAAAAAAAAAAAAAAAGTTAAATTTAATTTTTAAATTATTTATTTATTTATTTATTTATGTATTTATTTATTTATTTTTTGGGACGGAGTCTCGCTCTGTCGCCCAGGCTGGAGTGCGGCGACGCGATCTCGGCTCACTGCAACTGCCGCCTCCCGGGTTCCCGCCGTTCTCCTGCCTCAACCTCCCGGGTAGCTGGGACCACAGGCGCCCGCCACCACGCCCGGCTAATTTTTTTGTATTTTTAGTAGAGATGGGGTTTCACCATGTTAGCCAGGATGGTGTTGATCTCCTGACCTCGTGATCCGCCCGCCTCGGCCTCCCAAAGTGCTGGGATGACAGGCGTGAGCCACGGCGCCCGGCCCACTCTAAGCATTTTAAAGTATAATTCGGTGTCGTCTAGCACAGTCCCAATGTTGTGCAACCTTCGTCTCTATCTAGTTCCAAAACAGTTTCATAACCCCCATAAGGAAACTCCAAATAAGCAATCATTTCCCATCCTCCCCTCTTCCCACCCCTTGCAACCACTGACTTGCTTTCGGTCTCCATGGACTTGCGTATGGGTGATCTTTGCACCACATTTCCCAGCTGACCTGACCGGGGTTCTCAGAACTGCACATGGTCTGTGATTCTTCCACTCTCCCCATCTCCTTTCTCCAGTGTCAGACCCAGACCCACTCACGTTGCAGTCTGAAGTCTCTCCCAGCCACTCCTGGTCTTTCTCCTCCTTTTTCTTTTTTTCTTTTTTTTTTTGTATTTTTAGTAGAGACGGGGTTTCACCATATTGGCCAGGCTGGTCTTGAACTCCTGACCTCGTGATCCGCCTGCCTTGGCCTCCCAAAGTGCTGGGATTACAGGCTTAAGCCACCGCGCCTGGCCTTTCTCCTCCTTTATCCTTCAGCAACCTCATCCCCAGTCAATCTCTTGCTTTTCTTTTCTTTCTTTCTTTTTTGTTTTTTTGAGAGGGAGTTTCGCTCTTGTCGTCCGGGCTGGAGTGTAGTGGCACAATCTCGACTCACTGCAACCTCCACTTCCTGGATTCAAGCGATTCTCCGGCCTCAGCCTCTTGAGTAGCTGGGATTACAGGCGCCCGCCACCATGCCCAGCTAATTTTTGTATTTTTAGTAGAAACGGGGTTTCGCCATATTGGCCAGGCTGGTCTCGAACTCATGACCTCAGGTGATCCACCCGCCTCAGCCTCCCAAAATGCTGGGATTACAGGCGTGAGCCACCGGGCCCGGTCAGACAGGCATTCTTTTAGGGTCTTATGTGGATAACCCCAATAAACCCTCACAATTGCACGAGGGCAGACCATCATGATCCCTGTTTTGCAGACAAGAAAACAGAGGTCCGAGACCCATCTATCTCTAGAGGTGTACATCCCCTCCCTGGGGAAGGTTCTGAGACCTCTGTGTTCCTAGACGTCTACATCCCCTCTCTGGGGAAACTTCCAGGCAGGGGACATAGACATCTAGGGATATAAAAATAAAAATAGGCCGGCCGCGGTGGCTCACGCCTGTAATCCTAGCACTTGGGAGGCCGAGGCGGGTGGAACACCGGATGTCAGGAGTTTGGGACTAGCCTGACCGACATGGAGAAACCCTGTTTCTACTAAAAAAATACAAAATTAGCCGGGTGTGGTGGTGCATGACTGTAATTCCAGCTACTTGGGAGGCTGAGCAGGAGAATCGCTTGAACCCGGGGGCAGAGGTTGCGGTCAGCTGAGATCGCGCCATTGCACTCCAGCCTGGGCAACAAGAGCGAAACTCCGTCTCAAAAATAAAAAATAAAATAAAAAAATAAAAATAAAAATAAAAACCAGTCCCCACCACCAACCACAAGCGGTTTCCTCAATATGAAAGTGCAACGTCATCTTTCTCAGAGGAAAAGCACAGCCTCTTCCCCTCGGCTGAGCCAGGCCAGCAGCCCTAGCTTCTGGAAGGATCCTTCAGGCTCCAGACACCCAACCTACCCGTGGCCGGTGAGTGGGGCCTAATTCCCAACTTGAAAGTAGCTCGGCAGGCTGGAGCCCTGTCCCCTGTCCTCCCAGGGAGGGTCCAAGCAGGTCACATAAGCACCGTGGGGACACCAGTGAGCCAAACTCATCTTTGTGCCAGGACACCGAGTTGGGTATGGAGGCTCAGAGCGGGGACAAGTCTTCCTTAGGATCACCTGGGCTTTCTCGTCTTTATTATTATTATGTTTTTGGAAGAGAAGTGGGAATCAGCCAGGTGGCAAACACAGGACAGGGCAGGGCAGGAGATCAGTGTTGAGGGCCGACGGAGGAGCAGGTAGCATGGACCCCTCCCTCCCCTGGGCTCCCTCATAGCTTTGTGTGACTTCCTTTAGAGGAGCTGTCACCTGCTGATCATCTGTGTTGCCCACAGACAGGGATTCCCCTGAGGGCAGGGGGTGGCTCAGATTCATGTCTGGGCAAACGGAGACCTCCGGAAAAAGAAGCGAAAGGAGGAAGACGAGACCCAGAGGAGAGGCATTTGGCAGCAGAAGGGGTGAGGAGGACTTGGAGAGCTTTGCCCTCTATCAGCCCCACTGGGACAGGATTTATTTTTTATTTTATTTATTTATTTTATTTTATTTATTTTTGGAGACGGAGTCTCACTCTGTCGCCCAGGCTGGAATGCAGTGGTGCGATCTCGGCTCACTGCAACCTCCGCCTCCTGGGTTCAAGCGATTCTCCTGCCTCAGCCTCCCGAGTAGCTGGGATTACAGGTGCCTGCCACCACACCCGGCTAATTTTTGTATTTTTAGTAGAGACGGGGTTTCACTATGTTGGCCAGGCTGGTCTCAAACTCCTGATCTCATGATCTGCCCACCTCGGCCTCCCAAAGTGCTGGGATTGCAGGCGTGAGCCACCATGCCCGGCCACCCAGCTAATTTTTTTTTGTATTTTTAGTAGAGACAGGTTTTCACCATGTTGGCCAGGCTGGTCTCGATCTCCTGACCTCAGGTGATCCACCTGCCTCAGCCTCCCAAAGTGCTGGGACTACAGGCGTCAGCCACCTTGCCCAGCCGACCCTGGCTGTTTAAAAAATAAAAATAAAAAATAAAGGAATGAAACACTAATACATGCCACAACATGGATGAATCTCAAAAACATTACACTGAGCATAAAATACACCAGACGGGTTGGGCGCGATGGCTTCCGCCTGTAATCCCAGCACTTTGGGAGGCTGAGGCAGGGGGATCACTTGAGGTCAGCATTTTGAGGCCAGCCTGGCCAACATGGTGAAACTCTGTCTTTATCAAAAAATGCAAAAATTAGCCAGGCATAGTGGCGGGCACCTGTAATCCCAGCTACTTGGGAGGCTGAGGCATGAGAATCACTTGAACCCAGGAGGTGGAGGTCCCAGTGAGCCAAGATTGTGCCACTGCACTCCAGCCTGGGCAACAGAGGGAGACTCTGTTTCAGAAAAAAAAAAAAAAAAAAAAGGTTGGGCGCAGTGTCTCACGCCTGTAATCCCAGCACTTTGGGAGCCTGAGGCGGGTGGATCACCTGAGGTTGGGAGTTCGAGACCAGCCTGGCCAACATGGTGAAACCCCATCTCTACTAAAAATACAAAAATTAGCCAGGCATGGTGGCACCGGCCTGTAATCCCAGCTCCTCAGGAGGCTGAGGCAGGAGAATCACTTGAACCCGGGAAGCAGAGGTTGCAGTGAGCCGAAATTGCGCCACTGCACTCCAATCTGGGTGACAGAGGGAGACTCTGTCTCAAAAAAAAAAAAAGAAAGAGGCGATGGTTGCATAACATTGGGAGTGCACTAATGTCGCTGAGTCGCACATTTTTTTTTTCTTTTTTCTGAGACAGAGTTTTGCTCTTGTCACCCAGGCTGGAGTCCAATGGCATGATCTGGACTGACTGCAACTTCTGCTTCCCAGGTTCAAGGGATTCTCCTGCCTCAGCCTCCGGAGTAGCTGGGATTACAGGCTCCCGCCACCACACCCAGCTAATTTTTGCATTTTTAGTAGAGATGGGGTTTCACCATGTTGGCCAGGCTAGTCTCAAACACCTGACTCCAGATGATCTGCCCACCTTGGTCTCCCAAACTGCTGGGATTACAGGCGTGAGCCGCCGTGCCTGGCCGAGTCGTACACTTTAAAATGGCTAATGTTATGTGGATTTTATGTCCATTAAAAGACACGAGGTGGCATAGTGAGAGAGGAGGTGGCTGGGACTTCTGTGTCTAAGGGAAGAGTTCTGGGGGCCTGGACTCCTGCATTTTGGGGAAGGAGGAAGGAGTTGGAGCTTGGACTCCTGGGTCCCCAAGGGTGGAGGCTCCGATCTGAGTCCAGGGGAGGATAGGGCTGAGAGTTTGGATGTTGAATACACAAAGCTGGAGGAAGGAAATTAGGGTCCCCCAAAGCTACGGTGCTGCCTGTGAGGTTCTAAGGAGACAGGACACGGTGGTTTGGGGACAGAGAGCCGTTAGGAAGTGGCAGTCAGACCAAAGGACCCAGGCAGTCCTGCAGCCTGGACTTTGCCTCTGCAGGATGTCTGCCTGAGCCCCACCCCGAATGCCAGCCCTTCTTCCCTGAGCTCACCCAGCCCCAGCTCCAGGACTGAGAGCCCCAGGAAGCTTGGAGAGGTGAGCATCCTGGGGAGGCCCTGGAGGCTGGGAGGTGCACGGAGGGGCTGGGAGGGCAGGGAGAAACTCCCCAAGCAGGAGAATGTGTGAGCTAGGACTGAACACTGAAACAGGTGAAGAGATTGCTTGGAGTGGAGGACAGCTGGCCGATTAGATCAGACCCCCACCCGTGACGTCTGCCTGAGAGCCAATGGGGGCCCAGAGGCCGTGGCCACAATCTCATGCACCTGGGCCCTCCCCAAGGGGCTGGTTCTTCAGGTGTGAAGGGGAGGAGAGAGAAAGAGGAAAGCGAGAGGGGCCCAGCTTCAGCCCCTCTCATTCTCCTGCAGAGCCCAGCATGTGAGGCTTACCTGTCCCTGTCCCTGCTGGCTGGGCTATCTTGGGGTCTGGACCTCGTGAGTGTCAGAGGCAGGAGGGACTCCGGAGTCTAAGGAAGGAGGGCCTAGAGGTCTGACCCTGGGTCTGAGGGAGGAGGGGCTGAGGGACTGGACTCCTGGGTCCTGGGAAGAAGGAAGAGGCCATGACTCCAAATCCCTAAATACCAAGCCAGGAGGAGGTCAGAAGCTGAAGATGGCTGTTGGGAGAGAGAAGGAAAAGGGTCAGGCGGCAGGAGCAGTCTTTGTCTGGCTGGGGGAATTTTCGGATGGAGATGTCATCGCTGAAAGCTCCCTTCCCACCCATGCTCAGCCTGCCTGGGGAACTCCAGCAGGCAAAAGGAGAAGGGTGAGAGGAAGGAGAGTGGAGGGGAGGAGGCAGGGTTGTCAGTGCTCCATATCTCCCAGCCCCAAAACAGAAGCTTCACCCAGAGAGCAGGCCGACCTGAGGCCCTCACTCTTGGGTACCCGAGTAGGTAAGAGCTGGGAGGTTGGACATCAGGAGCTGGAGAAGAATATCTGTATTCTAGGAGGAACTGGGGCCCCGGAATTCTGGGTCTTCCAGGCTGGAGAGAGCTGGAGGCTCAGATTCCTGGTTCCTGGGGAGGGAAGGGCTGAGACTTTGGACGTTGAACCCACAAAGCTGGAGGAAGGAAGTTAGGGGCCCCTGAAGCTAAGGTGCTGCCTGCTAGGTTCTGAGGAGGGAGGACATGGCGGTTTGGAGGTAGAGAGCCCCTCAGGAAGTGTTGGTCAGACCCAAGACCCCAGGCAGCCCTCCAGCGCTCCAGCTGGGACTTTGCCTCTGCCTTGGCCTGTCTGAGCCCCATCCCGAATGCCAGCCCTTCTTCCCTAAGCTCACCCAGCCCCAGTCCCAGGACTGAGAGCCCCAGGGATCTTGGAGAGGTGAGCATCTCCAGGAGGTCCTGGAGGCTGGGAGGTGCAAGGAGAGGCTGGGAGGTGCAAGGAGGGGCTGGGAGGACAGGGAGAAATTCCTCAAGCAGGAGAATGCGTGAGATAGGGTTGAACACTGCGGGATAGGTGGGGAAATTGCCTGGAAATGGAGAGCTGGCCAATCAGATCAGACCCCTACAGGTGACTTCTGCCTGAGAGCCAAGCGGGGCCTAGTGGTTGGGGCCACAATCTCATGCACCTGGGCCCTCCTTGAGGGCTGGTTCTTCAGGTGTGAGAGAGACAGGTGTCCAGCCTCAGCCCCGATCCTTCACCTGCAGAGCCCGGCATGTGGGGCTACCTGTCGCTGATGCCTGTCTTCCTAGCTGTCTGGGCTATCTCTGGCGTCTGGATCGTGTGAGTGTCAGAGGCATGATGGACTCCTGGGTCTGAGGGTGGAGGGGGCTGGGGCCTGGATTTCTGGGTCTGAGGGAGGAAGGGGTTGGGGGCCTGGATCCCTGGATCTGAGGGAGGAGGAGCTGGAGGCCTGGACTCCTGGGTCTGAGGGAGGAGGGGCTGGGGGTCTGGACTCCTGGGTCTGAGGGAGGAGGGGCTGGGGGATCTGGACTCCTGGGTCTGAGGGAGGAGGGGCTGGGGGCCTGGACTCCTGGTCTGAGGGTGGAGGGGGCTAGAAGTCCTTGTTTGTTTGGTTAACAGAAGGAAAAGTTGTTGGTGAGAGTCGCCCACTCACTCTGATTTCCTCCGTAGTTTTGCCATTGCAGTGACCAACAGGACTGTGGACCTCAGTAAAGGCTTTCCCTACATCAGGTAATTCTGCCCGAGGGTAGGGATTTGGGGGGATCGCCGCTGCAGGAAAGTGGAGGCCCTAGCTTGGATTGCCCAGGATGACCCCTTTGTCTTCCCCAGCATCTGCGGATCCTTCCCCCCTCAGAGCTGCATCTTCAGCCAGGTGCTCAATATGGGAGCTGCTCTGGGTAAATATTGCCCAGCCCTTTGGTTCAGTGCTCCCAAGCCCAGCCAAGCGAGTTCCGAAACCGCTCCTTTCTCAAACCCAGGAGTCCATGCCCCAGGCCCCTCTTTCCCCAAAATCCGGGAGTTTGCCACTTTCTCCCTCACCTTGCTCCCCTCACTTCCCTCCCTGGGTCCCAGGAGTTCTTGGTGGGTCTCCCTCCCACTTCCTTCTCCCCTCTACTCCCAGCCGCGTGGATCTGCATTGTCCGTTACCACCAGCTCCGGGACTGGGGCGTCAGAAGGTGGCCTAACCAGCTGATCCTATGGACGGGTCTTCTGTGTGCCCTGGGCACCTCCGTGGTAGGCAATTTCCAGGTGAGACCCAGTCGGCGCCCAGGGTCTGTCCCGGCCGGCGTCTGGAACTACAACTCCCAGCATGCCCCGTGGCCATAGGCTTATTGTCTCGGGGGCTGGTTCCCGCCCGGCCCTCCTGGGACTTGTATTTTTCTCTGGCCAGTGGCCTTGGACCGGCTGGATTCCTTTGCTCTCTGAGTGGGGCACTACGAGCGAGGCTGTTTGTATGTAGGACTTCGTTGACTTCCAGGACGTTGGGATAATTTTCTGCCAGCCCCTCTCCCCAGCTTATTTAATGATGAAATTACTGGTCCAGGCGCAGTGGCTCATGCCTGTAATTCCAGCACTTTGGGAGGCGGAGGCAGGCGGATCGCCTGAGGTGAGGAGTTTGAGACCAGCCTGGCCAACCAACATGGTGAAACCCCGTCTCTCCTAAAATATACAAAAATTAGCCGGGCATGGTGGCAGGCGACTTAATCCCAGCTACGTGGGAGGCAGAGGCAGGAGAATCATTTGAACCTGGGAGGTGGAGGTTGCAGTGAGCCGAGATCGAGCCATTGCACTCAAACCTGGGGGATAAGAGTGAGACTTCTCTCAAAAAAAAAAAAAAAAAAAAAAAAAAAAAAGAAGAAGAAGATGAAATTACTGGCCGGGCTCTGTGGCTCACGGCTGTAATCCCAGCACTTTGGGAAGCCAAGGTAGGTGGATCACCTGAGGTCAGGAGTTGGAGACCAGCCTGGCCAACACGGTAAAACCCCATCTCTACTAAAAATACAAAAAATTAGCTAGGGGTGGTGGCAGGTGCCTGTAAGCCCAGCTACTCAGGAGACTGAGGCAGGAGAATTGCTTGAACCCGGGAGGCAGAGGTTGCATTGAGCCGAGACCATGCCATTGCACTCCAGCCTGGGCTGCAAGAGTGAGACTCAGTCTCAAAAAAGAAAAGAAAAGAAAAAAGAAATTAGTGAGGCTGGGCACAGTGGTTCATGCCTGTAATCCCAGGACTTTGGAGGCTGAGGCTTGAGCCCAGGAGTTCAAGACCAGCCTGGACAACATAGCAAGACTCTGTCTCTACAAAAAATAAAGAATTAGCCAGGCATGGTGGCGTGAACCTGTAGTCCCAGCTATGCAGGAGGCTGAGGTGGGAAGATGGAGGATTGCTTGAGCCCAGGAGGTCGAGGCTGCAGTGAGCTGTGATTGTGCCACTGCACTCCAGCCTGGTGAACAGAGTGAGACCTTGTCTCCAAAAAGAAATGACTGAGATTTACTCATTCTTCATGTTAGGCACATTGATTGAGCATTTGGCAGCCATTGGCAGCAGGCTTTCCATTTTGTACATGACTTCATTCCATCTCCATGAAGACTCTAGCTAGGTCACTCATTGCCCATGGACCACAGAGAATATATTTATATATATACATATATTGGAGATGGAGTCTTGCTCTGTCACCCAGGCTGGAGTGCAGTAGTGCGATCTTGGCTCACCGCAACCTCCGCCTGCTGGGTTCAAGCGATTCTCCTGCCTCAACCTACCAAATAGCTGAGACTACAGGCACCTGCCACCAGGCCTGGCTAAATTTTTTTTGTATTTTTAGTAGAGATGGGATTTCACCATATTGGCCAGGCTGGTCTTGAACTCCTGACCTCAAATGAGCCACCCACCTCAGCCTCCCAAAGTGCTCCACAACTATTTATTTATTTGAGACAGAGTCTTGCTCTGTGGCCCAGGCTGGAGTGCAGTGGTGAGATCTTGGCTTACTGCAACCTCCATCTCCCGGGCTCAAGTGATTCTCCTAACTTCAGCTTCCAGAGTAGCTGGGATTACAGGCGCTCACCACCACGCCCGGCTACTTTTTGCATTTTTAGTAGAGATAAGGTTTCACCATGTTGGCCACGCTGGTCTCAAACTCCTGACCTCAAGTGATCTGCCTACCTTGGCCTCCCTAAGTGTTGGGATTACAGGCATGAGCCACTGTGCCCAGCCCTCAACCTATTATTATTATCTTGCTCCTCTAAGGAGTATTTTTAGACATTTCCCCCTGGTTCTCCCCTCTTCCCATGAAATTTTAAGTATTTATTTTATTTATTTATTATTTGTTTATTTATTTTTGAGATGGGATCTTGCTCCGTTGCCCAGGCTGGTGTGCGATGGTGCCATCTCAGCTCACTACAACCTCTGCTTCCTGGGCTTAAGTAATCCTCCAGCCTCAGCCTCCTGAGTAGCTGGGATTACAGGCCTGAGCCACCATGACCGGCTAATATTTGTATTTTTTTTTTTCTTGAGATGGAGTCTCACTCTTGTTGCCCAGGCTGGAGTGCAATGGTGCGATCTTGGCTCACTGCAACCTCTGCCTCCTGGGTTCAAGTGATTCTCCTGCCTCAGCCTCCCAAGTAGCTGGGATTACAGGTGCCCGCCACCACGCCTAGCTAATTTTTTGTATTTTTAGTAGAGACAGGGTTTCACCATGTTGGCCAGGCTGGTCTCGAACTCCTGACCTCAAGTGATCTACCCGCCTTGGCCTCCCAAAGTGCTGAGATTACAGGTGTGAGCCACTATGCCTGGCAATATTTGTATTTTTTGTAGAGACGAGGTTTTGCCATGTTGCTCAGGTGGGTCTTGAACTCCTGAGCTCAAAGTGATCTGCCTGCTTCACCTTCCAAAGAGCTGGGATTACAGATGTGAGCCACCGCACCAGGCCAAAATTTTAAGTATTTTAAAATTTTAATGGAATATGTGCTATGTATCCGTGAGTCACATACAATTGTAATATTTAAGAATTTTTCACCTGCAAGACCAATTTTTGGGGAAATGTCTGTCCCCCGCCTTGAGAATGCAAGATTTATCCCACTCATATTTACTGAGCATCTACTATGTGCCCATCACTGTTCTAGGAATTGAGGCCACAGCAGTGAACAACAGATTTCAATGCCTGCTCTCGTGGAGCTGACAATAGCTGATGTGCTTAATAAGCCCATCACTGGGTATGGAAAGTTGGTGACCACTGTCTACTGCATTGGTGAAGGGCCCTGGCCCCTCTGGTGCCCCTTACCCTCCTTCCCAGAGTCTCCCTCCCAACTTCTCCCTTCTCCTCCCAGGAAAAGAACCAGCGGCCTACGCACTTGGCAGGGGCCTTCCTTGCCTTCATCTTGGGTAACGTCTACTTCTGGCTGCAGCTCCTCCTGTGGAGGCTGAAGAGGCTGCCCCAGCCCGGGGCTGCCTGGATTGGGCCCCTCCGCCTGGGCCTCTGCAGCGTCTGCACCATCCTCATTGTGGCCAGTATCCTTCTTGTATCCGGGGTAGGGCTTGGAGGTGGCTCTTCACTGGAGTTGGTCTTCCTGCCTGGCTGTCTGTCACTGGGGATGTCTCTTCCTTTCTCTGGGCCTCACTCTTTGCACAGGATTATGGCTTTGTCATCGAGAATGCCGACTTCGGGGTCAGGTTGCCCAGGTTGGAAGCCCCTGTCCTCCACACAGCAGCTGGGGGAAACTTCCGCGGGCTGTTACTTCTCGGTGTCAATGGTTTCGTCATCCCTCAAATGTGGATAACGACAGGGCTGACCTCAGGGTTGTGGAGTGGATAGGATAATAGGCATACGGTGCTTAGATCTGTGCCTGGCACATAGCGAGTGACCAATAGACGCTGGAAGAATGATATACTAAGAACAGTCCCTTGAGGGCACCTGCTCTGTGCCAGGAATCATGTGGTTACGAGTGAAGACGGGTTCAGACAGGAAAAGTCTTTCGGCCAGGATGCGCGTGAGGTTCTGCAATGGAGCTGGTGATAGGCTGCAGGTGGCTTGCGCAGGCTCTGAGAGGCATTCTGTGAACTGCTCGTCCGAACTCCATGTCCTGTGATATCATGTGAGTAGCTTGAAATAGCCATCATGGGAGTATTTATACCACTGTAATTGGCAGATGCCACCAACCAGAGCCAGTTGTTAAACATTTACTAGCACACCACATGAGGCTTGACTCAATTCCAACTCATTTCTGAGCCATCCCCAGAACCGAGGCACTTTCCACCAGCACAGTGTACTTCTAGATGGGTCAGGTCACTCTCTGAGGCCTCAGTTTCCATATCCATAAAATGGATTTGCTTTTATCATCATGATTATTTTTATTTATTTATTTTTGAGACAGAGTCTTGCTCTGTCGCCCAGGCTGGAGTGCAGTGGCGTGATCTCAGCTCACTGCAACCTCCGCCTCCCGGGTTCAAGCGATTCTCCTGCCTCAGCCTTCCACGTAGCTGGGACTACAGGCACCTGCCAACCACACCTGGCTAATTTTTTTTTTTTTTTTTTTGAGACGGAGTCTCGCTCTGTCACCTAGGCTGGAGTGAAGTGGCGTGATCTTGGCTCACTGTAAGCTCCGCCTCCCAGGTTCATGCCATTCTCCTGCCTCAGCCTCCTGAGTAGCTGGGACTACAGGCGCCAGCCACCATGCCCAACTAATTTTTTGTATTTTTAGTAGGGACAGGGTTTCACCATGTTAGCCAGGATGGTCTTGATCTCTTGACCTTGTGATGCGCCCACTTTGGCCTCCCAAAGTGCTGGGATTACAGGTGTGAGCCACCGTGCCTGGCCTTTTGTATTTTTAGTAGAGACGGGGTTTCATCATATTGGCCAGGCTGGTCTCGAACTCCTGACCTCATGATCCACCTGCCTTGGCCTCCCAAAGTTCTGGGATTGCAGGCATGAGCCACCATGCCCGGCCTATTATTATTATTATCTTGTTATTATTATTTTTTGAGATGGAGTCTCACTCTGTCACCCAGGGTGGAGTGCAGTGGCATGATCTTGGCTCACTGCAACCCCCACCTCCCAGTTTCAAGCAATTCTTGTGCCTCAGCCTCCCAAGTAGCTGGGACTACAGGCATGCACCACCACACCTGGCTAATTTTTGTGTTTTTAGTAGAGATGGGGTTTCACCATGCTGGGCAGGCTGGTCTCGAACTCCTGACCTCAGGTGATCTGCCCGCCTCGGCCTCCCAAAGTGCTGGGATTACAGGTGTGGGCCACTGTGCCCAGCCTACAGTGATTAATTCTGATAGGTAGAGTGTAGAGTGAGAGAAAGGAGGGGCTGAAAACCCAGCCTTGGGGGGTCTTTCTCATTTGTGGGGAGGCCCAGAGTGTGCAGGCATTCAGAAGAGAGTACAGAGAAACCAGCTAAGGCCCTGTGTTGGTTGTATTAAGTGCATCCGTTTCTTGGAAATTTTCTCAGCAAAATGGAAATGGTGATCGTATTTCCTGGAGTGACAAAGTGTATCTTCACAAAATAGTTGAGAGGGCTGGCCCCTCAGCCCGGCCTATAGTGACTTGGGGTATGAGACCATTAGGTCTCCTTTGCAGGGGCCCTGATGGTGATAAGATCCAGCCCAGATCTTCTAAACTAGCCCTGATGATCAGTTTAGCCACAGGGGCCTTCATTCTGTGGGACTCAGTAGTCTCTTGGGTGGGGTAGGTGGGGGAGGGAACCATAAAGACAGCTAGCTGAGTGTCGTAAGGGATGGACGTCTGTAAAGACGGGCCTGAGCCTGGCCGGATTCTGAGCCTGGCCTTGCAGAAGGAGCTGCTCGTGGGCTGGGAGGTTGAGGGCACACTGCAGGTACACGCACCGAGCAGAAAGACCAGCCCAGGGAGGAGTGAGGCTGCTGGCAGGGCCAGGGCTGAGGATTCTCTAAAATTAGGGATCAGAGGCTTGGGTTTCTGCCTGGGGGTGATAGAGAGCCATAGGAAGTTTACGGTCAGGCATTGTGGCTCATGCCCATAATCCCAGCGCTTTGGGAGACTAAGGCGGGCGGATGACATGAGATCAGGAGTTCAAGACCTGTCTGGCCAACACGGTGAAACTCTATCTCTACTAAAAATACAAAAATTAGCCAGGTGTGGTGGCACACGCCTGTAGTCCCAGCTGCTCAGGAGGCTGAGGCACAAGAATCGCTTGAACCTGGGAGGCAGAGGTTGCAGTGAGCCGAGATCACGCCACTGCATTCCAGCCTGGGACACAGAGTGAGACTCTGTTTCAAAAAAAAGACCAGGTCTCGCTCTGTTGCCCAGACTGGTCTCGAACTCCTAGCCTCAGGCAATCCTCCCACCTTGGCCTCCCAAAGTGCTGGGATTGTAGGCGTGAGCCACCACTTCTCAGCCCCCTTAGAAATCCCTGAATGAATGGAATAAGCTGTCTGGGAGGGGTGAAGTGGTGAGCAGCTCCAGTGAGAGAAGTTCCAGAAAACAAATGCTGTCTCTACTAGGCCTGGAGTCTGCAGGGGCTGGCAGAGCAGAAAAAGGTCTTAAGGAGCTAGCAGGGTGCGAGAACCAGAGGAGGGACGGGACAGACCAGGAGAGAAAGGCACAAGACATGAGGAGAGGGCTGGAGAGAGATGGGTAAGGCAGATAGGACAAGACTTGGGGTGACCAGCTGGCCAAGAAGGATGAAGAGAGGGCCGGGGGAGTGTCTGCTGGGGCACATGAGTGGATGGTGGAGTTGTCGTGGAGGAGGGGACACTCAGAGAAACAGATTTTACAGGGAAGAGATTAGGCTCTGGGAGTGAGCAGGAAGGGCCTGTAGGCCATGGGTAGCGGGGTGGATGTTCAGGAGAAAGTTGCAAAACACAGTCCGAGGCTGGCGGCAGGGAGGGAGGCGTATTTAGGAAACCATGCATGTTTACAGGCAGGAGCAATGGCAGCTGGATGTCCTGGACAAGTAGGGAGGCAACCAGGCCCTTCCCTGGGTCAGGGAAGGGAGACAGAAACATTTCAGGATATTAGGATTGCAATAGTAACGGGGGTGCACGCAAAGGAAAGCATGTGCAAGCAGCTTGAGATGGAGACCGGCTGGAGAGCATCGGAGACCAAGGCGAGGCCCCGTCTGTGAGGAGCTACGGGGGAAGGGGAGAGCTGAGGATGGGGACACCCAGAGACGGCCTCCGCCCAGCGCGAGGCGGCACAGAGACCAGGCCGGGCTCCGCGTCTGTCACGGTAGCAGTGTGGCCCTTGACCCTGGGGCAGTGATCGTCCTCCACGCCTGCTCGCTGCGTAGCGTCTCTGCGGCCTGCGAGTGGGTCGTGGCCATGCTGCTGTTCGCGCTCTTCGGTCTCTTAGCCGTTGACTTCTCCGCCCTGGAGAGCTGCACCCTGTGTGTTCAGCCGTGGCCCAGCCTCAGCCCCCCGCCGGCCTCCCCCATCTCCCTGCCGGTCCAGCTGTAGCAGGCACCCTGACCCGGGCCTTGCCCTCACCAGTGAAGCAGGAAAGATGGGGCCAATCCCAGTGCCCCGCACCCAGCAAGATGAGCCACTGGAGATCTCTCCAACCAGCTGGGGCTGCCGCTGACTGACCTGGAGCCGGAGGACCTGTGTGCCGGCGCGGAGGGCCTCTGAACAGCTGGTGGCAGCCAGCATCCCCGTCCCCGCCTTCGGGCCCTGCCCCTGCAACTGGGCACCCAGGAATCGAGAGGCCAAGGCCAGCCAGCTGTCCCTGATCAAGGCTATTTATTATTATTATCTTTTTTTTTTTTTTTTTTTTTTTTTTTTTGCCGCCGGCGGAATCAGAGACACGGACGCAGGCAGGATCACGCGAAACCAGAATTCCTTCCGGAGAGCAAATCCGTACAGAAGGTCGTGGGGGGAGGACCAGGGGAGGAGGGGCCCGGGAAGAGGGGGTTGGGGACGACACAGGGACAGAGGGCCCTGTCCGGATCTGCTAAGCCACCCCAACCAGCTCCCGTCCCTCCCCCACCCCACCCCGCAGAGAGATTGATCAATAAATAAAATAATAAATTAATCAATAAATAAAATAGAAACAGCTCCCCCGCCCCCTGTTCCCCTAGAACCACCCCCAGTTGGGCACGGCCTGTGGAGCCCCATCCCTGCAGGGCAAGGCCGGTTTTTGTGTCCACCCCCCTCCCGACATGTTCCTTGGGCCTTATTTACAGATTCACAGTTGGGGGGCACGGAAGGGGGGTGGAGGGGGGTCCCCTCCCTCCCCGGCCCCGTGGGGTCAGGGCAGAGGGGTCCCGTTGGTGGCCAGGAGCTTCTTGTCCTTGGGGGGGCCTCGGCGGGGAGAGCTGCTCAGCTCTGGGTCTGGGCGGCCGGGTGGGGGCTGCAGGCTTCGGGGTGGGGCACCAGCAGGCCGGGTCTGGGCCCCGTTCTTCTCGTCTGCAAGGGAGGAAGAGGTTTTTCGTGGGTTCCGCAGCCCAGGGTTGGGGTTCCCATTACCAGGGGATGGGGGCAGAGTCTCCTCATCAGTCGGTCTCAGTAACCCCGAGGCTCTAGCTCCAATCCCTGATAAGGCCCAGTCCGTCCAGCACCTGGCCTTGAATTGGTTACTCGGAGGACACACCCCAAGTGGCAAGGCCTGACTCCCCTAGGACGGGGGCTGCACCCTATGCCCCCTGCAACCCTGGGGCCAGGTTAGTCCAAGGGGGCCTGGGCCGGGCCTGACTTTAGGAGACTCTCAGATTCTGGTTATGATACTGTTCGCTAGGAAACAGCCTGCCAGGACGGTGCTCAACGTTCACAGCAAGAGGGGCCCCCCGACTCTCTCCTACCCTGGTTGTTAGGGAGAAATGTTCCATGGAACTGGGCTCAAGGGAGCCTACTGGTGGAGTCGGGGGGGTCTCAGGCCCCTCATGCTGGGCCAGCCTGACTCAGGTCACTGTCTCCTGGGTCCTGAGGCCACCTCCTCTTGGGGACTGAGGTGGAAACACTGGTTGCTGGGTGGTCTCCAGCAATTTCCATGGGGCCTAGGATGTTACCTGAGGTCCCGTGGCGGAGACCTCGTTTTTCTTTTAAGAGAAACTGAGTGGGCCGGGCGCAGTGGCTCATGCCTGTAATCCCAGCATTTTGGGAGGCTGAGGCAGGCAGATCACTTGAGGTCAGGAGTTTGAGACCAGCCTGGCCAACATGGTGAAACCCCGTCTCTACTAAAAATACAAAAATTAGCCGGGTGTGGTGGCACGCACCTGTAATCCCAGCTACTCGACAGGCTGAGGCGGGAGAATCATTTGAAACCCGGGAGGTGGAAGTTGCAGTGAGCTGAGATCGCGCCACTGCACTCCAGCCTGAGCGACAGAGGGAGATTCTGTCTCAAAAAAACAAAAACAAAAACTGGGGGGCTTGTCATAGCAACCACGGTGACTCGGAGGCCTGCACCCCCCACCCCATTCTCCTTTATGAGATGGTGGCTGAGCCCCCCAGGGTGCCTGTTAGTCCTACATCTTCCAGGGTGTGCCCGTTTTGAGACCCCTGGTTGCTGAGGCCAGCTTTCCTCGGCAACGGGGTCCAGTGGACCTAATTTGCTTTCCGGTTGCCCCTAGCAACCATGAGAAAAGAGGGTTTCTGCACCTCAGCACGACTGCCATTTGGGACCCAGCTGTCGTGGGGGGCTGTTCTGTGAATTGTAGGGTGTTTTACAGCATCCCTGGCCTCCACCTACAAGAGGCCATTGGCATCCCCCTGTTTTCCCCAGTTGAGGGGAGGAAAAATGTCTCCAGACATTACTAAATGTCCCTAGGGGGTTGGGCTAGGCTGAATAACGGCCCCCTCCAAAGATGTCCACATGCAAATACCGAGAACTTGTGACTATGTTTCTTGATGCAGCAGAAGAGATCCTGTGCTGTGGGGAAGGTGAGGGACCACGAGTTGGGGGATTATCTTGGAGTATCTGTGCAGGTCCCACTGAGTCACCTTTTCCCAGCTAAGGTCAGTCAGAGGGATATATGGCGTCACTGGCTTTGAAGATGGAGGAACGGGCCTTAACCAGAGCGCCTAGGAACTGGAACACACAAGGAAACAGTCTCTGCCAGAGAGCCTCCAGGTGCAGCCCTCCAGGCACCCTGTTAGCCTGCAGAGACCATGTGGGACTTCTGACCTCCAGGACTGTACGAAAATCACTTGTGTTGTTTCAGCCACCAAGGCTGTGTCATTTGTTGACGGCGGCCATAGAAAACAAACACGGGGTGAAACCAGCTCCCCTAGTTGAGAACCACGGCTCCAGAGCAAAAGACCTGACCCTGGGACTCAGAGTTTCTGGTGACAAGGCCAAAGCTGCCCTGGCTCCTGGCCTCAACGCTGGGCCGTTTCCTTTCAACGGGGTCCAGGGGTCCAGGAAGGGGCATGGGTCCTGTGAGGCTGATGCTGCCTGACTCCCCTCAGAGCAGACGGCTGTCCACGTGCCCTGCAATGGGGCCCAGTACCCTGTTTCACTGTGTCCCCTGTGACCCCGTGTCTCAGGAATGAGGGCTGATTTCCAGGGCAGGCGCTCTCTTCCCTTGAGAATTCTGGCTACCTCTGGTTGCTTGGGCGAGTGCCCCTTATGCTCTCTACTGAACACTGCATCCTCCCAAATTCATGTGCTGAAACCCAATCCCAAGGTGATGGTATTAGGAGGTTATGTTAGGAGGTGATGAGGTCATGAGGGTGGGGCCTTCATGAATGGGATTAGTGTCCTTAGGAAAGAGGCCCCAGAGAGTTCCCTTGCCCCTTCTGCCATGTGAAGACACAGCACCAACGTGCTGTCTGTGACCCAGGAAGCAGCTCTCACCAGGCACCAACGCTGCTGGCAGCTTGATCTTGGACTTCCCAGCCTCCAGAATTGTCAGCAATAAATTTCTGTTATTTGTAAGTTGCCCAGTGTATGGTATTTTCTTATAGTAGCCTGAACGAACTAAGACACCTTTGCAACAAACCCTCTGCTCTCCTGATTGCTAGAGAATTTGAGTCTTTGATGACCAGGACTGGGAGCCCGGGAAGGCCGGATTCCCCAGAGCAAGATCTTGCACATTCCCATGAACTCAGCTTAGAATTCTGGTTGCTAGGGACCATTAGGCCCTAGCCCCAGGGTGAGGTGACTTGTGAGACCTGCAAAGATGGTGACCAATTTGTCCTGGGTTTAGACTCAAAGCCCTGCATCCCAGAAACACCCTTCAGTCCCAAGCAAACCAGGACGGTGGGTCACCGTCCTCCTGGACAGAGGTCCAGAACCTCTGTTGGCAGGATGTTCCCTGACCCCCAACACAGAGCCTGTCATCTTCTTAGGGACTCCTGGGAGCCAGTCCTCAGGTTGCTAAGGAGACCCTCCTCAGGCCCCAGCCTCTCGGGGAACCTGCTCACAACTCTGCAGATAAGACCTCAGCTACGACAATGGTGAAGGAGCCCACCAGCTGGGCGTCCTCTGCAAACCAAACCCCAGAGCACCTGCTCATGCTGGACCTCTGCCCGCCACCCACCGCCCCCGCCACCCACGCCCCCCGCCACCCACGCCCCCCGCCACCCACGCCCCCCGCCACCCACGGCCCCCGCCACCCACGCCCCCCACCACCCACGGCCCCACCACCCACCTGCCAGGGCCTGCACGGAGGGCTGGTCATGAGTGCTCAGGAGCTGTGCCTGGATGGTCTCCACCACTCGCTTGAACCGACGGCTGGGACCTAGAGGCACAGGCGGGCAGAAAAACACTGACTGGGGGTCCAGGACCGGGAAGGCCGTCCCAGCCTGCAGAACCCAGTCCCTCCACCAAGCACACAACACCCCCCCTGCATCTCCGTCTCCCCTGCTCCGCTGGGGCCACATCAATCCACGGTTTGCAAATGGGTCTGTGCTGCTATTTAAGGATCACGGTCAAACTCACATACCTTCAACTTCAAATAACAGGTGTTGGTTTCTATTCAAATAGATACTATTGCTTGCTGTTAGTTTCTAGCGGAGGCCATGAAGGACCAGAAATGTAAGAAAAATAAGTTGGAGCCAGGTACAGGGGCTCATGCCTGTAATCCCAACACTCTGGAATGCCGATGTGGGCAGATCACTTGAGGTTGCTCAGGAGTTCGAGACCAGCCTGGCCAACATGGCGAAACCCTGTCTTTACTAAAAATACAAAAATTAGCTGGGCATGGTGACGCATGCCTGTAATCCCAGCTACTCGGGAGGCTAAGACAAGAGAATCTCTCGAACCCAGGAGGCAGAGGTTGCAGTGAGCCCAGATCACGCCATTGCACTCCAGCCTGGACGACAGAGCAAGACTCTGTCTCAAAAAAAAAAAAAACCAAACAACAACAACAACAAAAAAAAAGAAAAAGAAATCGGAGAAAGTCTTTTCTTTTTCTTTTTTCTTTTGAGACAAGGTCTCATTCTGTCACTCAGGCTGGAGTGCAGTGGCGCGATCACGGCTCACTGCAGCCTCAACCTCCTGGAATCAGGTGATCCTCCCACGTCAGACTCTGGAGTAGCTGGGACTACAGGTGCATGCCACCGTGCTGGGCTTTTTTTTTTTTTTTAAATTGTGTGTGTGTGTGTGTGTGTGTGTGTGTGTGTGTGTGTGTATAAATTTTTTTGTTTGTTTTGTAGAGATGAGGTCCATTATGTTGCTCAGGCTGGTCTCAAACTCCTGGGCTCAAGCAATCCTCCCACCTCGGCTTCCCAAAGTGCTGGGATTACAGGAGTCAGCCATCATGCCTGGCCTCAGAAAAAGTCTTAAAATTGAGAAAGGTCTGCATATTAGCCTTTTTTTTTTTTTTTTTTGAGACAGAGTCTCGCTCTGTCGCTCAGGCTGGAGTGCAGTGGCACAATCTTGGCTCACTGCAACCTCTGCCTCCTGAGTTCAAGCGATTCTCCTGCCTCAGCCTCCTGAGTAGCTGGGATTACAGGAGCCCACCACCACGCGAGGCTTATTTTGGTATTTTTAGTAGAGACAGGTTTCACCATGTTGGCCAGGCTGGTCTTGAACTTCTGACCTGCTCGTCTCAGCCTCCCAAAGTGCTGGGATTACAGGCGTGAGCCACCGCGCCCAGCCTGCATGTTAGTCTTTAAGGGGGACAGAAAAATAAAGAGTCATAATTGGTTTTGGTGACGGAACACCCACAGTTCCACAGCCGTTTGGTTTAGAAATCTTTGGGGCAAGCCCCTCTCCCACCTGTGACATATTAATATTGGTGACAAAGAGATCGGCGATATCCCTCCCTATCCAAATGCTCACTATCAGGATGGAGGGACCAAACAGAAAGCAGAACTGGAAGCAAGGTATTTTAGTGGTTTTCCTTTCTTGTGCCAAGCCTCGACTGGTCATGGCTGCCTGGAGTTCAAGTTCCTGAGGCTGCCACTGAGCTTAGCAGGAATAAGCACTGCCATCAATTGGTAATGTCTGCTCTGGGCAGACTGATATTAGACAGCAGTGTGCTGTGTCTTCACCCTTTGGCTCTACCATCTTAAAGTAATAGGAAGAGCTGGGCTCTCTCCTCTGAAGTTGGGAGGCCTGGGTTGGGCTGCAGCTCTGCGACAGTGTATTGTGTGACTCTGGCCAAGTCCATTGACCTCCCTATGACTCAGTTTTCTCCTCCGTAAAATGGGTGATTACTAACACCTCAGTAGGCTGCTTGGAAGCTTCAAGGAGATAATGCATTCATTATTTACACTGTAAATGCCAGGGAAATGCTGATGAGAGTGGGGAAATAGAGGATGGGCTTGTGGGGCGGTCTGTGTGGGCAGGAGGAGCACAGAGAGTCGGCACCAGCTGAACACCATTTCCTCCTCCTGCTGCTGCACTCCTGGGCCCCTACACTGTCTCAGCTGTCGTGAACAGTCCCAGCACTGGGCTGCAGGCAGCCTAGCCAAGAGACTCACCCGAGATGAGAGTGAAGGTGACGGAGTAGATGCCACCACCTCCGCTGCCGTCCCGTCGCGGGGAGGGCTCTGGACCCTCAGAGGAGCTGATGTCCACCTGGAAGCGGACGGGCTTTTGGAAGACGGAGGGGCCGCCACTGGCCTTGTACTCGGCCCTGAAGCTGGTCTGTGACAGCACACTGTGACTCAGGCTGGGGATCTGAGCGAGGTAGGAACACAGGAAGGGGTGAGCCCAGGAAATGGATACCCAGCCCCACGACCAGCTCTGGCCAAGGAACTACGAGTCCCATGAGCCACTGGAGGGAAAGAAGGACAGGAAATGCATTGGGAGGCCCCACTGCCTGCAAGGACTTGTAGCTTTCTCTATCCTATCAGCGAGTAAGGGAGGAATGGTTGGACATCCCCCTAACATCATGAGGACTCTGATAGCTAGGTGACAGCCTCAGACTCCAAGACCACATGAAACACTGCTTGCTCCCTTTACAAATGCTTCCCATAGCCATATCTGTCACAGAAACTCTAAGTCCCATCCACCCGTAGGCATAAAACCACAGACCAGCAATGGGGCAGCCTTAACATTGCCTGGGAAGTTTCTTCGGCTAGTTTCAAACCTCGCAGTAGGGGAATGGGAACTCACCAATCCTTGAGGACATTGCAATTCAGGATCCTATTTCCCCAATTCCAGGCCTCTGGCCACGATAAATCTTTCCTGCCTACCGACTTCTAACCAACTCTGGCCATAAAACTACAAATCCCATGAGCCCCAGGAGGAAGCCAGGCCTATGCTAAGGTGGTTAGCCCCAGGGGCTGCTGGGACTTGTAGTTCTGCGGGGGCCAGGCTCGATGGGGACCCAGGCCCCTCACCGACAGAAAGGCATGGACGATGTCTGCTTTGATGCTGCTGAGAGGTTTGTCCTTTAGCACGAGGAATATTTGTTCTTCTTTGTCCAAGGAGATGAAGTTCCCGAACCAGGAGCGTTTTGCCAGCCTGAGTGGGAGGGGGTGGTTGGAGGAGGGTTAGGAAGGCGCCGAGGGCATGAATCCCCTGCATCCCCACTCTTTCCTTCCCTGTGAGACTCACTCCGGGGAGGACTCTGGCGTCAAGCTGGACATCTCCTCAGCGGTAGGGACTGGTAGGGGGAAGGCAGAGAACGTGGTCAACACCTGTGCATCATCCCAGTTGCCAGCACACAGGCCTGCACTCGCCCCCTCCCAGGGTTCCAGAGCCTTGGGTTGCAGCCTCGGCCAAGCCATCCCTCCTGGGCGGGGCTCACAAACCACGGGCCAATGGGAGGTAATCCAGAGCCCCAAAGGCGCGTGCCCTTCAATCGGGGTCCTCCTCCAGAGCTAGAGGCCCCACCTCTCTCCCCAACAGGTGCACCTCTGCTTCAAACCCCCTCTTCTCTAGAACGTGGGAATCCAGGCCCCCAGTCCCTTCCTCTCTAGACACGCCAGACGGACATCCCTGGAACCAGATTTTTAGCCCCAACCTCTCCCCACATTAGGACTCGGCAGTTCATGCCCCCATACCCTGCATCTTGCGCCGGTGAAAGCGAGGGGAGCCCAGGAAGCTGTTGCGGATGGAGTTGAGACGACTCCTCCAGGCGGCTCCCCCGACGCCACCGCCGGGGCTGGGGGGTGGTGTTGTCCCCGGGGTCCCGGTGGGACTGGCCCGGGGCGTGTGCAGAGGCGAGTGCAAGGGGGTCCCGCCAGAGGAGCGCGGGGAGCCTGGGGGGCCGGGCAGGGGTGTGGAGCGGGCACTGGGGGGCGGGGGCTGCTCCCCGGCGCCCCCACCCCTGGGGCCCCGAGAAGGCAGCGTCTGCGTTTTGGAAGTCGGGGAGCCCCCGCCTCGAGCCTCATCTCCAGCCCCCGGCTCCGGTGAAAAGGAAAAGACCGGACTCTGCAGAGGACAGGAGACTGAGATAAGCGAGTGGACTACAACTCCCAGGAGGCTCTAGGAGCCCCACTCACACGCACACTCACGGACGCTGGCCCGGTGCATGCTGCAACTTGTAGTCCAAGTATCCTCCTTCCCAGGCCCCAGAGCAAGGATAGCAAAGACTTTCTATCATGCTGTGGGCTGAAAACCCAGCCGGTGCAGATACTAGTACACAGCAGGCACTCAACTAACTTTTGTAAAATCTCTTCAGGCATGCAATCCTAAGGAGGTAGAAATGGCCAATGGACCAAAATACTTTGGAGGCCTTGGGTCTTTGGCCCTCCAGGGACAAAGAAGCAAGTCTCAAGACTGCACAGGAATTGTAGTTTCTGCTACTCAATCTTTGCTCCATGTCTCCACCCCTTTCTCCTTCTTAAATCCCACTGGGGACCTGGCCTTACCCTTGGGCTGCTTAGAGGGCTGGAGGACAGACCCGTGGAGGCTCCACTGACGCTACGGGATCTGTTTCCAGGATAGATTTAAAAAAAAAAAATCAGATGGGAGGGTTTCAAAAACCACAGATGTTCCCTCACTTCTACAGTCCTTCCAGGTGAGGAAATGAGGCCCAGAGAGGGGAGGTGAATTGTCCCAAGGACACAGCACATTTGAGGTAGAGCTGGGGTTAGAATCTTGAACTCCTAGACCCAGGGATTGTGGATCCTCCTGGAGGGACAGGGGCTCCCACCTCTGGCTGTGCTGGGCCATCTCCAAGGCCCGTCGGGTGGGTACAGGGGAGCCACCACCCCCGGCATCGGTGATGCTCAGGACTTCCATGGACTTCCGCTCTGGTCGCCGCTTCCCGTGACGGCTCAGCATGGGAGAATCCACACGCTTCCGGGGGGGGTCTGAGGGACAACAGTTTCAACCCAATCAAGAGATGGTTTCACCCAGCTGTGTACAACTGCCTCAGAAACTGCACACATGGGGAAACAGGCCTAGAGTGGAGAGGGGATTTGATAAATGTCAAAGAGCAAGTCAAGCAGTCTAAAGCTGGAAGCTCAGAGCCTGCAGCCCCTTCTTTCCTTGGGAATCTGGGGTCCCCGTGGCCAGCCTCTTCCAATCTCGAGACCCAGGTGTCTGGTCCCCTAGCCCTGCCTTCTCACCAACATCATTCCGGGGAGGCAGGTCCTGGTCCTCACAGCTGGGATACCGCTCCTTCCGATCCAAAAGCAGATAATATATCATCTTTTCTTGGTTCTCCCTAAGGCAGGGGGTGGGAAAGGTGGAAAGAGGTAGCAGAGGGCTGAGGTCCAACATCAATGCTCAGAGGAGGTCTCCTCCGCTCCCTGTATTTCTGCCCATGGTTCCATTTTTTCTAGGTATCAGTATGGTCAGTTTCTCTGGTTTAGGGTACATCTCAGCTGTGTTTCACTCAATTATAATAACACTGTAACACCTAACATCCAGGCAAGAACTATTTGTAAGTACTATGTATATGTAAGTACTATGTCGCAGCATCTATTAATACTTTCTCAGCGTGTTTCTGGGCCGTTTTCTCCGCTGGTTCCATCACTCCCAGGCGGGAGCTTCAAACCATGCCCCATGAGAGGCCAGGGTTCCTCGCCCAGCACTCTGCATGTGCGCAGGGAGCTGCTGCAGCTCGCCCCACGTGGGTACACGGGTGCAGGGGTCTTGGGGTCTTACTCCTCACTGCGCAGCTCGCGATGCAGCCTCTCGCGGTCCCTGAAGCAGCCCAGTGATGCCATGCTCTCTAGGACGTCGGGGTCCAGCTCTCCGTTGGATGGCAGGCTCCGCATGGCTACCCGGCGGCCAGGGGCTGGCTCCAGGCACGGGTCTGGCTCGTGTTTCCCGCCTCTGGGGAAGTGGAGAAACATTATTGGGAACCGGGCTTCTGAGATTCAGCATTCTTCATTCTAGACTCAATGATCCCGGACCCCGAAATCCGAGTCTAGGCCCCGGCCCCTTCTCTCTCATACCCAGGAATCCAGACGCCCCAGACCTCGCCCCCCATCTCAGACCCAGGAGTCCAGACCTCCAGCCCCTTTTCCCTCCGACCGAGGGGTCCAGGCCCCCGGCCCCTCCTTCTTCAGACCCAGAAGTCCAGGCCCCCAGCCCCTCCTCCCTCGGATCCAGGAGTCCAGGCCCCCAGTCCCTTTTTCCCTCAAACCTGGGAGTCCTGGACTCCTAGCTTAGCCCCTCCTGCCTCTGACCCCTAGACTCCTTCTCTAGCTGTGTCCTCTTCCCCCAGGACCCATAAGTCCGAGTCCCTAGCCCGTTGCCTCTCAGGAACCCTGGCATCCCACCCCTCCCAGCCGCTTCTACTGCTTTGGCCCCTCCCCTATTTCCGCCAGGGACCCAAGAGTCCAGTTACCCCATACTCACAGGTACCAAGGATGTTTCTGAATTTGCTCCAGCTGTGAGGGTGGTGAGTCGTAGAGAAGCAGAAGTGAGGTCGTAGGCACATGTAGGCGCGCAATGAAAGACTGGGGTGGTTTTGGGGTCCCTGATCATCTCCCCGCCCACCCCACCGGGGGCAGGATGACATATTACATCGCCCTCTAGTGGCGACTGAGTGCATCGCCCCGCGCACGCGCGGTCTCCGTGTACCCCGGACCGGCCGCATTACTTTGCCGCATGCGCAGTGGCATCCTGTTCGCCTCCTTACTCCTGCGCCCTCCCGCTGCCTGGAGCTCCCCGCCCCAATCTTGCGTAGCCCCCTCCCCAGTTTGGAGCGGCAGCTGTGCTGGACCTTGGGCTGCGGCTCAGCTGGCGATCCCAGTCACCCTGGGGACTGACGAGCAGGTTCTGGAAACCCATCCCCATGACTTTTCTAGGGGGTTCTGTCTTCATCGGCCACTGTTCCCCCCTCCGCCGGTCCCCCCCTCAACTCACACTGAGCCTTTTTTCGGGCTCCACTTCGATCATTCCCCTCAGGAGGCTCTGGCAATCTGGAGGAATGAAGTGGGGCATGTGGAAGACGCCCCGTTTCACCTTCTCCAGCAGCTGGCGGAGGTTGTCGTCATCAAAGGGCAGAGCCCCCTGGGCAAGAGATAACCAGGACCCCTCATTAGCACATTTCACCCTCACCACAAGCACTGGAGGTGGGGAACTACGGTGATCTCCACCTTAAGGGGTTGGAAACTGAGGCACAGAGAGGCTCAGCAATTTGCCAAAGGCCCCTAGCTCGTCCGTGGCACAGCAGGCACTTGGCAAGGAGCAGCTTGGAGCCCCGCTTACGAAGCTAGAATTGCAGCGTGGAGGCTGTTCCTTTTAGACAGCTTTCCCCCCACAGCAGTTTCGAAACGGTTGTCTCTCATTCACTCATTCAACAAAAGGTGAGCATCCGTTACAGGTCAGGGATCCAGCAGTGAACAAAACAGGCCTCTGCCCTTGCACAGCTCCAAACAAATAGCTATACAATGACGAGCGACTGAGTGAGGCTTCTCCCAGGAGGTGCAATGGGAGCAGAGACCTGAATGAGGCTGAGCCCTAAATCAATGACTGGTGTCCTTATAAGAGGAGACGAGGACGCAGGCACAGAGAACAGTCATGTGATGACGGAGGCAGAGATGGGAGTGATACAGCTGCAACTGAAGGAACGCCAAGGACACCAGAAGCTAGGAGAGGCAAGGAAGGATCCTTCCCTAGAGCCTCCAGAGGAAGCAGGGCCCTGCTGACACCTTTTCTTTTCTTTCTTTCTTTCTTTTTTGAGATGGAGTTTCGCTCTTGTCGCCCAGGCTGATGTGCAATGAGGTGTTCTTGGCTGACTGCAACCTCTGCCTCTCCCAGGTTCAAGCGATCCTCCTGCCTCAACCTCCCGAGTAGCTGGGATTACAGGCATATGCCACTATGCCCGGCTAATTTTTTTATTTTTAATAGAGACGGGGTTTCACCATGTTGGCCAGGCTGGTCTCAAATGCCCAACCTCAAGTGATCCACCTGCCTCAGCCTCCCAAAGTGCTGGGATTACAGGCGTGAGCCACCACACCCAGCCTAATTTTTGTATTTTTAGCAGAGATGGGGTTTCACCACGTTGGCCAGGCTGGTCTTGAAGTCCTGACCTCAGGTGATCTGCCCGCCTCAGCCTCCCAAAGTGCTGGGATTACAGGTGTGAGCCACCGCACCTGGTCCCCTGCCTTGCTTTGAATCCTTGCTCTGGGGCTTATACCTGCATGACCTCAGGCAAGTCACTGCTCTGAAAATGGCAATGGGTCGTCACAGCACCCACCTCACGGACTGCATCAGAATGAACTGACCTAGTACATGACAGTGCTGGGCCCACAGTCAGGACTGTTACAGGCTGGCTGCTGTGACGCACTGACCATAGACCCCACCACATCCTGCATTCTGACGTAGCCACCAGCCATGAAGCAGGGGACAAAATCACATCCCTGCCCTCCTGGAGTTGGCCTGGGACGCTGCCTGACACACACTCGACACTCAAGTCATCAGCAAAGGTGGTGGAATGAGCAGAGAAGTTGCATTCCAGAGGGGACAGGAAACAAACAAGCGAACGTATCATACGGGACGGGAGGGAATGCTTCCAATCACCAGGGCAAGGGTTGGAGGGGAGCCAAGGTGACCCCCCATGGACAAAGACTCATGGGAGGTGATGGTGTGAGCCTTTGAGGGCTTTTCCGGGTGTTGCAAGCTCCCAGTTGCCCCTGGTATCTGAGGCCTGTGGACGGAGAATGGGGAGATACAGAGAAGGCACCTCTGAATGCCGATCTTAGGGTGCGGAAGCCTGGGTTTGACTTCTGGTTGCCTGATGCTCAAGCACAGAGCCTCAGTTTCCTCTCCTCTGTGAAACGGACATAATGATCCTGCCAGGAAGGGTACGGTCTGGATTAAATATTATAACAACAGGCTGGGCATGGTGGCTGACACCTGTAATCCTAGCACTTTGGGAGGCCAAGGGGCGAGGATCACTTGAGTTCAGTAGTTTGACACCAGCCTGGCCAACGTGGTGAAACCCCATCTCTACTAAAAATACAAAATTTAGCCGGGCAAAGTGGCGGGCGCCTGTAATCCCAGCTACTCGGGTGGCTGAGGCAGGAGAATTACTTGAACCCAGGAGGCGGAGGCTGCAGTGAGCCGAGATCACACCACTGCACTCCATCCTAGGTGACAGAGAAAGTCTCCATCTCAAAAAAAACAAAAAACAAAACAAAAAAAAAAACCAAAACAAATTATAACAACAATACAGTTGATTCTTGTTATTCTTGAGAGTTCTGTTCTATAAAGTCACTGCAAACTCTCAACTAGTGAACGAGTCACGGCTACTGGAGGAACTATAGTTAGTAAGCTTCCTTTGACCCTCTCGTCACATTTTTGTCAACCAGTCATTACATGACCTTGTTTGTATGTGTTTCTGTTTAAAGACACTTTTCTTTTTTTATTGAGACGGAGTCTAGCACTGTAGCCCGGAGTGCAGTGGCATGACCTCGGCTCACTGCAGCCTCCGCCTCCCGGGTTCAAGCGATTCTCCTGCCTCAGCCTCCTGATTGGCCAGGCTGGTCTCGAACTCCTGACTTCGTGATCTGCCCGCCTCAGCCTCCTAAAGTGCTGGGATTACAGGCGTGAGCCACCGCACCCAGCTTAAAGACACCTTTCATATGTACTGTGTCATTGACGCGGAACTCATGGCCAGCAGCACTACAAGTCATTCCTGAACAAAGCATGCCCATCAGAGGGGCTTTCTCCAGAAGGGACATCACAGCCTCCCGCGCTTAGGAACACCAGACGGCACTTCAGAAGCACTTGGCTTCATGGCCATTTTAAACAACGAAATTGCCACCAACAACACAAAAATGTGAAAAACGTGACACGAAATAGGTGGTGAAAGGGGGATTGTTTACAGGATGAGAGCTGAAACAGGGTCACTTTGTTTGACCTCAGCCGGAAACCTGCACCTTGGGTGGGCGGCTCAGGTTTCCCCTGCTCTGGGCATGTCTGCCAATGACTGTGAAAGCACCTCCAGGACTATTTTGGGTTACAGATACATTTTGACAGGTAGGCAAATTTGCAAATATGGAATCTGCAAATGATGAGGAACTATTGGAACAAGAATAAACTACTAGGCCAGGTGCGGTGGCTCATGCCTGTAATCCCAGCACTTTGGAAGGCTGAGGTGGGCAGATCACTTGAGGTCAGGAGTTCAAGACCAGCCTGGCCAACATGGTGAAACCCCATCTCTACTAAAAATACAAAAATTAGCCAGAAATAACTTGAACCCAGGAGGTGGAGGTTGCCGCGAAGAAGATCAAGCCATTGCACTCCAGCCTGGGCTACAGAGCAAGACTAAGACTTCATCTCAAAAAAAAAAAAAAAAAAAAAAAAAAGAAGAAACAAAAAAAAAAGAATAAACTACTAATAATAATCATCAAGCATTGTGCCAGGGGCTTCACGTGCAGCATTTATTTAAACCCTCACAGTGGGCTGGGGGAAGTGGCTCACGCCTGTAATCCCAGCACTCTGGGAAGCTGAGGCGGGTGGATCACCTGAGGTCAGGAGTTCGAGACCAGCCTGGCCAACATGGAGAAACCCCATCTCTACTAAAAATACAAAAAAATTAGCCAGGCATGGTAGCAGGTGCCTGTAGTCCCAGCTACTTGGGAGGCTGAGGCAGGAGAATCTTGAACCTGGGAGGTGGAGGTTTCAGTGAGCCAAGATCGCACCATTGCACTCCAGCCTGGGCGACAAGAGCGAAACTCCGTCTCAAAATGAAAAAATAAATAGATAAAATAAAAATGAAAACAAAACCCTTACAATGATAGGTATGATGTGTATTTCCACGGTGCAGATGAGGACACTGAGGTAGGGTGACTGGCTCGCTCAGGGAGAGGGAGCAGGGATTGGAACTCGGCTGGATGGGCTCCAGAACCAGGCTTTTAGCCACCAAGTGAAGAAGGGCTGAGTTCTGAACATTCTTAGCTCGTCTCCAGAGCACCTCGGCTGCTCTCCCCATGGAGTGGTGAGCCCCAGGAAGCCAGCTTGGAGCTGGCCTCATTGCCCTTAGTATCCGTTATGTAGCCTGGTGGTTAAGAGACCAAGGACTGACCCCAGGCCTGCGGCTTATCAGCTGCGTGCCCGTGGGCCAGTCACTTCCCCTCCCTGGGACTGCTGAGGGAATTGTGTGAAATAACATGATCAGAACAGTGCCTGACATTAAAAAAACTGCTTATGGCTGGGCGTGGTGGCTCACACCTGTAATCCCAGCACTCCAGGAGGAAGAGGCGGGCGGAGGTCAAGTTCGAGACCAGCCTGGACAAAATGGTGAAACCCCATGTCTACTAAAAATACAAAAATTAGCCAGGCGTGGTGGCACATGCCTGTAGTCCCTGCTACTTGGGAGGCTGAGGCAGGAGAATCGCTTGAATCCAGGAGGTGGAGGTTGCAGTGAGCCGAGATGGCGCCACTACACTCCATCATGTGTGACAGAGCAAGAATCCGTCTCAAAAACAAACACACACAAACAAAAAAACTTATGTATTCTTTTTCTTTTCTACTTATTACTTATTTATTTATTTATTTTTGAGACGAGGTGTCACTCTGTCATCCAGGCTGGAGTTCGGTGGCATGATCATGGCTCACTACAGCCTTGACCTCCAGGGCTCAAGCAATCTTCCCACCTCAGCCTCCTGAGTAACTGGGACTACAGGCAGGTGCCACCATGCCTGGCTAATTTTTTTTTCATTTTTTTTGAGACGGAGTCTCGCTCTGTCGCCCAGGCTGGAGTGCAGTGGCATGATCTCGGCTCACTGCAAGCTCCGCCTCCCGGGTTCACACCATTCTCCTGCCTCAGCCTCCCGAGTAGCTGGGACTACAGGCGCCCGCCACCACTCCCGGCTAATTTTTTTTGTATTTTTAGTAGAGACGGGGTTTCACCACGTTAGCCAGGACGGTCTCGATTTCCTGACCTCGTGATCCGCCCACCTCGGCCTCCCAAAGTGCTGTGATTACAGGCGTGAGCCACCGCGCCCGGCAATGCCTGGCTACTTTCTTAACTTTCTTTTGAGATGGGGTCTTGCTTGCTATGTTGCCCAGGCTGGTCTTGAACTCCTGGGCTCAAGCAATCCTCCCACCTTGGCCTCCCAAAGTGCTGGGATTACTGGCGTGAGTCATTGCGCCCGGACAACTGCTGATTTATTCTCACTACAGGTGTTCACTGGGGACTTACATGTGTCAACTTTAGGTTTGCAAAGGCAAGCCAGCAAAATGAAATAAAACACACAAAGACAGATGCCCCAGACATCGGCCCTGACCTCAGGGAGTTGATGATACAGAAGGGAAGGGAGATGCCACTCAACGAATTAGGCAACAAAATGCACAGCGACAACTCTGATCGTTGCCAGGAAGAAGGGAGCCTACCACAGGGGGGTCTGACCTTACAGGAGTGGGGAGGAGGAGTGGGGGCAGGGGAAGCTTCCTGGAAATGTGACAACTGAGCAGAGAGCTTGAAGAAGTCTAGATATGAACTAGGTGAGCAACAAGGCTAATAGGTAGCAGAGTGTCCCAGGCAGAAAGGCCCTGTGGTAGGAGCAGGGCTGATAGCCTACGATCTGGCTATATATATATATTTTTAGATAGGGTCTCACTCTGTCGCCCAGGCTGGAGTGCAGTGACGCGATCTCAACTCATTGCAAACTCAACCTCCTGGGTTCAAGCGATTCTCCTGCCTCAGCCTCCTGAGTAGCTGGGACTACAGGCATGCGCCACCAAGCCCGGCTAGTTTTTGTATTTCTAGTAGAGATGGGGTTTCACCATGTTGGCCAGGCTGGTCTCAAACTTCTGGCCCCAGGTGATCTGCCTCCGCTCGGCCTCCTGAAGTGCTGGGATTACAGGTGTGAGCCTCCGTGCCCGGCCTGGTTATACTTGTTATTACAGTATCACAATGCCCTAGAATCAGCTGGTAAACAGTCATTGTATCAAGCCCTCCAGGTGCTCCTGGATGACTTGTTCCTTTCTGGGGTTCTTCCTGGAGACTATCCCATAGTTCTTTTATCTTTTTAACCCACAGTTCTGTGAATGAAAAGGTTAGCTCCCCACAGAGTGGGGGAACTCCAGGATCTTGGTCTGTTGGTTAATGTAGTATCTTTCCCATTACCAGTGAAATATTCGAGAGATGGGCTGGGTTCGGTGGCCTCACGCATGTAATCCCAACACTTTGGGAGACTGAGGTGGGCAGATCACTTGAGCCCAGGAGTTTGAGACCGACCAGGGAAACAAGGCGAAACCCTGTCTCTGTGAAAAATACAAAAATTAGCTGGGCGTGTTGGCAAGAGCCTATAATCCCAGCTGCTCGGGAGGCTGAGGCGGGAGGACTGCTTGAGCCTGGGAGATTGAGACTGCAGTGAGCCGTGATGGCGCCACTGCACTCCAGCCTGGGCGACAGAGAGAGATCCTCTCTCAAAAAATAAAAATAAAAATAAAAATAAAATAAATTCAGCTGCCGGGCACGATGGCTCATACTTGTAATCCCAGCATTCTGGGAGGCCGAGGAGGGTGGATCACTTGAGGCCAGGAGTTCGAAACCAACCTGGCCAACATGGTGAAACCCCGTCTCTACTAAAGATACAAAAATTAGCCAAGCATGGTGGCAGGTACCTGTAGTCCCAGCTAATCGGGAAGCTGAGGCAGGAGAATAGCTTGAACCCGGGCGGCGTAGGTTGCAGTGAGCCAAGACTGCACCACTGCACTCCAGCCTGGGCAACAGAGCAAGACTCTGTCTCAAAATACATAAATAAATAGGCCGGGTTCAGTGGCTCACACCTGGAATCCCAGCACTTTGGGAGGCAGAGGCAGGTGGATCACCTGAGGTCAGGAGTTGGAGACCAGCCTGGCCAATATGGCGAAACCCTGTCTCTACTAAAAATTCAAAAATTATCTGGAAGTGGTGGTGGGCGCCTGCAATCCCAGCTACTTGGGAGGCTGAGGCAGGAGAATTGCTTGAAGCTGGGAGGCAGAGGTTGCAGTGAGCTGAGATCACACCACTGCACTCCAGCCTAGGCGACGGGGCAAGACTCTGTCTCAAAATAAATAAATAAAATTCATAAATAAATTCAGGAGATGACCTGAGGATGGAAGGTACTGTCCTATGCTCCCACCAGGTGGGATTGATCTAGAAATGACAGGAGAGGTGAGGGCGCCTTACCACGAGCAGGGCGAAGAGGATGACTCCACAGCTCCACATGTCTGCCCGGCGGCCATCATATTTTTCCCCCTGGAAGGGAAGGCCAGTTGTGACTTCATCGCTCCTCACTGCTGCCTCCACCCCTCTCCCCTCTATCCGCCCCTCACTCACCTTAATCACCTCTGGACACGCATAATGGGGGGACCTGAGGGAGAGAGCTGATGTGAGCCTCCAGCCAGCTTCTAAACCCCTGCCCAGGGTCTCGGGAGCCCAGTCCCCACTCACCCGCAGCTGGTCTCCAGGAGGCTGTCCCCCACCTGCAGGGACGCCATGCCGAAGTCTGCAATGCGGATGTTGTTTTTCTCATCCAAAAGCAGGTTCTCGGGCTTTAGGTCTCTGTGGCTGAGACAGCCAGGTGGGACTCAGGCCTCTTCCTTCCTCCCAGGAGGCCCAGGCCCCACTGACTGGCTCTCACAGTGGAACACTTCTGCATACTTTTTGGATTTTTAGGGGATGAGAGACCATTTATTATCATTCATTAATTTTGGTCTTTTTAAAAATTTTTAATTTTTTATCATATGTATGTATGTATTTATTATTATTATTTTTGAGATGGAATCTCGCTCTGTCTCCCAGGCTGGAGTGCAGTGGCATGATCTCGGCTCACTGCAACCTCTGTCTCCTGGGTCCAAGTGATTCTCCTGCCTCAGCCTCCTGAGTAGCTGGGACTACAGGCCGCACCACCATGCCCAGCTAATTTTTGTATTTTTAGTAGAGACGGGGTTTCATTATGCTGGCCAGGCTGGTCTTGAGCTCCTGACCTCATGATCCGCCCGCCTTGGCCTCTCAAAGTGCTGGGATTACAGGTGTGAACCACAGCACCCAGCCTTATTTATTTATTTATTTATTTATTTATTGAGATGGAGTCTCATTCTATCACCCAGGCTGGAGTGCAGTGGCATGATCTCGGCTCACTGCAACCTCCGCATCCTGAGTTCAAGTGATTCTCCTGTTTCAGCCTCCTGAGTAGCTGGGATTGCAGGCATGTGCCACCACACCCAGCTAATTTTTGTATTTTTATTTTTTTTGAGACGAAGTCTCGCTCTGTTGCCTAGGCTGGAGTGCAATGGCGTGATCTCGGCTCACCACAACCTCCCGGGTTCAAGAAGTCCTGGGATTACAGGCATGAGCCACCGCGCCAGGCCTAATTTTTGTATTTTTAGTAGAGACAGAGTTTCACCATGTTGGCCAGGCTGGTCTTGAACTCCTGACCTCAGGTGATCCGCCTGCCTTGGCCTCCCAAAGTGCTGGAATTACAGGGGTGAGCCACCGCGCCCGGCCTATTTTGTTTTTTATTTTTAGAGATGGGCATTGCTTCTCGGCCTTTTGGCTAAGATCAAGTGTATGCTTAGAGATGGGGTCCCTTTCTGTTGCCCGGCCTGGAGTGCAGTACCACAGTCATAGCTCACTGCAGCCTTGACCTCCCCAGCTCAAGTGATCCTCTGGCCTTAGCCTCTTGAGTAGCTGGAGCCACAGGCGTGCATCACCATGTCTGGCTTTGGAAACTTTCCTTTTTTTTTTTTTTGAGACAGAGTCTCACTCTGTCGACCAGGCTGCAGTGCAGTGGCACGATTACGGCTCACTGCAACCTCCGTCTCCTGGGCTCAAGCAATTCTCCTGCCTCAGCCTCCCGAGTAGCTGGGATTATAGGCATGTGCCACCACGCCCAGCTAATTTTTGTATTTTCAGTAGAGACAGGGTTTCACCATGTTGGCCAGGCTGGTCTCGAACTCTTCACGTCAGGTAATCCACCTGCCTCGGCCTCCCAAAATGCTGGGATTACAGGCGTGAGCCACCGCGCCCGGCCTGGAAACTTTTTATAATAGACAATCACAAACGTGCCCAAAACTGGAGAGAAAGTAAGAGGAAGCCTCACTTACCCATCGCCCAGCTTCATCCATGATCATCTTAGGGCCAATCTGATCTCATCTCTGTCCCTTACATACTCCTCCCCAACCCAAATTAGTTTGTAGGACATCCCAGATGTCATATTAGTTTATCTGTAAGTATTTGAATATGTACAAAGTGAGCTATTTTGAGGTAAAGCTGATATGCAGCTGGTTCTTAAAATCCTTGGTTCCTGTCTTGGGACCTTCCCACCCTTGAACCAAACTCCTCAAGGTTTAAGGGTTGGTGTCTGGGGAGAGAGGGAGTGTAGGATTCTGCAGTTTTCATTTGGCCTGGTCATTAACTGGGTCAAACTTGTTAAATACGTTGAATATCTCCCCCTAGAGGCCAGGGTTTCAATATCAGGGTTTTGACAATCTTGTCAACAGGAAGGTGTGGAAAATTTAAACAGGGCCGGGTGCGGTGGCTCAAGCCTGTCATCCCAGTACTTCAGGAGGCCGAGGTGGGTGGATCACCTGAGGTCAGGAGTTCGAGACCAGCCTGGCCAACATGGTGAAACCCCATCTCTACTAAAAATACAAAAAATTAGCCGGGCATGGTGGCGGGTGCCTGTAGTCCCAGGTACTCGGAAGGTTGAGACAGGAGAATCGCTCGAACCTGGGAGGTGGAGGTTGCAGTGAGCTGAGATCGTGCCATTGCACTCCAGGATGGGTGACAGCGAGACTCCGTCTCAAAAAATAAAAAAAGACAAAAACCGAAAATTTAAGTAGGTGGCCTTTTTATCATCAAGCTTTACCCAAAGTCTGAGTCCCTCTACCGTGATCCCCACCCCATCTCCAAAAACACATCTTAGTGAGAGAGATGCGCAAATGAAGGAGGCTAAAAGATGAAGGCATTCATTTTGTACCTGAACAGTTAGAAAAACGTTGCACATTTAATATCTGATTTGGAGGCTAAAGTCAATTCAATGAAAAAAATAATAACTTTTCTTTTTTTTGAGACAGGGTCTCACTCTGTTGCCTCACTGCAGCCTCAACCTCCTGGGCTCAAGCAATCCTCCTACCACAGCTTCCCAAGTAGCTGGGACCACGGGCACACGCCACCACATCCAGCTAATTATTTTTATTTTTTGGAGAGATGGGGGGAATCTCACTTTGTTGCCCAGGCTGGTCTCGAACTCCTGAGCTCAGGTGATCTGCCCGCCTTGGCCTCCCAAAGTGCTGGGATTACAGGCATGTGCTACCATGCCCAGCCAAAAAAAAAATCTTTAAAAGTGGACACATAGGCCAGGCGCAGTGGCTCATGCCTTGAGCCCAGGAGTTTGAGACAAGCCTGGGCAACATAGCAAGACCCTGTCTCAATAACTAAACTAAACTAAAAATAAATGAATAAATAAATAACCCTTACTCAACCCTTACTTCACACCATATACAAAAATTAACTTGAAATGGATGCCAGACCTAAATGCAAGAGCTATAACTATACAACTTCTAGAAAATATACAGAAGACCTTAGTGACCTTGAGTTGGGCAAAAGTTTCTTAAATAGGACAGAAAAAGCATGAGGTGTAGGCCGGGCGCGGTGGCTCATGCCTGTAATCCCAGCACTTTGGGAGGCCGAGGCGGACGGATTACGAGGTCAGGAGATTGAGACCATCCTGGCTAACATGGTGAAACCCCGTGTCTACTAAAAATACAAAAAATTAGCCGGGCGTGGTGGCGGGCGCCTGTAGTCCCAGCTACTTGGGAGGCTGAGGCAGGAGAATGGCGTGAACCCGGGAGGCGGAGCTTGCAGTGAGCCGAGATCGCGCCACTGCACTCCAGCCTGGGTGACAGAGCAAGACTCCGTCTCAAAAAAAAAAAGAAAAAGAAAAAGCATGAGGTGTAAAATAAAAAAATCAACAAACTGGAATTTATCAAAATGAAAAATCTTTTGCTTTTCACAAGACTTATAAAAATGTAAAAACATGGCACAGACTTGGAGAAAATAATTTAAAAATGTATACTGATGAAAGACTTGCATCTAGAATAAACAATTCTTTTTTTCTTTGTTAAATTTTCCCCCTTGTTCTTGCTGTCATCATACAGAATAATTTTTAGGAATAATTTTGTTCCTAGAGTAATCTCTTGTTCCTAGAATAAAAAATTGTTACAAATCAATAATAAAAAGACTAAATCAAATTTTAAAAAATAACTGAATTAAAGATGGGCAAAGAGGCCGGGAGTGGTGGCTCACGCCTGTAATCCTAGCACTTTAGGAGGCCTAGGCGGGCAGATCACCTGAGGTCAAGAGTTCGAGACCAGCCTGGCCAACATGGTGAAACCCCGACTTTACTAAAAAAATACAAAATTAGCCAGGTGTAGTGGTGTGCACCTGTAATCCCAGCTACTCCGGAGGCTGAGGCAGGAGAATCAATTGAACCTGGGAGGCAGAGGTTGTAGTGAGCCAAGATCACACCATTGCACTCCTGCTGGGCAACAAGAGCAAAACTCCATCTCAAAAACAAAACAAAACAATACAAAAAGGGCCATGTATCGTATGATTCCATTTATATAAAACGTCTAGAATAGGTAAATCCATACAGACAGAACATAGGTTGCCGGGGGCTGGGGGCAGGAGGGGAATGGGGAGTGACTGCTTACTTAATGGGTACAGGGTGAGAAAATGTTCTAAAATTCCACAGTGGCAGATGTATACCACTGCAAATATATCAAAAACCACTGAATTACACACTCTAAAAGGAGGAATTTTCTGGTGTATGAGTTATGTCTCAATGGGATAAAGGTTTGGGGGCCGACCACATGGCTTTTGCTCAGCCCTCCACATGCCCCCAAGGGCCTGTCTGCTGGGCAGCCCTCAGCCCCTCCTCCCCCTCAAGCTGCCCACTCACCAGATGGAGTAGCTGTGGCAGAAGTCCAGCGCAGACACAATCTGGCGGAAGAACTTTCGGGCCTCCTTGGGCGTCAGTCTCCCCTTCTTTACCAGGTAGTCGAATAGCTCACCCCCCGAGACGTGCTCCAGAACCAGGTACCTAAAGGATATAGAGGGGGCAGAGGGCTGGAAGGGGCATGTGGAGGACCAAAGGGCCTGGTCTCCCACTTCCACTGGCTCCTGGTGGCAGAGAACTCCAATTCCCATGATCCTTGGGAGAAAGAGACTCCAATTCCCATGGGTCCCTGGGAGGAAGAGACTCCAGTTTCCATTAATTCCTGGGAGGAAGAGATTCCAGTTCCCATCACTCCCTGGGAGGAAGTGACTCCAGTTTCCACCAGCCTCTAGGAAACCAAACTCAAGTCCCATTAGCCCTGGGCAGTAGAGCCTCCCATGTCAGCTTCAGAGGGGAACCAACACTTTGACTCATAATGGTTTCAGGAGATAAGGCGACTCTATTAGCACCTGAAGGTCAAAGACCCCAATTCTTATAGGACCCTGGGAAGTGAAGATACCCCTACTCCTATTAGCCCCTAGAAAGCCAAGCCTCTAATTCCCTCTGGAGTGAGGAAACTCAAATTTGAATTCATTTTCGAGTATTAACGATTGCAAGGTTGCACCAGTCCAAGCCAGCTTCTGTGAGGCAATAGACGACAACTCCCATCAGCGCCTAGAAGTTAAAAACCCCCACTTCTGGCCAGACACGGTGGCTTATGCCTGTAATCCCAGCACTTTGGGAGGCCGAAGTGGGTGGATCACTTGAGATCAGGAGTTCAAGACCAGCCTGACCAACATGGTGAAACCCCGTCTCTACTAAAAATACAAAATTAGCTGGGCGTGGTGGTGCGTGCCTGTAATCCCAGCCACTCGGGAGGCTGACGCAGGAGAATCACTTGAACCCAGGAGGTGGAGGTTGTGGTGAGCCGAGATCGAGCCATTGCACTCCAGCCTGGGCAACAAGAGCAAAACTCTGTCTCAAAAAAACAAAACAACAAAAAAACCCCCAAACTCCCTTCCCATAAGCCTCTGGGACACGGGGTTCCAGTTTCCATCAACCATTTTTTTTTGTTGTTGTTGTTGTTTGGAGTTTTTTTTTTTTTTTTTTTGAGACAGAGTCTTGCTCTGTCGCCCACGCTGGAATGCAGTGGCACGATCTTGGCTCACTGCAGCCTCTGCCTCCCAGGTTCAAGCAATTCTCCCACCTCAGCCTCCCAAGTAGGTAGGACTACAGGTGTACCACCACACTCAGCTAATTTTTGTATTTTTTGTAGAGACGGGGTTTTGCCATGTTGCTCAGGCTGGTCTCGAGCTCTTCAAGAAATCCGCCCATCTTGGCCTCCCAAAGTGTTGAGATTACAGGCATGAGCCACCGCGCCTGGCCCCAAAAGCTCAATTTCTATGAGCTCTTAGATGGCTGGGATTCCTGCCCGAAGCATAAACTCCCATGGCCCTGCCTCCCTACGCCAAGAGTGGAGTGGGAGCGACCATGCACCGGTCCGGACAATAGCCCCTCCCTACCACCACACCTGGGAAAGCCTGAGAGCAGGTCCCATGAGCGCCGGGCAGACAGCTTCCCGTGTGGTGAAACCTGCGCCAGCATCGACGGACCTGATGTCAGTTCATCCGGGGGACTGGGTGCCGGGGGGGAACACGAGGGCTGTCCCCTCTCCGGCTTCCCAGCCCAGCTGTCCTTTGGGTCACCAGAGTTTGGACAAAGAGGCCCATTCTCTGGAGTCTGGACAGCTGGACCCCCACCCCCATCCTTCCTGGCGGGTGATTGACTTTGAGATAGTGACTCAGACCTCCTAAGGCGGCCCATTGTTGGGGTGTCCAGCCACGGCACCCGAAGTTATGCCGGGGGAGGAGGGGGGCTCTCCAGTGCTCCAGAGTTGGGGTTTGGGAAGATCCTTTGGGCTTTGCTAGGCCCCTTGCCTTACAAACAGGAGGCATCTGCCCATAGCAGATTGGGTCTGGTCGAGGGCACCCTGCTTGTCTAGCAGAGCGCATTCCATGCAGTGCCACAGGGCGAGGAGCTGGAGCTGGGGACACGGTAGGAGGATGGTTGCCCTTGGCCTCAGGCCCAACACAGCGTGACAACAGTGGGGTTCCCTGTGTGTCAGGGGCTTCCCTGTGCAACAGGCAAGGAACTGGGCCTTCAGCGGTCCAGCCTGGAGAGCTGCAGGTCCCCCAGGTCCCCCTAGGCCCTGTTTCTGGAGAAGTCCCACCCTGGTAACCTGGAGAGGGAGGATGGGGTAGGGCTGGGTGTCTATAAATACCTACAAATATTTCTTGTTCTCGTAGACGTCGTGGAGCTTGAGGACATGTGGGTGTTCGATGAGCTTCAGGATGGCGATCTCCCGCTCCACCTGAGGGTCAAGAGGGGTGGGGACACGGGAAAAGAGGTCAGCACGGCCCCGCCCCTGCCCTCAGCCCCGGAGGCCCCCCCACCCGCAGGCACACTGCAGCAGGCGCACACACCTTCATCAGCACCGACTCCGACAGCTTCTCCCGGTTCACGATCTTGATGGCGACCTTCTGACCCGTGATGCAGTGGACCCCGAGTTTAACCAGCCCTGCAGGAGCAGGGTGAAAATGTGGGGTGTTCCGCCGGGTCCCCTTCGTCCCCAGCGCCTATGTCCCCCCTTGGCCACCCTGTTTGCTCCTTCCTCCTGGGCTGGCTGTTTAACAATGGCCTGAACACATCAGACCTGAACTCCTGGGGCTGAGAGCCCACACTCCCACAAAACCACCCTTCCCCTCCCTCCTGCCAGTCCGTTCCTCCTGACTGTCCATCCAGCCAGGTGCCCCTCTCCTCTGCCAGCCACCCCCTGGCCCTCACCCTCTCCGTCCTGGGGAGCCCGCCTGCCACGCATTCTTTCCTCACCGTGTCTCCCCGAGTCTGTCTCCTCCAAGCCCCCGCCCCCCCACTTTCTCTGTCTCTCTCCATCAATTCCTTGTATTCTCTGCTTTTCAATCTTTTGGAGACCCTATGACTCCCAACGAATATAGTCTCACATTTGCCCCCTCCCCAGACCACCCTCCACCTCCTCCTGAATCCCCTCCCAGTGAATATAATCTCACATTTGCCCCTCCCCAGATCACCCTCCACCTTCTCCTGAACCCCCAGCCTCAACTGCCTTCCTGGGTCTTCTCTTCATGGCAGCCCTAACAGACAGCACACAGACACCAAGGGTATGTCCGGTCTCCTAGCCCACACCTCTCCTCAGGACCCTCGACTCCAGGACCTGAGCCCCCAAAGCCACAGACCTAGCCCTGACTAGCCCCTAAAGCTGCAGGCCCAGGCGTCCAGACCCCCAGCCCCTCCTCCCTCAGACCCAGGAGTCCAGGCCCCCATTCCATCCTCCCTCAGACCCAGGAGTCCAGACCCCAGCCCCTCCTCCCTCAGACCCAGGAATCCAGCCCCCCCAGCCCCTTCCTCCCTCAGACCCAGCACTCCAGGCCCCCAGCCCCTCCTCCCTCAGACCCAGCACTCCAGGCCCCCAGCCCCTCCTCCCTCAGACCCAGCACTCCAGACCCCCAGCCCCTCCTCCCTTAGACTCAGCACTCCAGACCCCCAGTTCCTCCTCCCTCAGACCCAGCACTCCAGGCCCAGCCCCTCCTCCCTCAGACCCAGTCCAGGTCTGACCCCTTCTTCTCCTGTAACTCAGGAATTCAGGTCAGCAACACCTTCACACTCTTACCACTCAGGATCTGGGACTTTGACCCTCTCCTTTTCCCTAGGGTCTCAGCTCCCAGTTACGGCCCAGTCGGTCCCCACTCCTGCCAGCTCTGGCCCTGAGCTTCATAGAGACTCTGGGCGTTCAGCTCCCATGTCACCTCCACCCACCATCCATCCGGCAGGAAGGAGGCCGCGGCCGGTGGCCAGCGTTCAGCAACAGCAGAGGATGAACGCCCTTTCCACAGCCGCTCCAGGAGACGCGCCTGCTGCAGCCCACCTTCCCACCCTCCATCCTGTTTCCCACTCTGAGCCAGCATGCCAGAGAAGGGGAGAATGTCTTAGGCCCCACGGCCCCTGTCACCCCAACCTGCTGCCTGGAGAACTGGAGGCCAGAGGACAGTGGGGAGGGAAGAGGTTTCCCAGGATGGATGCACTGCACCCCGGTCTGCAGCTGTACTGCAGCAAGAACCTCAGGTCCCAGCCCGGCCCCACTCTGCAGGCCGCCTCCATCCCCTCCCTGGCCCTGGAGCCCCTCCAGCCTCTGCCCCTATGGGGACTGGAGCACTGGGGCCCCAAACTCCCTGTCCCAACACTCAAGGTTCCGACCGCCCTCCTCCCTCAGACTCAGGAGTCCAGGCCCCCAGCCCCTCCTCCTTCAGACCCAGGAGTTCAGCACCCCTGCCCCTCCTCCCTCAGACCCAGGAGTCCAGACCCCAGACCCTCTTCCTTCATACTCAGGAGTCCAGGCCCCCAGGCCCTCCTCCCTCAGACCTGAAAGTCCAGGACCGCAGTCCCTCCTCCCTCAAACCCAAAAGTCCAGGACCCCAGTCCCCTCCTCCCTCAGACCCAGAAGTCCAGACCCCCAGCCCCTCCTCCCTCAGACCCTGGAGTCCAGGCCCCCAAGCCCTTCTCCTTCAGACCCAGGAGTGCAGGCCACCAGCCTCTCCTCCCTCAGACTCCGGAGTCCAAGCACAGCCCCTCCTCCCTGAAACCCAGGAGTCCAGACCCCCAGGCCCTCCTCCCTGAAACCCAGGAGTCCAGGCCCCCAGGCCCTCCTCCCTCAGACCTAGGAGTCCAGTGCCCAGCCCCTCCTCCCTCAGACCCAGGAGTCCAGGCCCCCAGCCCCTCTCCTCCAGGACCTGAGTCTGCGCCCCCCACCCCCTCCATCCAGGGACCCAGGAGTCTGAATCCCAAGTCCCTTCTCTATGAGGGGCCCAGGGGTCTGGGCAGCCAGCCCCTGCCATTTGAATACCCTGAGTCCCGCCTCTGCCGCCACCTCCACCCTGCCCCCCGCCCCAGGTGTCCCCTTCTGCTAGGCTCACCTGTCTGTCCTTTGCCCAGCGTCTTCTCCAGCCGATAGGGGCCCACATATTGGGCGTGCTGGGGTGGGTGGGGGTGGGGGTGGGGGAGGTGGTAGGCGGGAGAGCCCCCACCTCCCTCCTTGGCCCCGGACGACATGGTGCCCTTGGTCCCGGCCCGACCGGTCCCCCGGCCGCCCCCCCTGCGGCCGTCGCCCCGTCTCTCCGGTGGGGGCCGGCGACCGCTCCGTCCCGGCCCCCCCGGCTGCCCCCCACCTCTCCGGGGGTCCCCAGGGGGCTGGGCTGGCCCCCCCCAGTCGGCGGGCCGCGGAGCTGGGGGAGGGGGGGCTGGCCCGGGGGGGTCAGGCCCCGGGAGTCAGCATGGCCCAGGGGGGCTGCGGGGCCCCCCCTCCCCAGCCCGTTTCTGGCCGGCCCCCCGCTTCCTGCGCCTCCCCCCGCCGGGGGGGTCTGAGGTGCGGGCCGGCGGATGCTGCAGGCCGAGGTCCCCCCCGCCCCCCCACGCGCCCTCTCTCCTCCGCCTCCTCCTCCTCTCCGCCTCCCCCCGCCACCTCGTCCTTTCTCTCCGGCACGCTGACATCACCATCCGGGGACTCCGGGCCCTTCCCCAAAGTTAACCCTTTCGGAGGGGGGAGGGGGAGCGAGGGGGGGCAGGGGGCGGGCCTCCAGCTGGAGGGATGGAGAGGAGGTGGGAGGATGCAGGAGAGAGGATGGAGGGAAGGATGGAGAGAGAGAGAGAGGACCCAACAGATGGGGCAGAGATGGAGATACACAAAGAGAGATGCTGGCTGACACAGAGACGGGAGACAGGCAGAGACGCCAGAGGGATGGAGACCACCAGAGACAGGCTGAGGCAGAGAGGGAGGAAGGGCAGAGATGGACAGGGACAGAAGAGAAGGAAGGAATGGCAAGCCGGGAAAACAGACAGGGAGAGGGAGAGAAAGCTGCTGGAAGCCGACAGAGGGATGGAGAGAGTCAGAGATTCAGAGAGACAGAGAGAGGAAGACCAACCAGAGAGGTGGGGGAGAGGGGGCGCAGATGGAGCTGTAGAGAGGGCCGGGGGTACACACAGGTGGAGGGACACGTGCTGGGGAGAGGTGGGGACATATGGAGGGAGACAGAGACAGAGAGGGGAAAGAATTCTTGGAGTTGCTGACCCAAAATTCATGTCTGTTTCCCCAGCCCCCTAAGGCCACCCATTCAGGGTAAGGGTAAGTCTGTGTCCCCACCAATGTCAAGGCCCCATATCTACCCACAGCCCAGAGTGATTTTGGATTCTCTTTACAGAGAAGCTTCCAGAACCCCCTCAGTTTCCCTGTGTTATGTTTTTAGACCCCCATATATTCTCTGTGCTCGTCATAGGGTCCTTTATATCTTCATGTGGACCCCAGTACAGCCCATACATCCCCACTGTAGCAGGTCCACAAGCATGTGCTCTGCCTGTGAGTAACCCGCCTGCCCCCATTAGCTTTCCGCATAAACCATAGATCCCTCTATGTCATGTACCCGCAAGTGTTAGACACCCATTTAATTCTCAAGTCCCCTGTAAAGCACACCCAGGGCTGGGCAAGGTGGCTCATGCCTGTAATCCCAATACTTTGGGAGACAGAGGTGGGAAGATCAGCCTGGGCAACACAGTGAGACCCCATCCCTACAAAAATTTTTTTAAAAATTAGCCGGGCATGGTGGCATGTGCCTGTAGTCCCAGCTACTTGGGAGGCTGAGGCTTGAGTCAGTGAGTTCTAGGCTGCAGTGAGCTACGTTTGCACCACTGCACTCCAGCCTGAGCAACAGAGTGAGGCCCTGTCTCTAACAAAAATAAAATAAAATAAAGTGCACACAGGAGCCTATTGGCTCCTGTGAGATTTCCCAGTCCCCCATTCAACACCTTGAGTCCACACATCTTTAATGAGTGCCAAATCTCAGCCAGGCACTGTTCCTGTTGGTAAGAACGTGGCAGTGACCTAAATCAGCAAAAAGGCCTGTCCTGTGGAGCTTCCATGCTGGTGGATGAAACAGATGATCAGCAAGGTCAATAGGCAAAATGTATGGTGTGTTAGATAATCATGTCCGTGCTGAGGAGGTGACTACAGCAGGGAAGGGGGTTAAGAGGGGCCTGTTGAGCAGGGTACAATTTTAGGCGTCCGGCTTTTTTTGTATTTTTAGTAGAGATGGAGTTTCACCCTGTTAGCCAGGCTGGTTCTGTAGCCTTTTTTTTTTTTTTTTTTTTTTTTTTTTTTTTTTTTTGAGACGGAATCTTGCTCTGTCTCCCAGGCTGGAGTGCAGTGGCACAATCTCAGCTCACTACAACCTCCACATCCTGGGTTCAAGCGATTCTCCTGCCTCAGCCTCCCGAGTAGCTGGGATTATAGGCACCCGCCACCATGCCTGGCTAATTTTTGTATTTTTAGTAGAGATGGGGTTTCACCATGTTGGTCAGGCTGGTCTCAAACTCCTGACCTTGTGATTTGCCCACCTCAGCTTCCCAAAGTGCTGGGATTACAGGCGTGAGCTACCACACCTGGCCTGGTTCTGTAACTATTGAGTCCCTTTTTGCTCTCAAATGTCTTGCTATAGATGAAAAATTATATGATCACCCTCTTTTTTTTGTTTTGTTTTGTTTTTTGAGACAGGGTCTTCCCCCTGTTGCCTAGGCTGGGGTGCAGTAGGGCAGTCATAGTTCCCTGCAGCCTCGACCTCCTGGGCTCAAGTGATCCTCCTGCCTCAGCCTCCTGCCTAGCTGTGATATAAGCAGATGCCATCACACATGGCTAATTCTTGTATTTTTTTGTAGGGCTGGGGACACACTATGTTGCCCAGGCTGGTCTCGAGCTCTTGGGTTCAAGTGATCCTCCCACCTTGGCCTCCCAAAGTACTGAGATTATAGACCTGAGCCACTGCCCCCGGCCATGTATTATAAACTGATAGACTTGTACATAGATGTCCGTGTCCTAATTCCCAGGATCTGTGCATAAGTTACCTTGCATGGCTGAAGGGACTTTGCCCATGTGACTGAGATAGGGAGATTATCCCAGTTATTTGGGTGAGCTCGATGGAATCACAAGAGTATTTGTGAGAAGGAGGCAGGAGGAGCAGTCAGTGATGGAGATGGGAAGGTGGAAGCAGAACTTGGGGTGATGGGGCCACCTGTCAAAGAAAGAGTGTGGCCTCTAGAAGCTGGAAAAGGCAAGAAAAACATTCTCCCCGAGAGCCTCCAGAAGTGATGCAATCCTGCTGACAGTTTGATTTCAGCCCCGTGAAACCCATTTTGGATTTCTGCCCTCCATAACTGCAAGATAATAAATGTGTGCTGTTTTAAGCCACCACATTCTTAGTAATTTGTTAACAGCAGCAATAGGAAACTAATATAATAGCACATCCACAGGCCCAGATGCATCTCACAGCACAGTGCTAGAAACACCACACACACACACACACACACACACACACACACATACACACACAACCTATCTGTTTGGTCTTCCTGTTTCTGCCCAAAATATCCCCCTGCACAACCACGCCCAGCAGGTGATTGATACGTTTGTGACTGTGTGCCCGTTTTGCGTTGAGCACAACCTTTTCCTGGAGGAAAACGCCTCCTATCCAGGATCAACACGGGAGTTTCTTTAAGCCCAGCCCAGGGCCAACACCTCTGCAGATCGGCCCGCACCAGCACGTGCCCAGGCCTAAACCCCACTTCTGGAGCACAGAGGCCTCGGGCCTCCCCACCAAGCTGGCTCCTCTGGCGCTCTGAATCTTGCTGGGCTCTGGGGCACTTTGCTTTCCGGCTCTAGGCCTCAAGAATCCTCTCCTCTCCACCTGGCAGGACATGGGGAAGAGTCCATGAGGGAGAGGCTGGGTGATGAGAGGGATCCACGCCGCAGCTCCACTTGACAGATGGAGAAACTGAGGCCGAGAGAGGGGTTGCGGGGGGCATAAGGCTCACAGGCCAGCCATTACGGTTGCGACCCCAGGGCTCCTGTAGATGGGGTTGGTGGCCCCGGTGGAGGCGAAAGTCAGATTAGTTGGGGCGAGGTCCCAAACCTTCTAAGGATGACTGACAGCAATGAGTGGGAGGGGCCTGTAAAGGGGCCGGGGCCCAACTGGGAGAGTCTGAAAGGCCTAGAGCAGGGGCGGGAATCGTAGGGTGGGCGGGGTCAGACCTGGGGGCGGGGCACACGTTAGAAGAGGGGTGGAGCTTGCAAAAGTATCGGGGGCGGGACTCGCTGAGGTGCGAAAACTGGGCCAGGGGCAGGGCTTTGACCAGCTACTTGAGCGTGAAGGGGCGGCGCCCGCACGAAGGGGCGTCCCAGCTTGGAGGCGGGGCCCGGATGGGAGGGGCGGGGCCGAGTGCAGTATCCCGCCAGGTGAGAAGGGGATAAGAGTCGGGCAAGCAGCTTCAGCCGCAACCACGGCACGAAGTTGGGTGGGTACGCCTGGCACTTCCGGGTGAAACCGTGCGTATTTCCGGTTAAGATGGCGGCGCCCAGCAGAGTCAGGTGCGGACGACTTTGTCTGTAGGAGCAGCGGCGGCTTGAGGACCCGGGGAGGTGAGATCCGCCTTATTCCGGCGCCCCTCTTCGGAGAGGAGGGAGAAGACTTGTTGCTAAGGAGACCAAAGGGCGGGCTTGTTGCTACGGAGGCGGAGCAGTGAGGTTGCTAAGAGACGGGACGCACGCAGTGGAGATGGGGAAGGGGGGTTGTTGCCAGGGAGAGTGGGTGGGGCCTGTTGCTAGGGAGAAAGGAGAGGCTTATGACTTTGGGGAAGGGTCCTGTGGGTATGAAGGAAGGAAAAGGGGCTGTGGTTAAGTGGGCTGGGGGCAGAGTGGTTTGGGGTCATGGGGGGTCGCCGAGCTCCCCTGAAACGCCGCCTTCTCAGCAGACCCTCAAGAATCGACCCATCAGGACGCCAGAGCTGCTTCAGCGGTGACCACCTTCTCCCTCTAACACATTCTTCCCTTCTTCACAAACGGCCCATGTCAGACGAAGGCTCAAGGGGGAGCCGCCTGCCCCTGGCGCTGCCCCCGGCCTCCCAGGGTTGCTCTTCAGGGGGCGGCGGCGGCGGCTCCTCGGCTGGGGGCTCGGGCAATTCCCGGCCCCCACGCAACCTCCAAGGCTTGCTGCAGATGGCCATCACCGCGGGCTCTGAAGAGCCAGACCCTCCTCCAGAACCGATGAGTGAGGAGGTAAAGGATGGGGACCCAAGAAGCTGGGGTGAGGGGCCTGGGGACAGATAGAGTTGCCTTGGGAAGTGTGACTTGGGGAGCCACAAGAAGACTAGGGTCTTCTTGGGTGGGAGGCAGAAAACCAGGTGTGGAGGCATTGTGGGCTATAAATTGTGCTAGATGGGGTTATCGTTGACTGAAGGTCAGATCTCAAGAGAGTCTGAGGGGACATATCCTCTCCAGAGCCAGACTAACCTGGATTCAGCATTTCCAGCTGTGTGACCTTGGGTATATTACTTCATCTTTCTGAATCTCAAGTTCTTCATTTACAAATTGATAATAATAATAACTACCGTATAGGGTAGTTCTGAGGTTCTACTTTAAGTAGGGCTGCACACAGTGCCCAGCATACAGACAGTGCTTCTGAAGGCAGCAGTGTGTTTTCATGAAGAGCACAGGCTCTGTAGTCAGACTGCTGTTTTTTTTTTTTTTTTTTGGTGGGGGCAGGGTTGGGGGTGGAGGACACAGTCTCGGCTGGAGTGCAGAGGCGCAGTCTTGGCTCACTGCAACCTCTGACTTCCCGGTTCAAGCAATTCTCATGCCTCAGCGTCCCCAGTAGCTGGGATTAGAGGCATGGGCCACCATGCCTGGCTAATTTTCGTATTTTTAGTAGAGAAGGGGTTTCACTACATTGGCCAGGCTGGTCTCGAACTCCTGGCGTCAAGTGATCCACCTGCCTCGGCCTCCCAAAGTGCTGAGATTACAGATGTGAGCCAGCACGCCCAGCCTAGACTGCTTGGGTTTGATTTCAGGCTTTGCCAATTGCTGACTGTGTGACCTTGGGTAAGTCTCAACCTTTCTGTGACTCAACTTTCTCATCTGCGAAGTGGGGATAACAATGATATATACCTCATAGAGTTGTTTTGCAGATTCATAGCGATAGCTATTATATATAATGTTTAATCGACAATTACTGTATACAGAGCATTATGCTAACCCACTTACATATATGATATCATTGAACCTTTACAACAGTGAGGCATGAAACAGGCACAGAAACATTAAATAGCTCACTCAAATTTACTTAGAACTGTGACTAAGGAGACCTCTGCTCCCCTCCCTCACCCCCAAAAATTCCAGCAGTCACGTATTAGCTCTCATCTCCTTTTTCTTTGAGATAGTCTCACTGTGTTGCCCAGGCTGGAGTGCAGTGGCCTGATCTTGGCTCACTGCAACCTCTGTCTCTCAGGTTCAAGCGATTCCCTTTGCTGCAGCCTCCCGAGTAGCTGGGATTACAGGCTCACGCCACCAGGCCTGGCTAATTTTTGTATTTTTAGTAGAGACGGGGTTTCACCATGTTGCCCAGGCTGGTCTCAAACTCCTGAGCTCAGGCAGTCTACCCACCTCGGCCTCCCAAAGTGCTGGGATTACAGGGATGAGCCACAGCTCCCAGCCGATATTTGTTGACTGAAGGAACATCAGCCCTCAGTTGTTGGCTGTCTTTATTAATGGCTGTTCCTTTGTAATGAATGACTGATGGATCTCCTTCTTTCCTCCTCGCCTTGGTCTCCAGAGGCGTCAGTGGCTGCAGGAGGCCATGTCGGCTGCCTTCCGAGGCCAGCGGGAGGAGGTGGAGCAGATGAAGAGCTGCCTCCGAGTGCTGTCACAGCCCATGCCCCCCACTGCTGGGGAGGCCGAGCAGGCGGCCGACCAGCAAGAGCGAGAGGGGGCCCTGGAGCTGCTGGCCGACCTGTGTGAGAACATGGACAATGCCGCAGGTACCCCGCTTCCCCCGCCAGGACGTTCTGCCCCTCTGTACATGTCCTGCTGCCTCTCAGCTCTTGCCCCTACTCTTGGGGCTCACACCGTCAGCCTCCCTGCTGCCTTCTCACCATCAGCCTGTTCGCCTCCATTGCCATAAGGAGCAAGGCTCTGCCTCACCCTCATGGCAGGTGGAGTCCCCCACTTCCCTGATCAGCTCTGAGATGGCTGTTTCTCTCCTAGTCCTCTGGGTGTCCACTGCCACTCCCCAGAGTACAAGAGGGAAAGTGGCATGGGTGGGGTGGCAGAGAAGGCCTCCCCGGGGTGACGTTTGATCAGAGACCTGAAGTGAGGTGAGAGTTGTGGGATGATCTCTGGGAAAAGCATTCCAGACAGTAGGAACAGCCAGTGCAAAGGCCCTGAGGCCAGAGTGTGCCTGGTGTGTTCAGGAACAGCAGCCAGGCCCTTGAGGCAGAGTAGAGTGAGTGAGGGGCCAGGCGCAGGAAACAGCGCTGGGGTGGGCCTCGCAGATGGGGAGGTAAATGCTGTTTTACTCCAAGCAGCAGAGCTCACAGAAGGTTTGAGGAGAGCTCACTTCCATTTGGAGGGGTTGGGTGGTGTAGCAATTGAGGGTGTGGATTTGGGGTGTCACTTCCTTGGTTCATAGTTCAGGCTGTGCTGCTACATGGCAGTCTGGTTTGGGCAGGTCCTGATTACTTCCTCTTGTACGCAGGCTGGGCCGAGAGAAACCCCCAGGCCCGCACAACACCAGGCACAGAGTAAACGTAACGTGTCAGGCCTGGGAGTCAGGTGTCTTCATTTTGGACAGGGGCTGGACGGAGTTTGGGAAGCCCTCCTCTGTGAGCGCATGCAGCACCCCGAGAAGACCTGCAGTGCAGCCGCCACCCTCTAGCTTACCTTTCCCCAGTGTCTCCCCGTCTTATCCGGGCAGAGAACTCCTGCTCCAATCCGCAGGATGGCTTTTAACGACTTTGCTCTTTCATTCATTTTTTGCTTGTTCAGGAAATATCTGTTGAGCAGCTGCTGTGTGCTAAGCACTGTGCTGAGTGTCCAATCATCACAGCAGCAGCAATTTTACACCTTATTAGTAATCAAATGAGAACGAAAGCCAAAGATACCACTTCCTCCCTGGCCTCGTGCGCTCTCTGTGTATATAAATATAAATATATATGTGTATCTTCTCTGTCTTAATGAAGATGCACAGTGCTGATGAAGGTGGGCTGAGGGGAACATCCTCCCATATGACTGTTTATACCACTTACAGTCAATTCAGAATGTTGTGCAACACCACCTCTATTTCCAGAACTTTTCCATTGCCTGCAAAGGAGACCCAGCACCCATTAGGCCGGCCCTCCCCCGGTCCCCTGGCAACCACTAATCAGCGTTTTGGCTGTATGAATTTGCCTGTTCTGGACATTTCATATAGATGATTATAACGTGACCTTTTGTGTCTGGCTGATTGTGCTAAAGGCGGCGTGCCCATGTTGTGGCGTGTGTCAGAGCTTTATTCCTTTTTTTTTTTTTTTTTTTTTTGAGTCAGTCTCCCAGGCTGGAGTGCAGTGGTGCAATCTCAGCTCACTGCAACTTCCACCTGCTGGGTTTCAGTGATTCTCATACCTTAGCCTCCCAAACAGCTGGGATTACAGGTGCATGTCATCAGGCCTGGCAAATTTTTTTTTTTTTTTTTTCTGAGACAGAGTCTCACCCTGTTGCCCAGGCTAGAGTGCAATGGCGCGATCTCAGCTCACTGCAACCTGTGCCTCCCGGGTTCAAACGATTCTCCTGCCTTGCCCTTCTGAGTAGCTGGGCTTATAGGCGCCCACCACCATGCCCAGCTAATTTTTGTATTTTTAGTAGAGATGAGGTTTCACCATGTTGGCCAGGCTGGTCTTGAATTCCTGACCTCGTGATCCACCCACCTTGGCCTCCCAAAGTGTTGGGATTACAGTCATGAGCCACCGCACCTGGCCAGGCCTGGCATTTTTGTATTTTTAGTATATAACATAGCAAAAACCCTGTTTTGCTATGTTACCTGGGCTGGTCTCGAACTCCTGGCCTCAAGTGATCTGCCCACCCTGGCCTCCCAAAGTGCTGGGATTATAGGCTTGAGCCACCACGCCCAGCTGCTTCATTCCTTTTTATGGCTGAGTAATACTCCGTTGTATGGCTAGAGCAGTTTATATTTATCCCTTTATCCTTTAAGGACATTTGGGTCATTTATGAATGATGCTGCCATGAACTTGAGTATATAAGTATCTGAGTCCCTACTTCTGGTTCTTTTGGGTCTGTGCCTTGGTGCGGAATTGCTGGGTCACGGGGAATCTGTATTTCATTTTTTTAGGAACTGCCACGCTCTCCAATACCACTTTATTTACAAAAACAGGAGGTGGGCTGTGGTTTGCTGACCCTGGGGACATTCAGATTGTCACAAAGACCAGGATCAGTCCTGGCATTTAGTAGTCTGGAGCCTGGGGCCCTAATGCCCCAAATGCTGATGGAATCGAGTTGTACTAGCCTTGGGGGGACCTCTGGTTGGGTGTTTGGAGAGAGCTGCGTCCCTGTGGGAGCCGGCCTGGCTCTCCCGGCCTCAGCAGCTGTAGTGGTCAGCTTAGGGCCACCTTAGCCAAGCACCACAGACTACTGGCTTTAAAAACAGAAATGTATTTTCTCACGGCTCTGGAGGCTAGAAGTTTGAGATCAGGGTGTGGGCAGGGCTGGTTTCTCCTGAGCCCCCCTCTCCTTGGCTTGCAGAAGGCATTTTTTGTGTCCTCCCTCCATGTTGTCCCTCTGTGGGTGTCTGTGTCCTCATCTCTTCTTCTTATCAGGACGCCAGTCAGATTGCATTAGGGCCCACCCTAAGGACCTCATTTTACCTTAATGATCTCTTTAAAGATCCCATCTCCAAAAACAGTCACATTCCAAGGTACTGGGGGTCAGAACATCAACCCATGCATTTTGGGGGGCACGGTTCAGTCCCTAACATCTGGCCTCTCTCTGCTCCCCTCTGTGGCACAGACTTCTGCCAGCTGTCTGGCATGCACCTGCTGGTGGGCCGGTACCTGGAGGCGGGGGCTGCGGGACTGCGGTGGCGGGCGGCACAGCTCATCGGCACGTGCAGTCAGAACGTGGCAGCCATCCAGGAGCAGGTGCTGGGCCTGGGTGCCCTGCGTAAGCTGCTGCGGCTGCTGGACCGCGACGCCTGCGACACGGTGCGCGTCAAGGCCCTCTTCGCCATCTCCTGTGAGTGTCCGGGTGGGGCTGGGGACAGGGGTGCTGGCGGTGGGGGGGGGTGCCGGGTGGGCCCCCGGGATCTGCTGGGGCAGAGGGAGAGGCATCTCCTTCCCTCGTTTGTTCCCATGCTTGTTGGACCCCTGCACGGCTGAGTGCTGCGGGCAGAGTGAGTGGCGCACTCGGCCAAACCCCCTGCTAGCCAGGCAGCAGATGTGACCACTTCCCGGGGAGACCACCTGGCCCTCAGCGTGAGCGCTTTGCACACAGCAGTTTTTCAGCTGGGCACTGTTCACACTGGCGCTGGTTCACTCTCTCGGGGGCCGTCCTGTGCACTACAGGACATTGAGCAGCATCTGGTGGGTGGCCTCCAGGCCATGGAGAGACACTATCACCCCACCTGCCAGCGCACAAATGCCCCTAGATGTAGAAAGCCCCTTGGTCAGAACCCCTGCTGTACATGAATTCTTCTTCTTCTTTTTTTTTTCATTTAACCTATATAGAGACAAGACTTGCTTTGCTACCCAGGCTAGTCTTGAACTCCTAGCCTCAAGGGATCCTCCCGCCTTGGCCTCTGAAAGTGTTGAGGTTACAGGTGTGATCCACCATGTCCAGCCACAAATTCTTTTTATCCTAATGGCCTGTGAAGTAGGGACCGTTTGCATCCTCATTTGACAGGGGAAGAAACTGAGGTGTGGGCAGAGGGACACGGCCAGGTTTCTGCAGCTCCATAGGGCAGAGCTGGCCAGGACTCCCCCAAATACTGCCGCCTGGGACACAGGCACCAGGTCGGGCACAGGGACGGGACAAAAACCAACATCTGTGGGGCAGTTTCTCCATGCCAGGTGTTGACTCGCTGAATCCTTATGCACACCTGCTGAAGTTGGGCCCACTGTGTCTCCTCCACACGGGAGGGATCGGGCCAGGGGGTCTGGAGAGGACACACAGAGCCAGGATCCCAGCCTGGTGGAGCTCTTCGTATGTGCTGGATGCCTGCCTGCATGTGCTATACTAGCGCCCCAACTGGACTCTTTCCTTTTATTTTCTCTAACAGCTTTATTGAGATGTAATTCATAGGCCATACAATTCATCCTTTTAAAGTGTATAACTTAGTACTCTTGGCCAGGCGTGGTGGCTCACATCTGGAATCCTAACACTTTGGGAGGCCGAGGCGGGAGAATTGCTCGAGCCCAGGAGTTTGAGACCAGCCTGGGCAACATAGGGAAACCCCTGTCTCTACAAAAATTAAAAAATTAGCTGGACGTGGTGGTGCGTGACTGTACCTCCATCTACTCAGGAGACTGAAGTGGTGGGATTGCCTGAGCCTGGGAAGTTGAGGCTGCAGTGAGCCATGATTGCATCTCCAGCCTGCGTGACAGAGCAAGACCTGTCTGAAAACAAACACAAAAACCAGAAAAACAACGTAGTACTTCTTAGTGTATTCAGTGCTGTGCAGCCATCATCACTCTCTAATTTTAGATGTGATCAGACGCGTTCGGGGTGGTATGGCTATCGGCAGTCACTATCTAATTTTGGAACATTTTCTTCTTTTCTTTCTTTTTTTTTTTTTTGAGACAGAGTCTCGCTCTTGTCACCCAGGCTGGAGCGCAATGGCGCGATCTCGGCTCACTACAACCTCCTCCTCCCAGGTTCAAGCAGTTCTGCCTCAGCCTCTCAAGTAGCTGGGATTACAGGCGCCCGCCACCGCGCCCGGCTAATTTTTGTATTTTTAGTAGAGACGGGGTTTCACCCTGTTGGCCAGGCTGGTCTCAACCTCCTGACCTCAGGTGATCCACCCGCCTCAGCCTCCCAAAGTGTTGGGATTACAGGCGTGAGCCACTGCGCCCGGCCAAAATTTCAGAACATCTTCATCCTCTCCCCCAAGCAGAAATTCTGTACCCGTTAAGCAATCACTCGGCGTCCGTCCTCTCCCGCAGCCCCTGCAACATGAATCTACTTACTGCCTCTAAGGATTTCCCTCTCCGGGACATTTGTACAAACGGAATCCCACACCGTGAGGCCTTTTCTGCCTGGCTCCTTTCATATGCTGCAAGGTCCCCGAGTGGTGGCGGGTGGCAGTGCTGTGTTCCTTCCCGCGGCTGAATGTGTCCTGTTGCGTGGGTCCACCGTGCCCTGCCTCTTCCTCCGCCTGTCTGCTGACAGTCCCTGGTTTCCTTGTATCTCTGGGCTCTCGTGCTCCTGTGGACATAGCTGCGCAGGTGTTTTTATGGACATTTGTTTTCCGTTCTCTTGGGTGTATACCTAGCAGTGGAGTTGCTGGGTCATATCGTAACTCTACATTTAATCTGTTCGAGGTTGGCTTTTTTTTTTTTCTTTTTTTGTTTCTTGAGACGGAGTCTCGCTCTGTGGCCCAGGCTGGAGTGCAGTGGCGCAATCTCGGCTCACTGCAACCTCCACCTCCCAGGTTCAAGGGATTCCCCTGCCTCAGCCTCCCAAGTACCTGGGTTTACAGGCACATGCCACCATGCCCAGCTAATTTTTTTTGTACTTTTAGTACAGAGAGACGGGGTTTCACCCTGTTGGCCAGTCTGGTCTCAAACCCCCGACCTCAGGTGAGCACCTCAGCCTCCCTAAGTGCTGGGATTATAGGCATGAGCCACTGTGCCTGGCCTGAGGTTGGCTATTTTTTAATTCCAGCAGCCTATCTGGTCATTGAAATGGGGGCTGTGAGGGGGGTCCAACACCCTCTTTCTCTCCCTCACCCCCATGTATCCTGAGTCCTGGAATCAGTGTTGTGTTCCTGGCAGATGGTGGCCCCAGCCATGCAGAGGCTGGGAGGAGAACAGGGAGGGTTTGGGTAGGAGGAGATTCCGGAAGAAGGAAGCATTCTGATGAGGCAAGGAAAGGGGCACTTGGAAAGTCACAGCCAAAACTAGGGTGACAGGGACAGACAGACATGGGGCAGCTCGGCCACAAAGGGCAGAGAGAAGGACATGGTGTCCCGAGGGCCAGAGCAGGGTAGAGAGGGGCTGGCAGAGTTTTCTTCTAATAGCTTGCATTAAAAAAGAAGTCTTTAGGTCATCTTGGTGGTTCACACCTGGTCCCACCTACCTGGGAGGCTGAGGAGGGAGGATCATCTGAGCCTGGGAGGCAGAGGCTGCAGTCAGCTGAGATCGTGCCACTGCACTCCAGCCTGGGTGACAGAGTGAGACCCTGTCTAAAAAAAAAAAAAGTCATTACATATTTTTAAAAATCTGTGAGACAGTCACATCGTTCACCAGGTACAAAAGAGTACATAGCAAATGGTCCCTGTCCCCAAACCTGGTCCCCATTCCAGAGAAAACCACTGTTATACCTGTTTCTGCTTCCAGAGATTTTAATAAATCTGTAAGAACAAATGTGGGTGTGTGTGGTGTGTGTGTGATGTGTGTGTGTAGTGGGTGTGTGGCGCGTGTGTAGGGTGTGTATGGTGTGTATGTGGGGTGTTTGGCGTGTCGTGTGTTAGTGTAGCGTGTACATGGGTTGTGTGGTGTGTGGTATATATGTGGAGGTGTGTGTGGTGTGTGTGTTGCATGTGTATGTGTGTGGGATGTGTGTGCTGGGGGGATGTATGTATATGTGTGGGGTATGTGGGGTGCATATGAGGTGTGTATGTGTGGTGCGTATGTGTGGTGTGTGGATGTGCATGGCGTGTGTGGGATGTGTGGATGTGGTGTGTGTATACGGGGTGTGTGGTGTGTGCTTATGTGGAGTGTGTCGTGTGTGGTATGTGTGCACACAGACACACGGATTAATCTCGTTTCCTCAGATGTGCACGGCTGGCACAGGCCATCCTGACTGTGGCGCACCTTGACCTGCCTCTGTCCTTTTTTCTTAAGCAACAGTAGCTTATCTTTCCCCTTCCTGCGGGTGAGGAATGCAGCAGTGGCCCCTGCTGAGGAGGGCGGCTTCTGGCTTTGCGTCTTCATGAGGTTGCATGAGGTTGCATGAGGTTGTGGTCAGCCGTCAGCCGGGCCTCGTTCCCTGAAGGTCTCATTGCACTAAGCCCTGTGCGCTGCACCTCATTGATCCCTCACAATCCCCCTCTGAGGAAGGGGTGCTAGAGATGGGCTTCCACCATGGCTCGCCCCGGGGCTAGCAGAGTTTTGCTGGCAGTTGGCAGGAAGCTCGGGCTGCGTGAGCGGCCTCACCACGTGGTGGTCGGCTTCCCCAGCGAAAGTTGTGCACGATGCAGGGCAAGAGCTCTGGGAGCTTGGATGCCATTCTTTTTTTTGCTCGGGGGTAAAATTCACATGAAAATGTTAAAGTATACCATTCAGTGGCATCTGTCCTTTTTTTTGGTGGCTGCAGGGTATGCCATTGTGTGGCTGTCCAGTACCATTACTGGAGTTCCGTGCTGGGAGCCATTTGCAGGGTACGTCCCCTCAGCTCCTGCTGCCCGAGGCGGTGGTGCCACTGCCCTTCCCAGGACAGGAGGGGATGGACTCGCTCGCCCTCTGTGGAGCCACTCCAAAGTGGTTCCTTGTTACAGTCTACCAGAGTGGCACATTTATTACAATCGATGAACCTACATGGACACCTCATTGTCACCCAGAGTCCATAGTTGACACTGGGGCGCACTCTTGATGCTGTATGTACTATGGGTTTGGACAACTGTATCATGACATGGATCCATACTGTAGTATTCTACAGAGGAATCTCGCTGCCCTACAAATCCTCTGTGCTCCCGCTAGTCATCCCACCCCTGAGCTTTTTACTGTCTCCATAGTTTTGCCTTTTCCAGAATGTCATATGCTTGGAACCATGCAATCTGCAGCCTTTTCCGACTGGCTTCTTTGGCTTAGTAATCTGCTTTTAAGGTTCTTCCATGTCTTTTCTTGGCTTGATAGCTCATTTCTTTTTAGCGCTGAATAAGCGTAACTTTTTTAAGGGAGATGTGTGGGCTGCAGTGATGACTTTGGCTTTCTTTCCAAAAATGACGGCAGCCATACTGTGATCCCTGCCCCCAACTGCTGCACAGAGAAGAGGGTGAATGCGGCGAGGGTGGGTGGAAGGTGGGCGGTGAGCTGGGGGGTTATGGTGATAACCTAGGCAAGAGATCAAGGTTGTGGTAGGGAGCAGTGGTTCTCAAACAGGGACAATCGTGTCCTCCACAGGACATTTAGACAAATGTCTGGAGACATTTTTAGTTGTCGCAGCTGGGAGAGAGGGACTATTGGCATCTACTGGGTAGAGGCCAGGGATGCTGCTCAACATCCTGCAATGCACAGGACGGGCCTCCCAACCCAGAATGATCTGGCCCCAGATACCAACCGTGCCCAGGTGGAGAAACCCTGGCGTAAAGGGGACAGGTCTCTCCTGGGTACATTTTGAAGGTAGAGCTGACAGGCCTTGCTTACAGATTGAATGAGAGGAGTCTTTGTGTTTTCCAGTCCATGCATGCCTGTTCTTTTTTCTTTCTTTAATTAAATAACATCTGGCTGGGCGTGGTGACTCATGCCTATAATCTCAACATTTTGGGAGGCCGAGACAGGTGGATCACTTGAAGCCAGGAGCTCAAGACCAGCCTGGCCAACATGGTGACACCCTGTCTCTACTAAAAATACCAAAAAATTAGCCAGGCATGGTGGGGCATGCCTGTAATCTCGGCTACTCGGTAGGTTGAGGCATAAAAATTGCTTGAACCCGAGAGACGTATGTCGCAGTGAGCCAACTGCCACTGCACTCCAGCCTGGGCGACAGAGCGAGACTCTGTCTCAAAAATGAAATAAAATAAACTAAAATAAATAAATATGTAACCCAATATGTCCAAACTATTATAATTTCAATGTGTAATTAATATGGACTATTAATGAGACACTGTATTTTTTGTCATGCTAAGTCTTCAAAACCTAGTGTGTGCATTTTACAAATGAAGCACATCGCAACATGCTGAGTTTTCAGGGGTAGTGTGGAGTGCGCCAGAGCAACAACGTTGTGTGTGTTTTTCTTTTTTTGGTTTTCTTTTTGTGTGTGTGTGAGATGGAGTTTCGCTCTTTTTGCTCAGGCTGGAGTGTAATGGCGCAATCTCGGCTCACTGCAACCTCCACCTCCCGGGTTCAAATGATTCTCCTGCCTCAGCCTCCCTAGTAGCTGGGATTACAGACGCACGCCACCACGCCCAGCTAATTTTGTATTTTTAGTAGAGACGGGGTTTCACCATGTTGGTCAGGCTGGTCTCGAACTCCTGACCTCAAGTGATCTGCCCACCTCGGCCTCCCAAAGTGCTGGGATTACAGGCATGAGCCACCGCGCCCAGCCAACGTTGTGTTTAATGGAAAATATTTTACACTGCTTCAGTTTTTCACCTTAAGTTTAAATGAATGGAACTTAAATGAAATGAACAACTCTTTTCCTTAGTTGCACTGGCCACATATCAGGTGTTTAGTGGCCACAAGCTACTAGCAGCTTCTGTCCTTCTTGGCCAGCACAGGCCTAGAGCCTACCCAGGAGGGGGCACCTTACTGGAGGTGCACTCCAAAGGTCAGTTCTCATCCTGCTGGGAGTCCTTCCAGAGTTCTCATTGCCCTCTGGATAAAGGTCATGCATGCTGTGTAGCCTGGCTCTTTAGGCCTCAGTTTCCTCATCTGTAAAATAGAATTCTGAAAGCACACACTTCCAGGATAATTGTGAGGATTAAAAGATGTTGCGGACTGGGGACGGTGGCTCACGCCTGTAATCCCAGCACCTTGGGAGGCTGAGGCAGGTGGATTATGAGGTCTGGAGTTCAATACCAGCCTGGCCAACATGGCAAAACCCTGTCTCTACTCAAAATACAAAAATTAGCTGGGTGTAGTGGTGCATACCTGTAATCCCAGCTACTCGGGAGTCTGAGGCAGGAGAATAGCTTGAGCCTGGGAAGCAGAGGTTGCAGTGAGCCAAAATGGTGCCACTGCACTCTAGCCTGGATGATAGAGCAAGACTCTGTCTCAAAAAAAAAAAAAAGAGAGAGATGACACAGCCGGGCGCAATGGCTCATGCCTGTAATCCCAGCACTTTGGGAGGCCCAGGCAGGTGGATCACTTTAGGTCAGGAGCTTGAGACCAACCTGGCCAACATGGTGAAACCCTGTCTCTACTATATATACAAAAATTAGCCGGGTGTGGTGGCAGGTTACTATAATCCCAGCTACTTGGGGGGCTGAGGCTGAAGAATAGTTTGAACCTGCGAGCGGAGGTTACAGTGAGCCAAGATTGCTCCACTGCACACTCCAGCCTGGGCAACAGAACGAGAGTCCATCTCAAAATGAAATAAATAAGTAAATAAATAAAATAAAAAAATTAAAAAAGATGATGCTTCCATCAATGGAGGAATGGATAAAATATGGTATATCCATACAATGGAATGTTATTCAGCCATGAAAAAGAATGAAGTGCTGATACCACTTACGACATGAATGAACCTGGAAAACATCATGCTGAGTGAAAGCAGTCAGACACAAAAGGTCACGTATTTTATGGACACATTTATATTAAATGTCTGGGACAGGTAAATCCATAAAGGAAGAAAGTATATCTGTGGTTGCAGGGGCCAGAGGGAAGGGAAATTGGGAATGACTGCTCATAGGTTTCCTTTGGGGGGTGATGAAAATTTCCTAGAGTTAGTGGTGATGGTTATACAACCCTGTGAATATCTTTAAAAGGCTGAACTGTGTGGATTGTGAATTATATCTCAAAAGCATACTTCAAAAAAAGATAATGCTTGCATATGCAGGCCCATGGCAAGGGATGATAGTGGTTGGTGGTGATGATGGTGACGATGATTGACGATAATTATATTGTTAATGGTAGTGATGATGATGGCGGTGATGGTGATGTGGTGGTGATGGTGATAGTGATGGTGATAGTGATGGTGATGTTGGTGATGTCATGGTGATGATGGTGGTGGTGATGGTGGTGGTGGTGATGGTGATAGTGATGGTGGTGGTGGTGAGGATGGTGGTGATGGTGATGGTGGTGAGGATGAGAATGGTGATGATGATGATTGTGATGGTGGTGAAGATAGTGGTGATGGTGGTGATGATGATGTTGGTGATGGTGGTTGTGATGATGTTGGTGATGGTGCTTGTGATGACAGTGGTGGTGGTGGTGACTGCAAGCTCAGGACCTTTCCCCCTCTCCCAGGTCTGGTCCGAGAGCAGGAGGCTGGGCTGCTGCAGTTCCTCCGCCTGGACGGCTTCTCTGTGTTGATGAGGGCCATGCAGCAGCAGGTGCAGAAGCTCAAGGTCAAATCAGCATTCCTGCTGCAGAACCTGCTGGTGGGCCACCCTGAACACAAAGGTGTGGCAGCCCTTGAGTGAGGGCAGGAGTGGGGAGCAGACGCCCTGGGGTGGGTGCAGGTGTGGGAGAAGGGGAGGAACAGGCATCCCGGGGAGGGCATAGGAGATGGGTGGGGCTGCCCCTCTGACCCCTGCAGCCCTCCCCCCAGGGACCCTGTGCTCCATGGGGATGGTCCAGCAGCTGGTGGCCCTGGTGCGGACAGAGCACAGCCCCTTCCACGAGCACGTGCTTGGAGCCCTGTGCAGGTACTTTGGCTCCTTGAGAGGACGGGGCCTGGGGTGGGGGCCCCGTCCTCTCAAGGTGGGGGTGGCTCAGGAATCAGCCCGTAGGGACTCAGGAGTTGGGACCTTCCCGTAGAGAGGAAGGGTGTGGGGCCAGAAAGGAGCAGGAGTCAGGGAGCCTCAGTTTCCTCACCAGTAGGGCTGGCACAGAGGCCTTGCAGGAGGGAGAGAGGCTTCTGTACACGCCCCCACCAGTGGATTAGTGTCTAATCAGATGATGCTGGAGCTCTCAACAGCACACCAGAGTTGACACGCACCAGGCCCTGTGCTGAGCCCCTCAGCACCCACCCTGGGCCAGGGGCAGCGTGAGGTCCATTCCGCAGATGGGGAAATGGAGGCCCATTGTGGGGCAGCGACTTGCCAGGCTCCTGAGTGAGCCAGGGGACGGGGCGGGCGATAGGGTTGGGTCAGTGAGGCCTCTAGAGGGAGGTCCTAAGGGCCGCTGTCATGTCCCTCACAGCCTGGTGACAGACTTTCCGCAGGGTGTGCGCGAGTGTCGGGAGCCGGAACTGGGCCTGGAGGAGCTCCTCCGCCACCGCTGTCAGCTGCTGCAGCAGCATGAGGAGTACCAGGTACATGGGGAGGGGACGGGGTGCAAGGAGGACCAGGTGCAAGGGGGAGGGGACAAGGGCTCCAGGAGGACTAGGTGTGTGGGGAGGGGATGGGGTTCGAGGAGGATCAGGTGCCAGGGGGAGGGGACAGGGGCTCCAGGAGGACCAGGTACACGGGGAGGTGACGGGGTGCAAGGAGGACTAGGTGTGAGGGGCAGGGGATGGGGTTCGAGGAGGATCGTGTGCCGGGGGAGGGGACAGCGGCTCCAGAAGGACCAGGTGAGTTGGGGAAGGGACAGGGTGTGAGGAGGACCAGGTGTGAGGGGGAGGGGCCTGGGGGGTGAGGAATTCCCCAGGTTAGACCAAGTGTGGTAGTGGGGACCCTAGTAGGGGCAGAGCCAGCCAGTCCTTGCCCTTGGGGGCTCCTGGGTCCGCTGGTTCAGGCTTTCATTCGTGTTCTCGTGCATTTCACTTATCTTCCATTCAGCAGATGTTTATTTCATGCCTAGCATTCGTCCCGTGCTGTGTCAGAGTAGGAGAGACAGCAAGGAGACAGGAGCTTGGAGATTCTTAAAGTGTTGCCCAATCATTGAATTATTATCTAAATTACCCAATACAGTTGTTTTACATTAAGTAAATGTAAATTGAATATAATATCACTCAAATGTCTTAATGATTTAACTATTTCATTAAATTGACAAGAAATAACAAATGGCAAAAAATAACCAATTATTTTGGGTAAATAACAAGTGATAAATAACAAGTCATCAGATATTTAATTAGATAAGGGGCAAATAAATAACTCATTAGATAACTAGATAAGTAACAAATGCTAAATCACAACTAATTAAAATTCAAATAGTTAACTGATTAAGTAATGCATTAATTTGTTGAAGTGAATGAATCAATGCTGGTGCTTCAGCAAAGCCGAGCTTAGCAAACGCACCCACCTCCTTGGGACGTTATATTCTATTAGATTCATTCCTGTGTAGACACTGTCAAGTGTCTGTATGTATTGAAAGTGTACTACATGGCCAGGCATGGTGGCTCACGCCTGTAATCCCAGCACTTTGGGAGGCCGAGGCAGGCAAATCATGAGGTCAGGAGTTCGAGACCAGCCTGGCCAACATGGTAAAACCCCATCTCTACTAAAAATACAAAAAATTAGCTGGGCATAGTGGCAGGTGCTTGTAATCCCAGCTACCCAGGAGGCTGAGGCAGGAGAATCGCTTGAACCGGGGAGGCGGAGGTTGCAGTGAGCCAAGATGCGCCACTGCACTCCAGCCTGGGCGACAGAGTGAGACTCCATCTCAAAAAAAAAAAAAAAAAAAGTGTACTACATGAGAAGTTTTGACTTATGTATACACCCGTGGAAACATTCAAATTAGATTTGTAACAGATTTTACTAATGCTTTGTGAATAGGTTCCGTAGTCACATGGTTGAAAATACAAGACCCGCAGGAGGGTAAACAGTGAAAAGTCTCTCTCCTGCCCCTCCTTCTGGCTACCCAGTTGCTCAGGTGTCCTTCTTAAAATATTAGGTACACACGAGCAAAGGTGCATGTGAATTCTCCTTTTTCTCTATGTTATGCAAAATAAGCCTGCCGTGCTGTGATGGCTGTTCTGCCCCTTGCTTTGTGGGCATTGCATGTCTCGCCTGTGGCTCTTTCATTTTGCAGCTGTACAGTGCGGATGGGCTCTTTTTTGTAGCATGGATATGCAGGTTGTTTCTACACTCTCGCTATGACAAACACTGCTGAAAGAATAACCTTTTGTATATGTTATTACATATGTCTGTAGAACAATTTCTAGAAGGGAAATGGCTGGGGTCAGGTATGTTAAAGGTGAAGGTTAAAGGGTTAAGGGCCGTTTCATTAGCTATCACCAAGCTGCTCTCCATAGAAGTTCAACCATTGACACTCCAGTCATGAGGGTGCCCAACTCCCCAAATCTTGGTCAGGACAAAGTGGCCTCGATGAACCATTTGACCTTTTTTCAAACTGATTGTTGAAAAGTAGTACTCCAGTCCAGTTTACATTTCTCCCATGAGTGAAATTTGGCATCTTTTCTCTTTCTTGTGAACTGTTCGTTCTCATCCTTTGCCCACTTATCTATTTATTGGGTGATGGTTTTTGCGAATGACTTTTTTAAGCTCTTTAAGAGTTAAGTATATTAGCCATTTGTGCTATGAATCACAAATATTTTTCTCCAACCTCGTTTTCTTTTTCTTTTTTTGCCATGGGAGTATTTTTTATATTACGTAGTTTAACCTCTCAGTGCTTTCTTTCATGGTTTCTGGGGTTTGTATCCGCAGAAAGTTTTGAGCAGTGGTCCATATCTGGGAGTTAGAAAGAGCCCAAGAGTGCTGATATGAGGCAGACCAATGGAGTGAGACGAGTCTGGGGGACCCCGGGTTCTAGTTCAAGTAGTTCAGACACCAGTGTGAAGACAGTGAATCATGGATCTGAGCAGTGATTAAAAAAGCCTAACCTCTGGTGGGGGGGAGTGGGTGGTGGCCAGGAGAGAAGAGGAGTCACCTCTGGGTGCCAAGAATGCTGGAGGCAGGGTCCGGCCTCTGCACTCAGGCCCCTTGCTCCCTGCCCCTGCCCAATCCAGGAGGAGCTGGAGTTCTGTGAAAAGCTGCTACAGACCTGTTTCTCCAGCCCAGCGGACGACAGCATGGATCGGTGAAACCAGGTGGCTTCTTGCCCCCTTCTCCGTGGGAACCCCAGGCCTCTTGCCTCCCTCCCCACCTACAAGGCCCTCTCCCAAGGGATCGCAGGGCCTAGGTGCCTGGACCCAGGGTGTGCCAGCCCGTCTCTGTGCAGTCCCTGGAAGGGGCGCTGAGAAAGGCACCAGCTCCTTGGACCCCACCTCCCATGCTCTCACTCTCATCCCCGTTCTCTTGTCCACACAGCTCTTCCAATAAAGGTGTTTCTCTTCCTCCTTCTCCTCCTTCACTGCCGCCTTTGTCATCTCCTTTGGAGGGTGCATGGGGGACGGGAGGAGGGGCACGGGTTTAAGGGACTTGGGGAGCCACTGGAAGAATAATAAAAGTGTTGCTCTTTATCATCTATAGAGCCATTGTGTCATTTACTCTTCCCTGTCTTTCCTGAGCAACAGTGTGTGGGACATCTGTCCTTTTTTCGGCCACCTGGCAAACCTGAATTCTAGGTTTGAGGAATTTCCCAGGTTAGACATCTAAATTTTCCCTAGGGTAGCCGCCATTTCCCTTCCCAGCATCCTTTGCTGTAGGGTAATCATGTGACATTAGCTCCACAAATCAGAACTCTCTCTGGGAATCTGTTTTGTACACCAATCAGAACCCGCTGGTGGTCTAGCTCCTCTACCAATCAGAGCCCGCCGGTCGTCGGGCCAAGAGTTGGCGGTGGAGGGGCCCCTGCCCAGGTTCCCTTCTGGCTAGTGCAGGAGCAGCCACACCTGGCTTCTGGACAGGGCTGGCAGAGATTCTGGCGGGAGTGTCTGAGCCAGGTGCCGTTGATGGAGGCTGCACTGTGTCTCAGGAGCAGGCCTGTGGCTGGGTGTGGGCTTCATTCCTGACTGCAAAGCGCCAAGCGGATTCTGTAGCTTTCTCAGAGACGTGGGATTGGGGCGGGAGGTGGGGGTGTCGGAGGCTGCCTCAATTCCTTTAATAAATTCCTTTTCTGTTTAGCTACAAGAAATTTTGTCATTTGTAGACAAGAGCTTTGAAAGCTGTTGTTTTTCCAGAGAGGAGGCTGAGCTCAGAGGAGGCTGACCCCTGACCAAGTTCACAGCCAGGATTCACAGCTGGACTAATTCCAGAGCGATCCTCCTCTTTCTTTTTCTTTTTCTTTCTTTTTTTTTTCTTTTGAGACGGGAGTCTCACTCTGTTGCCCAGGCTGGAGTGCAGTGGCCCGATCTTGGCTCACTGCAGCCTCCACCCTCCGAGTTCAAGAGATTCTCCTGCCTCAGCCTCCCAAGTAGCTGGGATTACAGGCGCCTGCCACCGCGCCCGGCTAATTTTTGTATTTGTAGTAGAGACCAGGTTTCACCATCTTGGCCAGGCTGGTCTTGAACTCTTGACAGGGTGATCCACCCTCCTCGGCCTCCCAAAGTGCTGGGATTACAGGTGTGAGCCACTATGCCCGGCCAATCCTCCTCTTTCTTGTATCCTGGTTTCCTAGGACAATTTGATGTCAGACTCATTCCTTTTGTGTGGATTGTTCTGGTGGATCTGGGATTTTTGAGTCTATTTGGATTGGTTTTTATCACTCCTCTTCCTAAATCCAGGATAAATTGAGAGGTAGCTGCAGGATCTGAGATCCTGTCTCAAGAAAAAAGTTCCAGTTGTAGTCCCAGCTACTCGGGAGGCTGAGGCGAGAGGATTGCTTGAGCCCAGGAGTTCGAGGCTGCAGTGATCTGTGATCGTGCCATGCACTCCAGCCTGGTCGACAGAGCCAGACCCTGTCTCTTAAAAAAAAGTTTCAATTCTAATGCAAACACAATGTATATCTGTGAGTTCTGCTGGGTGGAAATCCAGACTTCAGTCATTAAAGCCCCCACAGCTTCCCAGCTTCCATTTGAAGGGTAGGGACTATAGCCACATCCTTATCCCTCAGTTCCTGACCTCTGTGTTAAAACAGTGTGGCAATGATGCCATCATATTGTGGAGAAAACAAGGAAGCCAAATGCTGGGTAAAAGACAAAACATCTCTATAGAAAAAAGAGAAAAGGAAATGCCTCTCTGTGATGGTTCATTTCAGGTGTTGACTGGGCTAAGGGATGTCCAGATAGCTGGTAAAACATTATGGGTGTGTCTATGAGGGTATTTCTGGAAGAGACTAGCATTTGAATCGGTAGACTGAATAAAGATCTTCCCTCCCCAGTGTGAGCTGGCATTATCCAATCCATTGAGGGTCTCAATAGAACAAAGAGGGCAAAGGAGGGGTGAATTTGCTCTTTTTTTTTTTTTTTTTTTTTCTCGAGACGGAGTCTCGCTCTGTCACCCAGGCTGGAGTGCAGTGGCCTGATCTGGGCTCACTGCAACATCCACCTCCCGGGTTCAAGTAATTCTCCTGCCTCAGCCTCCTGAGTAGCTGGGATTACAGGCGCACACCGCCACGTCCGGCTATTTTTTGTATTTTAGTAGACACGTGGTTTCACTGTGTTGCCCAGGCTGGTCTCAAACTCCTGAGCTCAGGCAATCCGCCCACCTCGGCCTCCCAAAGTGCTGGGATTATAGGCGTGGGGTCTTGAACTCCTGAGCTCAAGTACAGGCAGGCGTGAGCCACCACGCTGGGCCCTTTGTTTTTGAGACAGGTTCTCGCTCTGTCTCCTAGGATGGAGTGCAGTGGTGCAATCCGGCTCACTGCAGCCTCGGCTCAAGCGATTCTCCTGCCTTAGCCTCCCGAATAGCTGAGACCACAGGCGCGGGCCACCAGGCCCAACTAATTTTTTAAATTTTCTTTTGTAGAGACGGGGGTCTCCCTAGGTTGCCCAGGCTGGTCTCCAACTCCTGGTCTCATGCCATCCTCCGGCCTCGGGCCTCCTAAAGTGTTGTGATTACAAGCGTAAGCCACCGCGCCCGGCCAATTCGGAGTCTTAAAACAAAAACAAAAACAAAAAAGTTCCTCGCGCCCACACGATTTTTACAGTAGGCCTCTAACATGGGTAGAGAGGGGAGCTATTAAAGTTGGGGAAACCGAGGCTCAAAGCCAGAGGGACCTTCATCAATCTAGACACAAGGTCTAGGAGGTCTCTTTCAGTTGATGCTATTAGAAGCTGCTTTGGGCGGAACTGGCAACACCAGCGACCCGGCCGGGACTATCGCCAGCAGACGGAAACGACTGAGGGCCTCTGAGGCTCGGAGGCGGCTAAGCGCGAGAGCCGGACGGAACGAAGGCGCCTGGCTTTGGCTGGAGCGAAAACCAGGTCTGGATTTCGCAAGAGCCCGACCCTGGAGCCAAAGCTCCACTATGATTAGAGGAGACAGAACAGCGAACGGATTTCCAAACGGAGCGAGTGGGAAGGGAAATCCTGGAGCGGAATATTCACGGGGCCTTGGAACGGAGCCGGTGCGCAGCTGCGGCTCACTGAGCTGTCTGGGTTTATTCCGGGGCAGACCGTTGGCACCAACGGGCGCAAGCGCGTCTGCGGCGGCGGGGTTCAAGAGTGGGCGGTGTCGGGAGCGCCCGGGCGCACGCGCACTGCACCGCCCAGGCGTGCACCCCGCCCCCCGCACCTGCGCACCAACACAGCCGCGGGAGGGCGGGGCCTCCTGCGTCGTCCTGCGCTAGGGGGATTGTGGGATAGTGGCGGAGGGAGCCGGGCGTCGGAGGCCCTGAGGCCGGCCGCAGAGCCCGGAGATTGAGCGGCTTTGGGGAAGGGGTGGTTAAGGAAGTAGGCCTCGGCTTCCGTCGGTCGCTGCTCGGCTCTGCGGCCCGTTTGGACCGCGGAGGAGGTCGCCTTCCCCTCCCGTGGGGCGCTCGGTTGGACTGTGGAAACCGGGGCAACTTCCCCCGTCTTCCCGGCTGAGGCGCCTGCGTGGGCCTCGCGACCCGGCTCGCCAACCCGCCTCGGCCCGCACGCCCACCTCGCCTGCGGACCCCGGAGGTGCCTACGCGGACTAGTGACGCCCCCCGCCCGTCGGCAACTCCACCCGGCGCTGACCCCCTCAACTCTGCAGGACCCGGCGCGCGAGGACCCCACGACCCGCGGGCGCCTGCGCGGACCCCGCGAGCCCCGGCGCCTGCGCGAGTCCCCGACGCCGCCCCCGCCCCCACTCACCGGGCCCCGCAGCAGGGGCCGGAGCCGCCGGCGGCGGGGCGGGGGGGGGCGCCCCGATGAGCCCCGAGTGCGAGGAGCCGCCGCCCCCCCTCGCAGGTGAGCGGCCCGCGTCGCCCGACCCTCTCTCTCCAGGGCCAGGCGCCCACGTCTTCCCCTCTCCGCGTCCCCTCAGGCTTTTCCCTCTCGGGACCCCCGCGGGTCTTTTCTGCTTCGGATCCTTTCCCTCCTTCCTTCGGGTTTCCTCTCCACGGCACCCCGTTTCTTCCCCCTCGACCCTCCCCAGTCTCTTAATCTCTTCACCTCAGCTCCGCCGCCACCCTAGTCTCAGTCTCTTGCTCTCGGCCTTTTCCCACTCGCTCTCTGCAGCTGCGCTCCCCAGTCCCTGAGCCTCAGCTCCGCTCTCTTGCCTCTCTGGCCGGTTCCCCGGCCCCCCAGGAGTCTTTCTCCCTGGTTACCCTGGACTTTGCCTGCTTACACCCTTCCCTCTCGCCCCGATCTCTGCCCCGCCACCTCTTCCGTGGCGCAGCCTCCTTAGATCCCCGGAGCTCAGGACTGGAGGAGCGGGGCTTGTTTTCACCTTGACCGACCCTCTCCCGCCTCCGGCTTCTTGTGCGAGGGACCTGGGAGCGGGGCTTCTCTGGAGCAGCCACCACTCGGGCCTGCTTCAGTGAGATGAAGCCTGCTGAGGGCAGGCAGGGAGCCTGGCGCTGGGCACCGAGGAGGGGGCATCAGCCCTAGGCCCTGCCCTGGAGGTGGGGCCGGTCCCTGGAGGGGGTACAAAGGCAGAGCCGGACAGTCACAATTCCTGCGTGTCGTGATCGAGGTGACTTAGGGAGCTGCAGGGGGCCACAGAGCGGGAGGCACTGGTGAGACTGACTGGACGGACGGCTTTTTCTGTCTAGGAAGGATGAGTAGGAGGTGACAGATGGAGAGTGGGAAGAAGGGCCTTCCGGGGGGGGAAGGAGCAGCACGTGCAGATATGTCAAGGAAGGAAGGTCGGAGTCCTGAGTGCAGATGTATTGGGAGGGTGAGGGGCAGAGTAGTTCCGCCCGGCGTGCTTATCCAGGCCTCGAATGGGACCTCTGGTTGGGGTCTTTCTTGCTCGCTCGTAGTACACACAGACATGACCATAGACACCCGCCTGAAAGGCAAGATGTTTCAGGAAAGGAAGCTGCGTAGACTGTCAGGTGCGGTACTGGGTTCACAGTTGTAGAGAAACTGCAGTGGGATTTCATCCAGCCCAAGGGCGAGGGTCTAACTGTTAGCGTGCGCTGCAAATGCAGCAAGGACTCGAGATTGCCTGGATAACACAGGATGAGGACTTGGTTTACATACATGCACAACACACATGGAGACACGGCGCCCGGCCACGTGTGCTTACTAGTGGTGGGATGGCTGTTGGAGCTGCTTGTGCTGTTGAAAATGTTATGCTTTTTTTTTTTTTTTTTTTTTAACTCTAGTTCTGGGATTGGGATCATGAGAAGGCAGTCCAGCTAATTGTTAGAGGATCTTTTGCCAGACAGACCTAGGCCGAGTCCGGCTTCTGCCAAGCGAGACCTTGGACAAGTTGTTCCTCGTCTGTAAGTGGGGATAGCAGACTGCTCTCCTCAGAGGGTGGATCTAGGGATTAAGTGCAGGGTTTGTAGAAGCCTGTGGCAGAATGCAAGGCACATGACACTCTGCAATCAGTAGCTGTTTTGATGTTGATGATTTTGAGACTGGGTTTTGCTCGTTTGCCCAGCCTTGAACTCCTGGACTCAAGTGATTTTCCCACCTTAGCCTCCTAAGTAGCTAGGACTACAGGCACGTCCTGCAATGCTTGCTCAATTTTTGTGTTTTTGTACCACGCTTGGCTAATGTTTGTATTTTTTGTAAAGACTGGGTCTTGCTCTGGTGCCCTGCTGTGGTGCCCAGGCTGATTTCAAACTCGTGGGTTCAAGCAGTCCTCCTACCTAGCCTCCCAGAGAGCTGGGATTATAGGCATGGACCACCACACCTGGCCGTTCTTTCGATTATTATTTGATTTGGGAATGTCCATTGCAGTGGCTCTCAACTGGGGGCGATTGTGTCCCCTGGGGGACGATTGGCGATATCTGGAGATGTTTTTGGTTGTTACAACTGGGGGGAATGCTGCCAGTATCTGGTGAGTGGAGGTGGAGGCTAGGGATGTTGCTAAGTGTCCTCCAGTGCATGGGCAGCCCCAACACCGAAAAGAACCGTCCAGCCCAAATGTTAGCAGCGCAGAGGAGGAGAACTTTGCTCCACTGCTGGGGTATGGTGTGTCGTTGTGGCTTATTTGCTCTGTTGTGACTCATGAGCTGTGAGTTGGTGAGTTGTGTATTGCGAGTCACCACCATCTTTGTGGCCATTAGCTTTTGTTGGTTCATCTACTGTTTCTTTCCATTAGAGGAGAACCTGCTTGTCTGGTCCCCCTGCCCATTTTTTTTCTTTTGTGGGATGTGTGGCCCAGTGCTCTTAACAGAACACCTTTCTCTGGCTTCAGTTTTCATTAATTCAACAAGTAGCTTTAGTTGGGCCTGGCCTTATGCTAGATCCTGGGAAGTCGGCATGTTTCAGGGGGAGGCAGATGACTGAACAGGTACATCCTGTCACAGAGCCGAGGCTCACATGCTGTTCCAGGGTGACTGCGGGATGCTGTGGAAGCGGCGTGGAGCAGGCCTCTAACACAGATGCGGGGGGGAGGCTCCCTGGAGGAAGTGGTGTCTGTGTGGGGGCCTGAAGGACCCAGGAGGAGCTAGTCAGACTCGAAGAGCTCCGGGAAGGAGGAGGGAGCAGCCCAGCCCCGGCTGAGGGCAGTCAGGTGTGACGCCCACGCGGGAGGTAGCAAGAGATGAGGTGAGAGAGGCCTGAGAGCTTTGGTGAGAGTGAGGGGCCTTGCCAGAGTGGGAATCACTCGGCACCCGGCTTGATGGGGCTCACCTGCCTTTCCATGCCAAACCGTGGTTTTCCCTTTGCACACCAGTTTTGTGGGTCCTTCTCCAGAGAGTGCTGCCTTATAGTAACCCCATCTGTGAGGTATTTCCCGGATAAGGAAACTGGGGCTCGGTGGGGTGAGATCCTTGGTCTAGGCCACAGAGATTTCAGTTTGGGGAGGTCAAATGGGAATGCAAGCTTTTCTGACTTTGGATCACACTGTAACCCTAACTCTGCCCCTTTCTGTTTTTCCAAAGAGCTATTTCAAATCCGTTCATTGGTCTTTTCCTTTCTTTCCTTTAAACCTGTGGCCAGTTCAGGAGACGATTTGAATGTGGATGTTCAAGTCCCCGTCCCAGTCCTTGGCCAGTGTTTCTAGACTCTTCTGTTTCCTAGTTATTCCATCCTCTGGGGTTGGACCAGGGCTGCTAGCTCCCTTGGGAGGGTGTGCTTCTGGGGCCAGAGGGGGAGGCACTGAGGGTTCTCTTTAAGTGGGGACCCTCCCCAAGGCTTTCCCAAGCCACAGGAAAGCCCTAGCTCATCATCTTGTTGGGCCTTGGGCCGCTCCCCCTTCTCCTCTGGCCCCAGTGGCCCTTTCTATCAAATTGGTGTCCCTGGTTCCTCCTTGCTGGGTGGGTGATGCCGGATTCTGCAGCCGGCACACACCGTAGGTCCTGCCCAGAGGTGGTGGGGTTGCCATTACTGTCACTGCATCCCTGGAATTGGGTGTTCCCAGCCCCCTTTCAGATTTGGCTGAGAGCTGACAGAGGCTTGGGGGACATTAGAGGGAGATGGTCTTGCTGTCCTCCGGACTCTGGGCCCTTTAAGGAGCTGGGTGCTGGCCAGCCTGCTGCTGGTAGCAGGCTCTTTCCCTTCCTAGGGTACCGGCCAGGGGGCCAGGCGTTGGAGCTTCTGCTGAGCATTGGGACAGCTCAGGCAGCTGTTTCTGGAGGCCCCCTGAGGCATCTGTGCCCATGACCTCCATTTCTGGGTGCTCGTGGGTCAGCGCAGGTTGGGAAGGGGTGACAGATGAAGCATGGGCCCACCGGTTCCCTGGCGGCAGAGCTGTGCTTGGGCGGATACGTGCAGCAGTGGGGATGGCTCTGTGGGAGCCGCAGTTAGTGCCTGTCCAAGCAGGGGAAGGAAGGGGCTGGCAGGCCCTTGAGGGGTGGCTGGTGTTGAAGGCCCTAAAACACCACAGCTAAGTCAGAAACCAGAGGCAATAGTGCAGAGCTGGTGGAGGGAGAGCGGCAGAGGTAGTTTTCGTTTTTAATGGCTTCCTTTCTCATTTACAATTTCCCCTTCTTCCGTTTGCAGCCAGACTCATGGTTTTCAAACGGTAGCTAAAAACTAGTGGTAGTCACTTCCGCTTTCTTGAAGTTGCTAAAAGTTGCAAAGAATGGGGGTGGCGGGGTGCATGGCGCCTGCCGTAGTATCCGAATGGTCTGAGGAAAAGTACTTGAGTCACTTAGGCAAATGGGTAGAGTCTTTCTCCTGCTCCTCTGTGTTTAGCACCATCACCTTTGGGGTAGTGACCGGTCCCCTACCTGTCCTGCCAGAAAGCATCTGGACGTGGCCTCAGGGTTGGACCGGAAGAGACTTGCACCTGCTGAGCTCCTGCTGTGTCACGGCCACCTGCTTTAGCTCAATGCCTTTTCACAGCAGCCCGCCCTGGTGGGCTGTGTCTCCTTTTCACGGATGAGGAAATGAGACTCAGAGAAATCAAGCGCCTGCCCAGGTTCACCAGGAGAGTGCGAGTGAAACCCACTCTCCTGCTCCATTCGCAGGGATTCTAGCAGGCTTCATTAGGTTGGGAGAGGGGACTGAGAGGGCTTCAGGCCATAGTGCATTCAGAGGTTGTGGTGGGGGAAAGTTTTTTTCTCTTTTTTTCTGTTCTTCCATATTTGCATCTTCATTCTGTTTAGAGCCTGATAATTGAGGTCTGTAGAGTGTCGACCACTCAATTGCATTTGAGCCTTTCAGTCTATTCTGATTTTCAGAGGAGCCACTTGAGATGGAGAGTTCAGGGCGCTGCCTGGGTTCTCAGGGCCGAAGTTCTTGGATGCCGTGCACCAGCGAGCACCCTCCCGTCTCATTCTGGCTGCCCCTGCCCCAGTTGTCTGGGGAGCTCGGTTTGGAGGGGAAGCCTGACCTTTTCCCCGAAGCAGATGGTTAGTCTGTACCAGGGGTAGGGGGTTTGGGGGCCGAGGGCCATGCCTGTGCCCTTTAATCAGGTATCTTAGAAGTGAACGGTGGGCCTCAGTGTGAGAATTTCTGCCTGTTGTTTAGAGACCAGGGCACACTGGAAGCCTCTTGCTAGCCATGTGGCTCCACCCCTCTGGGCCCCTCTTCCACATGAGACTCTGTCGGAATAATAAGAATTCTTTACTTGGTCTTGATGTGGAGCCGAGACAAGTGTCTCTGCAAGTGCGGGTCCATGGATTTTCTACAGATGCTGGCTTGGTGCTGCTCCTATCCCGTCCCCACTGTGGAGGGGCTCACTTAGCTTAGAGCTGTTGGTGGTGAGGGATGGGGAAGGGGTAACCTGGGTGAGTGCCCCAGGGCTGAGCCTTGGCAGCTTCAGCTCTGCCAGGCTGGCCGGCATCTCATCAGCTCTGCGGACGCTGGGACATAGTGCAAGGCCTGAGCCTGGCCCTGGCTCTGTCCCTGCCATGGCCGATGGCCTGAGGCAGGTTTTTTTTTTTCCCCCAACAGTTTTTATTGAGATATTCTGTACAGTTCATCCATTTAGAGTGTACAGCCAGGCGCAGTGGCTCACGCCTGTAAGCCCAGCACTTTGGGAGGCCGAGGCAGGCAGATCACTTGAGGTCAGGCATTCAAGACCAGCCTGGCCAACGTGGTGAAACCCCGTCTGTACTAAAAAAATGCAAAAATTAGGCCGGGCGTGGTGATTCATGCCTGTAATCCCAGTGCTTTGGGAGGCCCAGGCAGGCGGATCACAAGGTCAGTAGTTCGAGACCAGCCTGGCCAATATGGTGAAACCCCGTCTTTACTAAAAAAACACACACAAAAATTAGCTGGGTGTGGTGGCGCACTCCTGTAATCCCAGGTACTCAGGCTGAGGTGGGAGAATTGCTTAAAACCGGGAGGCGGAGATTGCAGTGAGCCGAGATCGCGCCGCTGCACTCCAGCCTGGGTGACAGAGCGAAACTCTGTCTCAAAAAAAAAAAAAAAAAAAATCAGCCAAGAATGGTGGTGCGCACCTGTAGTCCCCACTACTCGGGAGGCTGAGGCAGGAGATATGCTTGAACCCAGGAGCTGGAGGTTGCGGTGAGCCGAGATCGCGCCACTGCACTCCAGGCTGGGTGACAGAGAGAGACTCTGTCTCAAGAAAAAAAATAATAAATAAAGGGTACAATTCAGTGGTTCTTAGTGTATTCACAACGTTGTGGAAACATCACCACAATTGATTTTGGAACTTTTTTTTAATCACCCTTTCCTTTCAGGAACTTCGCCCAATCCCCGCCAGCTCCTGGAAGCCTGTAAGCTCTTTTCTGTCTCTATGGATTTGCCTGTTCTGGATGCTTCACATAGTTGGAGGCCTGCAGTGTGTGGTTCCTTGGGACTGGCTTTGCTGGCATGGCATGGGCAGCCTATCAGCCTGCTTGGTCTCCCACGGAGAAAGAGGCTGTGTGTGTGTGCTTGCCACGTCTCGGTGCTTTGCTCGCCACAGCCTTAGGCCGGAAATTGGCAGAGTCATGATAAATTTGGCGGTTGCCCCTTGAGATTATTCTGGTCCCAGGTACACCCAGATCAGGAAATCCATTCCCCCTCCCGCTTCCCTCAGCACGCTGGTGAGTCACCTTTGCTGAGCCTGAGTTTTCTCATCTGTGACATGGACACTTGGTGGTCGGCCTGTCGCATTCCTTGTCAAGCGGGCTGGGAAGTAGGGGATGGTCCCTTGAGGAGGTCTAGCATCTGGGCAGAAGTGGGGAGGTGGGGAGTTACCACTGTGCACACAGAGGTTCCCGGAGCAAGGAAGGGAAACAGTTGTATTTCCTTGTGAGGTGGTGGTGCCTTCGTCACTCTTGACACAGGGGAAAATACACACCCATTGCCTGCCCAGGGCGATCTTGCACTTTCCCCCACCTCCTGATTTAGGGACCCCGTAGGAGTGGCTGGGAGGGGCCGGAGTGGGAGTGATTTCACTTCGTCTAACGCCCTGACAGGTACGGCAGCCTCCTGCCTGGGAGGAGCTGGGGCCTTGTGAAAATGAGGTTTGCTTTTCAGCTAATACTTGTGAGCGTTTATTGCCAGGGCCAGGTTCCATGCTAGGTGCTGCCCTCAGGTGCCCATGGTAACCTAGGGGGAAGGTTCTAGAGGAAGCATTGTAGGGCCACGAGTGTGTACCTCCAGTGCTTCATTGCTGTGTCACAGAGATGCTTCCAGGCGGCAGGTCAGAACGCACAGCTCAGGGAGACAGGGAGACAGTGGTGGACAAAGGCGGGGCTGGGGGCTGCTTGAGCCAGGCAGGCCAGGGAAGGCCCTTCTGTGAGGTGAATGCTTAGTAAGAGATCTGAGGATGAGAAAGTGAGTTATTAGGACAAAGTCGCTGGGGTAGACCCAAGCTTAGTGTGTTCTGAAAACAGAAGGCCAGCTTGGCCAGGGCAAGTAGGGAGTGGGAGGTCATTGAGGGTCCCAGGCGCTGACCCGATGAGAGGGCGGTTCTGATTTTCCCTTCAGCAAGCTCTGCATGGCTGTGGGGAGAGGGAACGAGCAGGGGTCGCCTGCGGTCGAGTGTGGGGGGCCTGCCGTCAAGTGGTGGTCATGCAGGCAGAAGGGGTGGGATGGTTATGTTTGGGGAGGTCAGCGGTGCCTGGGTCGGGGTGGGAGGCCTGATAAGTCCCTAGATTTCTGGTGGTGCTGGGTTGGAGGAGAACTCAGGCCTCTGGCCGAACTGTGCTGTCACAGCTGGGCTGGGAGGGTCCTGAGGACCACAGCCCTCCATCCTGAATCCAGGGATGTCTGTTGAGTAAGCACTAGCAGCTGGGGACAAGGTGGACAGGGAGTTTACCATCCAGACAGGTCCCTTCAGGGTGGGCCTGGAAATGGCAGGCTCCTCCCTGAGGTGAGAGTCGGGGTCACTGTGGCCAGGGCTAGTCCCTCAGGCAGAGCAAGTGCTGGAGCCGGCTCAGCGGGAACTCGCTCATTCATCCCTTAAGTGTCCACTACACAGGCCCTGTGCTGGGACAAGGGCTCTGCACCCTGAAAATACAACTTCTGAAAGCTGAGAGTGCCAGCTTCACTGCCCGCCAACCCCTGGATCGGGGCATAGGCATTTACTTTGGTGTGCCTCAGTTTCCTCTCCTGTAAAATAAGGCCATTCCCTGGAGGGTGGTTGTGAGAGTTGGTGGAGGTGATGGCTGTGAAGTCCTTTTCAGAGTAGTCAGCGCAGTGCAGGTGCTGGAGCGCAGTGGCTGATACCATCGACATCATTGCCTGGAATGCCCCCATCCACCCAGACCCGCAGGGCCTCCTGGATATCCATCCAGCACTGTGCCTCAGGCAGCCACGGGCTGTGCAGGAGACACCTGAAGTGGCAGCCCCAGGAGCACTGGCGAGGTGGCATGGGGCACGGCCTCCCCAGGGCACTGGGGTCACCGTGGGCATGGAGGTCAGTCAGTGAGCTGGCTGGGCAGGGGCACGAGAGCCTGGATGCAGGCTTGGTGGAGTGCACATCACCGAGCAGGTGCGGGTACTCATGTTTGTGCTTTAAAAGGATTTTTTTTTTTTTCCGAGACAGAGTGTTGCTCTGCCACCCAGGCTGGAGTGCAGTGGCGCAATCTCGACTCACTGCAACCTCCGCTCCCGGGTTCAGGCAGTTCTCCTGCCTCAGCCTCCCGAGTAGCTGGGACTATAGGCACACACCACCATGCCCGGCTAATTTTTGTATTTTTAGTAGACACGGGGTTTCATCATGTTGGCCAGACTGGTGTCAAACTCCTGACCCCGGGTGATCTGCCTGCCTGGGCCTCCCAAAGTGCTGGGATTATAGGCGTGAGCCACCACACCCAACCTTAGAAGGAATATTGGGAGTCTGGGCATGGTGGCTCATGCCTGTAATCCCAACACTTTGAGAGGCCCAGGTGGGCGGATCACCTGAGGTTAGGAGTTCAAGGCCAGCCTGGCTAACGTGGTGAAATCCCATCTCTACCAAAATAGAAAAATTAGCCGGGTGTGGTGGCAGATGCTTGTAGTACCAGCTACTAGGGAGGTTGAGGCGGAAGAATCGCCTGAACCCGGGAGGTGAAGGTTGAGGTGAACCTAGATTGTGCCACTGCATTCCAGCCTGGGCAACAGAGTGAGACTCCTCAAAAACAAAGGATTATTGGGAAAAGTGGACTGGTGAGGGGTAAGTGGTGAGTCACTGGGTGCTGTGGACTGGGACCTGGCAGGCCCCCCAGAGGAGCAGGGGTTCAAATGCCTGGAGGCTGCTGCTATCTCCCCTAGTCCTCCTGCTGCCGCCATGACTGTCGTTGGTCACGGAACTCTTCCCTCTGCTCCACCCTCAACTGTCATTGGCCAGGTGTAGGGACCCATATAGTGTTATATCAAGATTGTTGCCAATCTAGAGTTACCGAGGCAGACGGGCAGACTGGGAGCAAGGTCTGGACTGCAACCTTCTGTGCTGAGCCCAGCCTTAGGGTGGTCAGGGTGGATGAGCAAGGAGATCCTGGCCCCAGGCTGGCCTGGCTTCAAGCTAGCCAGGAAGGAGAGGAAAGGAGGCCCAAGAGGCGTTCGACCTGCCTGAGGCCATGTGTGGGACTCTGTCCTGCGTTTTGTCAGCCCAGGCTGCTCTCCTAAGCTCCGATGAAGTCTCTTCCCTGGGCCTGGTGCTCCACGTCTCCCTGTCTCTTCCCTGGGGCCTGGGGCTGAGTCAGGCCTGGGGGCTGGTGGGCACTGAGGTGACAGGTCAGCAGGGCTCGAGGAGATGGTGGAGGCCTGTGCAGAGGGAATGACTGAACTGGAAGAAGCTGCAGAAGGGCATTGGAGGAGAGGGACTAGCATCTGTGCCTGGGAGTGATGGTGGTGAGGGCCTGCGGGAGAGGCACCCTTGGCCTCTTGTGCCGGCTCTGCTCTGTTCTCAGCATCCTCTGTAGTGACTTGGGGGTAGCAGTGGCCTCTGCCTTAGCTGGTGATGCGGTTGTCAGGAGGCAGGTAATGAGCGTGAGCTCTGGTCAGTGTCTTAACTGGTGAGAGCTCCGTGAAGGCTGTCTGCTGGGACCAGATGGCCTTCGAGATTCCAGGATGCCGCCTGACTTACCGGGCTTTGGTTGCCCCTTGTCCTGTGTGGCGGAGTGATGACAGCTTTCTTGGGGGCTGCTGGTGAGCTTGGACATCATGTGCACAGCACACATGCAGAGCCAGGACCATTGTCATCAAGTGCCCAGAGCACAGGTCACAGGTCAGGTCTGTAGTGGAAGGTCTGTGTGGAGGCTTTCTAGGGCTCTGCGGAGCAGTGATGTAGTACAGGGCAGGGGCTCAGAATGGAGTTGCCTGGCATCTTGTTAATACTCTGTGTGTGTTTCCTTATTGCCAGTGAGTTCCCATGCACGAGCGTTTAGGGGCTGGAACCAGGCTGAGGAACCAGGCACTGTCCTCCAGAGGGCGGGAGCCAGCTCCAGATGGGGACAGGGTCAGGGCCGGGTGTTGCCAGCTTTGTTCTTCCCCCACAGAATCTGTCTATCCCACCCTGGGTTCCTTCAGGTCCTGGTCAGTGACTATTCTGGGAGCCCCTCCCTTCCAACTTTTCCTCTTCCTTGTTCCAGCCCAGGTGCTGGGTGAGAGGATGGTTGGGGTGTGTTTGTGTGTGAGTGGTGTCCAGGCAACGGCCACAGCCTGGAGATGCACAGACTTCCTCTCTTCCCCCTGCCGCCGCCCCATGCCTCCCACGTAGCCTTGGGGGATTTGCTGGGCCAAGCAGCAGCCGTGTGCTGGAAGTCATCGGGCATCTGAGTTTGTTGAGCAAATACAGGTTGAAGCAAATTTGAAGCCAGAGGTTAAGGCCCTGCCTCTGCAGTGTCTCTCCCAAAAGTAGGGATAGTGGACCCAGACCCTCATGGGGAGACAGGGCCCGAGGCCCCTCAGTGCACAGGGTCCAGCCTCTTCTCGCAGGCCCTGCACATGGTCCACACCTGGGGACTTCACCAGGCCTGAGGCCTCAGGTGTGAAATGACCCCCTGGACCTCAGGCGAGGCGGCCGGGAGGCTGGAGATGGGGGAAGAGGGGCAGGCTCGAGGGCAACTGCAGGAGCCTGGTGCTCACTGGGAGCCTTAAGCCTGAGTGATGGAGGCAGTGAGCCTGCGGGCAGTCCCGGGGCGGGGCCGGGCTCAGCATGAGGCAGAGGGCTGGGACTTGGGGAGAGGCTGTGCCCAAGGTGGGCACTCAGCCCCTGTGGTCAGTGCCTCGTCCAGTGGGGACTCCCTGGGGCGTCTGACGCGGCGCTGGTTGTGTCTATGCCTGCAGGGCGCCATGTTTTGGAAGTTTGACCTGCACACAAGCTCGCACCTGGACACGCTGCTGGAGCGGGAGGACCTGAGCCTGCCCGAGCTGCTGGACGAGGAAGACGTGCTGCAGGAGTGCAAGGTCGTCAACCGCAAGCTGCTGGACTTCCTGCTGCAGCCACCCCACCTGCAAGCAATGGTGGCCTGGGTCACCCAGGAGCCGCCAGATAGCGGTGAGGAGCGGCTGCGCTACAAGTGAGTTCCCCAGCTCCTGGCCAGCCCGTCCCTATCAGCATCACACATACCTTCACTACGCAAGCCTCACAGCTACCCTGAAATGCGTCAGTGTCAGTAAACTCCAGTTTGGGGATGAGGAAGACGAGGCTGGGAGCAGCCAGGCTCCTGCACAAGGCCTCACAGCTCACCGGGTGCAGACCAAGCCTGTGCTCTGGAGGGCAGTGGCACAGTCACGGGTCACGGCAGCCACAAATTCACGGGCCCAGGTGATCCTCCCGCCTCAGTTGCCCGAGTAGCTGGGACCACAGGCATGTGACGACATGCCCGGCTGGTTTTTCTCTTTATTCGCCGCCTTTTATTTTATTTACTTTTTATTAAACTTTTTTTGTATGTTTGTGAAACACTTGTCTGCTATTGAAGACACTTTACTTATTTTTTAATCCAAGCGATGCTGAAAAGACACTTTTTTTTTTTTTTTTGAGACTCACTTTATCACCAGGTTGGAGTGCAGAGGCATGATCGGCTCACTGCAACCTCCTCCTCCCAAGTTCAAGTGATTCTCCTGCCTCACCCTCCTAAGTAGCTGGGACTATAAGCCAGCACGCCCAGCTAATTTTTGTATTTTTGGTAGAGACAGGGTTTCGCCATGTTGCCCAGGCTGGTCTTGAACTTCTGACCTCAAGTGATATGCCTGCCTCAGCCTCCCAAGGGGTACCTCCCCACAGTCCTGGAGCAGACTGTGGCCCCTCAGGGCCTTGAGTGGCACGCTGGTGGGGCAGCTCTTGTCTTGGAGCCGTCAGGCACCGTGTGAAAGTTTGGAGGAGGGAGGCAGGAGGTGAGGTTGGAAGTTGAGCAAGGTTCCAGGAGTCAGCCGGAGCTGGGGCAGCATACGGGGTTGCAAGTGAAGCCGCTGAGAGGCAAAAGGGATGAGTGTTAGCTGCTGGGGGATTGGGAAGCGCAGGAGCTTCAGGACCAGCTTGTCTTGGGGGTGGTAAGGAGCCTAGGATGGGATGGTTGGGTGTTAGCAGGGTGGAGGAGGCCTGGTGTGGGCCCTTGTTTCTGCGTCACCCTGTCCTCTGCCCTTTCCCCTTCCTGGACAGGGGTCTCTGCAGTTCCCAGAAACCCAGTGCCCGGTGCAGAGAAGAGGGTGGAGCCTTGCCGCCCCCTGCCCCCGGCCTCCGACCCGAGCCCCCACCCGCCTGTGCTTGCCTCCCAGGTACCCCAGTGTGGCCTGCGAGATTCTGACCTCAGATGTGCCCCAGATCAATGATGCCCTGGGTGCTGATGAGTCCCTTCTGAACCGGCTCTACGGCTTCCTGCAGAGCACCGGCAGCCTCAACCCACTGCTGGCCAGCTTCTTCAGCAAGGTCATGGGCATCCTCATCAACCGCAAGACAGACCAGGTGCCCTGGCCCCCACCCTGGCGCCACCGTGGGTTGAGGGGTGGTGGCTGGGCCAGGCCCTGTGCATGACGCAGCCCGTGTGCCCCCAGCTCGTGTCCTTTCTTCGGAAGAAGGATGACTTCGTGGACCTGCTGCTGCAGCACATTGGCACCTCGGCCATCATGGACCTCCTGCTGCGCCTGCTCACCTGTGTGGAGCGGCCTCAGCTGAGGCAGGATGTTGTCAATGTGAGCAGGGCCGGCTCCTCTGGGGGTGGGGGGCTGGGCGTGGTGGACAGCGATGCATCCCTCGCCTTCTCACCCTCAGTGGCTCAACGAGGAGAAGATCGTCCAGCGGCTGATTGAGCAGATCCACCCGTCGAAGGATGAGAATGTGAGTGCTGCCGATGCCCCTGCGGATTCCCCTTAGAGTTCCTTCCCCATGCCCACTTCCCCACTTTTAAAAGAGGAATTGGGGCTGGACGCAGTGGCTCACGCCTGTAATTCCAGCACTTTGGGAGGGCGAGGTGGGAGGATTACTTGAGCCCATGAGTTTGAGACCAGCTTGGGCAACATAGTAACACCCCGTCTCTACGTAAAAACTTAGCTGAGTGTGGTGTTGCACACCTGTAGTCCCAGCTACTTGGGAAGCTCAGGTAGGAGGATTGCTTGAGCCGGGAGGTCAAGGCTATAGTGAGTCATGATCACACCACTGCACTCCAGCCTGGGTGACACAGTGAGACCCTGTCTCAAAAAAAAAAAAAGAAAGAAAAGAAATTGGTGAGAAAAGAGAGCATTGAGAACCAGGTGTATCCATGCCCTTTGAGAAAAGGAAAGAAACTTGACTCAAGTGATTCTCCCACTGTGGCCTCCGAAAGTGCTGGAAAGGTTTTTTTCATGACCCAGGAACTTGGCACATAATGCCTTGCAGGGAGGGGCCCTCCTCATCGCCTGTCCAAGCGCTGGCCCCACATCCGTCCCTGCCCACCCTGGCCTGTGCTATTGCTGGGCCTGGCAGCTTTTTCCCTGTCTCCTGCCTGATTGAACCCCTTGCTGTCCTTCTAAGTGTCCGTCCAGCAGCCTTGCTTTCAAGCGCCCTCACATCCTCCCCTTTAGCTCTGGGGGACCCCATGTCCATGTGTTTCTCCAGCTTGGGTCTCCATCTCTGTCCTGGTGCCCAGCACAGGGCCTAGTGTAGAGTGGGTGTTTGTCAAGAGCCTCAGATATCCGAGGCCACTGGGAGCAACATGTCCTTCCCAATGCCAACTTCTGCCTCAGAGGCGCACAGGCTTACAGAGCAGAGATGGCTCTGGGCTCACCCAGGCTGGGGCCTGTCCCTGTGAGGACCCTGAGGCATGGCCCAGGGCCACACTGCCAAGCCCTGGCAGCTGCCCGTTGGGTAGACTCAGCTCTGCTTATGCTTCTCTCTTTTCTCTCTTTTGTAGCAGCTTTACTGAGATGTAAATTGCACAGCATACCACTCACCCACCGAAGCTTACGATTCAGCGCTTTTAGGGTATTCAAAGCGTTTATCATCTTGTTGAATTTAGATTATTTTTTATCACTCCAAAAAACAAGTCCTGCCTGTAATCCCAGCGCTTTGGCAGGTGAGGCTGGAGGATTGCTTGAGCCCAGGAGTTTGAGACTAGCCTGGGCAACATAGCAAGACGTTGTCGCTACAAAAAATTGAAAAATTAGCTGGCATTGGTGGTGCACACCTGTAATCCTAGCTACTCAAGAGTCTGAGACGGGAGGATCTCTTGGGCCCAGGAGTTCAGGGCTGCAGTGAGCTGTGATGGCACCACTGCGCTCAAGCCTGGGGTGATGTAGAGGCCGTGTCTTTTTTTTGAGACAGTGTCTTGCTCTGTTGCCCAGGCTGGAGTGCAGTGGCGTGATCTTGCCTCACTGTAGCCTTGACCCCCCTGGGCTCAAGCAATCCTCCTGCCTCTGCCTCATGAACAGCTGGAACTAGAGATGCACACCACCATTCTTGGCTAATTTTTTTGTATTTGTAGAGATAGAGTTTTGCTATGTTGCCCCGACTGGTCTCAAACTCCTGGGCTCAAGTGATCCTGCCACCTTGGCCTTTCTTTTTTTTTTTTTTTTTTTGAGATGGAGTCTCGCTCTGTCTAGAGTGCAGTGGCACGATCTCGGCTCACTGCAGCCTCCACCTCCCAGGTTCAAGCGATTCTCCTGCCTCAGCCTCCCGAGTAGCTGGGACTACAGGCGCCTACCACTGCGCCTGGCTAATTTTTTTATTTTTAGTAGAGATGGGGTTTCACCATGTTGGCCAGGCTGGTCTCAAACTCCTGACCTCGTGATCCACCTGCCTCGGCCTCCCAAAGTGCTGGGATTACAGGCGTGAGCCACCGCGCCCGGCCCCACCTCGGCCTTTCAGACTGCTGGGATTATAGGCATGTGCCATCACACCCAGCCGAGACCCTTTCTCCAGAAAAAATAAAAAAGATGCCCTGTGTTCATTAGCAGCTCCTCCTGATCTTCCCCTTTCTCTTCTTAGCCCCCGGCAACCACCAGACTATTCTGTCTCTGTGGATTTGTCTTTGGACATTTCATATAATTGGAATCATGTACTACGTGATCTGTGTGTGGTTTCTTTCTCTAGCATGATGTTTTTGTGGCTCATTCATGTGGTTGCATGTATCAGTTTCACTCCTTTTCCTGGCTGATTAGCACTCTCCTGTGTGGATAGACCAGCTTGGGCATATTCACTCATCAGTCAGAGCCTTCTGGGTCATTGTGGGCGGTGCTGCCAGCCCTGTATGCGGTCATGAGGGCCTTGTGTGGATGCCTCCTGTCCTGGGGAGCCTTCCGGGCTTCCTGTTCTCTCCACCATCTTCCCTCCAGCAGTTGGTGCCTCTGTGCCCTCCTCCTTCGTAACACGTGTCCCTGTGTCTGGGTGACCATTTTTCCCTGGATGGTCAGCTCATGGGAGGGGCTCCCAGCACCAGGCTGCAGAGGGCCCGGTGGCCCGACCAGGATCCTCACCTGTCTCTCCCCGTTCCAGCAACATTCCAACGCATCCCAGTCCCTGTGTGACATCATCCGCCTGAGCCGGGAGCAGATGATCCAAGTCCAGGACAGCCCAGAGCCTGACCAACTGCTGGCCACCCTGGAGAAGTGGGTGTGCGGGCAAGGCTAAGGCTGGGGGGAGCTGACTTGGGGAAGCCCTGGGCCCCTGGCCCCTCACCCTGACCCCTGCCCCTGCCCCCGCAGGCAGGAGACGATTGAGCAGCTCTTAAGCAACATGTTCGAGGGGGAGCAGAGCCAGTCTGTCATCGTCAGTGGGATCCAGGTGCTGCTGACCCTGCTGGAGCCCAGGAGGCCGAGGTGAGGGATACGGGCCACAGACCATGCATGCTGCCCATCCCCAGGGGCTCTCCGGCCCCTCAGAGGCGGGTCTCGGTGTCCACCAAGAGAAATCCCCGCCCGTGGCACCTTGCTCTGTGGCTGCCTGTGCTCCCTGCACAGTGGACAGTACGGGGCCGAGGGAGGAATCTTCTTGTCTGCTTTGACAAGTGAGGGCACTGAGGCTGAGGCCACTGCTGCAGCTTGTGTTGGGAGGGACCCCAGGCCCCCGTGCCCCTGCCTTACCACACAGGCCGCTAGCCTGTTGGGTTTGCCTTCCCGCCTCCACCCCTCACCCGTGCTCTCACAGTGGACTGCCAATGCTGCCGCCTGGCGGGCTCCCCACCCCAGCCAGGTGTTGTCTGAAGGGCCTCAGAAGAGAGCGGCGCTGGGGGCATGTGGCTCCTCGTTTTCCTCCAGACCCTGCAGACGTGGTCCTTGTGCCTACTCCTGTGTGGGCGCACAGGCCATCTAGGCTCACTCCGCCTTCGACCCTGCCCTGCTGCAGGTCCGAGTCCGTGACCGTGAACAGCTTCTTCAGCAGTGTGGATGGGCAGCTGGAGCTCCTGGCCCAGGGGGCCCTGGAAAGCACTGTGTCCAGTGTGGGCGCCTTGCACGCCCTACGCCCGCGGCTCAGCTGCTTCCACCAGCTCCTGCTGGAGCCTCCCAAGGTCAGGGGTGTGGGTTCTGGTCCTCGGGGAGGCGGGGGAAGCAGGAAGGGCAGCCCTTGGGAATCAGGCCTCCCTGTGTCTGCAGCTGGAGCCGCTACAGATGACATGGGGCATGCTGGCTCCGCCTCTGGGCAACACGCGGCTGCACGTGGTCAAGCTCCTGGCCAGTGCCCTGAGCGCCAATGATGCAGCCCTGACGCACGAGCTCCTGGCACTGGACGTGCCCAACACCATGCTGGTGCGGGGACTGGACCGGGCTGGGGGTTCAGGGGCTGGGGCGGGGACTGGACTGGGCTGAGGGTTCGGGGGCTGGGGTGGGGGCTCGGCTGGGGGCTCAGGGGTTGGGGGCTCGGCTGGGGCGGGGCCTCTCTGGTACCAATCCTGTGTCCTCCCATAGGACCTCTTCTTCCATTATGTCTTCAACAACTTCTTGCATGCCCAAGTAGAGGGATGCGTGAGCACCATGCTGAGCTTGGGGCCACCTCCTGACAGCAGCCCTGAGACGCCCATCCAAAACCCTGTTGTGAAACATGTGAGCTGGGACTCCCTGGTCCCCCTCCTTCTGGGCCCATCCCCTGTGGGCGCACCCTCTCCAGAGGCCTACCCCTCACTCCTTCCTCCCACAAGTGTTTGTTGGGTAGTGTTAGGTGCCAGCGCCCAGATGGGGTGTGGGAGGCATGGCCAGGGAGAAACGCGGATGAAACATGCAGGTGCAGGGAGCAGTGGGCTCCTGACTTGAGCTGAAGAGCTAGGGGTGGGCGGGAGCAGACCTGCGAGCAGCTGAGTGTGCATGAGTGCGCACACGTGCGTGTGTGAGCATGTGTCAGTGCAAGCGTGTGTGAGAGCATGTATGTGTGTGAGTGCACACGAGTATGTGAACATGTATGTGTGAGCATGTGTGTGTCCGTTAGTGCATGCATGTGTGTGTGTGTGTGTGTGTGTGTGTGTGTGTGTGTGTGTGTATGCACCACATATTCTTTTGTAGAAAGACCAGAGAGACTTGGGTGGATGCCAGGGTCCCAAGCCCCAGCTTGCATCCCTCCTTCCCATCCCCGTCTCTGGATGAGCGGGGGCCTGGTGAAGCATCTGCTGAGGAAGGGACCCCTGCTGCAGTGCAGAGCTCCCCACATGTGTGCAGACCACCCCTCCAGGCCATCCTGTCCCGCTCTCCCGCAGCTGCTGCAGCAGTGCCGCCTGGTGGAGCGGATCCTGACGTCCTGGGAGGAGAACGACCGTGTACAGTGAGCACCTGCTGCCCTTCATGTCTCCAGGGGCTGGGGCTGCCTGGATGGGGGGCCGGGCTGGGGCTGGGCATCCCTGGGTCCAGTCCTGGCTTGCAGCCGCGGCCTTCACTCTTGCCAGGTGTGCGGGAGGCCCTCGGAAAGGCTACATGGGTCACCTGACAAGAGTGGCCGGTGCCCTGGTGCAGAACACGGAGAAGGGGCCCAATGCAGAGCAGCTGCGGCAGCTGCTGAAGGGTGAGGGTCCCCAGGCCGGCCTGAGGGCTAGGTGGGGGGCTTGAAGCCCCGAGATGCCTCACGTCTTCACCCCTCTCACCTAAGCAGAGCTGCCCAGCGAGCAGCAGGAGCAGTGGGAAGCCTTCGTATCGGGGCCCCTGGCGGAGACCAACAAGAAGAACATGGTGGACCTGGTGAGGCCCAGCTTCTCTTCCTGCACTCCTCCTGCTGCTTCTCTCTCTTGGGCCAGTCTTAGCCTCCCACCGCCACCGATAGCTGCCTGCCCACCCTGGTCTGGGGGCTCCAGCAGGCCCTGACGCCCCCTCCTCTCCCCAGGTGAACACCCACCACCTACACTCCTCCAGTGACGATGAGGACGACCGGCTCAAGGAGTTCAACTTCCCTGAGGAGGCTGTGCTGCAGCAGGTGGGCGTGGGGCTATGTGGGGCTGTGCTGGGCTATGCTGGAGTGGGGTCCTGCCCAACTCCCTCCAGCCCTAACCTCCGCACCCCCACAGGCCTTCATGGACTTCCAGATGCAGCGCATGACCTCTGCCTTCATTGACCACTTCGGCTTCAATGATGAGGAGTTTGGGGAGCAGGAGGAGAGTGTGAAGTGAGTGTCTCCTGCGCAGGGTCACAGCCCTGTCCTGCCTCTGCAGCAGCAGGCGCGCCTACTTGTATCTGTCCCCTGCACGCACCTACATGCCCTGTGGGCTCAGCCTGCAGCTGTGGCCCCTCCTGGGCACGCGTTGGCCGTGGCCTTGTGTGTGTGTCTGCAGCCTCGTGTGTCTGCCTCCTGTTACATGAGTTCCAGCTCTGCAGTCTCTTCTCTCCGAGAGGCAGGCCATGAGGGTGGGGCACAAACATCTTCTGTGCTGGGGACACAGAGCGGGTCCCTCCCACTCCTGGAGCTAGCCTTAGGGGTTCCAGGCGGGAGGGGCTCAGGGTAGTGGGGACCAGCAGTCCTGGCGCAGGGACTGTGGGGCAGAGCTGCACCTCCATGGATGCCCTCTGGCTCAGGAGTCTGCCAGACATGGGGGTCCAGTTTTCCCCTCCACAGGCCTCGGGGTAACAAAACTTTTTTTTTCCAATTACCAATTCTGCTTGTTTTGATTTGTGGGTCAACCACATCTTAATATCAGTCACCTCTGGGTGTTATGATCATGAACTTTTCTGAGTTTCTTGCCACAAGCATCTGTTGCTTCTGGAGTCAGAAAAAAGTGGCTGGGCGGAGTGGATCACACCTGTGATCCCAGTACTTTGGGAGGCCGAGGCAGGCAGATCACCTGAGGTCAGGAGTTCGAGACTAGCCTGGCCAACATGGCGAAACCCCATCTCTACTAAAAAATACAAAAATTAGCCAGGCGTGGTGGCAGGTGCGTGTAGTCCCAGCTACTTGGGAGGCTGAGTTAGGACAATCGCTTGAACCTGGGAGGCGGAGGTTGCAGTGAGCCGAGATTGTCCCACTGCACTCCAGCCTGGGCAACAGAGCGAGACTCTGTCTTGCTCCCCACGATGAGCTCATTTACGGCCAGGGAGACTGAGGCCCCAGGACATAGCTGGTTAGTGTGTGGGAGCTGGATGGCTGCCCATGGCTGCCCCGGGGTCCCTGTACAGCACAGCGTAAGGGACACCACGATGAGGGATAGTCAGCTGTTCCTGGCTTAGTCCACAGCTGGACAGAGGTCCTCTCAGATGCAGACGTGATATCCTGTGTTGGCTGCTTCTGTGCCCAGCATGGAGACTTGCAGAGCGTTGGTCTTTGTGGGTCAGTGGCCTGTGCCGAGACCCCTGGAGAAGATGCTCAAGTGAAAACTGGGCTGGACACAGTGGCTCACATCTTAATCCCAGCACTTAGGGAGGCCGAGGCAGGAGGATCGCTTGAGTTCAGGAATTTCAGCCCAGCCTGGGCAACATTGTGAGACCATCTCTGCTTTTTTAATTAAAAAAAAAAAGAAGAAAACCCCACCCTGGCAGGAGAATGAAGGGACTGACTGGTAGATGGCATTGGGGTCACCAGCTGCCCCTTTCGGGATGAAACTGTTAGCTTTTCCTCTACCAAGAAAATTCCAGAGGGGTTAAGAAGTTAAGTGAACAAAACTAAACCCAGAAAGATTTCCGGAATGGAAAGTGGATGACTGGTTTGATCATCTCAAGGCTGAAGATGCTGCCCCGCATAGCTCCTGTAGCAGAAGCCAGGTCAGCTGAGGCTGCCAGTGCCACGGGGACATGGGCTGCCCTGCCCTAGACCCACTGTGTGCCCAGCGTGGTCTCTGCTCCGCTGCTTCTCAGTGTCTAGGAGGGACTAAGGACACTTGCCTTGGAAGGTGGTTGTGAGAATGAAGTGCGTGAGTAATGTCTGTCACATACTTAGTGTCCTTTAAGAATTAACTGTCCTTTATCCATTGATCTTTGTGGCAGAATTTTTCATGAATTTGAGACAAATGATCCCTTGAACTGTCCGTAACACGTGGGACAGAATGTGGACCCTGATCATTAGACCCTCGTGGTGAGGGAGGTGGGGCCCTGGCAGGCACAGTTTAAGTTTTGACGTGATTCTTTTTCCCATAATTTAGAATTTCAGCCGCGGACCGTAGACATCTTGAGGTTAGGGGATGTGCTTTATTGGGCTGTAGTCTCACATTCTGCTTGTGCCTGGCTGGTGTGAGTGTCAGCCTCCTACAGATGCCCCAAGGATGGGGACAAGGGCATGGATCTGAATCCCTCTCTGGCACCTGTCCTTGGAAGAGCCTGAGGAGAGTCGCTTAACATTTCCGAGCCCCATTTTCTCACTTCTAGAGCCAAGGGAAACAGCCTACCTCAATGAGTGGTTTTAAGGATTTAAAGTGATCATATGTGAGATGTTGATATTCATGTATGCGTTGCCCCTTAGGACCAGTGGTTCGGGTTGTGTGTGAATTTGCAGATACCAAATCTGCAAGTAATGAGGGTCAGCTCTGTGTTGAGTGAAGAAAGAAATGTGGCCTGTCCTGTGCTGCCCCCACCCCCAGGTGGACCTTCTCACCATGCCTTGCCTTCTCTCCTAGCGCACCTTTTGACAAGACAGCCAACATCACCTTCTCCCTCAATGCTGACGATGAGAACGTGAGTACTGCCCTGTCCCCTGGTTGTGGCGGGTGGAGGGGTGTGGGGCTGTGGGCAGTGTGGCCCATCCTCCCACCCCTGTGCCCTGCAGCCCAACGCCAACCTACTTGAGATATGCTACAAGGACCGCATCCAGCAGTTTGATGATGATGAGGAAGAGGAGGACGAGGAAGAGGCCCAGGGCTCAGGGGAGTCTGATGGAGAAGATGGCGCCTGGCAGGGCAGCCAGCTGGCCAGGGGGGCCCGTCTGGGCCAGCCACCTGGTGTCCGGTGAGTCCCCCTCCAGTTTCCCTTCTCCAAGCTTCCACCACACGGCAGGGCCAAGGGGTCCCCCCAACACATTTGGACTGAGGCTGAAGTGAATGAAGAAAATAAGGAACCTGCATTGGTGTGTGTATTAGTTGGGGGCACTTTCACTTTTGAGTGATAGAAATCTAATTCAAGGCCAAGCATGGTGGGCTCATGTAATCCCTGAGTGCCTGTAATCCCAGTACTTTGGGAGGCCAGGGCAGATGGATTGCTTGAGCTCAGGAGTTTGAGACCAGCCCTGGGCAACATAGGGAGATCCTGTCTCTACAAAAAATACAAAAGTTAGATGGGCATGGTGGTGTGCACCTGTAGTCCTGGCTACTCGGGAGGTTGAGGTGGGAGGATGGCTTGAGCCAGGGAGGCAGAGGTTGCAGTGAGCCGAGATCATACCACTGCACTCCAGTCTGGGCAACAGAGCCAGACTTGTCTCAAAAAAAAAGGTAGATGATGCATTAAGAAATCAACAAATTAGCCGGGCACAGTGGCTCAAGCCTGTAATCCCAGTACTTCGGGAGGAGGCCAAGGTGGATGGATCGCTTGAGCTCAGGAGTTTGAGACCTAGCCTGGGCAACATAGCGAAACCCTGTCTCTACAAAAATTACCTGGATGTGGTGACGTGTGCCTGTAGTCCCAGCTACTTGAGAGGCTGAGGTGGAAGGATCGCTTTACCCTGGGGGGCGGAGGTTGCAGTGAGTTGAGATCGCACCACTGCACTCCAGTCTGGGTGACAGAGACCTGGTCTCAAAAAAAAAAAAAAAAAAAAGAATCAACAAATTAAAAAAAATCAGCCGGGCACGGTGGCTCACGCCTGTAATCCCAGCACTTTGGGAGGCTGAGGCGGGCGGATCACGAGGTCAGGAGATCAAGACCATCCTGGCTAACATGGTGAAACCCCGTCTCTACTAAAAATACAAAAAATTTGCCGGGCGTGGTGGCGGGCACCTGTGGTCCCAGCGACTTGGGAGGCTGAGGCAGGAGAATGGCGTGAACCCGGAAGGCGGAGCTTGCAGTGAGCCAAGATTGCGCCACTGTACTCCAGCCTGGGCGACAGAGCGAGACTCTGTCTCAGAAAAAAAAAAAAAAAGGAATCTAATTCAAATGAGTTAAGTTATGAAAAGAAAGGGATAATCTCTGTGGCTGAAAAAATAGGCAGGTCCTGAGGTATGGCTTGGTCTGTGTGTGTCTCTCTCTTCCCGCCTCCCTGTCTCCTTCCTTCATCCCTTCACTTCACTTCCTCGTGTTAGCTCTCACACGTTTTCCTAGAAAGGGGGGTAAGATGGTCCCAGGCAGCTTCTCTCTTCTCTAATTCCAGTAAAATGAGAGATGATGACGTCCCTCTCCAATCAGGCTGTGATGACATTTTAGTGCAAATGTTACATTGTTTTTTTTTTTTCTCTTAATACTGGCCGGCCCCAGAGTCGCTGTGATGAAATGGGTTCATGCCATGTAGATTTGACAGCCTGAACACTAAGTCATCATCTGCAACTGAGTTTTTGACTCATGACTTTTGATTTCGGAATTAGGCTGTTTTCACTTTTTATTGACATGTAACATGCGTATAGACAAGTGTACATACAGATCCTGAGTGTGTGGCCAATGGATATCCTTCCTCAGTGCCCAGACCCAGGAGCAGGACCTTCCCAGTACCCACATCCCCTCTGTTAGCCAGTATCCTCCCTTCTGAGGGTAAAGTTGTCCTGGCTTCTAACCCTGTAGATGAGTTTTGTCTCTGTTTTCACTTGATATAGCATACAGCATCTCCTTTTATGTCTGACCTCTGTTGCTCAACACTCTGCTTGTGAGCTCCTTCCCTGTTGTGTGTTTGGGTGCCCCTGGCTCTCGTGCAGTGGGGCAGTGCCATGCATGATGAGCTGCAGCTGAATTGCTTGTTCTGCAGTTGACAGGCCTTTGGGCAGGTTCCTGTTGCTCGCTGCTGTGAGTGCAGCCGCTGTGAGTGCGGCCGCTGTGAATACCCTTGCACGTGTTGTTGGTGCACAAGTGTGTCACTGCCAAATCCAGCATCTTGACTTAGCCCTCTCTTTTCTTCTAAGAGTTTTATAGCATTATTTCTATGGTTTTCCATTCATTTTGAGCTAAATTTTGTATATGATGTGAGGTGGTCCACCTTCATCCCTTTACATATAGATAACCAGTTTTCCCTGCACCAGTTGTTGAAGACACTGTCCTTTCTCCACTGAATCATCTTGGCACCTGTGTAAAAAGGAAATATTTGACCATATGTATGAGTTTGTTTCTTCCCTCTCTGTTCTGTTCTATCAGTCTGTGTGTTGTTTTTATCCAGTACCACACTGGCCTGGTTGCTGTTGCTTTATAGTAAGTTTTGAAAATGGGAGGTTTGTTGGGCACGGTGGCTCACACCTGTAATCCCAGCACTTTGGGAGGCCAAGGTGGATGGATCACCTGAGGTCAGGAGTTTGAGACCAGCCTGGCCAACATGGTGAAACCCCATCTCTACTAAAAATACAAAAATTAGCCGGCTGTGGTGGGTGCCTGTAATCCCAGCTACTCAGGAGGCTGAGGCAGGAATATCGCTTGAACCTGGCAGGCAGAGGTTGCAGTGAGCTGAGATCGCACCATTCATTGCACTCCAGTCTGGGTGACAAGAACGAAACTCCATCTCACAGAAAAAAGAAAATGGGAGGTTTTAGTTTTCCAACCTTGTTCTTCTTTTTAAAGATTGTTTTGCCCTATTTGGGATTTCTTGAGATTCCATATGAATTTTAGGATCAGCTTGTCAATTTCAACCAAGAAGCCACCTTGCGTCTTCTAATACGTGAACATGGATGTCTTTTTATATAGGTCTTAAAATTTCTTTCAACAATGTTTCGTAGGTTTTAGAGTATGAGGCTTTGTATTTCTTTTAAGTTTATTCCTGTTTTCTTCTTTCTGTTACTATTGTAAATGGAATTTTCTTGAAATTGTTTTCAGATTGTTACAAGTATATGAAAATACAATAGGTTTTTGTATGTTGATCTTTCATCCTGCAACCTTGCTGAACTAATGTATGAGTTCTGATAGTTTTAGTGGACTCCTTAGGATTTTCTATGTACAGAATCATGTCATGTGAATAGAGTTCATTTTCCTTCCTTTCAAATCTGGATGATTTTAATTTCCTTTTCTTGCCTGGTTGCCCTGGCTAGCCTCCGGGACAATGTTGAACAGAAGTGGCAAGAACAGGCATCCTTGTTTTGTTCCTGATCTTAGGGGGAAGCATTCAGCGTTTTGCCATGTAAGCATGCTGTTAGTTGTGGGGTTTTGTAGATGCCTTATGTTAGGTTGAGGGGCTTCCTTTATACTCCTTAGTCGTTGAGTATTTTAGTTTACTTTTAACTATATACAGATATATTACTTTCCAGTTAAAGTAGTCAGTTACTCTGTTAAGACAAAAATATTGGGTCAGCATTTTAGACATAGTATATAGTCCCATACTGCATCTTTGGGTCAGCGATGGACCACATATGACAGTGGTCCCGTGAGATTATAATCCTCTATTTTTGCTGTATTTTTCCTATGTTTAGATACACAAACATTTACCATTGTTAGAATTGCCTGTAGTATTCAGTACTGTAACATGCTGTATAGGTCGGTAGTCTAGGAACAATAGGCTATACCACAGAGCCTAGGTGTACAGGAGGCGCCACCATCCAGGTGTGTGTAAGTGCACTCTAGAATGTTCACACAATAGCAAAATCGCCTAATGATGGCGTTTTTCAGAGTGCACCCTCGTTGTTAAAGCTTAGTTTTAGTGTTACTTTGCTTACCCCTTCCCCGGTTGATCAGCACGTAGGTTGCTTGGATTTTCTTCATGCTCACAGGTGTGTGTTAGTCAACATTCAGCCAGTGTTTTTGGAGCAGCTATGGGTGCCTGGTGGTTTCTCAGGGCTGAGGATACAGCAGTGGCAAAACTCAGCCATCTCTGCCTTCTTGGAGTTTCTAGTTGGAGGGAGAGAGTAGTGTGAAGCCTCTGTCCAGAGGGTGGGCCTGCTGGTGGGAAGGCCTGTCACTGTGGTGACCGTGTGAGGTGACGGCTGGGAGGTGGCTTGAGAGCTGGTGAGTGGGTCTGTCTGCTCTGGTTGCCATGGCTGAGGCTCAGCCCACTTCCCCAGGGCCTGCCCTCCACGGATGACTGGCGACGGACGGTCTCCTTACGGCCGCATTCTGTCCCTGCCCGCCTGTGTTCTTGCCGTTGGCTCAGAACTCCCTCTCCCAGCCTCTCCTGGTGTCGTCACACCCCAGGCTCCCTGGACCCTTCTGTGACCTGCCTGTCATCCCAGCCCGCTCTCCTTGGGCTGACCCTGGGCTGCAGGGAACAGGATGGGTGTCGGCCGGTCTGTCCCACACAGCTAGCTGACGAGGTGGTTTCTGGGGCAGGAGTGGAGGCAGCACAGACAGTGAGGACGAAGAAGAGGAGGACGAGGAGGAGGAGGAAGACGAGGAGGGCATTGGCTGTGCAGCCCGTGGAGGGGCCACCCCTCTGTCCTACCCCAGCCCTGGCCCTCAGCCTCCAGGTGAATGAATGGGCGGTGTGGTCAGGTGTACACAGGGCTGTCTGCCTGCTACTGAGTTCACCCTCCATCCCGCTCCCCCACCTCTATCCCAGGCCCCAGCTGGACAGCCACCTTTGACCCAGTGCCTACAGATGCCCCGACCAGCCCCCGAGTCTCCGGGGAGGAAGAGCTGCACACTGGGCCTCCAGCCCCACAGGGGCCCCTCAGTGTGCCCCAGGGCCTCCCCACTCAGAGCCTGGCCAGCCCTCCTGCCCGTGACGCCCTGCAGCTCAGGTGAGAACCGGATGGAACGGGCTAAATGGTGCTGGTATCCCGAGGCCAGGAGGTGGCCATGGGGTCCCCGTCCTCTCATAGGCTCGAGTGCTAACCCTAGCTGCCCCCTTGGGCTGCCTCTCTCGCCTACCAGGTCTCAGGACCCCACACCCCCCTCAGCACCTCAGGAAGCCACAGAAGGCAGCAAAGTCACGGAGCCCTCAGGTGAGCCCCGCTTTGCCCTGCCCACCCGCGGCCCTGGGCAGAGAGAGCAGCCTGGCCAGCTCCGAGCTTGCTGGGAGCTGCAGCTGAGATCTCTTATCCCCCACAGCCCCTTGCCAGGCCTTGGTTAGCATCGGGGACCTTCAGGCCACCTTCCACGGGATCCGTTCTGCCCCCAGCTCCTCGGACAGGTGAGCAGCGAGGTGGGGCTGCCTAGTATCGGGAGAAGTCTTTTCTCCTCTTCGCTGAGGTGGGCTCTGGGTTCATCTTGTCCCTGAGCTGCTCCAGGCCTCCTTTGCAGGACCCCCAGGCGCAGCCTCATGTTGTGCCCCAGCCCCTTGCACTCTGTAGGCTGGTTCTTCTCTTAGTAGCCTGGGATGCTTGGGGCCCTTGAGCCCCAGGGTTGGGAAGGGCTCGTTGGAGGGTGTGAAGGATTGGGAGGGTGAGAGCATGCAGAAGACCCTTTGGGGCTGTCTCAGCCGGCCTCGAGTACCTCCTCCACAGGGACAGGAGGCGGGAAGAGGGGTGCTTGTCTTCCTGTCCAGGGCTGTGCTGTCCCTCCACGCTGAGCCAGCTGCGTCCTCGGGAGGCCCCTCCCCGTGGGGCAGGTGGCAGACACACACCCAGTGAGCCGACTTCAGTCGGGTGGGATGTGAGGGTGTCAGCAGGTGACGGTGGGGGCCACGCTGACAGCCGCACCTGCCTCTCACCCACAGTGCAACCAGAGACCCCTCTACCTCTGTCCCAGCCTCCGGGGCCCACCAGCCCCCCCAGACCACAGAAGGGGAGAAGAGCCCAGAGCCCTTGGGGCTTCCCCAAAGCCAGAGGTGAGCACCAGGGCAGCAGGGCGGGGGGGTGGGGGTGGGGCTGGTGGGGCAGGAAGTGACCTCTGCACATCCCCTCTCTCCCCTGACAGTGCCCAGGCCCTCACGCCTCCTCCGATACCCAATGGCTCTGCCCCGGAAGGGCCTGCATCCCCAGGCTCCCAGTGAGTGTGGCTGCAGCCTCGGGCTGGGTAGGTGGGGCTGGGCCTGCTAGACCCTCACACGACATCTCCCTCTGTTTCCAGATAGCTGCCTGGTGCGGCAGCGGCGGCCAAATCTTCCGTCCTCCCGTGGATCTCCCGGGGTGGGGGCAGGGCGGGTCCCACGATGGCCCCCATTGCCCTCATCACCCTGACACCCCCACATTCTCTCCTCTGGACCCCCAGGAGGCTGGTGCCAGGGAGACAGGCCCAACCCACCCCCATTTGCACTGAGAAGAGAAGTTTTGGAGCGTTGCCTCCTAGAATAAAGATACAGAGAGTCAAATAGAGAGAATGGAGAGAGAGAAACATATATTATATATTATATAGAGAGAGGGAGGAGAGCGAGAGAGAGTGAGGACACCGAACTGGGCTGGCGGCTCCAAAGCACAGCCTTCCCTGTTCCGTCCCAGCGGGAGCTGGTGTTAGGGGTCCCAAGGTTGCCACCCACGTGCCCAGCTGTCCCACGCTGCAGCGCAGACGGCCACGCCCACACCCGGCCTTTTAGCTCAGGTCCACCATGGGGGACGGCCCAGCGTGGGTGGGGGTGCCAGAGGGTCCCGAGTGGGGGCCGTGCCTTTGCCCAGACCCTGCACTTTCAACCAGGCCAGTCCGGCTCTGGGGAGCAGGGGCCTCCCCGGCAACAGCCCCAGGGGCCTTGAGGGTCTGAGGTCCCAGCCCTGTTGCCAAGTGACCTTGTCCCCAGCTCCCTCCTCCCAGGCTGGTGTGAGTGTGCGTGCGTTTGTGCCGAGCTTCTATTTCATATTGCAAATATAAATAAAGGAAGGCAGTTTACGATTCTGCTGGTCAGACCTTACGTTCTGGGATGCGGGGTGGGGAGCCTGTATTATCCCTGCACCCCAGAGGCTGGGGGTGCTCCTGACCCAGTCTGCCCCCACACTGTCCTGCCAGAGGGAGCCCTGTGGCTGCAGAGGCCCCAGGCTGGGCCAGGCACTGGCTGTGAGGGCTCCTGCCAGGTCTACCCCACCTGTGGGCAGGGCCTTGGGCAGAGGATAGAAGCCACCGACAGGCTCAAATCCCTGCTCCTGCCCCTGCTTACCCCCAGTAACCAAGCCCAGCATTGAGGCTGGGTACTGGCGCCCAGTAGGTCTGAGTCTTTCAGGTAGAAGGTAGAAGTGTAGGCTGCGTGTGCAGCGAGTGGCACCGGTGAGCGGCGCTGGGAAACCGGAGCGTGTGGACCGGGCCATGAGGACAGCGTCCTCACTGGGGTGGCAGTTGGCTTGGAGGTCACCTGGGGGCTCGCTCAGCTAACAGGAGAGGGTGCTTGTTCCCCGCATTCGTGGTGGTCCCTCCTGGTCACCCATTGAAGCAGTGTTTGTGGTGGAGCCCCTGAGGGCTTGGTGGGGTTGAGCAGAATGAGGAAAGGTTTCATGGAGCAGGGAGGGAGACGGCTAGGGCAGCAAGTGAAGGACAGACTCGCCTTCCCATCCCTCCAGGGGCACTCCTGCCAGCCAGCCCCTCTCCCGCTTCCCATGATGGGGTGGCTGTTGGAATTCTGCACCCCATCTCTTCTGATTGTTGGGGCCCAGGACAAGGGGACAGGCATTTGTGGGCCTAACCTCCCCAGGCAGATAGGAGGAGGAAGCCATGTCCCAGCAGGCTAGGGCAGAGGGACCCCCAGTGCCAACAGTGCTTTATCAGCGGGCGCCAGGCAGGGCCATCCCCAGGGTGAGGACAACATCTCCCTGGGCCCTGTTATCAGTCACAGAGTCCACAGGACGCTCCTTGGGTTAACGTGTAACCATGAGCCCTCCCCTCCACCCCCTGAAGCCACTCGCTCCCAGATTAGGTCGCTCTGGGGCTATCAGGCCAGCATGGACGCTGGCAAAGCGGGGCAGACCCTGAAGACTCACTGCTCAGCCCAGGTGAGAGCCTTCTGAGCTGTGCCTGGGGCTGGGGGGACAGGGCCCTGGAACCCCAGCAGCCGGCGGGTCTGGGAGCTGCTGTCCTTGAGTTGGTTGGGCCCTGGGAAGCTGGGTTCTGGCAGCCTGGTCCCTGAATGGGTCCAGCCTGTACAGCTGGGGTCCCAGGTGGGGGTGGGACAGGAGCCATGAGATCTGAGTCCCAAGAATGGGGGCTGGGCTGGGTTTCGGCTCAGTAGCTCCCCACTCCCCAAAGCGCCCAGATGTCTGCAGGTGGCTGAGCCCCTTCATCCTCTCCTGCTGCGTGTACTTCTGCCTCTGGATTCCCGAGGACCAGCTGTCCTGGTTCGCTGCCCTGGTCAAGTGCCTGCCCGTCCTCTGCCTGGCTGGGTTCCTGTGGGTCATGTCCCCAAGCGGGGGCTACACCCAGCTCCTCCAGGGAGCCCTTGTGTGCTCGGCTGTGGGGGACGCTTGCCTCATCTGGCCGGCAGCCTTCGTCCCTGGTGAGTGGAAGGTGCTGTGACGCTTTCCAGATGCCCGTGTGAGAGAGGCCCCAGCACTTGGATGGGAGCCTGGGTGCAGAGGGCTCCTGTGAGAGCTCCAGTGGTCAAAGGCACAGTGGGGGGCGCAGCCGTGACCGAGGCAGCTCACGCTCCAGCGAGGGGTGGGGGCAGGCGGTGTTAGGGCAGTAGCTGAGGTGGCGCAGAGGGCAGTGAGGACCTGCTGGAGGTACTGCAGTTTGAAGCAGGGTTGCTGAGGAAGGCCTCACTGAGGAAGTCACATTTGGGCAGAGCTGAAGGGCTGTATGCCTGTGTGGAGGAAGGGCGAGTGTAAAGGCTCCGGGGCAGGGACGTGTCAGGTGCTTGTAGCCCAGCAGGCCAGGGTGGCTGGCGCAGAGTGGCTGGAGAGCTGGAGGCCATGGGGCTTTGGAGGCCAAGGGAAGGTGGGGCCTCCTGGCAGTTCTGAGCAGAGCAAGGATGGACACTGCATGTGGGGAGACCTGCAAGGAGGCTCGGCCAGGGTGGGGCCTGGTGCTCTGGGATGGTCCTTCTCTTAGGCCCTGAGGGGTGACCTCGGGGCCATTCCCAGGATGGGCCTTCCTCACTGGTACCCCACCCCTCTCCCGCCAGGCATGGCCGCCTTTGCCACCGCCCACCTCCTCTACGTCTGGGCCTTCGGCTTCTCTCCCCTGCAGCCCGGCCTGCTGCTGCTCATCATCCTGGCCCCTGGCCCCTACCTCAGCCTTGTGCTCCAGCACCTCGAGCCGGATATGGTCCTGCCGGTGGCAGCCTATGGGCTGATCCTGATGGCCATGCTGTGGCGCGGCCTGGCCCAGGGCGGGAGTGCCGGCTGGGGCGCGCTGCTCTTCACGCTCTCTGATGGCGTGCTGGCCTGGGACACCTTCGCCCAGCCCCTGCCCCATGCCCACCTGGTGATCATGACCACCTACTATGCTGCCCAGCTCCTCATCACACTGTCAGCCCTCAGGAGCCCGGTGCCCAAGACTGACTGACTAGGGAGCTTGAAGGGCCGGTGTTCAGGCCCTCTCCTCCTGCAAGGACCTGGGCCTCCCAGCCCAGCCCAGCCTGAGAAATACCCTCAGCAGCGAAGCTTCCTGACGCCTGTCTGCAGGCGCCGCTGCCGCCGTCGCTTCTGGCTGAAGACGTTTGAGGACGATTTGCGGAATTCCAAGTCCACTACTGGGTTCCAGCTGCCTTCCCCCGGTTCTGACTCCAGATCCCTGGCTCCTCAGCCAGGCCCACATGGAGCCCTCCCAGCCACCAGCCTGCCTCCATGTTCACTGTCGGCCCCACAGCCTGCCCGCCCCCTGCTGCTGCTCTGAATCCGTTTTCCCTGTGGGTGTGGAACCGTAGATGTTGCTGTTACCGTAGGAGAGGCCTCGGGGAGGGTCATGATTGTGATAAACCATCGCGGTTAATGACAGCAGAAGGTTCTTTGTCGCTCCCCATGGACCAGGCCTGGTGCCCAGTGGGACCCTCCATGGCCCTCTGGTGGGGGGATTCGGGGGGATAAAGTGAGGATTGTGCAGAACTGAGCCAAGAGGACTGTTTGGTCTTTGTGTTAGTTTCCTGAGGCTGCTGTCACAAATTACCCCAAGCCAGATGCTTTGAAACAAGATGAATGGACTCTCCTGCAGTTCTGGAGACCCAAAGTCCAAAATCCGGGTGTTTTCCGGCCCATGGTCCCTCTTGAGGCTCCAGGGAAGAATCCGTCCTTGCCCTCTCGGCTTCTGGAGGCTCCCGGGAATCCCTGGCTTCCATCGGCCTGTGGCTGTGTCTCTCCGTCTTCATGTGACTGTCTTCAACTGGCAGCCTCCCTCTGTGTCCGCATCCTTCTAGGGACACAGGTCATTGGATTTAGGGCCCACCCTAAACCCAGGGTGATTCTATCTCAAGATCCTTAAGTATGTCTGCAAAGCCCCTATTTCCAAGTAGTGTCACCTGCAGAGGTATCTGGGGTTAGGACTTGGACATATCTTTCTAGGGGATACAACCCGCTGCAGTCACATGCAGTATCGGGAGAAGGGTGGGAGGCTTGAGGATGAGGGGTCTTGGAGGAGGGAGGGCGGCAAGGGGGTAGGAATCAAATGGGAAGGAGGAACCCAGCTGTGCTCCTTGTCAAGGCTGTGTGACCTCGGCAAGCTGCTATCCCTCAGGTCCTCAGATTCTGCATCTGAAGACTTGACAGGGTCCAAGCTGCTCTCCAAGACCCTATTTGACTTCTGCATCCATGATGTGCTTTCAGTGACTCATAGCAGAGGGGCGACTTCTCCATCCATGGTTAGCATTTAGAGACTCTTACAGCAGAGAGGCGACCTCTCTATCCATGACCTGCATTTAGGGACTCTTAGAGCAGAGGTGACTTCTCCATCCATGACCTGCATTTAGGGACTCTTACGACAGAGAGGGGACTTCTCCATCCATGGCCAGCATTTAGGGACTCTTACAGCAGAGAGGTGACTTCTCCATCCATGACCTGCATTTAGGGACTCAGATGTGAGAGTACAGAGGTGGGAAGGGAAGGTGGGGAGCCTGGAGGACGGGGACCAGGAAGGAAAGTGAGGACAGGAATCCACAGTTGGAGTGAGGAGAAGTGGAAGCTGAGGGATTTCCTTGAGGAAGGGTCAGGCATGAGGAGGATCTGAAGGATTGGACTCAGGTTCGAAACCTCCACTTCCTCCTCATCTCCTACCCTCTCCACTCAGACCTGGCGAAAGGTGGGGAAAGAGGAAATTGCGCAGTGAAGTGTAGCAGGAGGGACGGGGGTCTGGGTGTGCAGATTCCAGGGGCACGTGGGGCCTGCAGACATGAGGGGTTCCTGGAGGTGAGGGAGGAGGGGCTGGAACCTGGACTCCTGGGTCTGAGGGAGGAGGGGCTGGGGCCCTGGACTTCTGAGTCTGAGGGAGGAGGGACTGGGGCCTGGACCCCTGAGTCTGAGGGAGGAGCTGGGGGCCTGGACTCCTGAGTCTGAGGGAGGAGGGGCTGGGCCTGGACTCCTGAGTCTGAGGGAGGAGGGGCTGGGCCTGGACTCCTGAGTCTGAGGGAGGAGGGGCTGGGGGTCTGGACTCCTGGGTCTGAGGGAGGAGGGGCTGGGGGTCTGGACTCCTGAGTCTGAGGGAGGAGGGGCTGGGGACCTGGACTTCTGGGTCTGGGGGAGGAGGGGCTGGGGGCCTGGGTCTGAGGGAGGAGGGGCTGGGGGCCTGGACTCCTGCGTCTGAGGGAGGAGGGGCTGGGGTCTGGACTCCTGAGTCTGAGGGAGGAGGGCCTGGGGGCCCGAACTCCTGGGTCTGGGAGAGGAGGGGCTGGACTCCTGAGTCTGTGGGAGGAGGGGCTGGGGGCCTGGACTCTTGAGTCTGAGGGAGGAGGGGCTGGGCCCATAATCCCTGGTGTTTGGGGAACATTCTGGCTTTTGGTCCCTGGGCTCTGTGGGGTCGGCAGTCCAGAGCGACGGGACGCTGCTCTCCTGTCGGCATCCAGCAGCCCCAGCGTCGTGTCCCTCCTCCCTGATTCTGGTCCCCCGACGACCTTTCATCTGACTTCTCAGAGGTCTGCTTTCTCATGATCTGATTCGTGTTTCTCTAAAGCGGGACTCTCGGAGGTGCTGCGCACATCCCTCTCAGGCTCCTTCCAGCCCTGCCGGGACCCAGACCTGGGGCAAGGGGCAAAACGCCGGCTCCATCTTCCCTCCCAAGCCGGGGTGGCTGGTGGGGATGAGGCGGGGTGGGACTCAGCAGCCTTCATCCCGATCCTGCAGGTCAGACCACCGTGGGTCTGATTCCCCATCTGGGCCCTCCCCAGGCCCTCGGGACCACGACAGAGGCCACAGCAGCAGGTTAGTGACCCCATCAGCCTCCATCCTGCACGTCTAGGAAGGGCCGTGGGATTCCGTCTTCTGTTTGCCGCAGAGGCTTCTACCCATGTCAGCCGCCAAAGCAGACAGAATCGTGAGTGTGGAGGCTCGGACCTCCAGCTCCATCACCCTGAGCTGGGCAGCCCCAAGGGCCCAGACCGGCAGACTTCCATCTACTGGGTCCAGGGGCATGGCCAGCGGGAACACAAGCACGTCACACTGCTGGCTCGTGGTGGAGGGCTTCAGCCTGGGACCCTCTACACCACCTCTGTGTGGGCCAAGAAGAAAGGAGTAGGTGGCCCCAGGGACGTCCTGAGCATGTCTACAGGTAAGAGGGGCCACCTTTCCACTGCCCAGCAACATGTGCGTGTGTGTGCACGTGCACTTGTGTGTGCATGTGTGTTTGCGTGTGTGTGCGCGTGCGTGCGTGTGCACATTTGTAAAAAGTGCCAGGCTGTGCACTTTATTCTCATTAGAGCCACAAACAAACTTTATCAAATGACTCTCTCCTTTCCACATTCCCAAACTAGTCCCTGGCCTGGTCACACCGGCTCAGACCACCAGCTCCCTCACCCTGAGGGCCCCGCAGGCCCAGACTCCAAGACCTGCCCCTACTGGCTCTGCTGGGCCAGTGACTCCTCAGACATCAGGGTGCCTGTGGAGGGCCTGGCTGCAGGGACGCAGTACCCCAGCATGTGGGCCCAGAAGCATGAGGTCAACAGCCCCAGCCAGACGCTCACAGAGGCCACGGGCGAGGGGTGAGAGCACTCTGGGCTTGGGGAGTAGGAGGCCTCAGGAGGCCTCTGGCATCGGCCCCACTGATAGGGTGCATCCTTCCAGAGCAAGCAGGGCTGTGGGAAGGAGGGGATGCTTCCCTTTGCTCTGGAGGCCCAGGGACTATGGGGTGTGGTCTGTGAAGCAGGTTCACTGTGCACTGGTTACCAACTTGCCAGAGTGATGAGACAGAACGCCACACGCAAAAAGTTACATGAAGTGGGCTTGTTTCTCACAGATGGGCAGCAAGGGACAGCAGAATCCCAGGGTCCGTTGTAAGCTGGTCCCCCAAGGCTTAGGAAAGTGGCCTAGGGAGGATAGGGTCACAACTGTGTGTGCCTCACTTGTATGGCAGCTGAGGGACCCCAAAAAGTACCCAGCCCTGGGTTTTCTACTCTGGGGGAAACCTGAGTCACCGGGCTCAAGCATTGAAGGGCATCCTGTTTCTAGGGCAGGCAGGAATGGAGCCCAGGCCGCCTGGCCAGTCCCTCCATATCTCCGGATGTTGCATTCCCAGCACATTCTACTGTTACTCTTGAGAACTACAAGTAAGAGACAACTGGGTCTGTTTAAGGCCACTCAGATAACCTTCCTGCAGGAACCCTGACCCCCTTCCCTTCCTTTCCTTACCCGGCCAGGTCATGGATCTGAGGATACAGGCTCAGACCCTGAGTTCTGTTACACTAAGGTGTATATCCCCCCGGGGCCCAGACCCCCACACCTACACCTACTGGGTCCAGTGGGCAGGGACCACGGCCCCCAGTGGGACCAGAAGTGTGGCAGAGATGGGGTTGTGGTGGAGGCCCTGGAATCTGGGGCTTCATAAACCTTCATTGTGTGGGCTGAAAGGCGAGGTGGCTCATGCCTGAAATCCCTGCACTTTGGGAGGCTGAGGCGGGTGGATCACCTGAGGTCAGGAGCTCGAGACCAGCCTGGCCAATACGATGAAACCCTGTCTCTACCAAAAATACAAGAAAATTACCTGGGCGTGGTGGTGCATGCCTGTAATCCTAGCTACTCAGGAGGCTGAGGCAGGAGAATCACTTGAACCCGGGAGGTGGAGGTTGCAGTGAGTCAGGATCGCACCACTGTGCTCCAGCCTGGGCGACGAGCAAAATTCCATCTCAAAAAATAAATAGTCGGTCACGGTGGCTCACGCCTGTAATCCCAGCACTTTGGGAGGCCAAGGCAGGCAGATCATGAGGTCAGGAGTTCAAAACCAGCCTGGACAACATGGTGAAACCCTGTCTCTACTAAAAATACAAAAATCAGGCATGGTGGCACATGACTGTAATCCCAGCTACTCGGGAGCCTGAGGCAGGAGAATCGCTTGAATTCGGGAAGTGGAGGTTGCAGTGAGCCTAGATCGTGCCATTGCACTCTAGCCTGGGTGACAGAGTGAGACTCTGTCTCAAAATAAATAGCCTGGTGTGGTGGCTCACGCCTGTAATCCCAGCACTTTGGGAGGCCGAGGCAAGCAGATCACCTGAGGTTGGGAGTTCGAGACCAGCCTGACCAACAACATGGAGAAACCCCGTCTCTACTAAAAATACAAAACTAGCCGGGTGTGGTGGTGCATGCCTGTAGAATTGCTTGAACCCAGGAGCCGGAGGTTGTGGTGAGCTGAGATCGCACCATTGCACTCCAGCCTGGGCAACAAGAGCGAAACTCCATCTCAAAAATAAAATTAAAAAAAAATAAATTTTCTGCATCTTAGCAGGTTCTCCTGTCTCCCCTCCAGTTTGTACCTCCCTTCCCCAAGAGTGACCAGTCTCCTGATCTTTATCATCGTAAATTAGTGTAGTCTGTCCTTGAAACTTCTCTAAGTGGAATTATACAGTATGTAGTTATTTGATTCTGGCTTTCTTCACTCAACATTGTGGATGAAATGTGGATCCATGCTGGGTGTTTTTATTTTTATTGCTGTGTACTATTTATCGCATGAATGTATTACAACTTATTGTTTCATCCCTCCCTTCATGAACATTTTATGTTTCTAGTTTTGGGATACTATGAATGAAGCTACCATGAACATTTCTGTCCATGTCTTTTGGAGCACACAGGAAGTTTTTTCCCTCAGATGTCTGCCTAGCAGTGGAATCGCTGAGTGATGGTATACGTACCTTAGGCTTTCGTAGTTACTGACAAACCATTTCTCAAAGCAGCTTACCAGTTTACCATCCTGCCAGCAATGTGAGGAAGCTTCATTTGCCCCATATTCTTGCAGATAGTTGGTTGTTCGTCTTTTCCATTTTAGTTCTTCTGCTGCAGTGTTCTGGTGCTTCCTTGTGGTTTAATTTCCATAATGACTAATGAAGTTGAACACATTCCCATTTGTGTGTATGTGTGTGTGTTTGTGGCCATTTGGATATTCTTGGTAAAGTGTCTCTTCAAGTCCATTGCCCATTAAATGGGTCTTCTGCCTTCCTTAATTTGTAGAAAGTCTTTGAAAATATAAAGGGTACAGCTCTTTTGTCAGATGTTTGTGTCACCAAGTGTCATCATGGCCTAGTTTTAACTCAGGGCTCTGCTAAATCACATGGGATCACAGGTGTAGAAGGGTTTGCTTTCCGAGAGGACTGCAGAGATTTCCCCCACTCCCCTGCTCCAGCCTTCCCTTCTCTCATAGAAACAAATGTAGGGAATCTCTCTTTTCTCCTGCAGAGTCCAGGGTTGCTAGAGGACTGAGAAGGGCTGTGCCATGTTTTCTCCTCAGCGCCGAGAGAGACTGGGTTTTCCCTGAAAATGACAAACTTGTCAGGTGTGCCCCCAACAAACGCGTATTCAGCACCGAGGACAGCAATCCCAGGAGCTGCCAGAGCCTACAGGCCCAGAAATGGCTGCAAATGGGCGGAGCCATGCTGTCTGTCCACCTCTCCCTGTGTGATCTGGGGTCGAGCCTTCCTTGCTTTCTGCTGTGGTTTCACCCCTCAGCTTAGACTTTAACAATAGCAGAAGATGATCAGTAAATACGTAAAATGGAGACATGATCAAGGAGGGGAGAGGTGGGGACACGTGTGTGTGAGTTCTGGAAAGACTTTAGGACAGCTTCATCCCTCACCTGGATGCCCTGATGAGCATGGTAGGGAGGAGCCCCACGGTCTGCCTTCCTCACTATCCTACACTTCCTTATTCCAGGACACTGGCAAAAATGATGTGGCCCAGCATGCCCCCCAGAGCTGGCCTCTGTTGGATGCTTCCTGCCTGTGAGATGACAAAGAGCTGTGTGGTTCCTGGTCTTTCTCCCTCCTTGCTTCTGACCATGAACACAGAAAGGTCGCTAGCACCCTTGGATCTTGGAAGAGGGAAAGACAGGAACTCCACAGTCCTTTCCCCTGAGCTACCAAAGCATTCTTCCCCTGCCTCAAGTCAGCATCATTTGGGGAATGGAGCTGAGAAAATTTATTCTGGGTGTGGAAGAAGGAATCTACCAAACCCAATGCTCCCTGGGTTCTGAGCAGTGGGGGTGGGGTTGGGATTGTGCCATAGTTTTGAATCAATACTTTGAAAGCACTTTGGGGCCGGGTGCGGTGGCTCATGCCTGTAATCCCAGCACTTCAGGAGGCTGAGGTGGGCAGATAACAAGGTCAGGAGATCGAGACCATCCTGGCTAACACGGTGAAACCCCGTCTCTACTAAAAATACAAAAAATTAGCCAGGCATGGTGGCGGCTACTCGGGAGGCTGAGACAGGAGAATGGTGTGAACCCGGGAGGCAGAGCTTGCAGTGAGCCGAGATCACGCCACTGCACTCCAGCCTGGGCGACAGAGTGAGACTCTGTCTCAAAAAAAAAAAAAAAGAGAAAAAAGAAAAAAGAAAGCACTTTGGGAGGCCAAGACAGGTGGATCACTTGAGGTCAGGAGTTCCAGACCAGCCTGGCCCATATGGCGAAACCCCATCTCTACTGAAAATACAAAAATTAGCTGGGCATGGTGGTGGGCGCCAGTAATCCCAGCTACTCAGGAGGGTGAGGCAGGATAATCGCTTGAATCCGGGAGGTGGAGGTTGCAGTGAGCCAAGATCGTGCCATTGCACTGCAGCCTGGGTGACAGAGTGGGACTTTGTCTAAAACAAAACAAAAAACACTAACAGATGAATCTACCTGGGGAAGTATGTCTTTTTCAGGGGGCATAAAGCTCATCCCTGCTATTATGAACTGAATTTCATCCTCCTTCAAAAATTTGTAAGTTGGCGTCCCAACCTCCAGTACCTCAGAATGTGATTGTATTTGGAGACAGGGTCTTTGAAGAGGTGATTAAGATAAAATGAGGTCACTTTGAGATGCTGAGGCAGATGGATTGCTTGAGCCCAGGAGTTTGAAATCTTCCTGGGCAGCACGGTGAGAACCCCATCTCCCCAGATTTTTTTTTAATTAGCCAAGCTGGGCATGGTGGCTCACGGCTGTAATCCCAGCACTTTGAGACGCAGAGGCAGGTGGATCACTTGAGGTCAGGAGTTCAAGACCAGCCTGGCCAACATGGTGAAACCCTGTCTCTACTTAAAAATAAAAAAATTAGGCCAGGCATGGTGGCTCACGCCTGTAATCCCAGCACTTTGAGAGGCCGAGGCGGGTGGATCACCTGAGGTCAGGAGTTCAAGACCAGCCTGGCCAACATGGTGAAACCCCATCTCAACTAAAAATACAAAAAAATTAGGTGGGTGTGGTGGCAGGCACCTGTAATCCCAGCTACTCAGGAGGCTGAGGCAGGAGAATCTCTTGAATACGGGAGGCAGAGGTTGCAGTGAGCTGAGATCATGCCATTGCACTCCAGCCTGGGCGACGAGCAAAACTCTGTCTCAAAAAAAAAAAAAAAATAGCCGGGTATGGTGGTGGGCACCTGTAATCCCACCTACTCAGGAGGCTGAGGCAGGAGAATCGCTTGAACCTGGTAGGCAGAGGTTGCAGTGAGCCGAGATCGCGGGACTGCACTCCAGCCTTGGCAACAGAGCAAGACTCGGTCTAAAATAAATAAATAAATATATATATACATTATATATATATACACATTATATATATATACATTATATATATATACACATTATATATATATACATTATATATATACACATTATATATATATACATTATATATATACACATTATATATATATACATTATATATATACACATTATATATATATACATTATATATACACACATATATATACATTATATATATATACACATATATATACATTTTATATATATATACATTATATATATATATATATATATATATATATATATATATATATATATATATATATGTAAGCCAGGCATGGTGATGTGCCACTGTAGTCCCAGCTACTCAGGAGGCTGAGGTGGGAGGATCACTTGAGCCCAGGATGTAGAGGCTGCAGTGAGCTGTGTTCGTACCACTGCACTCCAGCCTGGGAGACAGAGTGAGATGCTGTCTCAAAAAAAAAAAAAAAAAAGTCACACTAAGGTGGGCCATAATCCAACCTGACTGGTGTCCTTATCAGAAGAGGAGGTTAGGACACAGACACATGGAGGACAAGGGAGAACACGGCCATTTGCAAGCCAAGGAGAAAGAGGCCTCAGGAGGAACCAACCCTGCCCACATTTTCATCTTGGACCTCCAGCCTCCAGAACGGTGGGAAAACAAATCTCTGCTGTTTGGGTCACCTAGTCTATGCTCTTTGTTGTAGTAGCCCTAGCAAACGAATATACCAGTTTTTATGGAAAACCACACAGCGCCCAGATTCCTGGGTTCCGAACAATGGGGGATGGAATTTTCTCATAGTTTTTGTTTTGTTTTGTTTTGTTTTTGTTTTTTCTTTTTTTGAGACGGAGTCTCGCTCTGTCGCCCAGGCTGGAGTGCAGTGGCACGATCTTGACTCACCGCAGCCTCCACCTCCGGGTTCAAGCTATTCTCCTGCCTCAGCCTCCCGAGTAGCTGGGATTACAGGAGCCTGCCACCACGCCTGGCTAATTTTTGTCTTTTTAGTAGAGACGGGATTTTCAGAACCATATTGGCCGCACTGGTCTCGAATTCCTGACCTAAAGTGATCCACCCGCCTCGGCCTCCCAAAGTGCTGGGATTACAGGCGTGAGCCACCGCGCCCCGCCCGAAGTTATTTACTCAAGACTCAAAAAAGTTATCGATGATCCCATCTGGAGGAAATATGTTTTTTCCATGGGACGCTAAGGACATCCCGCCTTCCCCATCCCCCGCAGTCACTTTTCTGTTTATTACATCAGCCTGTGTTCCCACCACGAGTGCTGCTCTGGGGTGCAGGGCGCTTTGGCCCTGGGTTGGTAAGATTCGCTAAAGACGGTGGCGTGTTCTCTCCCGAGTCTGCTTTGTGGGGTTGGTGGGGCTTTTCCATCGGGAGCCGCACCAGCCACCCTGGCACCGCACTTCCAGAACCGCGTCAGCACCAAGGACAGCGCCAGGGAGCCTTGGCTGCAGGGACGGAGCCCCAGATGTGGCTGAGAAGGGGAAGAGGAAGGACCGTCGTGCCCTGGAGCCTGCGACCGCCACGCCCTTGTTCCAGCCTCAGCCTTCAACCCCCTACACAGACGCCCAGTGAGCACTACGTGCCGCACGCAGGACTGAGGGGTGGAGAGTGGGAGGCCATGGGTGTCAACGTAGGGTCCCTGGAGGTATTGATTCAGAGGGCAGTAGCCCCCGGGCAGGTCCTGGCTGGCCCCACCCAGGACCTCAGTCGCTGACCTCAGGACACGGTCCAGGCTCTTTCTATTCACGTCTGTGCGTGGCATCCTCCACGATACAAGCGAAAATCACCATTCCCCGCCTGCCTGGCGTTGGCAGCCAACCCCCAGGAGGCTCCCGGCCCTGGCTTCTCATTTCTCACCTCAGTGCGAGCATGGATCTAGGAGAACCCCAGCTCTCTTACAAGTTGATGAGTCAGGCCCCTGTCACTTCCTGGATCTTTCAATCCTGGCTGCCCGCAAGGCCAGGAAGAGCGAAAACAAGGGCTGGATTCAGCGGAAACACGGCAACACAGGACACAGCCACAGCGTGAGGAGCGAGCAAGCTGGAAAACCTGGATGGGGGTCTGGACTGGTTCACCTGCAATGAGATCAATGATCTAATCGCGGCAGGCGTGGTGGCTCATGCTTGTAATCCCAGCAGTTTGGGAGGCTGACGCGGGTGGATCACATGAAGTCAGGAGTTCGAGAACAGCGTAGTCAACATGGCAAAACCTCGTCTCTACTAAAAATACAAAAATTAGCCAGGCGTGGTGGCCAAGGCAGGAGAATCGCTTGAACCCAGGAGGCAGAGGTTGCAGTGAGCCGAGACGGTGCCACTGCACTCCAGCCTGGGTGACAGAATGAGATTCCATTTAAAAGAAAAAAAAAAATCTAATCCTGGATGAGAGTCCAGGGAAAGTGAGAGTGGAGAAAGCTTACATGAAAACGCAGACCAGATCCCTGAGTGTGGACCTGGAAAACGTGACACACGTCATCAGATTCAGATGAAGGGATATTGCCTGAAGTTTCATCAGCCTTCGGTGTGGAGTTGGCCTGATGTCCCCCAAGATGAATAGACTTGTCTCTACCCAAAGAAGCTTCTTCCACTCTGATAAAAGAAAGGAAAAATAGGCAAAGCCACAGACAATGTGATGAGTATTATAATAAGAGATTTGTTTAGTTTGGCTCCAAACATAGGAGGGAGTGGCCAACTGTATCTGGGGTCAACCAGAAGTAGAAAGAGAAGTAGGCCCTGGCTGGTGGAGAAATATTTTACCAGGCAGAGGGAACAGTGTGTGCAAAGGCCCTGAGGTTTGAATCCACCTGGAGTGCTAAGAAAAACATGCACGGACATCTGTGTAGCTGGAGTAAAGATAGGAGAAGAGGCTGGTGAGGTGGGCAGAGAGCAAATCTGAAAGAACTCCAATCTCAAGGTAAAGACATCATTCATTCATTCATTCCTTCATTCATTCAACAAATCACTGAGAAATTAATAAACACCTGTAAGTGTCCATTCCAGTGAGGATAAATTGCTATCCAGGAGTGAGGGGGAACAGCGTGATGTCTTATGGGTTGATAAGATGACCGAGGTCCCAGACAGTCTAAAGGGAATCACACTGACCTTCTGTCACTGTTGGAGTAAAGAACACTCTTCATTCAGGCTAACTTCTATAGGCAAAACGCCTTTTCCAGTTCATTAGCTGAATATCAGGTGCCAGGGGCTGTGCTGATTTGCTGAAGGAGACCTTACCCTGAGAAGACCAGCCACTTCCGAGGGTATCACCATTTTTTTTTTTTTTTTTTTGAGACGGAGTCTCGCTCTGTCTCCGAGGCTGGAGTGCAATGGCGCCATCTCTGCTCACTGCAAGCTCTGCCTCCCGGGTTCACGCCATTCTCCTGCCTCAGCCTCCCAAGTACCTGGGACTACAGGTGCCCACCACCACGCCCGGCTAATTTTTTGTATTTTTAGTAGAGACGGGGTTTCACCGTGGTCTTGATCTCCTGACCTCGTGATCCGCCCTCCTTGGCCTCCCAAAGTGCTGGGATCACAGCCGTGAGCCACTGAGCCCGGCCAGTATCACCATTTCTTACTTCTGTCTTCCAAGATCCATAAGCTCCTGCATAGATTAATCATGTGAATCAAAGGATAATGTTTAGGAATCACCCTCCCATATCCCACCCCTGTGTTTTCCAAGGCTTGATGCTGGCGCTGATCTCTGTGATTCCCTGGGTTGACTGTTTGGGAAGGATGATACTATGGTTTGGATCTGTGTCCCCACCAAATCTCATGTTGAAATGGAATCCCCAGTGTTGGAGGCCGGACTTGGTGGGAGGTGTTAGGATCTTGGGGATGGACCCCTCATGAATGGTTTAGTACCATCCCCATGGTGATGAGTGAGCTCACAAGAGATCTGGGTATTTTACAGTACGTGGCAAGGCCGGGCGCGGTGGCTCACACCTGTAATCTCAGCACTTTGGGAGGCCGAGGTGCATTGGATCGCCTGAGGTCAGGAGTTTGAGACCAGCCCGGACAACATGGCAAAACCCTATCTCTACTAAAAATACAAAAACTAGCTGGGAGTTGAACCCAGGAGGTGAAGGTTGCAGTGAGCCAAAATGGTGTCACTGCACTCCAGCCTGGGTGACAGAGGGAAACTCCATCTCAAAAATTTAATAATAATAAAATAAAAAAATAGAAGTGTGTGGCACCTCCCGTCCTCTCTCTCTTGCTCCTGCTTTCGACATGTTATGTGCCTGCTCCCTCTTCACCTTCCGCCATGAGTGGAAAAGCTCCCTGAGGCCTTCCCAGAAGCTGAGCAGATGCCAGCACCACGCTTCCTGTACAACCTGCAGAGCCGCGAGCCAATTAAAACTCTTTTCTTTATAAATTACCCAGTCTCAGGTATTTCTTTATAGCAATGAAAGACTGGCCCAATATAGATGGGGGAATTTCTAGGGGCTTCCATTTCTTCTTCCCACCATCAAAGCTTTCACACTACAGATCAGGGAAGCCAAAGCATTGTGTCTGCCATTTTATGAGAATGTCGATTTCAACTTCACTCTCAAGGCCTGAGGAAGGAGCCACACAGGGTCTTTAGAGTCCCGTTGACCCACTGTGTGATGGTCTTTAGGTGAACCCTCCGTTCGTTACCTGACAGCCCCAAGCACACCAGTCAGACCATGATTCACGGTGACCTGTGTGTGCCTCCAAATTAGGATTGATTCAGAGTCAGAGTCCAGTAGCCTTTTCTCTTTCTCTAATCCCCAGCGACCATGGATATTGGCCTTTAGGAGAAACTGGGAGGAAGGTTTACAGTATGTACTTTGACTAGTATCGGTGAGTCCTCCCTGAGGGAAAAGCATCCGCTACATGGAAGGGGTTCCAAGACTGAGAACTGGCTCAGGACTGGTAACAGGTGTGAGGCTTTAGGGGTGGACGTCGCTGGTGCTTCACCCAGATCTCCTTTGCAGGCACTGAGCACTCATTCTTAAGCAGTGTTGGCTGCTTGCAGATGCCACATTCTCAAGAGACTTGGTCTTGGCTGGGCGCAGTGGCTCACACCTGTAATCCCAGTACTTTGGGATGCCAAGGCAGGCGGATCACACGAGGTCAGGAGTTCGAGACCAGCCTGGCCAACATGGTGAAACCCCGTCTCTACTAAAAGTACAAAAATTGACCAGGCACAGTGGCTCACGCCTGTAATCCCAGCACTTTGGGAGGCCAAGGCAGGCGGATCACGACGTCACGAGATCGAGACCATCCTGGCTAACATGGTGAAACACCATCTCTACCAAAAAATATAAAAAATTAGCTGGGCATGTTGGCGGGCACCTGTAGTCCCAGCTACTTCGGAGGCTGAGGCGGGAGAATGGCGTGAACCCGGGAGGCAGAGCTTACAGTGAGCTGAGATCGAGCCACTGCACTCCAGCCTGGGCAACAGAGCCAGACTCTGTCTCAAACAAACAAACAAACAACAACAACAACAACAAAAAGTAGCTGGGTGTGATGGCAGGCGCCTGTAATCCCAGCTACTCGGGAGGCTGAGGCAGGAGAATCCTTTAACCCGGGAGGTGGAGGTTGCAGTGAGGCAAGATGGTGCCACTGCACTTCAGCCTGGGTGACAGAGTGAGAGCGAGATTTCATCTGAAAACAAAACAAAACAAAAAAAACAAAAAACTTGCTCTTGACCTGAGAGGAACGTGTTTTACTAGGAAAGTCATGAAACTCTCACCCCTGGAGAAGCCCATAGACAAAGATTAGAGGTTAAAAGTTCAGATCCTGTCTCTGTGATGGGATCCCTCTGAAGTGATAGCCTCACTTGGCTCCTTCCTCTGCCCCATACTGCTTTCATCACTCTCTGTCTTCTGAAAGCAAACCCTCAAACAGTTCATGAGCATCTGAATCCCTGCCTCAGGCTCTGCTTCTGGGAAACCTGAGCCCAGGCCCTCTGCTGCCCCACTGTGGTGACTCTGGTTCCTGCTCACCAGACCTAGAGATGGTATCATTACATACACCAAGCAACGCTCTCTTGGTGCTTCTCATCACACAGGTAAGAGGAATTGAAAAGAACTCAGGTGATGAGGGTCGTGCTAATGGGACTCTCATTAGTGGCTCCGTGGAAATTTCTGTTCTTAAGGGGAAAAGAGGAGCACGGCCGAGTCTCTCCTGAGGTTGCTGCTAAGATGTTGGCTGGGGCTGCATTCATCTGAAGGAGGGACTGGAGTTGGAGGGCCCGAGTCCGAGGTCCTACAGGTTTTGTTTTTGGTTTGCCTTCCCCATACACAGGCAGCTGCTCCAGGAGGACTTTGGAAGCTGGGGAATGTGGGTCATTTTGTGGAGTGGTTGATTTTTTTATTGTTTCTTTTTGTTTTTTGAGATGGAGTATCCCTCTGTCACCCAGGCTAGAGTGCAGTGGTGCGATCTCGGCTCACTGCAGTGTCCCCTCCTGGGTTCAAGCGATTCTCCTGCCTCAGCCTCCTGAGTAGCTGTGATTACAGGCATGCACCACCATGCCCGGCTAATTTTTGTATTTTTAGTACAGATGGCCACCATGTTGGCCAGGCTGGTCTTGAACTCCTGACCTCCTGCCTGAGGTCATCCACCTGCCTCGGGCTCCCATAGTGCTGGGATTACAGGCGTGAGCCACCATGCCCGGCCGAGGAGTTGGGTTTTGAAGAGAAAGCAAGTAGGGTGTGGTAGGACGGTGGGTGTGGAGTCAATGTAAGTGATGCATTTTTTTATAGACAGGGAGGGTGAGCATGTTTATAAGTTGGGGATCTAGATGGGAGGGAAGAGAGATAGAGGGAAGAGACAGTGAGGAGGAGGAGGAGGACCAGGAGAGAGAGAGAGACATCAAAAAGTATAGGGGAGACAGCTGGGTGTGGTGGCTCATGCCTATAATCCTAGAACTTTGGGAGGCCAAGGTAGGAGGATCACTTGAGTCTAGGAGTTCGAGACCAGCCTGGGCAACAAAGCAAGACCCTGTCTCAATAAAAAAAAAATTTTTTTTAAGATATAGACGAGAAACAGAGAAAGGTTAAAACAGAAACCCAAGCAAGTGATTGGCATGAATTACATCCGGTGCCCACTGAAAGGAAACTTCTCGCAACCAAACCTTTGTGTATACAGATGGGGAAACTGAGGCTCTCAGAGACAGAGAAACTGACTTCTCAAAGTGGTGGTGTGAGAACTTATTTATTTATTTGTTAATTTTGAGACAGAGTCTCCCTCTGTCACCCCAGCTGGAGTGCAGTGGTGCAATCACAGCTCACTGCAGCCTCCACCTCTTGGGCTCAACTGATCTTCCCTCTTCAGCCTCCTGAGTAGCTGGGACCACAGGTGTGCACCACCATGCCTGGCTAATTTACTTCTACTTTTTATAGAGACGGGATCTCCCTATGTTGCCCAGGCTGGTCTTGAACTCCTGGGCTCAAGGAATCCTCTCGTCTCAGCCTCCCAAAGTGCTGGGATTATAGGCGTGAGTAACCATGCTCAGCTGTTTTGTTTGCTTTTTTTTTTTTTTTTTTTTTCTTTGAGAAAGAGTCTTGCTCTGTCACCCAGGCTGGAGTGCAGTGGCGCTATCTTGACTCACTGCAAGCTCCGCCTCCCAGGTTCACACCATTCTCCTGCCTCAGCCTCCTGAGTAGCTGGGAGTACAGGTGCCTGCCACCACAGCCAGCTAATTTTTGCATTTTAGTAGAGATGGGGTTTCACCATCTTAGCCAGGCTGGTCTCGAACTCCTGATCTCAGGTGATCTGCCCACCTCGGCCTCCCAAATTGCTGGGATTACAGGTGTGAGCCACCGCGCCTGGCCATTGTTTTGCTTTCTGAGACAGGGGCTCACTCTGTCACCCAGGCTGGAGTGCAGTGGCACAATCGCAGCTTACTGCAGCCTTGACTTCCCAGTCTCAGGTGATCCTCCCACCTCAGCCTCCCGGTAGCTGGGACTACAGGCGTGCACTACCATGCCTGGGTAATTTTTTCTCTCTTTTTGTTTTTCTTTGTAAAGATGGGGTTTTGTATATTGCCCGGGCTGGTCTCAAACTCCTGGGCTCAAGTGATCCTCCCACTTCAGCCTCCTGAGTAGCTGGGCACACACCAATATGCCCGGCTGGGGTTTCTATTCTTCATTTCCGCACTATATGTGAGATGAAGGCAGTCCACGTGTGCACATAGTAAGTCAACAAAAACACCTTGAAAAGCCCTGGGTGTCAGGCCCCTTCTGAGCACAGGTGGCCTAGGGATGAACTAAAAATAAACATGACTAATATTTATCAACTGTTTAAAATGGGCCAGGCATTGTTCCAAGACTTTCCACGTAGTAACTCATCTATTTCTCTTAGCATATTTACAAGGGTGCCCATTCTTTAGAGATGAGGAATCTGAGTCACTGTGGATTTAAGTCATTTGCTCAGGGTCACAGATGGATATGCAAATTAGAGAGTCTGGGGTGTGGAAGACAGTGCACAGGGTCCTGACCAGGCTAGAAAGGCCCCAGGCCCGGCATGGGTCATTTCCAAGCTGAATCCTAATGGAGCAGTGGGTAGGAGACTGTTAGGGGGAAAGTAGGCAGGTGCATCTGGTGGGGGAGACAGTCTAGGCAAAGGCCAAGAGGCAGGAGCCCGCTGGGCTCATTTTGTGAGAGCTGCAGGGGCTTGTGGGAGACGGAGAGGGGAAAGGCGTCAGAGGCTGAATGGAAGAGCGTGCTCCAGGGACGAGGGGCATGAGGTCTAAGCCCCAGGCTGCTCTTGATGTGTGATCACCCACCAGGGAGGCGAGGGAGTCAGCTGGCCTTTCTCTCAGCACCCCCTGCTCTCATCCTCTGCCCCACGTCCCGCATCCGTGCAGCAGTGGGGCGCGGCACCCGGTACCTGGGGTGCAGAGGGAGATTTCGGGGGACAAAGTGGAGTGGGCTGGGGGCTGGAGAAAGGATGGGAGGCATCTCCAGTGTCAGAGCTAGAGGCAGCGGTGAGGGAGGAAGGTGAGGGCCAGCGGGGCAGGGTTGGGAGCTGGGTTCCACTTCCTCCTCCTCCCCTTCCCGCCCTGGCCTCTGGCTTCACCAATGATCTGGTAAAGGGGAAATTCTTGAGTGTAAAGTCCAGCAGGTGGAAGGACTAGGCCTGGGACTCCTGGGTCCCCGGCAGTGTCTGGAGGCATGGCTGGGGCTGGCGGGGGCCTCGGGGTCTGGGGGAACCTGGTGCTGCTGGTAAGTGCTCCCCGCCCAGAGCGGGCTCCCAAGGCAGGGACTCCCAGGTCTGAGGGAGAAGGAGCTGGGTGCCTGCACCTCGATCTTGAGGAAGTAGGTGCTGAAGATCCCCTGGAGAAGGAAGAGGGCTTCAGGCTTGGCAGAGACTGTAGGAGAGTCTTACACCTGGGCTCTTAGATACTGTCGTGTCTGCTGCGGGGGACACCAGCTTCACCCGGGCCCTTAGACATTGTCGTGTCTGTTGTGGGGGACACCAGCTTCACCCGGGCCCTTAGACACTGTCGTGTCTGCTGCGGGGGACACTGGCTTCAGGCAACACACAGCTGTGCTCACGGACAGGAAGCAGCCCCTCCTCCCTCAAACCAAGAGTCCAGACCCCAGCCCCTCCTCCCTCAGACCCAGGAGTCCAGGCCCCCAGCCCCTCCTCCCTCAGACCCAGGAGTCCAGACCCCAGCCCCTCCTCCCTCAGACCCGGGAGTCCAGGCCCCCAGCCCTTCCTCCCTCAAACCAAGAGTCCAGGCCCCCAACCCCTCCTCCCTCAGACTCAGGAGTCCAGACCCCCAGCCCCTCTTCCCTCAGACTCAGGGGTCCAGACCCCCAGTCCCTCCTCCTTCAGGCCCAGGAGTCCAGACCCCCAGCCCCTCCTCCCTCAGACCCAGGAGTCCAGACCCCAGCCCCTCCTCCCTCAGACTCAGGAGTCCAGGCCCCCAGCCCCTCCTCCCTCAGACCCAGGAGTCCAGACCCCAGCCCCTCCTCCCTCAGACCCGGGAGTCCAGGCCCCCAGCCCTTCCTCCCTCAAACCAAGAGTCCAGGCCCCCAACCCCTCCTCCCTCAGACTCAGGAGTCCAGACCCCCAGCCCCTCTTCCCTCAGACTCAGGGGTCCAGACCCCCAGTCCCTCCTCCTTCAGGCCCAGGAGTCCAGACCCCCAGCCCCTCCTCCCTCAGACCCAGGAGTCCAGACCCCAGCCCCTCCTCCCTCAGACTCAGGAGTCCAGGCCCCCAACCTCTCCTCCCTCAAACCAGAGGTCGAGACCCCCAGCCCCTCCTCCCTCAGACCCAGGAGTCCAGACCCCCAGCCCCTCCTCCCTCAGACCCAGGAATCCAGACCCCCAGCCCCTCCTCCCTCAGACCCAGGAGTCCAGACCCCAGCCCCTCCTCCCTCAGACTCAGGAGTCCAGGCCCCCAACCTCTCCTCCCTCAAACCAGAGGTCGAGACCCCCAGCCCCTCCTCCCTCAGACCCAGGCCCCCAGGCCCCCAGGCCCTCCTCCCTCAGACCCAGGAGTCCAGACCCCAGCCCCTCCTCCCTCAGACTCAGGAGTCCAGGCCCCCAACCTCTCCTCCCTCAAACCAGAGGTCGAGACCCCCAGCCCCTCCTCCCTCAGACCCAGGAGTCCAGACCCCCAGCCCCTCCTCCCTCAGACCCAGGAATCCAGACCCCCAGCCCCTACTCCCTCAGACCCAGGAGTCCAGACCCCAGCCCCTCCTCCCTCAGACTCAGGAGTCCAGGCCCCCAACCTCTCCTCCCTCAAACCAGAGGTCGAGACCCCCAGCCCCTCCTCCCTCAGACCCAGGAATCCAGACCCCCAGCCCCTCCTCCCTCAGACTCAGGAGTCCAGGCCCCCAACCTCTCCTCCCTCAAACCAGAGGTCGAGACCCCCAGCCCCTCCTCCCTCAGACCCAGGAGTCCAGACCCCAGCCCCTCCTCCCTCAGACTCAGGAGTCCAGGCCCCCAACCTCTCCTCCCTCAAACCAGAGGTCGAGACCCCCAGCCCCTCCTCCCTCAGACCCAGGCCCCCAGGCCCCCAGGCCCTCCACCCTCAGGCCAAGGTTCCTGATCCCCAACCTTGGTTTTTTTCTCCCTTCCCAGTCTGTTCATTGCTCTCTGCCCTCGGTTTTCCAAGGACATATATTTCAGGAAATGAAATCATTAATTTTATCTCTCAGCCTTATCGGGTGGAGCCAACCCCAGCTCCCTAAGCTCTGCTCCTGCCATGCTCCCCCTTCTCTCCTCGACCCAGGAAAGACGGTCGAGGTCGTGACAGCCCAGCCTAACACCGGCCCCTCCTTCCCATGCAAGGGTGACTCATGGGGCGGGGACCAGCCGCTCCTCCCAGCCCCTCGGCCTCACTGGGCGGAGGAGTGGTTGAGAGGCTGACTCCGTTTTCTCTGGGTTCCCTCCAGGGCCTGTGCAGCTGGACAGGGGCCAGGGCGCCTGGTGAGTGACCCCTGCCTGAACTCACTGCCCACTCGAAGAGGTGGGACCGCAACTGCCGTGAGCCTCTGGGGGGTCCCCGTGGGGTCCAGTGGTCCATGGTAGGGGTTTATGAGCGCCGTTGTTTCTGGACTTGGGGCGTGAGCTCAGGGGTTGGGAGGGATTGTACTGACCTGGTTCCCTTTTTGTCAGACCTTCCTTCCCAATTCTCAGCCCCCAACCCAGGGAGGAACCTGACAGTGGAGACTCAGACCACCAGCTCCATCTCCCTGAGCTGGGAGGTCCCCGATGGCCTAGACTCACAGAACTCCAACTACTGGGTTCAGTGTACTGGAGACGGCGGCACAACAGAGACTCGAAACACAACAGCCACCAACGTCACCGTGGATGGCCTTGGACCCGGGTCATTGTATACGTGTTCTGTGTGGGTGGAGAAAGACGGAGTAAATAGCTCTGTGGGGACTGTCACTACTGCCACAGGTAAGAGGCAGCCACTGCTTTATTTTTATTTCTTTTATAAGGACAGTGGTAGGGGGTGGTTGAGAGCTGACAAAATGCGACAGGTTCTTTAGTTGGATAGAAACACAGTGGAAGCCACACGTGAGAATTTCAATTTTCTATCAGCCACATAAAAATAAGTAAAAAGAAACTGGTCAGCCTGTCTCTACAAAAAAATTAAAAAGTAGCTGTGGTGGCGTGTTCCCGTGGTCCCATCTACTCGGGAGGCTGAGGTGAGAGGATCGCTTGAGCCCGGGAGGCAGAGGTTGCAGTGAGCTCTGATTGGACCGCTGCACTCCAGCCTGGGCAACAGAGAGAAACCCTGTCTCAAAAAAAAAAAAAGAAAAGAAAACAAAAGAAAACAAAAGAAAAGAAAAACAAACTAAATTACTATGAGAGATTTTATGTAGTCCATCAGATACAATTTTTTTTTTTTTTGAGGCAGAGTCTTGCTCTGTCGCCCAGGTTGGAGTGCAGTGGCATGATCTTGGTTCACTGCAACCTTTGCCTCCTGGGTTCAAGTGATTCTCCTGCCTCAGCCTCCCGAGTAGCAGAGACTACAGGCATGTGCCACCATGCCCAACTAACTTTTGTATTTTTAGTAGAGACTGGGTTTCGCCATGTTGGCCAGGCTGGTCTCGAACTCCTGACCTCAGGTGATCCGCCTGCCTCGGCCTCCCAAAGTGCGGGGATTACAGGTGTGAGCCACTGCACCTGGCAGATACAAGGTATTTTCATTTTGACTTGTAATCAATATAAAAACGATCATTCAATATATACACCAAGTATATACTCACACACACACAAATATATATAAAGGATCAATGAGACAGTTGACATTCTTAATTTCATACGAACTCTTCGAAAGCCGGTGTGGATCTTCCACTAACGGCTCATCTCATTTCACAAAAGCCACCTCACGGTGCTCAACACTCACGTGGAACTCGTGGCTGCCACACTGGACAGTGCAGAGCTGGGCCTCCCTGCCTCTACCTGCTGGATGCAACGGTTAAGGAAGGGCTGGAAAGTTTGAGGGCCAGAAACTACAACTGATTTTCCCTCCTGTGCTGGTTTTCAGCTCCCAACCCAGTGAGGAACCTGAGAGTGGAGGCTCAGACCAACAGCTCCATCGCCCTGACCTGGGAGGTCCCCGACGGCCCAGACCCACAGAACTCCACCTACGGGGTTGAGTACACTGGAGATGGTGGCAGAGCAGGGACTCGAAGCACAGCACACACTAACATCACCGTGGATGGACTTGAACCCGGGTGTTTGTATGCGTTTTCCATGTGGGTGGGAAAGAATGGAATCAACAGCTCCCGGGAGACTCGAAATGCCACCACAGGTGAGAGGCAGTCGCCATTTGTTTTGCTCTTACTTGTTTAAGGGGCAGTAGGCAGGAGAACGTAGCGGATTTCTATTCCATAGTCCCTCTGGGCCACATTGAGCCAGGTACTCATGTCCACATCCTGGGGCAGTCTCAGCTCAGGAGATGAAGAAGGAATGAATGTCCATGGTACCTCCAGCTGCTAAGCTGGGGCCGGTCTGTGTCTAGGACTCTCTAGAATGTACCTTCCTGCACCAAGAGGAATGTGTAGGGGCCAAGGCATGTTACCTGAGCTTTCAAGGAATTAGATACTGTGAGTGGGGACACTCTGACCCTCTGACTCTTCTTCTAGTCCCCAGCTGCGTCACATATTGAGGATGGAAACTCAGATCATCAGCTCCATGATCCTGATGTGGAGAGCTCCCTCTGGCTAGATCTCCATTGTCCGATATGGTAGCCACCAGCCACACATGGCTATTAAATTTAAGCTCGTTAAAGTTGCATGAAACTGCAAATTCAGTTTCACATTTCATATGTTTGAAAGCCCTGTTGAAGGGCTTCCATTTCCTTCTCTGTTCTCCTACCATACTGGAAGGTGGGAGAGCATTTCCATCGTTGCAGAAGCTCAGTTGGAAAGCGCTGGCTCAGGTCTTTGTTACTCAAAGTGTGGTCCATGTGTGGGCAGCATCCGGGTCTCTGAGAGCTGATGGAAATACATTGGCAAGTGACACTGGTGGGGGAGAAAAAGGGTGGGGGGGAGTGCAGTCTCTCAGCTCCATCCTAGCCCTGCTGAGTGAGAACCTGCATTTCACAAGGTCCCCTGTGAGATGTGCACACAGCAAAGAATGAGAAGCCCTGGTCTAGACCATAAACTCTGCATCTACTGGCACCAGCTGTTGAGGGACAACTAGGAACTCTGATGATCAAAAATGCCCACTTGGCCAGGCATGTTGCCTCACGCCTGTAGTCCCAGCACTTTGGGAGGCCGAGGTGGGAGGATCACCTGAGGTCAGGAGTTCGAGACCAGCCTGGCCAGCATGGTGAAAAAATATAAAAATAAGCCGGGTGTGGTGGTGCAGACCTGTAGTCCCACCTACTCGGGAGGCTGAGGCAGGAGAATCGCTTGAACCCGGACGGCGGAGGCTGTGGTGAGCCGAGATCGTGCCACTGCACTCCAGCCTGGATGACAGACAGAGACTCTGTCTCGAAAAAACAAACAAACAAAAAGCTCACTGGCTGCCCCCGTTATGTTCTGTAGTCCTGCTCATATTAGATCTTTCTTCCTAATTTCTCAGCTCACAACCCAGTGAGGAACCTGAGAGTGGAGGCTCAGACCACCAGCTCCATCTCCCTGAGCTGGGAGGTCCCCGATGGCACAGACCCACAGAACTCGACCTACTGCGTTCAGTGCACTGGAGATGGTGGCAGAACAGAGACTCGAAACACAACAGACACCAGAGTCACCGTGGATGGCCTTGGACCCGGGTCATTGTATACGTGTTCTGTGTGGGTGGAGAAAGACGGAGTAAATAGCTCTGTGGAGATTGTCACTAGTGCCACAGGTAAGAGGCAGCCGCTGTTTTATTTTTATTTCTTTTATAAGGACAGTGGTAGGGGGTGGTTGGGAGCTGACAAAATGTGACAGGTTCTTTAGTCCAATAGAAACACAGTGGAAGCCACAGGTGAGAATTTCAATTTTCTATCAGCCACATAAAAATAAGTACAAAGAAACTGGTCAGCCTGTCTCTACAAAAAAAATAAAAAAGTAGCTGTGGTGGCGTGTTCCCGTGGTCCCACCTACTCGGGAGGCTGAGGTGAGAGGATCGCTTGAGCCCGGGAGGCAGAGGTTGCAGTGAGCTCTGATTGGACTGCTGCACTCCAGCCTGGGCAACAGAGAGAAACCCTGTCTCAAAAAAGAAAGAAGGAAGGAAGGAAGGAAGGAAGGAAAGAAAGAAACTAAATTACTATGAGATATTTTATGTAGCCCATCAGATACAATTTTTTTTTTTTTTTTTTTGAGACAGAGTCTCCCTCTGTCGCCCAGGCTGGAGTGCAGTGGCGCAATCTTGGCTCACTGCAAGCTCTGCCTCCCGGGTTCAGGCCATCCTCCTGCCTCAGCCTCCCGAGTAGCTGGGACTACAGGCGCACACCGCCACACCTGGCTAATTTTTTGTATTTTTAGTAGAGACGGGTTTCACCGTGTTAGCCAGGATGGTCTCGATCTCCTGACCTTGTGATCCACCCGCCTTGGCCTCCCAAAGTGCTGGGATTACAGGCGTGAGCCACCGTGCCCAGCCCTTTTTTTTTTTTGGGACAGAGTCTCTGTCTCCCAGGCTGAAATGTAGTGGCATGATCTTGACTCACTGCAACCTCCACCTCCTGGGTTCAAGTATTCTCCTGCCTCAGCCTCCTGAGTAGCTGGGACTACAGGCATATGCCACCATACCTGGCTAACTTTTGTATTTTTAGTAGAGACGGGGTTTCGCCATGTTGGCCAGGCTGGTCTTGAGCTCCTGACCTCAGGTGATCCGCCTACCTCAGCCTCCCAAAGTGCTGGGATTACAGGTGTGAGCCACTGCGCCTGGCAGATACAAAATATTATCATTTTGACATGTAATCAATATAAGGAAAGGATCATTAAATATACACACTGAGTATATACCCACAAAATATATATATATATGTGTATGTATATATATGTGTGTGTATATATATGTGTATGTGTATATATATGTGTGTGTGTGTGTGTGTATAGGATCAATCAGATAGTTGACATTCTTAATTCTTAATTTCATACGAACTCTTCGAAAGCCGGTGTGGATCTTACACTAACGGCTCATCTCATTTCACAAAAGCCACCTCACGGTGCTCAACACTCACGTGGAACTCGTGGCTGCCACACTGGACAGTGCAGAACTGGGCCTCCCTGCCTCCACCTGCTGGATGCAATGGTTAAGGAAGGGCTGGAAAGTTTGAGGGCCAGAAACTACAACTGATTTTCCCTCCTGTGCTGGTTTTCAGCTCCCAACCCAGTGAGAAACCTGACAGTGGAGGCTCAGACCAACAGCTCCATCGCCCTGACCTGGGAGGTCCCCGATGGCCCAGACCCACAGAACTCCACCTACGGGGTTGAGTACACTGGAGATGGTGGCAGAGCAGGGACTCGAAGCACAGCACACACCAACATCACCGTGGATAGACTTGAACCCGGGTGTTTGTATGTGTTTTCCGTGTGGGTGGGGAAGAATGGAATCAACAGCTCCCGGGAGACTCGAAATGCCACCACAGGTGAGAGGCAGTCGCCATTTGTTTGATCTCTTATTTGTTTAAGGGACAGTAAGCAGTAGAATGTAGACGATTGTCTATTCCATAGTCCCTCTGGGCCATATTGAGCCAGGTACTCATGTCCACATCCTGGGGCAGTCTCAGCTCAGGAGATGAAGAAGGAATGAATGTCCATGGTACCTCCAGCTGCTAAGTTGGGGCCAGTCTGTGTCTAGGACTCTCTAGAATGTGGACCATAATGCCAAGGGGCACCTTCCTGCACCAAGAGGAATGTGTAGGGGCCAAGGCATGTTACCTGAGCTTTCAAGGAATTAGATACTGTGAGTGGGGACACTCTGACCCTCTGACTCTTCTTCTAGTTCCCAACTGTGTCACATATTGAGGATGGAAACTCAGATCATCAGCTCCATGACCCTGATGTGGACAGCTCCCTGTGTCTACACCTCCATTGTCCAATATGGTAGCCACTAGCCACACGTGGCTATTAAATTTAAACTCATTAAAGTTGCATGAAACTGCAAATTCAGTTTCACATTTCATGTGCTCAAAAGGCCTGTTGAGGGGCTCCCAGTCCCCCCTTCATCCTCCACGGTGCTAATGCCTACCATATTGGAAAGTGAGAGACTGTCTTCATCACCACACAAAGCTCCCTTGAGTCTCTCTTATTTTTTTCTTTTTTTTAGAGCTGGAGTCTCGCTTTGTCATCCAGGCTGGAGTGCAGTGGCAGGATCGTAGCTCGCTGCAGCCTCAAATTCCTGGGCTGAAGCAATCCGCCGACCTCAGCCTCCCAAGTAGCAGGGACTACAGGCGTGGGCCACCATGCCTGACTAATTTATTTTTTTTAGAGATGAGGTCTTGCTGTGTGGTCCAGGCTGGTCTCTAACTCCTGGCCTCAAGCAATCTCCCTACCTCAGCCCCACAAATTGCTGAGATTACAGGCATGTAATCTCACATGAAATGTGAAACTGTGCTGGGCCATTGGGCCTCTCTTAGGCAGTAACCCCAGGCATAAAGGCTTCACCTTTATGACCTAATCTTGCAAGGGCCCTACCTCTTAATGCTATTCCATTGGAGATTTTTATTTTGTTTTTTTTGTTTGTTTTTTTTGTTTGTTTTGAGACGGAGTCTCGCTGTGTCGCCCAGGCTGGAGTGCAGTGGCGCGATCTCGGCTCACTGCAAGCTCCGCCTCCCGGGTTCACGCCATTCTCCTGCCTCAGCCTCCCGAGTAGCTGGGACTACAGGCACCAGCCACCACGCCCGGCTAATTTTTTGTATTTTTAGTAGAGACAGGTTTCACCGTGTTAGCCAGGATGGTCTCAATCTCCTGACCTCAGGTGATCCCCTTGCCTCAGCCTCCCGAAGTGCTGGGATTACAGGCGTGAGCCACCACGCCCGGCACATTAGTCTGAGAAACACGGTCTAGAACATACACCCTGCATCTGCTGGCACCAGCAGTTGAACAAGAGCTAAGATGGTTGAGGGCAGTGAGGGGCCCACTCCTGCCCCGTTCTGTTCTGTATCTCCGACAACATAGGATCTTCTTCCTACTTTCTCAGCCCCCAACCCAGTGAGAAACCTCCATATGGAGACTCAGACCAACAGCTCCATCGCCCTATGCTGGGAAGTCCCCGATGGCCCATACCCTCAGGACTACACCTACTGGGTAGAGTACACTGGAGACGGTGGTGGCACAGAGACCCGAAACACAACAAATACCAGTGTGACAGCTGAGAGACTTGAGCCCGGAACCTTGTACACATTCTCTGTATGGGCAGAAAAAAATGGAGCACGTGGCTCCAGGCAGAATGTCAGCATCTCCACAGGTAGGAACCCTCAACGGCCACTCCCTGTTTTGGTGAGAGGTTAAGAACCAGCAGGAGCGGCGTGGCACCTCTTCTGGGCTCTGGCTCTGTAGTCCGTAGGCTCTGCAGACATCTGCCTCTCCAAGTCCACAGGACAGATGTAATCACAGCTGGGGGCTGGCTCTGCCCTGAGGAAGAAGAGAGCCCATCCAGACTTCTCCCGCTGAGTGTGGGGCTGTGGGGACACAGGCCTTTTCTTTCTTTCTTTCTCCTTCCCTTCCCCTTCCTTCCTTCCCTTTCCTTCCTTTCTTCCTTCCTTTCTCGCTTTCTCTCTTTCCTTTCTTTCTTTCCTTCCTTTCTCTCTTTCTTTCCTTCTCTTTCCTTCCTTTAAAGCCTTCCTTCCTCCCTTCCCTCCTTGTTCCTTCCTTTCTCTCTTTCTCTTTCTTTCCTTCTTTCTTTCTTTTTTTCTGTCTCTCTCTCTTTCTTTCTTTCTCTTTCTCTTTCTTTCCTTCTCTTTCCTTCCCTCCTTCCTTCCTTTCTCCCTCCCCTCCTCCCTCCCTTCCTTTCTCTCTTTCTTTCTCTTTTCTCTTTCTTTCTTTTCCTTCCTTCCTTCTTTCTTTTCTTTCTTTCCTTCTTTTCTTTCTTCTTTCTTGAGACAGAGTTTTCCTTTGTCACTCAGGCTGGAGTGCAATAGCACAATCTCAGCTCACTGCAGCCTCTGCCTCCTGGGCTCAAGCAATTCTCCTGCCTCTGCCTTCCAAGTAGCTGTGACAACAGGCACGCACCACCACACCCAGCTAATCTGTGTATTTTTAGTAGAGACAGGGTTTTGCCATGTTGCCCAAGCTTGCCTTGAACTCCTGGCCTCAAGTCACCCACCTTGGCCTCCCGAAGTGTTGGGATTACAGGCGTGAGCCACTGCGCCCGGCCTCTCTCTCTCTTTCTTTCTTTTGAGACGGTCCTGCTCTGTCTCCCAGGCTGGAGTGCAGAGGCACAATCATAGCTCACTGCAGACTGAACCTCCCAAGCTCAAGCGATCCTCCCACCTCAGCCTCCCTAGTAGCTGGGACTACAGGCATGTGCTACTATGCCCAGCTAATTTGTTTTAATTTTTAGTAGCGATAGGGTCTCACTATTTTGCTCAGGCTGGTATCAAATTCCCAGGCTCAGGCAACCCTCCCGGTTTAGCTTCCCAAAATGCTGGGATTACAGGCCTGAGCCACTGTGCCCTGCCAGGAAGTGTTTCTGGATGAGCTGGGCTGCACAAGGACAGGGCGTATCACTGTGTTCTGGACTCTTGAGGACTAGGGGATGTGGAAATCCTGACTCTGCTCCCTCTCCCAGTCCCCAACGCAGTGACAAGCCTCAGCAAGCAGGACTGGACCAACAGCACCATTGCTTTGCGCTGGACAGCTCCCCAGGGCCCAGGCCAGTCTTCCTACAGCTACTGGGTCTCATGGGTCAGGGAAGGCATGACTGACCCCAGGACCCAAAGCACCTCAGGTACTGACATCACCCTAAAGGAACTGGAAGCTGGCAGCCTGTACCACCTCACCGTCTGGGCCGAGAGGAATGAGGTCAGAGGCTATAACAGCACCCTCACTGCAGCCACTGGTGAGACACAGTCGGTTCTGAACCCAGCCCTATTAGGATGGGGGAAGGAAAAAGATGAAAGGACTTTGGGAGCTCCTTGGGAGATGAAGAGTACCCATGGGCCTCTCCAGCCTCACCGGCCGGAGCTTAAACCTGTAGGTCCCGTTCCTAGTGGGTGTCGTTTCTTAGCAGACAGGGCTTTCCAAGCTGTGGGACCTGTTTTTTCTCCCTTTGGGAAATGGACTCTTTGGGGTCAGGGGGAGCCCTCAATTGTCCAGCACCACCTCTCAGGAGCTGACAAAGTCACCAGCTGGACAATAGCCAACAGCTGGTCCCAGGGAATTAGATGAAGCGAGAGGGCCCCACCTCTCAGCCTAGGCACGGTGGGTCCCACTCATGAGAAAAATCAAAATCACTCTGGAGACTAGGTTCATTCTTTTTTGTGTGTGTGACAGGGTCTTGCTCTGTTGCCCAGGCTGGAGTGCAGTAGTGTGATCATGGTTACTGCAGCCTCGACCTCCTGGGCTCAACTGATTCTCCCACCTCAGCCTCCTGAGTAGCTGGGACCACAAACATGCGCCACCATGCCCAGCTCATTTAAAAAAATATTTTTTGTAGAGAGAGGGTCTCCTTATGTTGCCCAAGCTGGTGTCGAATTCTTGGGCTCAAGTGATCCTCCCGCCTCGGCCTCCCAAAGCACTGAGATTACAGGAGTGAGCCACTATGCCTGGCCTGAACCTGGAACTCTTTAATCCTTGGTCATTTGGGCTAAAAAGATGAAATTTATCAGCTCCCTCTACAAACGTGGTGTGTCTAGAGTGAGAAGACACCCTACCTGGGGTTCCTGTGGGAAAGAAAATACAGAGATCAGATCTCGAGGGCCATGAGAGGTGGAGGACTACAAATCCCATCACACCATGGGGCCATGACTTCATAAGCTGAAGCGATACAGAGAATCCATAGCCTCATGGGAACTGTAGTTTCAGTAGGTGGAATTGGTGTGCATTTGGGAAGAACAGAAAGATGACAGGGTGGGACCCAGGGCTGTAGCCAGGGGACGGAGAGGGCTAGGAGATTCTGGTCCCCATGGTCTTTGGGTATCTAGACTCTTTCCTGTGGTTCAGCCTCCTTAGCCACTGGAGCCATCAATAATGGATATCTCAGCTTTGCTGTGGGGGAGAGGCAGACAGGCTGGGGTAGGAGGGTCTTCGAGGATACCCCCTTAGGCCTCTGTTCTCACTTCTCAGCTCCCAATGAGGTCACAGATCTCCAGAATGAAACTCAGACTAAGAACTCAGTCATGCTGTGGTGGAAGGCCCCTGGAGACCCCCACTCTCAGTTGTACGTATACTGGGTCCAGTGGGCCAGCAAGGGACATCCCCGGAGGGGGCAAGATCCCCAAGCGAATTGGGTCAACCAGACCAGCAGGACCAATGAGACGTGGTACAAAGTGGAGGCCCTGGAACCCGGGACGTTGTACAATTTCACCGTGTGGGCAGAGAGGAATGACGTAGCCAGTTCCACGCAGAGCCTCTGTGCGTCCACATGTGAGAATCCCCTTCCTGCCTTCAAGTGGTGAACTGGGCTTAGCTCACAGTCCTTGCGAGCTGAGAGATGAATGGAATACAAATTCCATCAGGCCACAGGCCATGACTTCATGAGCTGCAGTGATGGAGGAGCCCAAGGCCTCATGGGAGTTGTAGTTTAAAAGGACTTATTTGTGTCCATTCGGGGAGGACAGAAAAGGAGGGAAGATGAGGTAGTTTGGATTTGGCGAGGAAGGGATGGGCTCGTCTCAGAAAACTGGGGGTAGGGGTGGAGGGGGTGGAAAGCCACCTTGGATGGCACTGCTGACCTCTTGCTTCCTTCACCCAGACCCAGACACAGTCACCATCACTTCCTGTGTCAGCACCTCAGCGGGCTATGGAGTCAACTTGATCTGGTCCTGCCCCCAGGGAGGCTACGAGGCCTTTGAGTTGGAGGTGGGAGGACAGCGGGGCTCCCAGGACAGATCTTCATGTGGGGAGGCTGTGTCTGTGTTGGGTCTCGGGCCGGCTCGGTCCTACCCAGCCACCATCACGACCATCTGGGACGGAATGAAGGTCGTGTCTCACTCTGTGGTCTGCCACACCGAGAGTGCAGGTGAGCGGAGCCGCGCGGGCCAGCCAGCTATGATGAAATTCTCGGTAGACCCCATCAGGCCCCATTGTGAGGAAATCAGTGGGACTCTTTTGTTTCTCATTTCCTTTGAAACATCTTTTTTATTTTGTATTTTGAGATGGAGTTTTGCTCTTCTTGTCCAGGCTGGAGTGCAGTGGCACGATCTTGGCTCATTGCAACCTCTGCCTCCCGGGTTCAAGTGATTCTCCTGCCTCAGCCTCCTGAGTAGCTGGGACTACAGGCACGTGCCACCACGCCCGGCTAATTTTTGGATTTTTAGTAGAGATGGAGTTTCACCATGTCGGCCAGGCTGGTCTCGAACTCCTGACCTCAGGTGATCTGCCTGCCTCAGGCTCCCAAAGTGCTGGGATTACAGGTGTGGGCCACCGCGCCATCCACAACTCACCACTTAAAGTTACAATTCAGTGACTCTTCTTATATTCACAACATTGTGCAACCATCATCACTATCAATTTTAGAACATTTTCATTACCCCCAACAGAAAGCTCACCCCGCTGAGCCACCACCCCCTAGTTCTCCCATTCCCCAGCCCCCAGCCCTCGGAAATCTCTCATCCACTTTCAATCTCTATAGATTTGCCTCTCTGGGACGTTTCATTAAAATGCAATCATAGAGTGGGCACAGTGGCTCATGCCTGGAATCCCAGCACTTTGGGAGGCTGAGGTGGAAGGATCACTTGAGCTCAGGAGTTCGAGACCAGTCTGGGCAACAGAGTGAGACCCCATCTCTACATTTTAAAAAATTAGCCAGCTGTGGTGGTGTGTGTCTGTAGTCCTAGCTACTCAGGAGGCTGAGTCAGAAGGATCACTTGAGCCCAGGAGGTTGAGACTGCAGTGAACTATGATCGGGGCCACTGCACTCCAGCCTGGGTGAAGGAACGAGACCCTGTTTCAAAAACAAAAAAAATGCAATCATACATTATGTGTTTCTTTGTGACTGGCCACTTTCACTGAGCATAATTTGTTTTTTTGTTTTTGTTTTTGTTTTGAGACTCACTCTGTCACCCAGGCTGGAGTGCAGTGGCATGATCTCTGCTCACTGCAACCTCTGCTACCAGGGTTCAAGCAATTCTTGTGCCTCAGCCACCCAAGTATCTGGGATCACAGGCATGTGCCACCATGCTTGGCTAACTTTTTATTTTTTATTTTTTATTTTTTGAGGCGGAGTTTCACTCTTGTCGCCCAGGCTGGAGTGCAGTGGTGCAATCTCGGCTCACTGCAACCTCCACCTCCCGGGTTCAAGCGATTCTCCTGCCTCAGCCTCCTGAGTAGCTGGGATTATAGGCGCCTCCTACCACGCCCAGCTAACTTTTATACTTTTAATAGAGATGGGGTTTTGCTATGTTGGCCAGGCTGGTCTCAAACTCCTGACCTCCGGTGATCCACCCGCCTCGGCCTCCTGAAGTGCAGGGATTACAGGCATGAGCCACCATGCCCAGCTAATTTTTAAATTTTTTTAGTAGAGATGGGGTTTTGCCATGTTGGACAGACTGGTCTCGAACTCCTGACCTGAAGTAATCCTCCTGGCTCCTCCTCCCAAAGTGTTGGGATTACAGGTGTGAGCCACCGCACCTGGCCTACCCATTCATTTTTATCCATTCATTGATCCAGTTGATGGGTCAGTTGAGTAGTTCCACTTTTGACCATTATGGGTAATGCCGCTAGGAACGTTTGTGGATAGGTTTTGTGTGGACGTATGTTTTTATTTCTCTTGGGTCTATACCCAGTAGTGGAACTGAGGGATCACATGGGAACTATACATTTAACTACCCCCCACCCCGGGTTTTATTTTTCCTAATGTGGTTGTATCATCTTGCAGTAATCAATGGGGTACCTGAAAAACTTTGGAGCTTAAGCTTTGGAAAGACCTGGCCATGTACCAAGACCATGGCCATAAGCTTCACTTTGCCCCATCAATCACTTCCTAGGAATAGGGTTTCTTATGAGATTGGGTCTCCAATCTGGAGAGAGACTGAGGGTTGATGTGGTGACCAGTGGATGCTGTTTGAACTGGGCTTTGCCAGACCCCATTGCTTAGAAAGTTCTCTCCCTTAGTAACAAGGATCCCTGAGAGAACAGGTCCTCTAGTCCAATTCTGTGAGGCCAAGTCCATTCTGTGAGGCCAAGTCTCCCGTACAGGTTGTAAGACCCTTCAGTTCCCTGTCAACAAACACACTCTTCCCAGGATTGCTGAGAAGCTGCAGCTTGGGGGCCTTCAAGGCTGATGAAGATGGGCCATAGGCTTGAGCCTACCCTAAGACGAGACATCTAATGACAGATCTTGGGAGAACTGTGCCATCAGAGCCTGAGAGCACCCATAGACACCACCAGATCAGCCAGGCGCGGTGGCTCACGCCTGTAATCCCAGCACTTTGGGAGGCCGAGGCGGGAGGATCACCTGTGGTTGGGAGTTCGAGACCAGCCTGACGAACATGGAGAAACCCTGTCTCTACTAAAAATACAAAAAATTAGCTGGGCGTGGTGGCGCGTGTCTGTCATCCCAACTACTCAGGAGGCTGAGGCAAGAGAATCACTAGAACCCAGGAGGCGGAGGTTGCGGTGAGCCGGGATTGCACCATTGCACTCCGGCCTGGGCAAGAAGAGCAAAACTCCGTCTCAAAAAACAAACCAAGAAAAAAAAAAAAGACACCACCAGATCTGGGTAGGCTCCGCTGCCGGGGAGTCCTTCCCCAGCCAGCAGGACCTCTGAGAAGATGAAGCCTCAATCTGGGGAGAACAGAAGCCGTCCATGCCAGGGATGATTTCACAACCAGCAAAGTGTTTCCCCCGCCTCGGCACTACAGACGTTTCCGGCTAGATCCTTCTTTGTTGTGGGGGGGCCGTCCTGCGCATTGTAGGATATTGAGCTGCACCTCTGCTTCCCACCCACTATGTGCCAGCAGCACTCCCACTTCCAAGCTGTGACAACCAAAAGCGTCTCCAGACATTGCCCGGTGTCTCTTTGGGAGCAAAATCACCCTTGTTGAGAACCACTAGTCTAAGCTAAGGAAGGCAAGAATCACTTTTTTGTTTTGTTTCGTTTTGTTCTTTTTTGAGACAGGGTCTCACTCTGTTGCCCAGGCTGGAGTGCAGTGATACGATCATGCCCACCACAGCCTCCACCTCCCAGGCTCAAGTGATCCTCCTGCCTCAGTCCCCTGAGTAGCTGGGACTACAGGCATGTACTACCATGCCCAGCTATTTTGTTGGGGTTCTTTTTGTTTTGTTTTGCTTTCTTTTTCTTTTTTTTTTTTTTGAGACAGAGTCTCACTCTATCACCCAGTCTGGAGTGCAGTCGTGCAATCTCAGCTCACTGCAGCCTCCACCTCCCGGGTTCAAGTGACTCTTATGCTCAGCCTCCTGAGTAGTTGGGATGACAGGTGTGCACCACCATACCCAGCTAACTTTTGTTTTTTTAGTAGAGACTGGGTTTTGTTATGTTGCCCAGGCTGGTCTCAAACTCCTGGGCTCAAGTGATCCACCCACCTCAGCCTCCCAAAGTGTTGGGATTACAGGGGTGAGCCACCATGCCTGGCCAGGAGTCACTCTTCAGCAACCAGGTCACCTGTGAAAATGATGGATAGTTGACCCTTGAACAATTGTCCCCTACACAGTAGAAAATCTGCATATAACAGCCGGGCATGGTGGCTCATGCCTATAATCCCAGCACTTTGGGAGGCTGAGGCAGGTGGATCACGAGGTCAGGAGATCAGGACCACCCTGGCTAACACGGTGAAACCCCAACTCTACTAAAAATACAAAAAATTAGCCAGGAGTGGTGGCGGGCACCGGTAGTCCCAGCTACTCAGGAGGCTGAGGCAGGAGAATGGCGTGAACCCGGGAGGCAGAGGTTGCAGTGAGCCGAGGTCGCACCACTGCACTGCAGCCTGGGTGACAGAGCAAGACTCTGTCTCAGAAAAAGAAAAAGAAAAAAAAATCTGCACATAACTTTTGACTCCCCCAAAACTTAACTACTAATAGCCTACTCTTGATTGGAAGCCTTACCAATAACATAAACAACATACATTTCATCTGTAATATGTACTACATACTGTATTCTTTTTGTTTGTTTGTTTGTTTTTGAGACAGAGTCTTGCTCTGTTACCCAGGCTGGAGTGCAGTAGTGTGATCTGGGCTCACTGCAAGCTCCACCTCCCGGGTTCACGCCATTCTCCTGCCTCAGCCTCCCGAGTAGCTGGGACTACAGGCGCCCACCACCACGCCCTGCTAATTTTTTGTATTTTTAGTGGAGATGGGGTTTCACCGTGTTAACCAGGATGGTCTCGATCTCCTGACCTCGTGATGTGCCCATCTCCGCCTCCCAAAGTGCTGGGATTACAGGCGTAAGCCACCGCGCCCGGCCGTACTATATGCTGTATTCTTATAATCAAGTAGCTAAAGAAAAAAATGTTACTAAGAATATCCTAAGGAAGAGAAAATGTACTCGCTATTTATTAAGTAGATCATCATAAAGGTCTTCCTCCTTGTAGTCTTCGCGTTGAGTAGGCGGAGGAGGAGGAGGAGGTAGGAGAGGGGCTGGTCTTGCTGTCTCAGGGGTGGAGGAAAATCCATGGGTAAGCGCGTAAGTATAACTGGACCGACGCAATTCACACCGTGTGATGTTCGGGGGTCAGCTGTCTTTGGACCAGGCTCCTGGGGAAGAGGAAAGGCTGGGCAGGGTTGGAGACAGATGAGCAGCTCAGACCTGCGCTCTGAGGGTTCCCGATGCCTCCTCCCCACAGGGGTCATTGCCGGAGCCTTTGTGGGCATCCTCCTGTTTCTCATCCTCGTGGGCCTGCTGATTTTCTTCCTGAAGAGGAGGTGAGACTCAGCACAGGGCTGACCGCCTGGAGGGTGGGGGCTGGAGAAGAAGGAGGAGGACCGCTGGTTGCAGCCTCACCCCCTGAGCCTCTCATCCTAACGTCCTTTTCCCAGGAATAAGAAGAAGCAGCAGAAACCAGAACTCAGGGATCTGGTCTTTAGGTGAGCAGAAGGTCTGGGGGGTGCATTGGAAAGAATCTGGTCAAATCAAGGGGTGTTTGCTGGCTGCCAGCTAGGTCAGAGGGTGGATCAATGCATTTACCCACAAAGGTCTCAGAAGGGGCCCATGCCTCTGCGACAGGGACCACGGCCCTTCCATCGTGACTCACTCCCCAAGCAGCCTGGGCCAGCGAATTCAGTTCTGGTCTCAACTCCCGGACATTCATTCATTCAGCAGATATCAGCTGAGCACCAGCATGTATCAGGCACTGTTCCAGGTGCCAAACAAACAGCAAATGAAACCAAGATTCTTGCCCGCCAGGGGCTTATATTCTAGTACAGGAGATATCAATAAACAAGATTGCTGGGTGCGGTGGCTCATGCCTGTAATCCCAGCACTTTGGGAAGCTGAGGCAGGCAGACCACAAGGTCAGGAGATCAAGACCATCCTGGCTAACGTGGTGAAACCCTGTCTCCACTAAAAAATACAAAAAATTAGCCAGGCTTGGTGGCGGGCACCTATAGTCCCAGCTACTTGGGAGGCTGAGGCAGGAGAATGGCGTGAACCTGGGAGGTAGAGCTTGCAGTGAGTTGAGATCACGCCACTGCACTGCAGCCTGGGTGACAGATCGAGACTCCGTCTCAAAAAAATAATAGTAATAAAAAATTAAAAAAGATCATAAAAAATATGATATAAACTTTCAGACAGGGCCAGGCATGGTGGCTCACGCCTGTAATCCCAGCTACGCAGGTGGCTGGGGCAGGAGAATCACTTGAACCCGGGAGCAGAGGTTGCAGTGAGCTGAGATTGCACCATTGCACTCCAGCCTGGGCAACAGAGTGAGACTCTGTCTCAAAAAAAAATTATATATATATATAATTTATAATATATATAATATATAATATATAAATTTATAATATATAATATATTATATGTTATATATATAATATATTATATATTATATATATTATACAATATAAAATATACATTATATATAATATAATATATAAATTATATAATATATAATATATAAATTTATAATATATAAAATATATAAATAAACTTGGAGACAAGGCAAAAGGAGGGGATAGGAAGGGTAGAGGAATATTGTGATATTCTTTTTTTTTTTTTTTGAGGTGGAGTCTTGCTCTGTCACCCAGGCTGAAGTGCAGTGGCATGATCTCGGCTCACCGCAACCTCCGCCTCCCGGGTTCAAGCAATTCTACTGCCTCAGCCTCCCGAGTAGCTGGGAATACAGGCATGCACCACCACGCCCAGCTAATTTTTGTATTTTTTAGTAGAGACAGTGTTTCACTATGTTGGCCAGGCTGGTCTTGAACTCCTGACCTTGTGATCCACCTGCCTCGGCCTCCCAGAGTGCTGGGATTACCGGCGTGAGCCACAGCCCCTGGCCTATTTTGATATTCTTCTAATGTGAAAATTAGAATAAATTAGAGAGAAAATCAGATGAATTATTTTATTTTATTTTATTTTATTTATTAATTTGTCAAGACAGGGTCTCACTCTGTGGCCCAGGCTGGAGTGCAGTGGCGCAATCATAGCTCACTGCAGCCTCGACCTCCTGGGCTCAAGTGACCCTCCCATCTCAGCCTCCCCAGTAGCTGGGACCACAGGCACGCACCACAATGCCTGGCTAATTTTTTAATTTTTTGTAGAGATGGAGGTCGGGGGGGTGGTCTTACCAGGTTGCCCAGGCTGGTCTTGAACTTCTGGCCCCAAGCAGCCCTTCCACCTCGGCCTCCCAAAGTGTTTGCATCACAGGCGTGAGCCGCTGCACCCAGCAGGAATATTTTCGGCAGGATATTCAAGGAAAGCTTTGCTAACAAGATGACTAAGAGGAAGTCATCTGAGTACAGGCCTACGCAAGTGGGAGAGGAGCCGAGCATGCATCTGGGAAAGGCGCTCCCAGGACAGGGATGGGCGCGTGGAGGGCCTGAGGCAACAGCACACGTGAGGTTCAGAGAACATCGTGCGTCTCCGACTGAGCAGAGTGAGGAAGGGGAGGGCAGTGGGAAGTGAGGTCAGAGAGACGTCAGTGGGGCCACAGCAGGCACAGGCCTGTAGTTGAAAGTTAGGACTTTGGATTTATTGTGAGCTGAGAGTTCTTGGGAGATTTTGAATAGGCTAGTGACACAGTCTAACATGTTTAGGAAGAAGTCTAACATGTGGAAGAGATTTGTAATAATCCAGACAAGAGGCCAGGCGTGGTGGCTCACGCCTGTAATCCCAGCACTTTGGGAGGCCGAGGCGGGAGGATCACTTGAGGTCAGGAGTTCGAGACCAGCCTGATCAACATGGCAAAACCCCGTTTCTACTAAAAATACAAAAATTAGCCGGGCATGGTGGCTGGCACCTGTAATCCCAGCTACGCAGGAGGCAGAGGCAGGAGAATCACTTGAGCTCCAGAGGCTGAGGTTGCAGTGAGCTGAGATCACACCACTGCACTCCAACCTGGGCGACAGGATGAGACTCTTTCTCGGAAAAGGAAAAGAAAAAGAAAGAAAGTGAAACTACAGGAATGGGCCAAACCCTGTAAGAAGTGTGCGTCCAGCAAGAAAAGTGGCTTGGGGTTGGACACTGGGGAACAGTTACCTTTTAAGACGGACAGAGGAGGAGGGGCCTGCCCAGGAAATGAACAAGCAGCAGCTGGGTAGGTGGGGGCCAAGCCAGGGCTGGGTGTTCCGGAACAGTGCAGATCCAGGAGAAAAGGCAGGCACAGGCAGTGGTGCTAAATGCTGCTGAGCAGTCAGGCCGGTGGGGGCTGAAACGTGGCCTTTGCAATTACAGACAGGGAGGCCACGACGATTTTGGAGAAAGGTGTTCCCTGGAGTAGTGGATATAGACTCCAAGCCATGGTGATAGGATGACAGGAAGGAGAAAAAAACTGGTCTGCATGAGAAGTGTAAGTGTAGGGCTGTCTGAGTATGTTTATTATTTTTTATTTTATTTTATTTTATTTCTTATTTTTTGAGACGGAGTCTCGCCCTTTCACCCAGGCTGGAGTGCAGTGGTGCGATCTCGGTTCACCACAACCTCTGCCTCACGGGTTCAAGAGATTCTTCTGCCTCAGCCTCCCGAGTAGTTGGGACTACAGGCGTGCAACACCACGCCCGGCTAATTTTTGTAGTTCTAGTAGAGATGGGGTTTCACCATGTTGGCCAGGCTGGTCTCGAACTCCTGACCTCAGGTGATCCACCCGCCTCGGCCTCCCAAAGTGCTGGGATTACAGGCGTGAGCCACCATGCCCAGCCCTCAAAAGTGCAAGATTAAAAGAAGTTACGGTCTTTTCTCCCTGCTCCCCCAAAACCCGTAGCTCCCCAGGGGACATCCCAGCTGAAGACTTCGCTGACCACGTCAGGAAGAATGAGAGGGACAGCAACTGTGGTTTTGCAGACGAGTACCAGGTGGGGAGAGGACAGAGGGGCTGAGCTCAGTCTCCCTCCGGTGGCCCAGACCCCCACCCCCCACCCCCTGGCCAGACCTCACGGCTTTCGGGATTAAGCAAAAGTAGCATCACATATGTCATTGGATTGTGCAGAGATTCCCAGCCATGTTATCTTTCCACTCACTGAAATCTTAAAATAATGGTGGGTCAGTCCTAAAGTAACTCTCTCTGCCCCCACCCAGTGAGTCCTTTCTCCCCTGACACCTGCTTTCTTGCCTGCCTGAAGAAGTCCCATGGTTCCCTAAATCCTCCCCAGTGCCCCACAGGGCAGGTGGCACACACATCTATTCTGTTTTTGTGGGTGCCATATAATCTCAGGGTGCAACGAATAAACAAGGGGTGATGCCGAAGAAGGCAAGGGGAGCTCGGGGGTACCCCCGAGGGAAAGTAGAGAAAATCCAACACCAGGTACCCCCTCTCCCTGCATCCCCAGCAACTCTCCCTGGTGGGCCACAGCCAGTCTCAGATGGTGGCTTCGGCTTCAGAGAACAACGCCAAGAACCGCTACAGAAATGTGCTGCCCTGTGAGTCTCGGGTTCCTGCTGCTTTTGTCCCAGCCCTGATCTAGTCGGCACCCCACCCCAGTCCCCTTCTCCTACCCGCTTTGAGAAACAAGTCCTGCCCCCTACCGTGGGTCTCCTTTTTTTTTTCTTCCTTTTTTTTTTTTCTTTTTTTCTTTTTTTTTTTTTTTTGAGACGGAGTCTCGCTCTGTCACCCAGGCTGGAGTGCAGTGGCGCGATCTCGGCTCACTGCAAGCTCCGCCTCCCGGGTTCACGCCATTCTCCTGCCTCAGCCTCCCGAGTAGCTGGGACTACAGGTGCCCGCCACCTCGCCCGGCTAATTTTTTGTATTTTTGGTAGAGACAGGGTTTCACCGTGTTAGCCAGGATGGTCTCGATCTCCTGACCTTGTGATCTGCCCGCCTCGGCCTCCCAAAGTGCTGGGATTACGGGCGTGAGCCACTGCGCCCGGCCCCCCACCTTTTTTTTTTCTTTGAGACAGAGTCTTGCTGTCACCCAGGCTGGAGTGAAGTGGCACCACCTCCGCTCACTGCAACCTCCACCTCTCGGGTTCAAGCAATCCTCCCGCCTCAGCCTCCCTAGTAGCTGGGACTACAGGCGCCCGCCACCATGCCTGGCTAATTTTTGTATTTTTAATGGCGACCGGGTTTCACCATGTTGGCCAGGCTGGTCTTAAATTCCTGACCTCAGGTGATCCACCCACCTCAGCCTCCCAAAGTTCTGGGATTACAGGTGTGAGTCACTGCACCCGGCTGTGGGTCCCTTTGAGAGTCCTCCTGGCCTGCTCCCTGCAGCTGAGGTCCCTCCGCCCCTCTCAGTCCCTGTGTAGCTCCCAAGGTCTGCCTGCGTCTCGGCATGACTTTTGTCCATGGGTCTTGGTCTTGTCTCTGTGCCTCTCTGGGTCTCTCTGCCTGTGGTCTTGTCTCTGTGCCTCTCTGGGTCTCTCTGCCTGGCTAATGCTGGCCTCTTCTCCTAGATGACTGGTCCCGGGTGCCCCTGAAGCCCATCCATGAGGAGCCAGGCTCTGACTACATCAATGCCAGCTTCATGCCCGTAAGGTCGTGGTTGGGATTGAAAGGGTGCCCAGCACGCCTGGAGAGATAAGAGCTCGGGGATCAACTAAAGGCCCCCCTGACCCGCCTGCCTTCCTCAACCAGGGTCTCTGGAGCCCCCAGGAGTTCATTGCAACCCAGGGTCCCCTGCCACAGACAGTGGGTGACTTCTGGCGCCTGGTGTGGGAACAGCAGAGCCACACCCTGGTCATGCTGACCAACTGCATGGAGGCCGGCCGGGTGAGAGATCTGAGTCCTGGGTGCTGACTGGGTGCAGGACCCCGCCCCGAACACTCATCCAATGTAGACCCCACACCCAGACCTTACGGATTCCTCCAGGGTAACCCCAGGCGTCTTCAGTGTAGACCTGTTCCCCACTCTCCCCCCAGCCCATCTGCTGGTTCACATTTGGGGCCTAAAGCAGACCCCACAGACCTGGGTAAGAGGAGTTGTGTTCTCTGACCCCTCCTCCTCCCCCAGGTGAAGTGTGAGCATTACTGGCCTCTGGACTCGCAGCCCTGCACCCATGGGCACCTGCGGGTAACCCTGGTAGGTGAGGAAGTGATGGAGAACTGGACGGTGCGGGAACTGCTGCTCCTCCAGGTGCGTGTGTCCAGCCCCGTCCTGGCCCTCAGCCTTCCCCTGTGACATATGCCATGCATCCAGGACCCTCCACCAACTCCAACCTTCCACCCACTCCTCTGAGGAGCTGCAGTGTGCCCCAGGGAACCCGCTCCTGGTGCTAGAAGCCAGGTCCTCCCTACATTCATCTCCAGAGCCTGTGAGTGCTCCCTCCTTCCAGGTGGAGGAGCAGAAGACACTGTCTGTGCGCCAATTCCACTACCAGGCCTGGCCGGATCACGGCGTTCCCTCCTCCCCAGACACCTTGCTGGCTTTCTGGAGGATGCTTCGGCAGTGGCTGGATCAGACCATGGAGGGAGGCCCACCCATTGTGCACTGCAGGTGGGGACCAGCCCAGGACCCTCTCCCTTGAGAGAACCGCTCCCTTGGGGCTCAGACAGTTGTGTTAGACGGGACCCTGGGAACGTACAGGGGAGGTGAAGAGGGAGAGAAGGAGGAGGTGGATGTGGAAGATAAAGGGGGGCGTGAAGCAGATTAAGAAAAGAAAGGGGATAAGGATGAAAAGATGGGAACGAAAGATGAAAAGGCAGGCCAGGAGCGGTGGCTCATGCCTGTAAATCCTAGCACTTTGGGAGGCCAAGGCGGGTGGATCACTTGAGTTCAGGAGTCTGAGAACAGCTTGGCCAACATACAAACCTTGTCTCTACTAAACATACAAAAATTAGCCGGGTGTCGTGGCGGGCACCTGTAATCCCAGCTACTCAGGAGGCTGAGGCAGGAGAATCACTTGAACCCGGGAGGCAGAGGTTGCAGTGAGCTGAGGTCGCACCACTGCACTCCAGCCTGGGTGACTCTGTCTCGATTAAAAAAAAAAGGAAAAAAAGAAAGATGAAAAGGTAAAGGCAGAGAAGGTTGAATGCAGAAGAGAAGGGAGAAAGGATGAAGCCACAGGATGGGGATGTGGCCACAGATTCTGAGAAACACTGGAGACACTTCCCTGTGCTGGAGTGCAGGGCCTCCCCCATCAACTGCTTCCCTGATATTTATTTTATTTTATTTATTTTATTTTATTTTATTATTTTATTTTATTTTATTTGAGATGGAGTCTCTCCCTGTCGCCCAGGGTGGAGTGCAATGGCGCAATCTCAGCTCACTGCAACCTCTGCCTCCCGAGTTCAAGCAATTCTCCTGTCTCAGCCTCCCGAGTAGCTGGGATTACAGCTGCTCACCACCACACCCAGCTAATTTTTGTATTTTTAGTAGAGATGGGGTTTCACCATGTTGGCCAGGCTGGTCTCGAACTCCTGACCTCGTGATCCGTCTGCCTCTGCCTCCCAAAGTGCTGAGATGACAGGCGTGAGCCACCGCACCTGACCCTTTCCTGATATTTATGCTGAAGTCCCGTAGGTCAGATTTCACCTAACGGTAACTATTAGGGAGATGAGGAAGAGTAACAGCCCCTGAGACTGGGGCTCTGGTTTCAGTCACAGTGAACATTTACACAGTTCTACTGCTCCTCATGACAGTCTCATGGCAAAAGGGTGTCCTCCCCATTTTATTTTATTTTATTTTATTTATTTATTTGTTTGTTTATTTTGGAGGCAGAGTTTCGCTCTTGTTGCCCAGGCTGGAGTGCAGTGGCATGATCTCGGCTCACTGCAACCTCTGCCTCCTGGGTTCAAGCAATTCTCCTGCCTCAGCCTCCTGAGTAGCTGGGATTACAGGCATGTGCCACCACGCCCGGCTAATTTTGTATTTTTAGTAGACACGGGGTTTCTCCATGTTGGTCAGGCTGGTCTCAAACTCCCAACCTCAAGTGATCCGACCACCTCGGCCTCCCAAAGTGCTGGGATTACAGGCGTGAACCACTGTGCCCGGCAATGTCCTCCCCATTTTAGAGCTGAGTGGATGTCATCACATCATTCCATTAGTGTGCATATCCAGAAGCATATCTAGATCAGCCAAAGCAACAGAGACACTGAAGAGATTAGTAGCTTCCAGGCCCTGGAGGGTGACAGGCAATAGGGAGAGACGGCCTAATGGGCGTGGTGTCTGCTTTAGGGGTGATGAAAGTGTTTTGCAAGTAGATAGAGGTGGGGGCTGCACAGCGTTGTGAGTGTGACAAATTGCTCACGTTCAAATAGCTATTTTTTTTTGTGGAGACAGAGTCTCGCTATGTCACCCAGGCTGGAGTGCAACGGTGCGATCTCCGCTCACTGCAACCTCCACCTCCCAAGTTCAAGCAATTCTCCTGCCTCAGCCTCTTGAGTAGCTGGGAATACAGGTGCCTGCCACCCCGCCTGGCTAATTTTGGTATTTTTAGTGGAGATGAGGTTTCTTCATGTTGGCCAGGCTGGTCTCCAACGCCTGACCTCCGGTGATCCGCCTGCTTCAGCCTCCCAAAGTGCTGGGATTACAGGCGTGAGCCAGTGCGCCCAGCTTAAAATAGCTAATTTATTTATTTATTTATTTTTGTGGGGGACGGAATCTTGCTCTGTCGCCCAGGCTGGGAGTGCAGTGATGTGATCTCGGCTCACTGCAATCTCCGCCTCCCGGGTTCAAGTGATTCCCTTGCCTCAGCCTCTCGAGTAGCTGGGACTACAGGCGCCCGCCACCACACCCGGGTAATTTTTTTTTTTTTTTGGTACTTTAGTAGAGACGGGGTTTCACCATATTGGCCAGGATGGTCTCAATCTCCTGACCTCGTGATCCACCCACCTCAGCCTCCCAAAGTGCTGGGATTACAGGCGTGAGCCACTGTGCCCAGCCTAAAATAGCTAATTTTTTCACTGGGCACAGTAGCTCATGCCTGTAATCCCAGCACTTTGGGGGGCTGAGGTGGGAGGATCACTTGAGTCCAGGAGTTTGAGACCAGCCTGGGCAACATGGCAAGACCCCGTCTCTATTAAAAAGTTAATAAGTTAGTCAGATGCAGTGGTGCATGCCTGTGATCCAAGCTACTCAGGAGGCTGAGACAGGAGGATCACTTGAGCCCAGGAGGTCAAGGGTGCAGTGAGCCGAGATCATGCCACTGCACTTCAGCCTTCGTGACAGAGAGAGATCCTGTCTCAAACAAAACAAAAGACTAATTTTTGTGTTTAAAGGAATTACTAAATGATTGGCTGGAGAGTTCCTCTTCCTGTATTTGAACCCCGGCTCTGCCACTTATTAGCTGAGTGGCCTGGGGAATGGGACTTCACCTCACTCAGCCTCCATTTCCCCATTTGTACAATGGAGCTAGTACATCCGACTTCTTAGGTTTGGGAGGAGTGAAGAAGGCCCATCAGGCACTTAGAACAGAGCCTAACAGATGGAAGGAACTCCAGGCAGTTTTGTTGTTGTTGTTGTTGTTGTTTTTGAGATGGGAGTTTTGCTCTTGTCGCCCAGGCTGGAGTGCAGTGGTGTGATCTTGGCTCACTGCAACCTCCACCTCCTGGGTTCAAGCGATTCTTCGCCTCAGCCTCCCAAGTAGCTGGGATTACAGGCATGCGCCACCATACCCGGCTAATTTTTGCATTTTTAGAAGAGACGGTTTTGCCAGGTTGGCCAGGCTGGTCTGGAACTCCTGACCTTGGGTGATCCACCGGCCTCAGCCTCCCAAAGTGCTGGGATTACAGGTGTGAGCAGGCATAGTTATTGTCATCATTCAAACACAGATCCCTCCAATCAGCCATGACCCCGGACCCTCACACTCCTGCCCCTTGGTCTGACCCTTCCCTTGTTCTGCCTAGTGCTGGCGTGGGTCGCACAGGAACCCTCATTGCCCTGGACGTCCTGCTCCGGCAGCTGCAGTCCGAGGGTCTCCTTGGGCCCTTCAGCTTTGTAAGGAAGATGAGAGAGAGTCGGCCGTTGATGGTGCAGACTGAGGTGAGGCAGTCCCTCAGCAACACAGGACGGGAGGCAGTGGGACGAGGGACCCTGGGGCTCCACGCAGCTCAGACCTGGGGGGACGCCTCTCACTCCCGTGCCTGCTTCCCAGGCTCAGTACGTATTCCTGCATCAGTGCATCCTGCGGTTCCTCCAACAGTCAGCCCAGGCCCCAGCCGAGAAGGAAGTCCCGTATGAGGATGTCGAAAACCTCATCTACGAGAACGTGGCCGCCATCCAGGCCCACAAGTTGGAGGTCTAAGTGACGAGGGGGCTGGGTCGGCAGCCCAGGCATCCTCAAGCTCTGGACACCCACTTGAGCCCAGATTCCTGGAAGAGCAGAGGGCTGGGCTCCCAGACTCCTGGGTGCTGTGGGAGGAGGGGGCTGGTATCCCAAACTCTGGTTTCCCCAGGAGAGAGTGGTCTGGTGGGCTTCAGATGAGTCCTATGGGAGCTGGGGATCTGGATTCCTGGTTCCCTGAAGGAGGAGAGGGATGATAGCTTGGATTCCCTAGGTCTTTCCAGGATGCAGAAAGAAACAGGCTGGGGCCTGGATTCTGAGGCAGGAAGGAATTTGGGTCTGGAGTTCTGGCTACTTGAGGACCAAAGGCAGGAAGGATCCTGCCTTGATTTTACTTCAGAAACCAAATCAGTCTTCTATAATCTGGGGTCGGAGGGAGTCCCTGTGCCCAAGGTCTCTCTGCACCCCACCATCCACATGTATTTTTCCTTCTATCCCATAATTTATTAAATCACTGTTCTCCCCAGAGACAGTTGTCCCATGGATTTCTGGGTCTGGAAATAATATTGGATTGGGAGTAGGGATGGGTTCCTGGTATCTAGGGATCGAGGCGAACGTCCAGGAGGGGACTAGAGGGACCCACACATTTGCACATGAAAAAATGTAGGTTTGGGTGGTTGAGTCTCTCAGAGAAGGCAGTGTCCAGACGTCTGTGTCCAGGGTCTGGGCAGTATGGACAGGGCTCGCTGGAGCTAGGTGCTTGGGGACTTGCCTTCTGAGCTTTTCTTTTACTCTTCTCTGTTGTTGTTGTTGTTGTTTTGTTCTGTTTTTGTTTTTGTTTTTGAGACATGGTCTTGCTCTGTTGCCCAGACTGGAGTGCAGTGGCTCACTGCAGCCTTGACCTCCTGGGCCCAGGTGATCTTCCCACCTCAGCCTCTAGAGTAGCTGCCATCACAAGTGCGCACCACCACGCTGGCTCATTTTTGTAGAGACGGGATTTTGCTATGTTGCCCAGGCTGGTCTCCAGCTCCTGGGCTCAAGCATTCCTCCTGCTTCGGCCTCCCAAAGTGCTGAGGTTACAGGTATGAGCCACCGCACTGGCCGCCTCCTGGGACTGGTGTTAGGGGAACTTAGAGGGCGATGTCTGGGGGCTGATAGCTGGGGACTTTGATGCTGAACCCTGCAGAGTCTGGGTCTCCAATGGGGGTCTGGGGTCTCCTAGGTCCTAGGACTGAGTATCCTGGCATGCCGTTCTTTGGGCTATACAGGGTGTGTGTCGTGTGTGTTGGGGCGGGAGGAGTGGAGTGGTCTGGACGGCCAACGACTGGACCAGAAGGCAGAAAATGCTAAAGCACCAGGATAAACATCTGTGGGCGTCATCGAGGTTCCCGGGTGGAGGCGGGAGGAGGGGCGGGGCAGGGCTTTCCGCCTACCCGAGACCAAATACGGGCACACACAATACACACCACACACGCGCGCACACGCACACGGGCACACACGCGCGCACGGGATCCTGCTCCGCTCCGCGGCTCCCCCGCCCCGGAGAGCTCCGCGATCAGCACCCGGGACAGCGCCACCGCCCACGTGCAGGGGGTGGGGTCCGGGCGGGGCTGGCGCCTCGGCGTCTCCCGGGAGTGTCCCGTCCAGCCGCCGAGCAGGTAGGAGCTGCTGGGACCCCCGCCCTCAGCCCATCCGCATCCGCATCCCTAGAGGAAAGGGGTGTGCGAGTGGGGGCTGGGGCACTGGGGAGACAACCAGAGGGAGGGCAGCAGCCTGAAGCGGAGAGACAGGGATCTGGGGACGCGAGACAGGTATGGAGAAGACAAAGAGCCGAGGGCGGGGAGTGGGGCGCAGGCGGAGGGGAGAGGGAGAGACCCTGGAGACAGAGGCCAGGCGATAGGGAAGAGAGACAGGCGGGTTGGGGAGGCAGACACAGGGAAGACGCCTATGTGGGGTCAAGAGGCAGCGTGGAGACCGAGGCGGTCACGAGAGCAGCACGGATGCGTGGAGAGACCAACAGGCCAAGAAGGATGAGGGGGCTCAGCACAGGCACCGGGCAGCCCCCGACCCGCCCTCCAGCAAAATTGGGGAGAGGGAAGAGGGAACCTGCGTCTCAGCTCCCAGGACCAGGTGCGGAGGGAGCAGTCGGCTGTGGGCGCTCGGACCACAGGCTGCCCGCTCCCCACCTCGCGGGACCTCAGGATCCCAGTCGGGCTATTGGGGGGTTCCCAGGCACCGGTGGGCCCCGGAGCGAGCCTGCCCCGCCGGGACTCCGCGTCTGTGCGTCAGCCCCGCCCGTTGTCCTGGCAACAACCCGTTGCCCGGGCAACCAGCTTTGCTCTCACCCCGCTTGAGAGGAGCCCGGCTGTTGCTCTGGGCAACGCGGTCTGCTGGTTCCCACGTCTGCCTTCGCCCGCTTCCGGTTCAGACCCTGCGGAGGGGCGAGGACGAGGCAGAAGTCAGCGGGATGCCTGTGGGGCCGTGGAGGAAGAGGGTATCCCTTTAGGATGGAACTAGGTCCTGGACACCCCCTCTCAAGTGCGGGGAGGCTGATACTACAACTCCCAGCATGACTCGCGGTGGCTGTCCGGTTTCTGCGCGGCTGTTCGCGCAAAGGCCTCATGGGAGTTGGAGTTCTTTGTTGTGCGTGGGGCTCAAAGGACGTCTGGGGTGGGAATGGGGGACTAGGGTGCTTGAGTGTCTCTGCAGAAAAGACTCCAGGACCCCGCCACCATGTTCCCGGAGCCCCCAACCCCGGGGCCTCCATCGCCCGACACGCCTCCCGACTCCAGTCGCATCAGCCACGGCCCAGGTGAGCAAGACCCGGGGGTGGGGGGCCGAGCAGAGAGAAAGCCTGGCCAGGATTCCGAGGGGCGGGATTCGGACGGGTGTACTCGGGCAGGCGGGCTGGAAAATCCGGCTGGGATCCCGGGTCGTCATCCTGGACTGGAATGCGAACGAAATGGGGTAAAAGGAAGGAACAGATTTGCAAAAAAAAAAAAAAAAAAAAAAAAAAAAAAATCGAAACCGGATCAAGGGGTGTTGCATGGAATGGGATCTTAGAATTGGAAGGTCCACCTAGCTCTTCTTTTACAGATAAGGAAACAGGCCCGATGAGGAGCAGGGCTTCTTGTAAAAGCATCAGGAGTTGAGCAGAAATGGGGGGCGGGGTCGGGTAAGGAAAGGCAGAACTAACAAGCAAGCAAATCCAGATGGTGTCAGCCTGGGTTGGGGCATCGAATCTCTCTATAGGCCACATTAGGTGGAAGAAAAACACAGGAAGAAATGCAATGAAAATGGCTGGAGGGAAAAGGAGGCCAGCATTCCAGCTTCCACGTGTAATCAGGACTGAATCAGCCTGCGTGCTGCCCAGGCCTCAATGTGTGTTGTCTCCACCCCTCTGCAGTGCCCCCCTGGGCCCTGGCCACCATCGTGCTGGTCTCAGGCCTCCTCATCTTCAGCTGCTGTTTCTGTCTCTACCGGAAGAGCTGTCGGAGGCGGACAGGCAAGAAGAGCCAGGCCCAAGCCCAGGTCCACCTTCAGGAAGTGAAGGGGCTGGGCCAGAGTTACATAGACAAGGTGTGGCCCAGCCCAGCCCCTCCACCTGGCCCCTTCCCGCACCCTGCTCCTCTCAATGGCCCAGCTGGTCCCAGTCCCTGCTCCCTTCTGTCCTATAGGAACCCACCTTACTGGCTCATCCTCCCTGTGTGTCTAGCCCTCAACTGGACTCTGGGGACCCAGAGATGGAACAGAACTAGTTGCTATTCCCAAGAACTTCCCAGTCTGGTGGGAGAGTCAGGCACTGACACAGACACTCACCACACAGGGTAATATGTGCCATACTACAGGGTCTCATAGGAGCACAGAAAAGGCATCCCACTGTATAGAAACCTACAGAAACATATAAATATTTGGCTCTGGGCCGGGTGCGGTGGCTCACGCCTGTAATCCTAGCACTTGGGAGGCTGAGGTGGACAGATTGCCTGAGGTCATGAATTCAAGACTAGCCTGGGCAACATGATGAAACCCTGTCTCTACTAAAAATACAAAAGCCAGCCATGGTGGTGTGGTATAATCCCAGCTACTCGAGAGGCTGAGGCACTGAAACCGGGAGGTGGAGGCTGCAGTGAGCTGTGATCGCGCCACTGCACTCCAGCCTGGGTGACAGAGCGAGACTCTGTCTCCAATAAATAGATAAATAAATAAATGGCTCTGAAAGCTGAAAACCAGCTTTGTGCCAGAATACTTTAAAATATGCTGATTTTTTTCAGAAAATGGGACATATTTACAGTAGGAAAAAGTTTAAAACAGAGGGTCAGACAGAGGAGGCTTCGTGGTGGAGGTGACTTCTGCACTGAGACCTGAGGGACAGAGTTAACTGAGACCAGAGAGAAGGACATTCTAGTCCAAGTTGGAGCATGTGTTGAGGCCCCATATCCAGATTCAGGCCCCATATCCAGATTCTGAGGCTTATTTGGGGAACAAAGAGTCATTTCTCACAATAGCTGCACTCTGGAGTGAAGTGTCTGGAGAACTCAGCAGTATCCATGTCATGAAGGTGATGAAGGCTACAAATATGTTTTGAGCATGAGAGGGACAGGGTCAGATGGTGTTAGGATGACTCCTCTGGAACCCTGTGTAGGACAGATCTGCGGCGAGGGATCCAGGGACGAGGCCAGTGCAGCAGCAGCCTGGAGAGGATAAAAGACATTTGCATTGGATGAGGCCGTTGGAATGGAAAGTGGTCACTGCAGGGTCTGAAAATTAAGTCTCTCAGTGCAGAGTGCAGTGGTTGCCTGGGAGCCAGACAGCCCTAGGTTTCCAACCAAGAAGGACCATTTCCTGGTTGTGTGACCTTGGAGAACTCACTGTCCCTCTCTGAGCCTCAAGTCTGTGGTCACTAACTTGGTATTTCCCCTCCTTCCTTCTCAATAAGGAGCTGTTCAATTAGCATCCGTAAAGGATGCTATTTAGGGTCCTGGTGTCCAGCCCCATCCCTGTCCCTTAAACCAGTGATGTTCAAAGACCGTCTGCAGCAGAATCACACTGGGTACTTGTTGAAATGCAAATTCTGGCACTAGCACCTGACCTATCAAGTCAGAATCCCTGAAGAGGTGACCTCAGACATTTTGCCACAGGATTCAGGGGAATTCAGGTTCACATTGAATTTTAAGAATTGCTGGCCTAGGTTAAGGAGACACCTTCTGCTTTTTCATTCAACTTTAGAATGGCAAGTACACAGTAAATATGCCATTTCTCCTCCATGTTTTGCTGTGCTAAGATCACAAGTAAACATGGCAGTTTGGACTAGCACCCCAGTACATCCATTAGCATGTGAAATAAAACCTGCATTATTCCTGTGGGCAATGGGACACTATCAGCACTTGTTTTAATCTAAGCATGACAAGCACATGTCTAGTTCCTGCCCATAGCAGACACCACTAATCAAACCTTCACAAACATACTGCATCTGTGTTACCACGTCTATTTCCTGCCTGTGGCAGACAGCACTAGTCAAATACTGAATCTGCTTAGCCTGTGAGAGCTCAGGTATAGCCCAAGGGACCTGTGAGCCTCCCTTGGCTTCTGAGCCTGATGGATACTGCTATCAGGGGAAGACTTCACCCACCCTTACCCCTGGCTCCTTAAGGTGCAGCCAGAAGTAGAGGAGCTGGAGCCAGCACCATCCGGGCCAGGGCAGCAGGTGGCAGACAAGCATGAGCTAGGACGACTGCAGTACTCCCTGGATTATGACTTCCAGAGTGGCCAGGTGGGTGTGGAGGAAGGGGAAGCTTTGGAGGGAGGATCCCGGGGGTTCCAACCCCTTCTGAAAGGAGCCATGGAAGGGAGGCTAAGACTAGTGTTCCCCACCTCCCCCACTGTGCCTGGGCCCTGCAGCTGCTGGTGGGCATTCTGCAAGCAATGGGATTGGCAGCCTTGGATCTTGGTGGCTCCTCGGACCCCTATGTGCGGGTCTACCTGCTGCCGGACAAACGGAGGCGGTACGAGACCAAGGTGCATCGGCAGACGCTGAACCCTCACTTTGGGGAGACCTTCGCCTTCAAGGTGAGCTCCTGCCTTCAGGCCCCGTGTTCCATAGCCTGTGCCCAGTCCCTGGAACACTAGGGACCGACCCCTTCCGCTTTTCCTGGAGGCGGCCACAGCTCAGGTGGCAGCTACCAGCTCTGGGGCTATTCCACTGGACCCTGGGCACTACTGACTCCTGGGCTGTAGCCTGGTCCTTGGGCGGTACGATTTGGGTTCCACTGACCCGTGATTTTTTTCCGCATGGATCCCTGGACTTTCCCATTTGAGTTCCCCCAACTGTTCGCTTCGACCCTCGCTGCCTCACTCCATGCCTTCCTTCTGGTTGTGCTGTGCCTCACCCTATCTCTGACTTCCTGCTCTCTACTGCGGATTCTCTGTGCACTCCAGGTCCCCTACGTGGAGCTGGGGGGCAGGGTGCTGGTCATGGCGGTGTACGACTTCGACCGCTTCTCTCGCAATGACGCCATCGGGGAGGTGCGGGTCCCTATGAGCTCCGTGGACCTGGGGCGGCCAGTGCAGGCCTGGCGGGAGCTGCAGGCGGCTCCGCGGGAGGAGGTGAGCATGCGCGGTCGCGCCCCGAGCCACGCCCCCAGGCCCAGTCCCGCCCACAACATCCTGAGCCAATCAGATCATAGGCTTTCCAGACCCTCAGGGCGGCGTGGATTGTACCCCTGAGGAGGCATGGATGTGGAGCCGGGGCTCTGGTGATGGGCCCCTCTCCTTTCAGCAGGAGAAGCTTGGGGACATCTGCTTCTCCCTCCGCTATGTCCCCACGGCCGGGAAGCTCACCGTCATCGTCCTGGAGGCTAAAAACCTGAAGAAGATGGACGTAGGAGGACTGTCAGGTGTGTGGGAAGCAAGGGAGTGGGGTGTGTGGGGATGGCGTGGGGTGGGTTCTCGTTCTGACAGTTTCTGAGCCTCGAGGGTTTCTTCGGGGACAGGGAGGACCTGGCTGCTGTGGAAGGCATGGATTTTGGCATAGAGCTAGGGAGACCCGAAGGGTGTAGGCAGTGTTTCTATGTTGGTCCAACAACCCAGCAGTGGGGAGCTATAAGACTCCTCCTTCCTCTCCCCAGATCCATACGTCAAGGTCCACCTGCTGCAGGGCGGCAAAAAGGTGCGGAAGAAGAAAACCACCATCAAGAAGAACACTCTGAACCCCTATTACAACGAAGCTTTCAGCTTCGAGGTGCCCTGTGACCAAGTCCAGGTGAGCTCAAACCTGCCCTTCTCCAAGAGCCCAGACCTTTAGTAATCGCCATTGCTAGGCGGAGGGAGACTTTTTAGCATCTCCCTAGAAACCAGGTGAGGGGGTCTGAGGTTATGCTCTCAGTCTGTTTCCTCCTATGAGGACCAGGAAGCCTCTTCCACTCCAGGAAGAGACTCCTTAAAATTGGGTGTGGGTGTCCTATCTGCTCTAAGCGGGACCGGGATGTCCCACCCCTAAGCAGTACCAGATGCTCCACCCTAAGCAGGATCAGTATGCCCCGCCCCACCAAGCGGAACCAGGATGCTCCGCCCCCAAGCAGGACCAGGATGCCCCGCCCCCAAGCAGGACCAGGATGCCCCGCCCCCAAGCGGGACCAGGATGCCCCACTCCTAAGCGGGACCAGATTCCCCACCCTAAGCAGGACCAGGATGCCCCGCCCTCCTCAGGAACGTGGTTCTAAGAAAAAGAGACCTCCCCTCACTTCTTTAGGGACGGCGCCTACCCTAGCCCGGCCCCTGTTAAAGTTCTGCAGCTTTGCGGCTCTTAGGAGGCTGCTCCCCCAGGAGGCGCCGAACACACCCGCTCCGCAACCGAGTCCTGAGGGTTCATTTCCTTAGAAACCTGGCTGCGCAGGAAGAAAGGCGCCAGAGCCTCCTCCTCGCCGCAGGCTCCGTCCCTCTCGTCTCCCACCCCCTCCCCCGTCCCGAGCTCCGGGGCCCCGAGCCCTCGGGTGGCAGCGAGAGGTACCCTCAGCCGTGAAAACGGACACCGCCCCTTCCGGGGCCTCCTCCCCTCACGCTCCTCTCTCCTCTTCCTCCCGCGCCCACCCCAGAAGGTGCAGGTGGAGCTGACCGTGCTGGACTACGACAAGCTGGGCAAGAACGAGGCCATCGGGAGGGTGGCCGTGGGGGCGGCCGCCGGCGGGGCTGGCCTGCGGCACTGGGCGGACATGCTGGCCAACCCGCGGCGGCCCATTGCCCAGTGGCACTCGCTGCGGCCCCCGGACCGAGTGAGGCTGCTGCCTGCGCCCTGACTCCCACCCCAAGCCCCCGGCCAAGCCTGGACTCTAGCCCCTGACCCCAGACTCCCGAGACCGGCCAAAGCCAAGCCAGCCCCACCCTTAAGCTTCCTCTGACGGTTACCCTCCCCCCACCTTCCACCCCAACCATCTGAACCATTCCTGTCTTCTCACCCCCAACGATGCCAATCACGACAACTTTCCAGCACACTCCCCCGACCCTCGCGGACACACCCAGATGCCCCAGGGACCCCGGGAAGGGAAGGCAGCCTGGTTTCTCCTGCCCCCGGGTCCTGCCCCCTGCTTTGACAATCAGCCATCCTCGTCTGCTCTCCTCTCTCTTCCAACACAGCCCATCCCTGCACTGCTCCTGGGGCCAAATAAATATTCAGCAGCTCCGGTGGCCTGGGCCCATGCTCCTTGATGGGGGTGGGCAAGGGCTGGGACCCAAGAGGAAACCTCGTTTCCAGGAATGGGCGCTCGCAGGGCGGTGTGAGTGCTGTTCGTCCTGAAAGCCTCTGAGAGACTGGCCTGACCCCATGGACTCCCTCACACTCTCACCCGTTCATTCCTCACTCACCACTCTGAGCCTGGGTTTCCTCCTCTGGAGAATGTTGGGATAATAATAATTCCTGCCACACGCTGGCTGTGAGGAGTCCGCGAGAACTCCCTTGCTTGTCCATGAATTTATCCACTCGCTTGCTCACCCATGACTCACATCGATTTTCATACCCATTTCTGCATCCCTCCCTCCCTCTCTTTTTTTTCTTCCTTCCATTCCATATTCCCTGAGGTCTTCTGTTGAGTGCTGGGGCCCCAGAATATCCAAACACAGACCTGACCCCCCAAGCGACTTACTGCCATCAAAACAAAGGAGAGGCGCGGAGCCAGGGAATACAATCTCCAGAGCCTGCGAGAGAGGTTGGAGTTCAGCAAGGAAAGCCAATGATTTCAACTTCACCTCTTTCTTTTTTCTTTTCTTTTTTCCTTTTTGTTTTCTTTCTGTCTTTCCTTTTCTTTCTTTTTCTCTTGTTTTTTTTTTGTTTGTTTGTTTTTTTGTTTTTGTTTTTGTTTTTTTGAGATGAAGTCTCACTTTGTCGCCCAGGCTGGAGTGCAGTGGCACGATTTCGGCTCACTGCAAGCTCCTCCTCCCGGGTTCACGCCATTCTCCTGCCTCAGCCTCCCGAGCAGCTGGGACTACAGGCGCCCGCCACCACACCCGGCTAATTTTTTTGTATTTTTAGTAGAGACGGCATTTCACCGTGTTAGCCAGGATGATCTCGATCTCCTGACCTCGTGATCCGCCCGCCTCGGCCTCCCAATGTGCTAGGATTACAGGCGTGAGCCACCGCGCCCGGCCCTTCTTCTTTTCTTTTCTTTTCTATTTCTTTTCTTCTCTTCTTCTTTTTTTTAATTTTGAGACGGAGTTTCGCTGTTGTTGCCCAGAATGGAGGGCAATGGTGCAATCTCGGCTCACCGCAACCCCTGCCTCCCGGGTTCAAGCGATTCTTCTGCCTCAGCCTCTTCTTTCTTCTTTTTTTGACAGGGTTTCTCTGTGTACCCTGGCTGGAGTGCGGTGGGGCAATCATAGCTCACTGCAGCCTCAACCTCCTGGGCTCAGGGGATCCTCCTGCCTCAGACTCCTGAGTAGCTGGGACCACAGGCACATGCAACCATGCCTAGCTAATTTTTTCTTTTCTTTTCTTTTCTTTTTTAGAGATGGGGTCTTGCTATGTTGCACAGGCTGGTTTCAAACTCCTGCAATCCTCCTGTGTGAGTAGCTGGGACTGTAGACATGAGCCGCCGCATCTGACCTCATTGTTCTTTCAACGAATGCTGCCTCCTACTCTGTTTCTAGCAAAGATGATAGTTCCATTGGCTTCTACCTTATCTCATCCCATACAGAATTTTGGGTGGTGAACAAAGACCTATAAGATTTGGCCAGAGAACTCTCTGAGCAGCAGATTAAGTGGAGAATGAGGCAAAAATTACCCCCACGTACCAAAAAAGGAGGCAGCAAACAAACTTACTTGCTCCTAAGCTTCCTGGTAGCCAATCGGGAAAGTGAAAATAGAACAGCTACACAGATTATAATATCCATGAGATTTTTAATTTTTCTCCAAAGGAATTCAGTAACTTTTCATGTGTGTGAGTGTGTGTGTGTGTGTGTGTGTGTGTGTGTGTGTGTGTGTGGCTGTAGAGCATGTCTTTATGAAGACAGCCCTTTATGTTACTACTATTACTGCCAATAATAATCCTCACAGCAAACTCATGAAATAAACATGATCATTATTCCCAGTTGACAAATGAGTCCAAACTGTGCTTTAGAAAATTTGGGGCTGGGCGTAGTGGCTCACGCCTGTAATCCCAGCACTTTGGGAGGCTGAGGTGGGCGGATCACCTATGGTCAGGAATTCAAGACCAGCTGGGCCAACATGCTGAAACCCTGTCTCTACTAAAAATACAAAAATTAACTGGGTGTCGTGGCAAGCACCTGTAATCCCAGCTACTAGGGAGGCTGAGGCAGGAGACTCGCTTGAACCCAGGAGGTGGAGGTTGCAGTGAGTCGAGATCGCGCCATTGCACTCCAGCCTGGACAACAAGAGCAAAACTCCATCTAAAAAAAGAGAGAGAGAGAGAGAGAGAGAATTCCTGTGAAATGCTCAGAATCACACAGCCAGAGAGCCTGTCTCTAAATCCTGGGATTGATTTAGATGATGGCAATGGGGTCCTTGGGTCTCTGTCTCAACAAGAAAGCAGAGCGATAGAAGAATAAAACCATTACAAATGGCCGTCCACACTGGGACCAAAACGTAAAAAGGCTGACATAACTTAGGGAGGGTGGTCAGGGGCAGCCTTGCTGAGGAGGTGCGGTCTGGGCCATGACTTGAATGACAAGAAGGAACGAAGCTTGCAAAGGTTAGGGAGAACAACAGTGGAATATTATTTGGTCATAAAAACAGAAGAAAGCATTGATTCATGCTTCAGCATAGATGAGTCCTGAAAATATTATGCCAAGTGAAGGAAGCCGGATACAGAAGGCTGCATAGTGCAGTATTCCATCCAAAAGAAATCTCCTGCACTGACAAATACATAGAGACAGAAAGTAGATTCGTGGTTGCCAGGGACAGAGGAGAGAGAAATGGGGAGATAAATGGGGTACGTGTTTTCTTTTGGAGTGATGAGAAAGTTCTGGAATTAGACAGTGGTGATGGTTGCACAGCATTGCAAGTGTACTAAATGTCATTCCCAATCAACTTAATAGTGTGTGTGTTTTACACCAATTTAAAAAGAAAACAAGGCCAAGCACGATGGCTCATGCCTTAATCCTAGCACTTTGGGAGGCAGGAGGATTGCTTGGGGCCCAGGGTTAGACACCAGCCTGGATAACCTCTCTATTTTTAAAATTTGTAAAGTTAGCTAGGTATGCTGGCACGTGGCTATAGTTCTAGCTACTTGGGGAGCAGAGGTGGGAGGATCGATTGAGCCCAGGAGTTTCAGGCTGGAGTACTCCAGCCTAGGCAACAGAGCAAGTCCCTGCCTTAAATAAATAAATAAATAAATACAGCCGGGCGCAGTGGCTCACGCCTGTAATCTCAGAATTTTGGGAGGCCAAGGCCGGCGGATCACTTGAGGTCGGGAGTTTGAGACCAGCCTGACCAACACGGAGAAACCCTGTCTCTACTAAAAATACAAAATTAGCTGGGCGTGATGGCACATGCCTGTAGTCCCAGCTACTCAGGAGGCTGAGGCAGGAGAATGGCTTGAACCCGGCAGGTGGACGTTGCAGTGAGCCGAGATAGCGCCATTGCACTCCAACCTGGGCAACAAGAGTGAAACTCCATCTCAAATAAGTAAATAAATAACAGCCTGGGCAACTAGTGAGACCCTTTCTCTACATAAATAAATAAATAAATATCCGGGCATGGCGGCACTTGCCTGTGGTCCCAGCTACTCAGGGGACTGAGGTGGGAGGACTGCTTGAGCCTGAGAGGTTGAGGCTGCAGTGAGCTATGATCACACCACTGAACTCAAGTCTGGATAACAGAGCAAGACTTTGTCTCAAAAATAAATATATAGAAAACAAAGATGAGGGGGAAGATAATTTAAGGCAAAAGAATCCCAAGTTGCAAAGGCCCTGGGGTTCAAACGGCTTGGTGTGTTCTCCAAGGAGCCAGGAGGCTGATGTGGCTTCAGGGGTGGATGACTGCAGATTGCATAGGGCATAGGGAGCCAAGCTAAGGAGCGGGGAATGTGTCCAGGTGCAGCGGGAAGACTTTGGAGGATTTGAAGAGGTGGGAGACATTATTTGATTTATGTTTAAGATCACTCTGGGCCAGGTGCAGTGGCTCACACCGGTAATTCCAGCACTTTGGGAGGCTGAGGCCGGCGGAACTCTTGAAGTCAGGAGTTCGAGACCAGCCTGGCTAACATGGTGAAACCCCGTCTCTACTAAAAATAAAAAAGAATCGCTGGAGCTGGGCACGGTGGCTCACGCCTGTAATCCTAGCGCTTTGGGAGGCCAAGGCAGGTGGATTGCCTGAGCTCAGGAATTCGAGACCAGCCTGGGCAACACGGTGAAACCTCGTCTCTACTAAAATACAAAAAATTAGCTGGGCGTGGCAGCGTGCGCCTGTAATCCCAGCTACTTGGGAGGCTGAGGCAGGAGAATTGCTAGAACCCGGGAAGCGGAGGTTGCAGTGAGCCAAGATCGTGCCACTGCACTCCAGCCTGGGCGACAGAGCAAGACTCCGTCTCTAAAAAAAAAATAATAAATAAATAAATCGCCTGGCTCGGTGGTTCACACCTGTAATCCCAACACTTTGAGAGACCAAGGCGGGCAGATCACCTGAGGTCGTGAGTTGGAGACCAGCCTGACCAACACGGAGAAACCCTGTCTCTACAAAAAATACAAAATTAGCCGGGCGTCCTGGCGCCTGCCTGTAATCCCAGCTACTCGGGAGGCTGAGGCAGAAGAATGGCTTGAACCCGGGAGGCGGAGGTTGCGGTGAGCCGAGATCGCGCCATTGCACTCCAGCCTGGGCAACAAGAGTGAAACTCTCTCTCTCTCTCTCTCTCTCTCTCTCTCTCTATATATATATATATATATATGTATATATATGTATATTTGTATTTTATTTTGTATATATATACAAAATATTTGTATTTTATTTTGTGTATATATAAATATATATACATATATTTGTATTTTATTTTGTGTGTGTATATATATATATATACACAAAATAAAATACAAATACAAAAATTAGCTGGTGTGGTGGCAAATGCCTGTAGTCCCAGCTACCTGGGAGGCTGGGACAGGAGAATCGCTTGAACCCGGGAGGCGGAGGTTTCAGTGAGCCGAGATCGCGCCACTGCACTCCAGCCTGGGTGTCACAGCAAGACTCCATCTCAAAAAAAAAAAATGTCACTCTGGTTCCTTTGCTGAGAATTTGTTGGGAGAGTGGGAGAAATAGGGAGGAAAGGCATTAATTCTCCAGAGAGAAACCCAGGATCTGGGGCTCTTGCAGGCTTAGAGCTGGCCTGGAAGGGGCTGGTTAGCCAGCCTGATTCTGCAGGAATGTCTGAGGTCTCAACCTTCGTTTCCCCAGTAGGTATTGTCTTCCCAGTGCCCAGATCTGCCCTCAGGAGGCAGATCCGCTGCACCTCTGCCCGCTGCACGCTACATTCCCATTTCACAGAGCAGCAGACTGAGGCTCAGAAAGGGTGACTGGTCTAAGCTCATGTGTCTGGGCAAGGAGAGGAGGCAGAGAGCCAAGTCCCCTTGGGCGCTGAGCCCAGTGCTGGGTGCTGGGGTGATCTAGAGATGTGCCTCATTCAGACTTTGGTTTTTCTTTTTTTTTTTTTTGAGACAGAGTCTTGCTCTGTCGCCCAGGCTGGAGTTCAGAGGCGCGATCTCAGTTCACTGCAACCTCTGCCTCCCAGGTTCAACAGACTCTCCTGCCTCAGCCTCCGGAGTAGCTGGGATTACAGGTGCGTGCCACCACGCCCGGTTAATTTTTGTATTTTTTAAGGTCGAGGCGCGGTTTCACCATGTTGGCCAGACTGGTCTCCAACTTCTGACCTCAAGTTATCTGCCCACCTTGACCTCCCAAAGTGTTGGGATCACAGGCGTGGCCACAGCGCCCGGCCGACTTACCCTTATTTTAATGCAGTTGATTTAACTGTACGATTACAGAATTTACCTGTAATTTTTTTGTTCATGTCAGAAGAGTAATGTGCCGATGTCGTAACAAGGTTTGAGGGAGGCACATCTCACGCATGCGCGTGAACACCCAATCATCCCGCTTAGAAACTACAAAAGGATCTAGCTGTAAGTTTAAATTATGGCTTCGTGTAACAATAACCAGCTCACAAATCCCTGAATTTTTAATGACCTGCACATCAGTGTCCCACCTGTGGGCTGTTCTGTGTGGTAGAGCCCACGTTGTGCTGGGGCGGGGAGCGGGCTCAGAAGCCTGCCATCTAAAGTCTAGACACTTCACTTTATTTGAATTGATGAAAATTCCGTTACGTATGAGCAAAGGCATATGAAGAAAACAAAAAAACAAAAAACAAGAAATAAGATTAAGCTCCCTTCACTCTCAATTTTAATCAGCCCAGGCCTCCCCCATTCCAGAAATTTGGACCGACCCTGACTCCGCCCCAACCTGTTCTAGCACCGCCCCTTCCCCCGCCGGCGCCGTCGTCATGACAACCGCGTCCACACGCCCTCTTCTCCTAGGTGTGGGGGAAGGCTGGCCCTCAGTGCTCCCATTGGCCAAAAGTTTGTAGAGGGCGGGCCTCGCTCACTCTCATTGGTCAGTTGCTCGCTGTGGTCCCATCCCACATGCTTCCATTGCTTGATTCCTCGAAAAGGGCGGGGACTCTGGGCAGCGGTTGTGGAGTGCCGCGGGTCCACAGTGCTGCACTGAGCAGAGAGGAAGGGGCGTCCCGGGATATTTGGAGGATAAAGGTGTGGGCAAGGTATCATGTGGAGGCAAAGGGGCGAGAAGTGAGGGGCGGTGAGAGGGGAGCGGGGCGGGCAATGTGTGCGATTCCCAGAATGTCTTTTCCGCAGGGTGATGACCACACCTGCCGGCTCCGGCAGCGGCTTCGGCTCCGTGTCCTGGTGGGGCCTGTCCCCGGCGCTGGACCTGCAGGCTGAAAGTGAGTCCCAGCACGCAAGGTCTGATACACCGTCTGCCTTCCCAGCCTGAGCAGACGGCCTTTTAGAGCTCGTAGTCCCAGCGTCGGTGGCAAGGGGGGCGCTAACGTTCTCCAACGCTCCAGCGGCAGAGGGCGCGCTCCCAGGGGCAGCCCCGAGGTCCTGTCTGCGGACTGCGAATCCCAGAATACTCAGAGGAAACACCTCCCCTTAGAACCTAGGCCACGGGCGGAACGCCTACTGGGATTTGTAGTCCATTTTTTATAGGGGATGCTACGGTGGACGCTCTGCCAACCACCATGGTGCCCCAGCCAGCTGTCATCTTGCCAGGTCCTCCTGTGGACCCAGACTCCCAGGCCGATACAGTGCACAGCAACCCCGAGCTAGATGTGCTGCTTCTGGGCTCTGTGGATGGACGGCACCTGCTGCGGACCCTGTCCCGAGCGAAGTTCTGGCCTCGCAGGAGGTTCAACGTGAGCTGGGATGAAGATGAGAGCCCAGATTCCCGAGTCCTTGAGGGAGGAAGGGATTGAAATTCTAAAACCTCAGGTCCAGGAATGAAGGGGCTGGAGACTCCTAGATCTGAGGGAGGCAGAAGCTGGGAGCGAACCGATGCGTCTTGGGGGAAGGAAGGGGCTGGGGTTTGGAACTCCTGGGTTCTATAGTGGGGAAGAGCTCGAGGATGAGGTCTTCTGAGTAATGGAAGGGAAGAGAGCTCTGGGGACACAGACTTCTGTGTTTGAAGGAAGAGGCTGGTGTACAGAACTCGGGTGTGTGGAAGGAGAGAGCTGAGGGCCTGCTCTCCTGGGTCTCCTAGGACCCAGGCAAACAGGTCTCAGAATTATTCTGCCCTGTCCATCCTTCTAGTTCTTTGTGCTGGAGAATAATCTGGAAGCTGTGGCCCGACACATGCTGATCTTCAGCCTAGCCCTGGAGGAACCGGAGAAGATGGGGCTGCAAGGTCTGTTGCTAGGACCCAGGCATTCTGACCGCTGGTCTCCTCCCCCTCCCTAGAGGGATTCTGGCATTTCAATGGTACAATTAAAAAGTTTGGTTATTTTCCTGGGAGGCGGAGGTTACAGTGAGCCGAGATCGCGCCATTGCACTCCAGCCTAGGCAACAAGAGCGAAACTCCGGCCGGGCGCGGTGGCTCACGCCTGTTAATCCCAGCACTTTGGGAGGCCGAGGCAGGAGAATGGCGTGAACCCGGCAGGCGGAGCTTGCAGTGAGCTGAGATCGCGCCACTGCACTCCAGCCAGGGTGACAGAGCGAGACTCCGTCTCAAAAAAAAAAAAAAAAAAAAAAAAAAGAGAGCGAAACTCCATCTAAAAACCAAAAATGTTTGGTATTTTCCAGTGTGGTACCTCTGATGAAAAAAAAAATCCAATATATTTATTGATGATGGTCCCCTCTGATGTAATTTGCCATCTTAGAGCCTCAGCTCCTCCTACCTGTAAAATGGGGCTAAATATAATACATCTTAGAGCCACTTAGAAAATTCCAGGAGAGGCTGGGTGCAGTGGTTCACACCTGTAATCCCAGCACTTTGGGAGGCTGAGGTGGGCAGATCACGAGGTCAGGAGATCGAGACCATCCTGCTCAACATGGTGAAACCCCGTCTCTACTAAACATACAACAATTAGCCGGGTGTGGTGGCAGGCGCCTGTAGTCCCAGCTACTCGGGAGGCTGAAGCAGGAGAATCACTTGAACCCGGGAGGCAGAGGTTGCAGTGAGCCGAGATCACACCACTGCACTCCAGCCTGGGCGACAAAAGCAAAACCTCCATCTAAAAAAAAAAGAAAGAAAGAAAAAGAAAACAGGTTTGTTTGTTTATTTATTTATTTATTTGAGGCAGAGTCTTGTCCCGTTGCCCAGATTGGAGTGCAATGGCACGATCTTGGCTCTCCATAACCTCTGCCTCCTGGATTCAAGCAATTCTCCTGCCTCAGTCTCCCAAGTAGCTGGGATTACAGGCATGCACCACCATGCCCGGCTAAGGTTTTGTATTTTTAGTAGAGCCGGGGTTTCACCATGTTGGCCAGGATGGTCTCGAGATGCTGACCTCAGGTGATCCGCCCGCCTTGGCCTGCCAAAGTGCTAGGTTTACAGGCGGGTGCGATCACACCCGGCCCCAAGAAAAGAGGTTTAATTGACTCACAGTTCCACAGGCTGTACAGGGAGTATGGCTGGGAAGGCCTCAGGAAACTTACAATCATGACAGGAGGCGAAGGGGATGCAGGCATCTGTTCCACGGCAGGAAAAGGGGCAAGAGAGGCAGTGGGGAAGAGGCGCACACTTGCAAATAACCAGATTTTGTGGGAACTCACTATCACGAGAACAGCAAGGGAGAAATCTGCCCCTGTGACCCAATCACCTCCCACCAGGCCCCGCCTCCAATATTGGGGATTACAATTCAACATGAGATTTAAGCAGGGACACAGATCCAAACCATATCAGTCATTAATGACCCAGGGAATTCAGAGTACATTGCACAGTACAGATTGTTCAAAGTTCTTAAACAGTTAGAACTAAACTGATCTATTTTACTAAAGGCACATAGTTCTCTTCTATTAAGTTCTTAAACAACTAACATGAAACTATTTGTATGTCTATGTGTATATATATTATATGCAAAGGTATATACAGTCATCCCTCAGTAACACTGGGGACTGGTTCCAGGACCCCTGCAGATACCAAGATCCAAGGATGCTCAAGTCCCTTATAAAATTGTATAGTATTGCCAGGGGCGGTGGCTCACGCCTGTAATCCTAACACTTTGGGAGCCTGAGGTGGGAGGACTGCTTGAGACCACGAGTTTGAGACTGGCCTGGTCAACATAGTGAGACCCCGTCTCTACAAGAAATAAAATATTGGCCGGGCGCGGTGGCTCACGCCTGTAATCCCAGCACTTTGGGAGACCGAGGCAGGCAGATCACGAGGTCAGGAGATCGAGACCATCCTGGCTAACACGGTGAAACCCCGTCTCTACTAAAAATACAAAAAAAAAAAAAAAAAAATTAGCCGCCGGGCGCGATGGCTCACGCCTGTAATCCCAGCACTTTGGGAGGCTGAGGCGGGTGGATCACGAGGTCAGGAGATCGAGACCATCCTGGCTAACACGTGAAACCCCGTCTCTACTAAAAATACAAAAAATTAGCCGGGTGTGGTGGCGGGCGCTTGTAGTCCCAGCTACTCCGGAGGCTGAGGCAGAAGAATGGCGTGAACCCGGGAGGCGGAGCTTGCAGTGAGCCGGGATCGCGCCACTGCACTACAGTCTAGGCGACAGAGCGAGACTCCGTCTCAAAAAAAAAAAAAAAAAAAAAAAAAAAAAAGAAAAAGAAAAGAAAAAGAAATAAAACATTAGCTGGGTGTGGTAGCTAATGCCTAGCCCCAGCTAGCTGGGAAGCTGGAGGAGGAGGGTCCCTTAAGCTCAGGTGGTCGAGGTAACAGTGAACTATGATGGCACAACTGCATTCAGCCTGGGCAACAGAGTGAGACACTGTCTCAAAACAAAAAAGATGTACTTACAAATAGCCTGTACACATGGTCCCATACACCGCAAATCATCTCTAGATTACCTATAATATGTAATACAATGTAAATGCTTACACCATATTTTACAATTTGTATTATTTTTTACTGTTGTGTTGTTATCTTTTCCCCCAAATATTCTCTGTCTGCGGTGAGTGTGGAATCTGCAACTCTAATTCCCTCTTCTAGGTGGTTATTTATTTATTTATTTTAGAGGCGGAGTCTCACTCTGTTGCCCAGGCTGGAGTGCAATGGCATGATCTCGGCCCATTGCAACCTCCGCCTCCGGGTTCAAGCGATTCTCCTGCCTCAGCCTCCCGAGTAACTGGGATTACAGGCGCCCGCCACCATGTCCGGCCCTGTTCTTCATGTAGTTTTTGGGATGCGTGGGGAGTTTGCGGGGGTTCATTGTTTTCATTAGATGACTATGACATAATAACATATTAAGGGTGTAATTTCTGGGCTCCCTCCTCCACACATTCCCGCAATTATCTCCCTCTCTCCGTAGAGCGAAGCGAGACCTTCCTGGAAGTGTGGGGGAACGCGCTGCTGCGCCCGCCAGTGGCCGCCTTCGTGCGTGCCCAGGCCGACCTGCTGGCGCACCTGGTCCCCGAGCCCGACCGCCTGGAGGAACAGCTGCCCTGGCTCAGCCTCCGCGCCCTCAAGGTGCCGCCGCCCGGCCTCCATCTGGGATCGGGTGGCCGCGGGAATAATGGAAGCGCACAGTCCAAAGGACGTGCGTTGATGGAGCAGGCGGCGGGCTAGGGGGTTCGAATCCCAGTTCCCCGACTCCCACTGTGGGATTTGGCCTGGGGGCAGGAGGTGGCTTCTGCTTTCGGAGCCTCAGTTTTTCCATCCGAGAAACGGGGGAATCGTTCCCCTGTTCTGGGATGGAAGAGAGGGTCAATTAGAATCCGCTCTCCCTGCATCCCTCTCTGCCTTCCTCTGTCCCACCGCGTGCCTGGCCCCGCAGTTCCGCGAGCGGGATGCCCTGGAGGCCGTATTCCGCTTCTGGGCTGGCGGCGAGAAAGGGCCCCAGGCGTTCCCCATGAGCCGCCTCTGGGACTCGCGCCTGCGCCACTACCTGGGCTCCCGCTACGACGCCCGGCGCGGTGTCAGCGACTGGGACCTGCGCATGAAGCTGCATGACCGCGGGGTGAGGGGCCCAGGAGAGGGGCTGGGGGCCTGGACCCCTGGGTCTGAGGGAGGAGGGGCTGGGGGCCTCCTGAGTCTGAGGGAGGAGGGTTTGGGGGCCTGAACTCCTGGGTCTGAGGGAGGAGGGCCTGGGGACCTGGACTCCTGGGTCTGAGGGAGGCTGGTGTAGGGGTCTCTCCACGCTCGGTTCACTGAGGGCTCCCTTCTTCCCGCCCCCCACCCCAGGCTCAAGTCATTCACCCCCAGGAGTTCCGACGCTGGCGGGACACAGGCGTCGCCTTTGAACTCAGGGACTCCAGCGCCTATCATGTGCCCAACCGGACCCTGGCGTCCGGTCGCCTCCTGAGCTACGTGCGTGTCCACTGCCTGTCCTGGCCCACTGCTGCTGCTCGGAGTCCTAGGAGTCAGGGGCCCCAACATCGACCTCACCTGCCTCCTCTCTCCCTCCTTTTCCAGCGTGGGGAGCGCGTGGCAGCGCGCGGGTACTGGGGGGACATCGCCACGGGGCCCTTCGTGGCCTTCGGCATCGAAGCGGACGACGAGAGCCTCCTGCGGACGAGCAACGGCCAGCCAGTCAAGGTGCGCGGCGAGGCTGGGACTGGGGGTAGAGGTGGGGCTGGGGGTCGGTGGGTGCGCAAGGCCCCGCCCCCACAGCAGGCCCCGCCCCCAGCTCCAGACCCCGCCCGTCGCTTGGTGGGAACGACTCCATTCAGAGAACAGGCCCCATCCCCGCGGGATAGGTCCCGCCCCACTTCACATCCTCCAAGCAGCTGCGGGAGTTCTAGTCCTGGACCGAGGACTCCCAGCGTTCTAAGCCCCGCCCCGCCATCCTGGCCCCGACGTCTGGCCACGCCCCTTCTACTGTTAGACGGCCGGGGAGATCACTCAACACAACGTGACGGAGCTGCTCCGCGACGTGGCCGCCTGGGGGCGCGCGAGAGCCACCGGGGGGGACCTGGAGGAGCAGCAGCACGCGGAGGGAAGCCCGGAGCCAGGGACTCCAGGTAAGCCAGGGACAACAACAGGTAAGCCAGGGACTCCAGCCTCCAGGTGTTTCACACTGGAGTGTGGACTGACATGATTTGGAATGCCTGGGCAAGTGACGGCTTCTTGATATTCTGTCTCTTTTTCTCTCTTTCTCTCCCTTTCCTAAATTCTGAGAGCATGCTTAGAATTCTGAATTCCACTAGCAGAATTCTAATCTTATCTGCAGAGGGCTAAGCTATCCAAGAATATTCTCACAGGGTGCTGGGTCCCAGCTCCCCCTTGGACAGCCTCCCACACCCTGGATCCTGGCTGGGCCTCCTTCCAGCCATCCTCCAACCTGGCCCTCCCTGCGTGTCTGTCTGACAGGGCATGTCACATGTGGCCCTGGCCACCCACCCTCTTTCCCTCTCTAGAGTCTCAGTTGCCTGATCTGTACAGTGAGTCTCTGCCTGCCAGGCTGACCTTCCCAGAACTTTCCAGGAGCCTACCTTAGAGGATTTTTTAAAAAGCTGCAAGAGGACAAAAAGTGTTATCTCCAAGTCCTGTGTGCCTGCCCAGCTCTGCCCAGCTCTGTGTATCTCTCTGGTTTTCCGCCCTTATGGCTCCGCCTGTCAGAGGTGACCCCTCTATCCCCTTCCCCCAGCAGCCCCGACCCCGGAATCTTTCACCGTCCACTTCCTGCCGCTCAATTCTGCTCAGACTCTCCACCACAAGAGCTGCTACAACGGCCGATTCCAGCTCCTCTATGTGGCCTGTGGGTAAGCGGGGAGGCAGCTGTGCTCACAAAGACCCAGGATCAGGCCCCCAGCCCCTCCTCCCTCAGACCCAGGAGTCCAGGCCCCCAGCCCCTCCTTGCTTAGACCCAGGGGTCCAGGCCCCCAGCCCCTCCTCCCTCAGACCCAGGAGTCCAGACCTCCTGCTCCCTTCTTTCCCCAGGACCCAGACTCCAGTTTTGCCACCCCTCCTCCCTCATTGTCTGGGATCCCAGAGCCCCATCCTCCCTCCGGATTTGGAGCTGAATCTCAGCCTGTCCTCCGTCCTCTCTGCAGTATGGTCCATCTTCTCATCCCTGAGCTTGGGGCCTGTGTGGCACCCGGAGGGAACTTGATTGTGGAATTAGCCCGGTGAGTCAGTGGGGTGGAGGGTGGGGAACATCCTGGCTGGGGATCAAAATCTGGGTCCCTGACAGGGCGCTTCCCATCTGCAGGTACCTGGTGGACGTGCGGCAGGAGCAGCTGCAGGGATTCAACACCCGGGTCAGGGAGCTAGCTCAGGCAGCTGGATTTGCTCCACAGACCGGGGCCAGGCCTTCAGAGACCTTCGCACGTTTCTGCAAGTCCCAGGAATCAGCTCTGGGCAACACTGTCCCAGCTGTGGAACCCGGAACTCCGCCCCTTGACATCCTGGCCCAGCCTCTTGAAGCCAGCAACCCAGCCCTTGAGGGCCTGACCCAGCCTCTGCAGGGTGGGACCCCACACTGTGAGCCCTGCCAGCTGCCCTCTGAGTCTCCAGGTTCACTCTCAGAGGTTCTGGCTCAGCCTCAGGGGGCCTTGGCTCCGCCCAACTGTGAGTCAGACTCCAAAACTGGAGTCTGACCCAACCCCTAGACACCCCTTATCTCCAACTTCCAAAGTCAGGTTGTAGGATGAGAACCCGCTGATACCATTCTAAGTCCGCTGCTAGAGTCCTCAATTTTATTCTAATCATTCCCACTCAGTACCCGCCACCCCCACCCCGGGAGTGTTGGTAGACTTTCAAATTCCATTTCTGAGATTCTATGGTCTATTCCTAGAATTCTAGATTGTTCTCTCAGAATTCCAAATTCCACTTCTGAGGCTCTAAGCCCAGCCTAGGATCTGACACTGAGTCTCAGGCCCTTGACTTTGGCCCCCTTGTTCCCAGGCACCCTGTGGCTGACTAGGGGCTGGGGTGTCTCCTCACCAGGGCCTGGTCAGCACCCAGATGGTTCAAGTAAAGCAAGTTGTGTCCACCCTTCTGTGTGTCCAAGCGTCTTTCCTGTCCTATGTCCGTCTCCAGGGCTGGGAGAGAAAGGCCCAGGAGTGCTGGACAGAGGAAGCCAGAAACCAGATTCCTGGGTTTCCAAGTGGACGAGGGATGGATTTCCCAGTGCTATTGACTGAGAGCTAGCCCCGAGCACAGCTGCATCCTCAAATTAATCAACAACATTTATTGAGTGGCCTGGACTCCTGGGTCTGAGGGGAGAGGGATTGGGGTCCTGGACTCCTCGGTCTGAGGGGAGAGGGATTGGGGTCCTGGACTCCTGGTCTGAGGGAGGAGGAGCTGAGGGTGCAGACTCTTGAGTCTGAGAGAGGAAGTGTGCTGGGGGCCTGCCTGGACTCCCTTGTCTGAGGGAGGGGCTGGGGGCCTGGACCCCTGGGTCTGAGGGAGGAGGGGCTGGGGGCCTGGACTCCTGGGTCTGAGGGAGGAGGGGCTGGGGCCTGGACTCTTGGGTCTGAGGGAGGAGGGGCTGGGGCCTGGACTCTTGGGTCTGAGGGAAGAGGAGCTGGGGGCCTGGACTCTTGGGTCTGAGGGAGGAGGGGCTGGGGGCCTGGACTCTTGGGTCTGAGGGAAGAGGAGCTGGGGGCCCAGACACTTGAGTCTGAGGGAAAAGGGGGCTGGGGGCCTGGACTCCTTGTGTGAGGGAGTGGCCAGGGTCTCCCAGGGTCCTGGGACTGAGGGAGGAGGAGGTTGGGAGGTCGGGCATTCTCTGGGTCTGAGGGAGGAGGGGTCTAGGACTCCAGGATCAGAGGGAGGAGGGTCCGGATTCCTGTGCCCGGAGGTGGCTGGTGATCCAGCTGGAGCAGGGCCCACCCCGCCCCTCACGCGCCCCCGTTATCTGGCATAGTGGGCAGGGGGAGGAGGAGGTGACAGTATATTTAGTCTGTGTCCTCGCCCTTTATCTCAGTGTCCTCGGGGAGTCTCAAGCAGCCCGGAGGAGACTGACGGTCCCTGGGACCCTGAAGGTCACCCGGGCGGCCCCCTCACTGACCCTCCAAACGCCCCTGTCCTCGCCCTGCCTCCTGCCATTCCCGGCCTGAGTCTCAGCATGGCGGATGGGTGAGTGATGCCCCAAGGCAGTGGGAGTTGGGGGCGACCTCCCGGGTTCCCAAGAGGGGTCGCAGCTGAGAGGCTGGACCCTTGGCCTGCGAGGTAGGCGTAGGGACTCTTGGGTGAAGAGAGGAAGTGGGTTTGCGAGTCAGACTCCTGGAACCCAAGGAAGGGGAAGCGCGGTCCCCCGACCTCTTGTTCAGAGGGGACTCCAGGGGTCCCTTAGGAGACAGGACACAGCCCACCACTAACCCCCCTCCTTGGTTTCTCTCCTTCCAGGAGCAGCGATGCGGTGAGAGCAGCGGGCTAAGGCGTGGCTGGGACCCCCAGGGCCAGGGTGGGCGCTGCAGTGAGGGGTCTGGGGCGGGAGGCTGCAGCCCTAGCAGAGGGTGCGGTACGGTAAGGGCTGGGTGGGGTCTTGGTGGTGATGGGGTCCCCACTCCTCCTAACCCAGGCTAGGGAACCTCGCCCTGCACCAGCCCCAATCAGACGCCGCTCCTCCAACTACCGCGCTTATGCCACGGAGCCGCACGCCAAGGTGGGACGGGGCTTCCTGGGGGCAGAGTACAGGCGCCGGAGGGATCCAAGACCCTGGGAGTGGGGGGAGGAGCCAGGGCTGCGAAGGGGGCGGGGACTACGCGGAGGGGCTTCAGGGGCGGAGTTTTGCAGAGGGTCATGCTCGGATTGGTGACAGCAGCCTGCGGGCGGAACTCCGTTGCCCTCGGACTTGCTTAGGGATAGATGGGAAGTGCCTATCCAAAGGAAGAGACCCAGATTGGTGGATGGGAATGAGGGGCGTGGCCTCCCGTAGACTCAGGGCTCAAGTTGGACGTGGGCCCAAATCTGGACCGGCTGGGTTTGCTGGGGGTGTCTTGAGGTCCCCTCCACCGTCGTCTCCGAATCCCCCTCCATGATCCTTCCTTGCTCCATCTCACCCTGGCAGAAAAAATCTAAGATCTCCGCCTCGAGAAAATTGCAGCTGAAGGTGAGGACGGGCGGGACTGGGAAAGAGCAGGCAGGTGCTCAGGGGGCGGAGCTTGAGAATGGGTGGGGCTTTCGGGGTAGGTGGGCGGAAGTGGGCGGGGTTTGGCCGCTCGGGGCGTGGCTTTAGCGGGGAGTACTGCTCGGGGTGGGACGGGGCCTTGGAACAGTGGAGACCAAACTGGAGGGTTTAGAAGGGCAGAGGCGGTTCCCCACGCCTGGTCTTTATCCTGAAGCCCCGGGTGGGCTGCGCTTCCCTCCCACCCCTCTGCAGACTCTGCTGCTGCAGATTGCAAAGCAAGAGCTGGAGCGAGAGGCGGAGGAGCGGCGCGGAGAGAAGGGGCGCGCTCTGAGCACCCGCTGCCAGCCGCTGGAGTTGGCCGGGCTGGGCTTCGCGGAGCTGCAGGTACCGGCTCCCAAGGATGCGAGGTTTCTAGTCCCGGAATTCAGCAGTACAGCCTCTATCCCCTCTTCTGCTCGGGACCCAGGCGTCCAATATGGCTGTCCTTACCCAATTATATATGGTTCGTGGGACTCCTGGCCCCTAACACCCTTTGTGTGCAGGTCTGTGGAGTCTTGGCTCCAACCTACTCCTTCAGGACCATGTGGCCCTCCTATCCCAGACAGAAGCCCAAGCCCCAGCCCCTCCTCCCTCAGACCCTGGAGTCCAGGCCCCAGCCCCTCCTCCCTCAGACCCAGGAGTCCAGTCCCCAGCCCCTCCTCCCTGAGACCCTGAAGTCCAGGCCCCAGCCCCTCCTCCCTCAGACCCTGGAGTCCAGGCCCCAGCCCCTCCTCCCTCAGACCCTGGAGTCCAGGCCCCAGCCCCTCCTCCCTCAGACCCTGGAGTCCAGGCCCCCAGCCCCTCCTCCCTCAGACCCTGGAGTCCAGGCCCCAGCCCCTCCTCCCTCAGACCCAGGAGTCCAGTCCCCAGCCCCTCCTCCCTCAGACCCTGGAATCGAGGCCCTCAGCCCCTCCTCCCTCAGACCCTGAAGTCCAGGCCCCAGCCCCTCCTCCCTCAGACCCTGAAGTCCAGGCCCCAGCCCCTCCTCCCTCAGACCCTGAAGTCCAGGCCCCAGCCCCTCCTCCCTCAGACCCAGGAGTCCAGTCCCCAGCCCCTCCTCCCTCAGACCCTGGAGTCCAGGCCCCAGCCCCTCCTCCCTCAGACCCTGGAGTCCAGGCCCCAGCCTCTCCTCCCTGAGACCCTGGAGTCCAGGCCCCAGCCTCTCCTCCCTCAGACCCTGGAGTCCAGGCCCCAGCCCCTCCTCCCTCAGACCCTGGAGTCCAGGCCCCAGCTCCTCCTCCCTCAGACCCTGGAGTCCAGGCCCCAGCCCCTCCTCCCTCAGACCCTGGAGTCCAGGCCCCAGCCCCTCCTCCCTCAGACCCAGGAGTCCAGTCCCCAGCCCCTCCTCCCTCAGACCCTGAAGTCCAGGCCCCAGCCCCTCCTCCCTCAGACCCAGGAGTCCAGTCCCCAGCCCCTCCTCCCTCAGACCCAGGAGTCCAGTCCCCAGCCCCTCCTCCCTCAGACCCTGGAATCGAGGCCCTCAGCCCCTCCTCCCTCAGACCCAGGAGTCCAGGCCCCCAGCCCCTTCTCCTCCCTCAAACCCAGGAGTCCAGGCCCCCAACTCCTCCCTCAGACCCAGGAGTCCAGGCCCCCAGCCCCTTCTCCTCCCTCAGACCCAGGAGTCCAGGCCCCGAGCCCCTTCTCCCTCAGACCCAGGAGTCCAGGTCTCCCTGTTTTTGGTTCCCCCAACAACACACACCACGTTCCTCCTCCAGGACTTGTGCCGACAGCTCCACGCCCGTGTGGACAAGGTGGATGAAGAGAGATACGACATAGAGGCAAAAGTCACCAAGAACATCACGGAGGTGGGACGCATGGGCAGCTCGGGTACCTTCGGGGTAGGGTGAGATGGCTGGGACTTGGTCTCTGCCTGACCCCTTGCAGCTGCTTTTGGCTGCACATCCCAGGAGACCCAGGACAACTGTGAGCCTGGCAGGGCTGGGGCAGAAGGATGAGTACAATATAGTCAAGGAAAGCTGTTCTAGGCAGAGGGAACAGCACATGCAAGGCCATGGGTTGGGAAACAGAAAATAAGTTAGTGAACATGCTCAGGGCATCACATGTTGGTAAATTAGCTCAGGCACTGGCCAGGGAATTGTGATTTGCATGTAGCTGGACCAGGTTATGCCAGTGGTTTTGAGAGGTGAGGCTGGAGCATATGAGGAGGGGGATTCAGTTCCAGGATTAGAAGCCTAGACTGGGAGCCTAAGCCGGGAAGAGACTGGTAAGGCCTCGGTACTGGAAGACGAGATAAGGAGAATAAAAAAGGAGTGTAGGATGGAGGAGTTGGGTGTGCGGGAAATGGAAGGAGAAGTACCCACCCCCTCGTGTGCCCCCAGATTGCAGATCTGACTCAGAAGATCTTTGACCTTCGAGGCAAGTTTAAGCGGCCCACCCTGCGGAGAGTGAGGATCTCTGCAGATGCCATGATGCAGGCGCTGCTGGGGGCCCGGGCTAAGGAGTCCCTGGACCTGCGGGCCCACCTCAAGCAGGTGAAGAAGGAGGACACCGAGAAGGTGAGTGTGGGCTAAGGCCAGGAAAGAGGATGCTGAGGGGAAGGGCTGTGGGTGCCAACAACCCTAGGCCTGAGGGCAGATGGTGCTTGGAGTTGGAGGTAGAAGCAGCTAGTAAGGGGTCCTCAGAAATGCAAGAGGAAGACAGGAAGTAGAAGGGGAAGACAGGAAGTGCATTAGGGCTACAGGAAGTCCATGTAAGAGCAAAGAGGTACATGAAGGTCCAGGTGCAGTGGCTTATGCCTGTAATCTTTGAGGTTTAAAAAAAATTTTTTTTTAATTTCCTTTTTTTTTTTTTTTTGCGATGGAGTCTCTGCTGCCCAGGCTGGAGTGCAATGACACCATCTCGGTTGCTGGAGTGCAGTGACACCATCTCGGCTCACTGCAACCTCTGCCTCCCAGGATCAAGTGATTCTCATGCCTCAGCCTCCCGAGTAGCTGGGACTACAGGTGCACACCACCATGTTGTTGTTTTAATTTCTACAAATTTCTTTTTTAAATTAGCCAGTCACGGTGGTGGCATGCAGCTTCTCAGGAGGCTGAGGCAGGAAAATCGCTTGAGCCCATGAGATCGAGGGTGCAGTGAGCTATGACTGCACCACTGCACTCCAGCCTGGGCAATACAGTGAGACCCTATCTTAAAGAAGAAGACAGGAAAGATAGGAGTGGATGCCTGAAACCATGGATTGTACTGAACCCTATATGTAATTTTTTTTCCTATACACACATACATACCTATGATAAAGTTTCATTTCTAAATTAGACACAGTAAGAGATTAACAATAAATAACAACAAAAGAAGGTTGGGCGTGGTGGCTCATGCCTGTAATCTCAACACTTTGGGATGCTAAGGCAGGCAGATTGCTTGAGCTCTGGAGTTCGAGACCAGCCTGGGCAACATGGCGAGACCATGTCTCTATAAAAAATACCAAAGTTACCGGGTGTGGTGGCTCGTGCCTGTAATCCCAGCGCTTTGGGAGGCCAAGGCGGGCGGATCATGAGGTCAGGAGTTTGAGACCAGCCTGGCCAACACAGTGAAACCCCACCTGTAGTAAAAATACAAACATTTGCTGGGCGTGGTCGTGGGTGCCTGTAATCCCAGCTACTTGTGAAGCTGAGGCAGGAGAATTGCTTGAACCCGGGAGGCAGAGGTTGCAGTGAGCCGAGATCTCACCACTGCACTCCAGCCCAGGCAACACTGGGAGACTCCATCTCAAAACAAAACAAAACAGAACAAAAGTTAGCTGGGCATGGTGGCACACACCTGTGGTCCCAGCTCCTCAGGAGTCTGAGGTGAGAGGATGGCTTGAGCCCAGGAAGTTGAGGCTGCAGTGAGCCGAGATTGCACGACTGCACTCCAGCTTGGATGAGGCAGCCAGACCCTGTCTCAAATAATAATAATAATAAAATAGAACAATTATAACAGATTGTAATAAAACTCATGAATGTGGTCTCTTTCTCAAAATATCTTATAGCACTGTAATCACCCTTCTTTTCCTTGTGATGTAAAATGACAGTGCCTATGTGCTGAGATGAGGTGAGGTGGATGACATAGGCATTATGACCTGGCGTTAGGCTACTATTGACCTGAGAATCCATCAAACTTATGAATTGTTTATTTCTGGAATTTTCCATTTAATATTTTTGGGCCATGGTTTACCTCAGGTAACTGAAACCACACAAAGTAAAATTGCAGAAAAGGAGGGACTACTATAATAAGAAGAGAAGGAAGGAGACAGGAAGGGCATAAGGCAGACAGGAAGTGGAGGGGAAAGATAGGAAGTGCAGGAAGGAGACAGGAAGTGGAGGGGAAAGACAGGAAGTGCATGAGGGAGACAGGAAGTGGATGGGGAAAGACAGAAAGTACATGAGGGAGACAGGAAGTGCTGGGGAAAGACAGGAAGTGCATGAGGGGGACAGGAAGTGCATGAGGGAGACAGGAAGTGCATGGGGAAAATTGGCAGGGATTATCTTGAAAAGACAGGAAGTGCTCCAGAACTAGATACTTAGGCATCCAGGGTAGAGTGGCCCCACAGGCTGGAGGGAAGACAGGGATTCTTGAGAGACTGGAGACCAAGAAGAGACCCTAACCTCTGACTCATCGCCATCCTCCAGGAAAACCGGGAGGTGGGAGACTGGCGCAAGAACATCGATGCACTGAGTGGAATGGAGGGCCGCAAGAAAAAGTTTGAGAGCTGAGCCTTCCTGCCTACTGCCCCTGCCCTGAGGAGGGCCCTGAGGAATAAAGCTTCTCTCTGAGCTGAAAGTGACTCCATGTCTATTACCCAGGGCTTAGGCAGGAGACAGATGGGAAGACTGCAGGTGGGGCTCCCCCAAAGCCACACAGCAGGTTGGGGACCAGATGGGTCTCCCATGTGAAGCACTCTTGGCTGTGTTATTGAAAAGAATCCCGGGGTTCATGAATTTGGAGAGCGGAGCTTTGTTTCTTAAGAAGCGGATCACAACCTGAAGACCAGAAGCATGGCTTCTTGCCAAAAAACAAAAGCAGGCACTTTAAGGGAGGGAAGGGCAAGGCAGGAATTTATGCTGAGTGGGTTAGCTAAGTGCACGTATTCAACTGGTTATAGAAGGAGCTATGAATATTCATGGACAGGTGGACACATGGACACACGCATGTGTGACAAGCAAACACTCATTTTTTTTTTTTTTTGAGACGGAGTCTTGCTCTGTCACCCAGGCTGGAGTGCAGTGGCACGATCTCAGCTCACTGCAACCTCTGCGTCCTGGGTTCAAGCCATTCTCCTGCCTCAGCCTCTCCAGTAGCTGGGATTACAGGCATGCACCACCACGCCCAGCTAATTTTTGTGTTTTTCGTAGAGACGGGGTTTCACCATGTTGGCCAGGCTGGTCTCGATTTCCTGACCTCGTGATCCGCCCTCCTTGGCCTCCCAAAGTGCTGGGATTACAGGCGTGAGCCACCGCGACTGGCCGCAAACACATTTTACATGCATCCCACCTTCACTTGGTGGTGGAGGCTTAACATTTAAGTGCATTCCATTGAATGCATTCGTATCGAAACACGAAGCAGGGATATGAAGACACTCAGTGCACAGCCTCTGTCAACAGCCAGAACCAGTCCGTGGTCTGCGGCATCTTATCAGGAGAAAGTTACTGAAATCAGTCTCTTGTTCAACTAATGCTGTAGTTATGCCTTGTGGAACAGGGGGTTCAGCTAGTCAGCATCTGGCAATGGATGGCTGCAATGGTTGTAATATTGCTTATCTTGAGGCCGGTGCTTGTTTAGCTGCTAGAAAAAGGAAAAGCCTTGTGGCAGTTGGAACATAGTCGATTATATAAGTGTAGGGATGCGTGGCTTAACCCTTGCCTGGCATGGCCTTAGGTCTTGTTTATAATTTGGTATCTTATTGCCACAAACAGTTCATTCCATCAGTCTTCTGATCTCTATTGTCACAGCTCCTCTGGCCCATGTGGAGTGCACAGAGATGCCAAGACTAAAGGTCAAAGAGAGAGAGACACAGAGAAACAGACAGGCAGAGAGACATGACCGACAACAGAGAGACTGAGTTGGGAGTAGAGAGAGTAGGAGCCAGGCAAAGACCCAAAGAGAGAGGGAGAAAATACCACAAGATGCATAGAAGGAAGTGCAAAGAAAGGAGAAAAGAGAGACAGAGATATACTCACAGCAAGGTGCAGAGACATGGAGACCCTATAAGAGATGGAAATGGAGAGCCACAGAGGGGGAACTGCGGGCACTAAGAGAGACATGGAGAGAACTAGAAAGATAGAGACGTGAACACAGACACAGAGACCCAGAGCCAAAAAGAGACAGAAATGGGGTCATAGGTGGACAGAAATGCACAGAGAGACTGTGAGCCCCCACAGACACAAACGCTGAGAGGGGCAGACATGCAGAGACACCCACAGAAATGCAGAGACAAAACCACCCGGAGACACATGCCGAGAAACACACTGAGGGGCTCAGAAAGCGACAGATGCAGAGAGAGCCCAAGACAGACCCAGCAAGGGGCCCCGAGAAATGCACAGAAACACAAAGACCGAGACCACCAGAGACAGAGGTACGGAGAGGCGGGGAGGGTGAGGAAGCCTGCTCTCCAGGGCTGGCTTGAACCTAGAACTCAAGGTCATGGCTTGGCTGGGAAGCGGGAGGGGGATACCAAAAAAGATCAGCGTTAGATGGAGGTGGGGAGGGAGGGTAGGTTTCACCCTAATTGACACCCCACCCTCCCCCTCCCCCTCCCCACACCTGCTTCCCGGCTTTAGTGCCTGTTGTCACCAGGATGGAATCCTGGCGGCAGACAAAGGGGTGGGGGTGGGAGGAGGAGACAAAAAGATGGACAGAGACAGAGGAGGAGACTAAGAAGTAGAGACAGACACACAGAGACACACAGATGGAGAGCCACAGAGACAACAGAAATGGGGGTCCAGAAAGAGACCTAGATAGAAAGAGGGAACAGAGAGAAGAAAACAGGAAACATTCCTTATAGCCCATGTGTCATTAGTAGGTCCTCCAAGGACCTACTGTGTGCCGGGCATGGGGACGTCAAAGCACAGGGAGCTATAAGGGAGGTAGTTGGAGCACCACGGGAGCCTGGGGTGTGGGGTGGGAGCAGGGGCGGGGCTCCTGGGCCATGCAGATGGGGTTGGCATGGGGTTGGGGAGGGGCCCACGGAGGCTTCTGGACTCTGAGTGTGGAGCCAGGGGCAGCAGGGCTGTCTCTGAACTCCCAGGCTTGTGTTTGAGCAAAGGAATTCTCTCCCCCTCCCTCTCCCCTCGGGGCGGGCCCGAGCCTCCAGCTATAAACTCCCCGGAGCTTCAGTGCCCTCAGCAAGGCTCAGCCTCAAGATTCACAGCATCTCAGACACAGCCTAGGTAAGGGGCTCTGCGGAGCCCTGTGGTCTTCAAAAACCATGTCCTTGGGGGAGGGGGCAGGAGGCAGGTGGGGAAGATGTCGGGTGTGGAGAAATGGTGCAGAGGTAGGTGGGGCATACAACTGGAGGTCTGGGAACTTGAGAGGCTCAGACTTTAGGGGGACTCAGGATAGAGGGGAAAATACTAGGATTTGTGGGTTACACAAATCCTAACCCGGGGCTGCCAGGACTTGGATGTCCCAGAATAAAACCTCCTAGGATCTTGGGGTTCTGGGAATCTGGGGGAAATCTCAGCAGTCAGGGATATCTGGACTTGGAGGTCAAACAATCTGGGTGTCAGGATTTGGGGCCTCAGACTCTGAGGGTATCAGGAATTGGGGGGGTCTCAGAAGAAATTGGGGTTTTGGTAGTGGAGGGCTCGGAATCTGAGACATTATGATAGAAAGCATGAAAACTTAGAGTGCCATTATCTGGGGTATCATGAACTGGGCCTCCGAGTTTGGGTATCAAGATTTTGGGGGTCTCATATTCTTGAGGTTTCAGATTTTAGGAGGTCTCAAGACCTGGGGGTGGTCTTAGGATGTCCCGGCCCATATCTGGACTATCAAGAACTGGGATTTCAGAATCCAGAGCTGTGAGGACTTGCTGGCCTCAGAAACACGGGCATCATAAATCGGGGTCTCAGAATCTGTGGGTATTGGGATTTGGGGCTAGGCACCCTGTGGCCTAGGGTGTCTCAAAGACTTTGAGGTCTAAGAATGTAGGGGTCAGGGTGAGGTCTACGGACAGAAGGTGCCCTTTATGCCCCTGCCCCCTACGTGATGTATGGGAAGGTGAAAGGGGAGACAGGTGGGGAGGAAACCAGCCAGTGGGGTGGGGCGAGTGGGAGAGGGGATGCGGGTGACTAATTCTCCCAGAAGCCCCCCTTCCTCAAATCCCTTCTTAGGAAATGTCCTCGGTTTCACCATCTATGACATCCCCCCAAAATAGCTCCTGGGGGTGGGGCAGCTATTGTCTTCAGGCCACTGTCCCTTCTCAAATGCCTCTTCCTAATCCCAACTGGATCAGGTTCCCATGGACTTGTCATAAGACAAAAGAGGACAGCTGTGCTGAGGGGGCAGGGTCTGCAGCCTCCTGGCTGTGCCAGGACCACACCTACCAAGGTCTGTCCTCATGCATGCTTTAGGACAGCCGGCCCCCTCCCTCAGACCCAAGAGTCCAGACCTGAGCCCTCCTCCCTCAGACGCAGGAGTACAGGCCCCCAGCCCGCTCCTCCCTCAGACTCAGGAGTCTAGACTCCCAGCCTCTCCTCCCTTAGATCCAGGAGTCCAGGCCCCAGCTCCTCCTCCCTCAGACCCAGGAGGCCAGGCCCCCAGACCCTCCTCCCTCAGACCCAGGCGTCCAGGCCCGCGGCCCCTCCTCCCTCAGACCCAGGCGTCCAGGCCCCTGGCCCCTCCTCCCTCAGATCCAGGAGTCCAGACCCCAGCCCCTCCTCCCTCAGACCCAGGTGTCCAGGACAACCCATCTCAGTCTCAGGAGTCCACACCCACCCTCCCACACACCCCCCAGCCCCTCCTCCCTCAGACCCAGGAATCCGGCCCCCAGCCCCTCCTCCCTCAGATCCAGGAGTTCAGGACCCCAGTCCCTCCTCCCTCAGACCCAGAAGTCCAGGCCCCAGCCCCTCCTTCCTCAGACCCAGGAGTCCAGGCCCCAGCTCCTCCTCCCTCAGACCCAGGAGTCCAGACCCCAGCCCCTCCTCCCTCAGACCCAGGAGTCCAGGCCCCCAGCCCCTCCTTCCTCAGACCCAGGAGTCCAGGCCCCAGCTCCTCCTCTCTCACACCCAGGAGTCCAGACCCCAGCTCCTCCTCTCTCACACCCAGGAGTCCAGACCCAGGAGTCCAGGCCCCCAGCCCCTCCTCCCTCACACCCAGGAGTCTAGGTCGCCCCCTCCTTGGGGCCCCACCCCACTGGGCCTCTTCTCTCTGGTCCTTAGGCCGCACCAGGATGTCGGACACCGAGGAGCAGGAATATGAGGAGTGAGTGCTGCACTGGGAGGGGTTGGGGCGTGCAGTGGTGGAGAGGCTCTCCCACCCCAGGTCTAACTCTCCCCTCCCTCCTCTCTCCCCACACCCGTCCGCAGGGAGCAGCCGGAAGGTGAGTAGGGAGTGGGCCGGCCCTATGGGATGGGGACACGCCCAGGAGCTCTTGGGAGGGGAGGCGAGGAGTGTGGCACTTTGGCGGGGAAGGGGCGGCTCAGCCCTCGGGCCCTCGCCCGCCCTCTCCGGGTCTGGAGCGTCTCCTCGCGCCATCCCTGCACCGCCAGGGGGAACGTGCCCATCGCAGCCGAGGCCAGAGGGACCCCCGTCCAGCAGAGACTGGAACCCTGGTCTCTGGCCACCGCCCCCATCCCTCCCCCAGCTCCTAACGCCTTCTCTTCTGTGCCCCCATCTCCAGAGGAGGCTGCGGAGGAGGAGGAGGAAGGTGAGGTCCCGGACTCCGCAGGTCTGGAGCTGGGGGGTGGGGGGGCGGGGACGCTGGGCCCGGGAGGAGGGGGCGGGATGGGGCTCCCGACGGCCTCGGCTCCCGGTCCTCTAACAGCCTCTCACGTCTCTTCCCTCTCTCCCCTCCCGCGCCCGGGCGTGGCCGCTCCCCCCTCGCTCCCCAAACCCTCGCTGCTCCTCCCTCCCCTCCCCAGCCCCCGAAGAGCCGGAGCCGGTGGCAGAGCCAGGTAACCGCGGCTGCTTCGCTTCCCGAGACCGATGTCGGGGGCCCGGGGGGACCCCCGATATCCTCGGGCCCCAACCTCCAAGACCACCCTTCCCTCCCTCCGCCCCCATAACCCGCCCCCAGGCCCGGTCCTTTAAGCCCCTGAGAGCTCCTGCGCCCTCTCGGGGCCGGGAAGGGAAATGGCCCCGCAGTGGCTTTAACCCTTTCCCTTCCTTCTTAAAGGGACCGACACCCAAGCCTTCTTCCCCAGTCTGGAGGAATCTTTACAGAAGGGTTGGATGTTTGCGGAGAAGCACCACCCCATCCCCCCTTATCTTCGCCTCCAACCTTGTCTGTTATTTTCTCCCCCATATACATTCAAAGGTTGGGGCTTGGAATTTAGGATTGCAGAGGAGGCGAGCGCTGGGAGTCAGGGTCTCCAAGGTCGGGCCGGGGGCGGGGGGGCGGTGGGGCGGTGGGCAGGGGGCGAGCTGGGGAGAGAGCGCTGGGGTCACTGAATGAAGACAGAGGTTGGGACCCCCTGCACTGCTGGGTCCTAATGGAGGAGAGCAGGAGCTCTGGGCATATAAATAGAGAAAGGTCTGGGGGTTTGCACTCCTGGGTGTGCAGACAGTGGGGGTGGGGGGTCCCCACACCAGTTCTGAATGTATATCTGATGCGTGTGACCCTCTTCCTCCTTTACAGCCACCCTGACTTTCCTTCCCTCTTTTCTTCTCCCCATCCCCCCTCCTCCAGAACTGGACTCCAGAGTCCTTCCCTGGGGTCCTGGGGGCCGAGGCTTGGGGGGTCCCTCCCCAGGGTGTGTCAGGCCTAGCCCCTCTCCTCTAAACTCTTGCTAATTATCTCTTTTTATCCCCCACCACCAACAGAAGAGGAACGCCCCAAACCAAGGTGAGATCCTACAGGGTGGGGGGCCCCAGTCATACATCTTCCTAAATATTCCCTCTACCCCCAGAGACAAGGTGTGAGAAAGGCAGAGATGGAGGGAGGAAATTGAAACAGCAGTCGACATTTCTCCTCCTCCTCCTCCTCCCTCCCCCTTTCCCTCCTCCCTCCTCTCCCTCCTCCTCCCTCCTCCTCCTCCACTTCCTCTTCTTCCCCTTCCCCTTCTCCTTCTCCTTCCCCTTCTTCTTCATCGTGGTCATAGTCTCCACCCTGTTACCCAGGCTAGAGTGCAGTGACCCAATCCTGGCCCACTGCCTCAACATCTTGGGCTCAAGCAATCCTCCCATCTCAGCCTCCTGAGTAGCTGGGACCACAGGCATGTGCCACCACACCTGGTTTTTTTTTTTTTTTTTCTTTTTGTAGAGATGAGGTCTTGCTATGTTGCTTAGGCTGGTCTTGAACTCCTATCCTCAAGCAGTTCTCCCACCTTGGCCTCCCAAAGTGCTGGGATTACAGGCGCAAGCCACCATGCCCAGCCAGTCTGTTTCCTTCTTTCCACCCAGTGGTCCCTCTTCCCCTCGCGCCTTTACCATCACCCCAGCCTCCTCTCTGGCCTCCCTGCCTACAACTTGTGGCTCATCCTCCTCCATGACTCGAGAGAGACTTTTCTAACACCAGAGCTAACCCTGCCCCTCCTCTGCTCAGAATCTTTCCTCAACTCCCCACTACTCTTAAGACGCAGTCAAAGCAACTAGCCTGCATTCAAAGCCTTCCCCATCTGGCTCCAGCGGACCTTTCCGGCATCTGCCTTCCCCACTGACAGACACACAGCGTTTCATGGTTCTCTAGCCATGCCTGTGCTTTCATACCCCTGAGCCTTTGCACACACTGTGCCCTCTGCCTGCGCAGCGGCAGGTGGGAGGATCACTTGAGGATAGGAGTTCAAGATCAGCCTAAGTAACAAAATGAGATCCCCCACATCTCTACAAAAAATTTTAAAAAATTAGCCGGGCACAGTGGCACACACCTGTGATTCCAGCTACTCAGGAGGCTGAGGAAGGAGGATTGTTCGAACCCAGGATTTGGAGGCTGCAGTGAGCTATGATTACACCACTGTACTCCAGCCTGGGCAACAGAGCAAGACCCTGTCTCTAAAACATAAATAAAAATAAGGGAATGGGGCCGGGCGCAGTGGTTCATGCCTGTAATTCCAGCACTTTGGGAGGCTGAGGGGGGCGGATTACCTAAGGTCAGGAGTTTGAGACCAGCCCGGTCAACATGGTGAAACTCTGTCTCTACTAAAAATACAAAAGAATTAGCCAGGTATTGTGGTGGGCACCTGTAATCCTAGCTATTTGGGAGGCTGAGGCAGGAGAATCGCTTGAACCGGGAGGCAGAGGTTGCAGTGAGTCAAGATCGTGTCATTGCACGGCAGCCTGGGCAACAAGAGTGAAACTCCATCTCAAAAAAAAAAAAAGGGGGTGGGGTGGGGTGGGGGAATGGACTGAGAGGGATTCCAAGGCAAAGGGACAGGACTTGGGGATTGTTGGGCAAGGGGAGGGAAGCAATGGGGACAACCCCGAAGGGTCTCTGGGCTGGGGAACAAAGTGGACAGTGGGGCTGCCATCTCCTTCTCAGAGAAGTTGGTGAGCTCCATCAGGACGTCATGTGTGGGAAGGTGGGAAAAGTTCAGGAGATACCTGTTAGCTTGAGTCTGGGGCTTAGGAGAGAGTCTGGACCAGAGACAGTTGGCGAGTCCTCAGCAGTTGATGATACCTGAAGTCATTGGAGTGAATGGCATTGATGATGAGAAAAGGGAAAAGGAAAGCTCACTGGCAGCTCACGGGGCTGTCGGGGCAGGAGATAGGGATGGAACAGCCAGAGGGGTGGGAGGCAAGCCGGTATTCATTCCTGTACAATATGGTAAGCCATATTTTATTCCCACACATGACGCCCTGATGGAGCTTATCGACTTTTCCAAGATGGAGATGACGGCCCTGCTGTACACTTGGCCCCCTGGCCCAGAGACCCTTGGGGATTGTCCTCACCTCTTCCCTCCCCTTGCCCAGCATCCCCTAAGTCCTGTCTGCTTCATCTTGGAATCGCTCTTCACTGTCTCAGAAACCCAGAAAAGAGAATTCCAAGGAAGTGGCAGGAAATCAGAGCAGGCTGAGGGCTGAGCCTCAGAGCGGCACCACCCAATAGAAATAGATGGCAAGCCACACACGTCACTTACAATTTCTTACTAAAGGCTGGGCGCAGTGGCTCACGCCTATAGTCCCAGCACTCTGGGAGGCTGAGGCGGGAGGATCACTTGAGCTCAGAAGTTCAAGACCACCCTGGACAACATAGTGAAACGCCATCTCTTTTTTTTTTTTTTTGAGATAGAGTCTCCCTCTGTCACCCAGGCTGGAGTGCGATGGCACGATCTCGGCTCACTGCAATCTCTGCCTCCGGGGTTCAAGCGATTCTCCTGCCTCAGCCTCCTGAGTAGCAGGGATTACAGGCACGTACCACCATGCCCAGCTAATTTTTTTTTTTAATTTCTAGTAGAGATGGGGTTTCACCATGATGCCCAAGCTGGTTTTGAACTCCTGACCTCAAGTGATTCGCCCACCTTGGCCTCCCAAAGTGCTAGGATTACAGGCGTGAGCCACCGCGCCCAGGCTGTGAAACGCCATCTCTACAAAAAATTTAAAAATGGCTGGGCGCAGGGGCTCCTGCCTGTAATCCCAGCACTTTGGGAGGCTGAGGCAGGCAGATCGCCTGAGGTCGGGAGTTCAAGACCAGCTTGGCCGGCATGGTGAAACCCCGTCTCTACTAAAAATACAAAAATTACCCAGGCGTGGTGGCAGGCGCCTGTAATCCCAACTACTCGGGAAGCTGAGGCAGGAGAATCGCTTGAATCTGGGAGGTGGAGGTTGTTGTGGTGAGCAGAGATGGCGCCACTGCATTCCAGCCTGGGTGACAGAGTGAGGCTCTGTCTCAAAAAAAAAAAAAAAATTCTTACTAGGCATATTTTTTAAAGTACAACAATATAGGAAAAATTAATTTTCATAGCACAGTTTTTTTAATCTGTTATATAATGTTTTATCATTTCAACATGTAATCAGTATAAAACATGATTAGTGCCGGGCGCGGTGGCTCACACCTGTGATCCCAGCACTTTGGGAGGCCGAGGCGGGCGGATCACGAGGTCAGGAGATCGAGACCATCCTGGCTAACACAGTGAAGCCCCGTCTCTACTAAAAATACAGAAAAATTAGCCAGGCTTGGTGGTGGGCGCCTGTAGTCCCAGCTACTCGGGAGGCTGAGGCAGGAGAATGGCGTGAACCCAGGAGGCGGAGCTTGCAGTGAGCCGAGGTGGCGCCACCGCACTCCAGCCTGGGTGACAGAGCAAGACTCCGTCAAAAAAACAAAACAAAACCAACAACAACCAAAAAAACATGAGTAGTGAGGTATTTTACCTTCTTTTGTGTGTTTCACTGACAGCCCGCCTCAGCTGGGACCCTCCACGTTCAGGAGCCTCCCGGGGCTGGCGGCTACCTCACTGGACGGCACATCCCGGAGGTGGGAGGTGGCTCAGGGAGGTCGGGCCACTCATGGTCTCTGTGTTTCTGTCCACTCAGCCGCCCCGTGGTGCCTCCTTTGATCCCGCCAAAGATCCCAGAAGGGGAGCGCGTTGACTTCGATGTAAGTGACAAGAGACCCCTCCGCAGGCGCAGTTGCTAGTCTTTAAGGGGCCTTTGTGTCAATCATGAAAAGGCGCCGGCCGGGCGCGGGGCCTCATGCCTGTAATCCCAGCACTTTGGGAGGCTGAGGTGACCCACCTGAGGTCAGGAGTTCGAGACCAGCCTGGTTAATATGGTGAAACCCCGTCTCTACTAAAAATACAAAAATTAGCCGGGCGTGGTGGCAGGTGTCTGTAATCCCAGCTACTCGGGAGGCTGAGGCAGGAAAATCGCTTGAACCTGGGAGGCGGAGGTGGCGGTGAGCCGAGATCGCGCCATTTCACTCCAGCCTGGGAGGAAAAAAAAAAAAAAAGGCGCCGGTCCCCACTCCCCACTCCCGTCTTTGGGAAGCCTGTCCTTGGAAGAGCTGATTAGTGTCAAACACGAGGCATTGCTGCCACCTGCTGGATACCGTCCTGGGAAACGGTTCAGTTCACCATCCTGCATGGGGGAGGTGCTGGGAGGCTGCTGCCCCCTCCAGGGTCTCCTAGGACGGGCTGCCCGTGTGTCCTGCAGGACATCCACCGCAAGCGCATGGAGAAAGACCTGCTGGAGCTGCAGACACTCATCGATGTACATTTCGAGCAGCGGAAGAAGGAGGAAGAGGAGCTGGTTGCCTTGAAGGAGCGCATTGTGAGCCGAGAGTCCGGGTTCCCCCCGGTCTTCCTCCCTCCATGTGGATCCCTTGCATCTTGGGAGATGCAGATAATAGTTTTCCTCCTAGTACAGAGCTGAGCCTTAGGCTTTCGCGAATTCACCCAAGTCGGTGGCCACACTCCAATCTGTTTATTAGCCTACTCTGGGGAAGGAAGACTGGGGGTACGTCCCTGCACCCCCTTATGCTTCTCCGTTTCCCAGGAGCGGCGCCGGTCAGAGAGAGCCGAGCAACAGCGCTTCAGAACTGAGAAGGAACGCGAACGTCAGGCTAAGCTGGCGGTGGGTGCCTCCCCTGCCCTGAGAGCCCAAATGTTACTTCTTCAGCCGGATGCCCATTTTGTTATTATTATTATTATTATTATTATTACTATTATTATTATTCTTTGAAACGGAGTCTAGCTCTGTCGCCCAGGCTGGAGTGCAGTGGCACGATCTCAGCTCACTGTAACCTCTGCCTTCCAGGTTCAAGCGAATCTTCTGCCTCAGCCTCCCCAGTAGCTGGGACTACAGGTGCGCACCACCACGCCCGGCTAAATTTTGTATTTTTAGTAGAGATGGGGTGTCACCATGTTGGCCAGGATGGTCTTGATCTTCTGACCACATGATCCGCCCACCTCAGCCTTCCAAAGTGCTGGGATTACAGGTGTGAGCCACCGCATCCGGCCTATTATTATTTTTTATTCGTTTATTTGGAAATAGGGTCTTGCTCTGTCACCCAGGCTGAAGTGCAGTGGTGTGATCCTAGCTCACTATAACTAGGACCTCCTGGGCTCAAATGATTTTCCCACCTCAGCCTCCAGAGTCGCTGGAACTATATAGGCTGCGCCACTCTGCCCCACTAGTTTTTTTTATTTTTTTATTTTTTGTAGAGACAGCATTTTGCCATGTTGTCCAGGCTGGTCTTCAACTCCTAAGCTCAAGCAATCCACCTGCTTTCACCTCCCAAAGTGCTGGGATGACAGGCATGAGCCATCGTGCCCGGCCTGGATTCTCCATTTTCTTCTTTTCCCTTTTTTTTTAATTTTAATTTTTTTTTTTTCTGAGACAGTCTCGCTCTGTCACCCAGGCTGGAGTGCAGTGACGCGATCTCAGCTCACTGCAACCTCCGCCTCCTGGTTCAAGCAATTCCCCTGCCTCAGCCTCCTGAGTAGCTGGGATTACAGGCACCTGCCACCAGGCTCGGCTAATTTTTGTATTTTTAGTAGAAATGGGGTTTCTCCATGTTGGTTCAGGCTGGTCTTGAACTCCTGACCTCAGGTGATTCACCCCCTTGGCCTCCCAAAGTGCTAGGATTACAGGCATGAGCCACCATGCCTGGCCATTGTCATCATTATTACTATTATTATTATTTTTTTTTATTTGAGATAGGGTCTTTCTATGTTGCCCACGTTGTTCCCAAACTCCTGGGCTCAAGTGATCCTCCTGCCTCAGCCTCCCGAGTAGCTGGGATTACAGCCACCTGCCCGTCACCCAGCTGTGAAGGGGATTTTGCAGATGTGATTAAATTAAAGATCTTGAGATGGGAAGGTTGTCCTGGATTACCTGTGGGGAAGGGCAAGATCATCACAAGGGTCCTTATAAGAGGAAGGCCAGAGGGTCAGACTGAGAGATTTGAAGATGCTGCATGGCTGCCTCTGAAGATGAAAGAAGGTCCATGGGCCCAGACATGCAGGCAGCAGCTGGAAAAGGGAAGGGAATGAATTCTCCCCTAGAACCTCCAGAATAAATTGGTTCTGTTCACAACTTGATTCCAGCCCAGGGGGACCAATTTCAGATGTCTGATCTGCAGAGCTGTAAGATAACAAATCTGCATTGTTTTTCTGCCACTAAATTTGCAAATTACAGCAGTGATAGGAAACTAAGTTTAGGCGCGATGGCTGACGCCTGTAATCCCAGCACTTTGGGAGACCGAGACAAGTGGATCACCTGAGGCCAGGAGTTTGAGACCAGCCTGGCCAACATGGTGAAACCCTGTTTGTACTAAAAATACAAAAATTAGCTGGTAATGGTGGCACATGTCTGTAATCCCAGTTACTTGGGAGGCCGAGGCAGGAGAATCACTTGAACCCAGGAGGTGGGGGTTGCAGTGAACAGAGCAGAGATTGCACCACTGCACTCCAGCCTGAGTGACAGAGCGAGACTCCATCTCAAAAACAGAAAGGAAACTAATTCAGGTACGGAGTGCTGGGTGTACAAAAAGCCTCATGTCCACCATAAGGAGACGGGGCTCAGCCTGGACAAACCACTGTTTCTGGAACATTCAATGAAGAGTTTCTCGAATGTCGTAATGCCTTCGCTCAATATTCCAGAACCCCTTCCTCAGGCTCAAGGCCATCAGCCTCTTTAATCTCCCCAGTCCCTGGTCTTATCACCAGTTACTTCCCTTGACCCCCTCAAAACAGACATTCTCATATCCTGAGACTAAGGGCGACTGTGGCCCAGACAGGCTGAGCATCTGGAGTGAGGTCGTACAGCAGAGTTCACTATCGGCTATTTCAGGGTGGAGACATGCAGAAAAAGCAGGCATTTCTTCTTCTCCTTCATTTCGATTTTTTCTGGGAGGATATTAAGACCCAGAGAAGGGGGCCAGGTGCGGTGGCTCACGCCTGTAATCCCAGCACTCCGGGAGGCCGAGGCAGGCGGATCACTTGAGGTCAGTAGTTTGAGACCAGCCTGGCCAACATGGTGAAACCGCGTCTCCACTAAAAATACAAAAATTAGTTGGGCGCGGTGGCGGGTGCCTGTAATCCCAGCTACTCAGGAGGCTGAGGCTGGAGAATTGCTTAAACCCGGGAGGCGGAGGTTGCAGTGAGCCAAGATCGCACCACTGCACTCCAGCCTGAGCAACAGAGCGAGAGTCCGTCTCAAAAAAAAAAAAAAACAGAGGGGAAGGGACTTGTAGGTGGTCACACGGGGAGACGTGGCAGGGCCGGGAGTGGGTACCCCTGCGTTTCTGCTGGTTCTGATGTCCCAGCAGCCTCTGCGGCACTGGGTCTGCTGATCCCTGTGCCCCAGTTCCACATCCCAGGGCCCTCCTCCCTCAGTCCTACAGGGGAGTCCATGAGGTTAACCCCTTACTTCCCACAGGAGGAGAAGATGAGGAAGGAAGAGGAAGAGGCCAAGAAGCGGGCAGAGGATGATGCCAAGAAAAAGAAGGTGCTGTCCAACATGGGGGCCCATTTTGGCGGCTACCTGGTCAAGGTGAGTCAGCCTGCAGGAGCCTGAGGTCTGAGTTCTGAGGGGGCAGGGGCTGGGGGCCAGACCTCTGGTTCCTAACGGAGGAGGGGCTGAGGCCTGGATTCCTGGGTCTGAGGGAGGAGGGGCTGGGCCCTGAACTCCTGGGTCTGAGGGAGGAGGAGCTGGGGTCTGGACGCCTGGGTCTGAGGGAGGAGGGGCTGGGGTCCTGGACTCCTGGGCTGAGGGAGGAGGGGCTGAGGGCCTGGACGCCTGGGTCTGAGGGAGGAGGGGCTGGGGGCCAGACTTCTGGTTCCTAATGCGAGAGGGTCTGGGGCTTGGACTCAGTCTGAGAGGAGGGGCTGGGGGCCTGGACTCCTGGGTCTGAGGGAGGAGGGGCTGGGGGCCTGCACTCCTGGGTCTGAGGGAGGAGGGGCTCGGGGCCTGCAATCCTGGGTCTGAGGGAGGAGGGGCTGGGGTCTGGACTCCTGGGCTGAGGGAGGAGGGGCTGGGGGCCAGACTTCTGGTTCCTAATGCGAGAGGGTCTGGGGCTTGGACTCAGTCTAAGAGAAGGGACTGGGGGTCTGGACTCCTCCTGAATCTGAGGGAGGAGGGAGTGGGGCTGGACTCCTAGGTCTGAAGGAGATGGGCCTGGGGTGCAGACCTGTGGTCCCAACATGGAAATGGTCTGTGGGATCCGACGTGTGGGTCCCGACACGGCAGTGCTCTGTGGGATGTGGCCCCCAGTTTACTGTTCCGCCTCCCCCACCCTCAGGCAGAACAGAAGCGTGGTAAGCGGCAGACGGGGCGGGAGATGAAGGTGCGCATCCTCTCCGAGCGTAAGAAGCCTCTGGACATTGACTACATGGGGGAGGAACAGCTCCGGTAGGTGCTGTGGGGGGCTCGGGGTGTAGGGGCCTGGGTGTGAGACAGGGGGATAAAGGAGCTCACACCCAGATCTGGGTGGGCAGATACTCCGGGTCTCAGCTCCAGTGCTATGTGACTTTGGGCAAGTGGCTTCCCCTCTCTGGGCCTCTGCTGCCTTCTTTGTGAAACATGTCACTGAACCCACTTTTCGTGGCTGCCGTGGCCTGTAGCATCTGACAGGTGTTACCAAGGAAGCCAGACAAGATGACTTCCCTCCCCCAAGTTTAGGAGATTTTGTTAACTCCGTGATGTGCCTTGGAGCTCAGGATGGGCTGTGCCTTTTACCTAAATTCAAGCCAGGAATGCGGGTGAGAATTTTCCAGCTGAGTCCCTCGCATCTATAGCCAAGACAGCCTGCCTCTCATGATAAGCTACAGGACGGCAGGCTGGTGGGGGCTTGCCTTCAGGAGCCCGCCTGTTTCTCCATGTTCTCTGGCCTGGGCTGTGGCTCAGAAACTTCAACCACCCCAGAGTGGCGCCGTGATCGGGTTTGCCGCTTGCACCGAAAGCCCCTGCCCAGGGCTCAGTGCCAGCTTTGCCGGCTACTTTGTGATCTTGCGCACGTTATCTGACTTCTCTGGGGCTCCCATTCCTCATTGGCAGAACAAGGATATAATCACAAAATTGACCTCACAGAGCTGTGAAAGGGCAGTGAGATAGTAATAATAATTACAGGCTGGGCCCGGTGGCTCATGCCTGTAATTCCAGCACTTTGGGAGGCTAAGATGGGAGGATTGCTTGAGGCCAGGAGTTGGAGACCAGCCTGGGCAATGTAGTGAGACCCCATCCTTAAAAAAATAATAATTACAGCAGCAGCTTCCTGTGGAGGGTTTACAACCCTGTGAGGTAGATACTATTATTATCCTTGTGTTAATAGTGAGGAACCTGAGGCACAGAGAGGTTAAGTAACCCTTCCAGGGTTGCACAGCTAGCAAGTGGAAGAGCTGGGATTTGAACCCGGCAGTCTGGTGCAATAGTCCGTACTCTTTGCTAGTGTGCTGTAAAGTGGCTTCATGGTAAATGTTTAACAGCTGCTCTCCAGGGGGCAAAATGTCTAGATTTAGCACATGCCCATTCCCAGGGCGTAAATACTTCCACCTTGCTCCTTTCAAACTACCCGTGTGGGGACACTGAGTGTGGAGACGGGAAAGGATGTGCACAGCAGGCTCCTGGAAGCCCTCTGGGGGGCGCTGTGGGCCCTCCTTCCTGTGCACATGGTTCATGTAAAGTATTGTTGGCCGGGCGGGCGCGGCGGCTCACACCTGTAATCCCAGCACTTTGGGAGGCTGAGGCGGGCAGATCACCTGAGGTCAGGAGACCAGCCTGACCAATATGATGAAATCCCATCTCTACTAAAAATACAAAAATTAGCCGGGCGTGGTGGCAGGCGCCTGTAATCCCAGCTACTCTGGAGGCTGAGGCAGGAGAATCACTGAACCCAGGAGGCGGAGGTTGCGGTGAGCCGAGATGGCACCACTGCACTCCAGCCTGGGCGACATGAGCGAAACTCTGTCTTAAAAAAAAAAAAAAAAAAAGGCTGAGGTGAGAGGATCACTAGAGCCTGAGAGGTTGAGACTGCGGTGAGCTGTGATGGTGTCACTGCACTCCAGCCTGGGTGACAAAGTGAGACCCTATCAAAAAAAAAAGAAAAGAAAGAAAAGAAGGAAGGAAGGAAGGAAGGAAAGGTAGGTTTTAGTCCAGGGCTGGTATGGCAATTCTACAAAATCAGAGACCAGACTCCTATGTTTTCTGCTTCACTCACTACTTTTAGCCCAATATTTCCATCCTCAAAATCACTTAGTCCAATATAGCTGCTAGCTCCAGCCTCACATGGATGATCCAAGCAGCAGAAAGAAGACGCAAGAGAAGAGCCACACAGTCTCTTTTGGAAGCCGCACCCAGTGACCTGCTTTCGTCTGAGTAGCCACCCCTACCTGCAAGGGAGATTGGGCAAAGTAGTTTTTCAACTCAGCCTAATGCACAAGAGGCTATTTCTAGAAGAAAGGGAGAAGGGCTAACAGGTAGGCAAGCAGCCATCTCTTCCACAGTTTTATTTCCATATTTTCTAGAGAAGGAAACAGGATTCTAAAGGAAGTCATGTGACATATTCATAAACCAGAGAATGGCATGGCTGGGAATTGAACCAGGGGCTTCTAACTGCAGAGCCTGGGCTCGGTCTTTTCTTTCTTCCTTTTCTTTCCCCTCTCCCCTCCCCTCCCTTCCCCTCGTCTCCCCTCCCCTCCCCTCCCCTCGTCTCCCCTCCCCTCCCTCCCTCCCCTTCTTCTTCCCTCCTCTCCCCTCCCCTCTTCTCCTCTCCCCTCCCCTCTTCTCCTCTCCCCTCCCCTCTTCTCCTCTCCCCTCCCCTCCCCACTTTCCTTTCTCCTTTTCTTTCCTTTCTTTTGTCTTGCTCTGTTGCCAGGCAGGAATACAGTGGTGCAATCACAGCTCACTGCAGCTTTGACCTCCCAGGTTCCTTCTGCCTCAGCCTCCCAAGTAGCCGGAAACACCCTGCCTGGCTAATTTTTTTAATTATTTTTAGCAGAGACGGGGTCTCTCTTTGTTGCCCAGGCTGGTCTTGAACTCCTGGGCTCAAGTGTTCTGCTGGCCTCTGCCTCCCAAAGTGCTGGGATTACAGGTGCCGAGCCTGGTCTCTTAATCATGACACCCTTCTCTCCCCTTGGGAAATGCGAGAGCTCCAGCTCGGATGTGGAGAAAGTGGGCACAGATTTTAAAACTCTCGGCCTCAAATATGAACAAAATGGTGCCGACAACGCTGAACTCACAGTCTCGCTGTGTGGCTTTGGGTGGTTCCCACAACCTCTCTGGGCCCAAGTTCCTCTCCGTCCCTGGGCCTAGGGCCCGGTCTGCCTGGCTGCCTCCATCACAGCCCTCCTGCCCTGCCAGGGAGAAAGCCCAGGAGCTGTCGGACTGGATCCACCAGCTGGAGTCTGAGAAGTTCGACCTGATGGCGAAGCTGAAACAGCAGAAATATGAGGTGAGACCCAGCTCCGCAGGGAGGGAGGGAGAGAGGGCAGGGCTGGGCTGGGAGGGACCAGCAAACTCCAGGCAGGGGTGGGTGGCCCGTCCCCACGTCCCCACCGGCTGTCCCAGCATCTGTCTTCTGCCTCCGCAGATCAACGTGCTGTACAACCGCATCAGCCACGCCCAGAAGTTGTGAGTGTGACCGTCTCAAGCCCTTGCTCTTGTCCCTACCCTCCCGCTGACTCTCAGGCCTCTTTCCCTCCCTCTGTGGGCTCCATCCCCCACTGCCTGAGTTTCTGCCCCTTTCTCTTTGTCCTTCCTTCTCTGTCCTCCTCTCTCTGCTCTCGGAATCCTGGGTCTCAGTTCCTTTTTCTTTTTCTTTCTTTTTTTTTTTTTTTATTGAGACTGCGTCTCGCTCTGTCACCCAGGCTGGAGTGCAGTGGAGTGATCTCAGCTCACTGCAACTTCCATCTCCCGGGTTCAAGCGATTCTCCTGCCTCAGCCCCCTGAGTAGCTGGGATTACAGGTGCGCGCCACCAAGCGTGGCTAATTTTTGTATTTTTAGTAGAGACGGGGTTTCACCATGTTGGTCAGGCTGGTCTCGAACTCCTGACCTCGTGATCCACCCGCCTTGGCCTCCTAAAGTGCTGGGATTACAGGCGTGAGCCACCGCGCCCAGCCGAGAGGGTCTTCCCTGAATCTCTCTGTTTCTCCACTCCCTCTTCCTTCCTCCCTCCTCTCCCTCTCCCTTCTCCTCTTCTCCCATTTCCTGTCTCTTTCACCCCAGCCCTTCCTGCGTGTTACCCACCCATGCCCAGATCATCCAACCCTTCCTCCCCCCACCCTGGCCCCTGACTCATAAACATTCATCAGCTCCCCCATGAACACCCTGCACTCGCCCCCAAATATCAGCTCCCACATGTCAGCGAGGCTTTGACCACCAGCCGCTGCCCCCCAGTCATAGAACCCAAAAGAGGTGACAGTTGTTTTGCTCACTGCTTCCTCTGGGCAGGGAGGGCTAATATTTTGGGGAATGGGCTTCCTGAATTGAGGGCCTGGGGCCCATTTCAGAGACTGGAGGGGCCCCTTTTTCCTGATACCACCTCATTCTTCTACAGCCGGAAGGGGGCAGGGAAGGGCCGCGTTGGAGGCCGCTGGAAGTGAGGATGCCGCCCCGGACAGTGGCACCTGGGAAGCCTGGGAGTGTTTGTCCCATCGGTAGCTTGAAATAAACGCTCCCCTCAGACACCCGCTGGGTTCTCTGATGTTATTATGGTTGAGATGCAGCTGGTCTCTCCTGGTTAATTGACTTCTTATTACCAACAAGTTACTTGAAAGAGTGTCACCAATAATCATTAAAGTACGGCAGGCTGAACCTTCACACACTGCTGGTGGGAATGGAAAATGCAACAGCTTTGCAAGCAGCCTGGCGGTTCCTCAACAAGTGAAAGCATTTCTGCAGGACCCAGCAGTTCCCCTCCTGGATGTATATCCAAGAGAACCAAGAACCTTTGTCCACACAAAAGCTTGTACATGAATGTTCATAGTAGCATTTTTATTTTTAATTTTTAGAGACAGGGTCTTGCTCTGTCGCCCAGGCTGCAGTGCAGTGGCGTGATCACGGCTCACTGCAGCCTTGAATTCCTGGGCTCAAGTGATCCTCCCACAACAGCCTCTGAAAGTGTTGGGATTTTAGGTGTGAATCACTGCACCGGCCGCAGCATCTTTTTTTTTTTTTTTTTTTGAGATGGAGTCTTGCTCTGTCACCCAGCCTGGAGTGCAGTGGCATGATCTCGGCTCACCGCAACCTCCACCTCCCGGGTTCAAGCAATTTTCCTGTCTCAGCCTCCCAAGCAGCTGGGACTACAGGTGCCCACCAACATGCCTGGCTAATTTTTGTATTTTTAGTAGAGACAGGGTTTCACCATATTGGTCAGGCTGGTCTCAGACTCCTGACCTCAGCTGATCCTCCCGCCTCAGCCTCCCAAAGTGGTGGGATTACAGGTGTGAGCCACCATGCCCAGCTTTTTTTTTTTTTTTTTTTTTTTTTTGAGACAGAGTCTCACTCTGTCACCCAGGCTGGAGTGCAATGGCAAGATCTCGGCTCACCGCAACCTCCACCTCCCGGGTTCAAGCAATTCTGCCTCAGCCTCCCGAGTAGCTGGGACTACAGGCGCCTGCCACCACGCCAGCTAATTTTCGTGTTTTTAGTAGAGACGGGATTTTACCATGTTGGCCAGGCTGGTCTCGAACTCCTGACCTCAGGTGATCCGCCTGCCTCAGCCTCCCAAAGTGCTGGGATTACAGCCGTGAGCCACCGCGCCTGGCCCACCGCTAGTTTTTCATAATAGCCAAAAGGCAGAAGCAACTCAAATGCTCATTAACTGATGAACGGATAAACATACGTTGGTTCATCCACACAGTGGAATGTTGTCTAGCCACGGAAAGGAATGAAGTGCTGACATGTGGTGTGACACGCACGAACCTTGAAAACATACTAAGCGAAAGGAACCAGACATCAAAGGTCACATATGATTCCACTTATATGAATTTTCTAGAATAGGCAAATCCACAGAAGTAGGAAGGAGGTTCGTGTTTTTGAGGGGCTAGGGGACGGTGGGTAGAGATGACGGCTAAGAGAATGGCGTTTCTTTTTCGATGATGAACATGTTCTGGAATTAGATAGTGGTGATGGTTGCACAACGTGAATATACTGAAAAACTCTGAATTGTACTTTAGTTGGTACATCTTATGATATGTTAAGCATATCCAAATTAAGAAATTCAAAAGCAGGCCAAGCGAGGTGACTCCTGCTTGTAATCCCAGAACTTTGGGAGGCAGAGGCGGGAGGATCTCTTTTTTTTTTCTTTTAGACAGAGTTTCGTTCTGTCACCCAGGCTGGAGTGCAGTGGCGTGATCTCGGCTCACTGCAAGCTGGAGGCAGGAGGATCTCTTGAGGTCAGGAGTTTGTGACCAGCCTGGCCAACTCGAGGAAACCCTATCTCTACTAAATTACAAAAAAAAAGAAAAAAAGATTAGCTGGGCATAGTGGTGGCTGTAATCCCAGCTACTCAGGAGGCTGAGGCAGGAGAATCGCCTTGAACTGGGGAGGTTGCAGTGAGCCAAGATCACACCACTGCACTCCAGCCTGGGCGACAGAGCGAGACTCCATCACACACACACACACACACACACACACACGCACACACACACACGCACACACACACACAATGCAAAAGTAAATTTAAAAAGTGACACGTAAAGTTTCGTATGGGAGAGTCAGTTCAGTGACAATAAGTATTGTTTGCTGTTCTGCCTTTCCGACTTTCCATTTGGGATGTCTTATTAGTGACCATGTGGGTCTGGCCACTGGGCCCTAAATCCCAAATAACCAGACAGTTGCTATGCTTTGAATGTATGTATCCCCTCAAAATTTACATGTTGAAACCTGATCATGAATGCAATAGTATTCCACGGGACTTTAGGAGGTGACTAGGTCATGAAGGCAGAGCCCTCACAAATGGGGTTAATGTCCTTATAAAAGAGGCTTGAGGGAGAGCCCCTTGCCCCTTTGGCTGTGTGAGGACACAGCAAGAAGGCACCATCTGTGAAGCAGAGAGCAGGCCCTCCCTCCACACTGAGTCTTCTGGCGCCCTGATCCTGGTCTTTCCAGCCTACAGACCTGTGAGCAATACATTTGTATTGTTTGTAAATGACCAGGTCTACGGTGTTCTGTTACAGCAGCCCAAATGGACCAACACAACAGTTGATTTTCTTTTTCTTTCTTTCTTTTTTTGTTTTAATTTCTTTTTCTTTTTCTTTTTTTTTTTTTTTGAGATGGAGTCTCGCTCTGTCACCAGGTTGGAGTGCAGTGGCGCAATCTCAGCTCACTGCAAGCTCCCACTCCCTGGTTCAAGCGATTCTCCTGCCTCAGCCTCCCAAGTACCTGGGATTACAGGCCCGTGCCAACACACCCAGCTAATTTTTTTTTTTTTTTGTATTTTTAGTAGAGACGGGGTTTCACCATGTTGGCCAGGATGGTCTTGATCTCCTGATATCGTGATCCTCCCACCTCATCCTCCCAAAGTGCTGGGATTACAGGCGTGAGCCACCGTGCCCGGCCTTCTTCTTTTTTTGAGACAGGGTCTCCCTCTGTCACCCAGGCTAGAGTGCAGTGGTGCAATCACAGCTCACTGCGGCCTCAACCTCCTGGGCTCAAGCAGTCTTCCCGCTTCAGCCTTTCAAAATGCTGGGATTGCAGGTGTGAGCCACTTTGCCTGGCTGACAATAGTTGATTTCTTTCACATGTAAAAGTCTGAGTTGGGATGATGGCTCTGTTTTGTAACATTGCCTGGGTCCAAGCTCATCCTACTGTGTAGCTCCTTTCCCCAGGGGGTTGCCTTTGCCCATAGGGTAAGATAGTTCCCACTCTGTTTCAGACCGCAGACTGGGGTAAAATGGAAGGAGACATGTTTACTCCTACTCAGTCTCATTGACAGAAGTTAATTACATTATCATACCCAGTTGGTAGGGATGCTGGTGTCCCGTGCGTCTGTGGGAAGAGACCACCAAACAGGCTTTGTGTGAGCAACAAGGCTGTTTATTTCACCTGGGTGCAGGTGGGCTGAGTCTGAAAAGGGAGTCAGCAAAGGATGGTGGGATTATCATTAGTTCTTACAGGTTTGAGATGGGCGTACAAAGTACATTCAAGGGCGGGGAGAATATTACAAAGTACCTTCTTAAGGGTGGGGCAGAATATATGGTATCAGTTAGTGGGGCAGGAACAAATCACAGTGGTGGAATGTCATCAGTTAAGGCTATTTTCACTTCTTTTGTGGATCTTCGGTTGCTTCAGGCCATCTGGATGTGTACGTGCAGGTCACAGGGGATATGATGGCTTAGCTTAGGCTCAGAGGCCTGATATTCCTGTCTTATATTAATAAGAAAAACAAAACAAAATAGTGGTGAAGTGTTCGGGCGGTGAAAATTTTTGGGGGTGGTATGGAGAGATAACGGACGATGTTTCTCAGGGCTGCTTCGAGTGGGATTGGGGCAGCGTGGGAACCTAGAGTGGGAGAGATTAAACTGAAGAAAGATTTTGGGGTAAGGGGTGATACTGGGGGTTGTTAGAAGGAGCATTTGTCCTTCTAGAATTACTGGTGATGGCCTGGATGCGGTTTTGTATAAATTGAGAAACTAAACAGAAGACACAAGGTCCAAATAAGAGAAGGAGAAAAGCAGGTATTAAAGGACTAAGAATTCGGAGGACCCAGGACATCCAATTAGAGAGTGTCCAAGGGGGTTCAGCATAATTACTTGCTTGGCTGGTGAGTTTTGGGGCTCTATCTTTGAGTTTTTTTGTGTTGTCATATACCAGGCCAGATTGATTTAGGTAAAAACAACACTCTTCATTTAAAAATATACAGAGTCCTTTTTTTTTTTAGCAGTGAGTAAGTCGAGGCCTTGGCAATTTTGGAGGAAAGAGAAATGCAAAGCCAGTAATTGTTTGTTAAAGGAGGATTAGAAATGGCTGGGAGAGAGTGAGATTGATAGTGTGGTGGAGATAGCTGGGGAGAGGTAGAGGATGGCATAAGAATGGGAACCAAGGCCGGGCGTGGTGGCTCACCCCTGTAATCCCAGCACTTTGGGAGGCTGAGGCGGGCGGATCACGAGGTCAGGAGATTGAGACCATCCTGGCTAACACAGTGAAACCCCATCTCTACTAAAAATACAAAAAATTAGCTGGGTGTGGTGGCGGGCGCCTGTGGTCCCAGCTGCTCCGGAGGCTGAGGCAGGAGAATGGTGTGAACCCAGGAGTCGGAGCTTGCAGTGAGCCGAGATCGCGCCACTGCACTCCAGCCTGGGCAACAGAGCAAGACTCTGTCTCAAAAAAAAAAAAAGAATGGGAACCAGAATAACAGTGAGCATAGAAGTAAAGAATAGGACTTCATCAGGGTGAAAGTATTGGAGGGTACCTTGCCACTGAAGATCTATCCACTTCAAGAGAGACTTAAGGCGATTTGAGGTAAAACCAGGAGCCACTAAATACCGAGAGCCTGAGAGACTGCTTGGGTGATTTGACTAATAAAGGCTGGTCCGTTATCAGACTGTATAGAGGTGGGAAGGCCAAACCGTGGAATTATGTCTGACAGAAGGGAAGAAATGACTGTGGTGACCTTCTCAGACCCTGTGGGAAAGGCCTCTACCCATCCAGTGAAAGTGTCTACCCAGACCAAGAGGTATTTTAGTTTCCTGACTCAGGGCATGTGAGTGAAGTCAATTTGCCAGTCCTGGGCGGGGGCAAATCCCCGAGCCTGATGTGTAGGGAAGGGAGGGGACCTGAGCAATCCCTGAGGGGTAGTAGAATAGCAGATGGAACACTGAGAAGTGGTTTCCTTGAGGATAGATGTCCACGAAGGAAAGGAAATGAGAGGTTCTAAGAGATGGGCTAGCGGCTTGTAACCTACATGGAAGAGGCTATGAAGTGACGACAGAATAGAATGGGCCTGTGAGGCTGGAAGGAGATATTTTCCTTGGTCTAAAAACTATTTGCCTTGTGTGGGAAGAGATTGATAGGTGGCAGTTTCAGTGGGGGAGTAGGTGGGAGTGACCGATGTGAAGGAGAAAAACTGGCCGTGAGGGGCAGAAGTTGGAAAGCTAGCTGCTTCTTTAGCTACCTTATCAGCATAAGCGTTGTCCTGAGCAATGGGATCTGATGCCTTTTGATGGCCCTTGCAGTGAATGACTCCAGCTTCCTTTGGAAGAGAAGTGGCCTTGAGAAGAGTTTTTATTAAGGAGGCATTAAAGATGGAGGACACCTGCGTAGTGAGGAAACCTCCTTCAGCCTATATAACTGCATGGTGGGGCAGAATATGAAAGGCATATTTAGAGTCAGTATAAATATTGACGCGTAGTCCTTTTGCAAGAGTGAGGGCCTGAGTTAAGGCAATGAGTTCAGCTTGCTGAGAGGTAGTGGAGGGAGGCAAAGCAGTATCCTCAATGATAGATGTGGAAGATACTATAGCATAGCCTGCCTTTGCTGGTGTGTGGCGATTAGGCCTGGTGGAACTGCCATCAATAAACCAAGTGTGATCAGGCTGAGGAACAGGAAAGAAGGAAATATGGGGAAATGGGGTGAATGTCAGGTGGATCAGAGAGATAGTCATGAGGGTCAGGTGTGGTATCCAGAATAATGTGGGAGGCCGGATTGAAGTCCGGGCCAGGAACAATGGTGATTGTGGGAGACTCAACAAAGAGTGAGTACAGCTGAAGGAGCCGGGGAGCAGAAAGTATATGCATCAGGTATGAGGAAGAAAATAGATTTTGAAAGTTATGAGAACTGTAGAGAGTGAGTTGAGCATAGTTTGTGATTTTGAGGGCCTCTAAAAGTATTAAAGCAGCGGCAGCCACCACACACAGGCATGAGGGCTAGGCTAAAACAGTAAGGTCAAGTTGTTTGGACAGAAAGGCTATAGGGCGCGGTCCTGGCTCTTGTGTAAGAATTCTGAGAGCACAGCCCTGTACTTCAGCTGCGTGTGATGAAAAGGGTTGGGATGAGTTAGGGACAGCTAGTGTGGGAGCAGCTTTTAGGGCTGTTTTTTTTTGTTTTTTTGTTTCGTTTTGTTTTTTTTTGAGACAGAGTCTCTCACTCTGTTGCCCAGGCTGGAGTGCAGTGGCGCGATCTCGGCTCACTGCAAGCTCCGCTTCCCAGGTTCATGTCATTCTCCTGCCTTAGCCTCCTGAGTAGCTGGGACTACAGGCACCCGCCACCACCCCCGGCTAATTTTTTGTATTTTTAGTAGAGATGGGGTTTCACCATGTTAGCCAGGATGGTCTCGATCTCCTGACCTTGTGATCCACCTGCCTCGGCCTCCCAAAGTGCTGGGATTACAGGTGTGAACCACTGTGCCCGGCCAGGGCTGTTTTTTAAGGAATGGAAAGGGGAGTGGGGAAAGGATTTAGGATTTATGGGGTCAGCTAGGTTTATCTAGAACAGAATAATGGGTTGTGGAGGGAGGTATTGAGGATAGGAGAGTATACGGGTTTGGCACCATGGGGTGGATAGGCAAGACAATGTGGTTGATAAGGCACAGATCCTGAACTAACCTGTAAGACTTGTCTGGTTTTGGATGGGTAGGATAGGGGAGTTGTAAGGAGAATTTGTAGGCTTCAAGAGACCATGTTGTAACAGGTGGGTGATAACAGGCTTTAACCTTTTTTTTTTTTTTTTTTTTTTGAGATGGAGTCTTGCTCTGTCGCCCAGGCTGGAGTGCAGTGGCACGATCTTGGCTCACTGCAAGCTCTGCCTCCCAGGTTCACGCCATTCTCCTGCCTCAGCCTCCCGAGTAGCTGGGGCTACAGGCGCCCGCCACCAAACCCGGTTGATTTTTTGTATTTTCAGTAGAGACGGGGTTTCACCATGTTAGCCAGGATGGTCTCGATCTCCTGACCTCGTGATCTGCCCGCCTCGGCCTCCCAAAGTGCTGGGATTACAGGCGTGAGCCACCTCGCCCGGCCTAACCTTTTTAAAGCGTGCTGTGGGATGGGATATTGGTGTTGAGTGGGGTAAGGGTGATTAGGTTTTAATGGGATGGTAAGGGGTGCATGATCGGTCACCAAGGAGGGAGTAGAGGTATCCCATACTTGCGGATTAAGGTGGGGAGATACAAGGGGAGGATGTGAAGGAGGCTTTGAACTGGGGAAAAGGGTGGCAATGAGGTGTGGCTGTAGCCCAGGAATGATCAGGGAAGCAGATAATTTGGTTATAATGTCTTGACCTAATAAGGGAACTGGGCAGGTGGGGATAACTAAAAAGAAGTGCATAAAAGAGTGTTGTCCAAGTTGGCACCAGAGTTGGGGGGTTTTAAGAGGTTTAGAAGCCTGGCCGTCAATACCCACAACAGTTATGGAGGCAAGGGAAACAGGCCCTTGAAAAGAAGGTAATGTGGAGTGGGTAGCCTCCGTATTGATTAAGAAGGGGACAGACTTGCCCTCCACTGTAAGAGTTGCCCAGAGCATCTGTGATGGTCCAGGAGGCTTCCGAGGTGATGGGGCAGTGTCAGTCTTCAGCCGCTAAGCCAAGAAGATCTGGGAAGGAGTCAGTCAGAGGGCCTTGGGCCGGAGTTCCAGGGGCTTTGGGAGTGGCTGCCGGACAAGTTGGACAGTCCAATTTCCAGTGGGGTCCTGCACAGATGGGACACAGCTTAGGAGGAATCCCGGGCTGCAGGCATTCCTTGGCCCAGTGGCCAGATTTCTGGCACTTGAAGCAAGATCCTGATGGAGGAGGTCCTGTAGGAATGCTAGACCACTGCGGCGTAGGCATTTTGAAGTTCTTGTGTGCTGGAGATGTGGCTGGGGTTTCTCTCACAATGGAGGCAAGGAATTGCAACTCAGAAATATGTTGCTATGCAGCTGCCTCTACTCTATTAATGTACACCTTGAAGGCGAGGTTAATTAAGTCCTGTTGTGGGGGTTTTGGAGCTTTATTTAATGTCAGGAGCAGATTGGGTAATAAAATGCATATTGAGAATAAGAGGCCTTCTGACCCTTCAGGGTCTAGGGCTGTAAAGGGCCTCAGGGGTGCTGCCAAACGAGCCATGAACTGGGCGGGGTTTTTATATTTGATGAAAAAGAGCCTAAACACTAACTGATCTGGGAGAGGTCGGATAAAGGAAAAGGAGCATTAACCTTGACTATGCCTTTGGCTCCAGCCACCTCTTTCAGAGGAAATTGCTGGGCAGGTGGGGGAGGGCTAGCTGCAGAAGAAAACTGTAAGCTGGATCGGGTGTGGGGAGAGGAGGTGATGGAAGGATTATAGGGCGGGGGAGAGGAGGCTGAGGAAGAATTGGAGCCTGATTCAGCCTGGTGGGGAGCGACCTGAGGAGGAGCAGCCTGGGGAAGAGGGGAGAGGTCAGATGGGTCGGTAGAAAAGGAAGATTGAAAAGACTCAGTGACGCTTGGGGTTGAGACTGAGGGGACAGGCAGGAGGGAAAGAAGGAGGATTTGGGACAAGTCGCATTAGGAACAGAGACTAGGGAGGGACCAATGTGTAAAAGAATGCCTGGATATCAGGTACCTCAGACCTTTGGCCCATTTTACGACAAGAATTATCTAGATCTTGTAGGATGGAAAAATCAAAATTGCCGTTTTCTGGCTATTTAGAACCATTGTCGAGTTTGTATTGGGGTTAAGCAGCATTGCAGAAGAAAATAAGGTGTTTAGGTTTTAGGTCAGGTGTGAGTTGAAGAGGTTTTAAGTTCTTGAGAACACAGGCTAAGGGAGAAGGAGGGTCGGACGGTGGAAGGTTGCCTATAGTGAAGGAGGCAAGCCCAGAGAAAAGAGAGAGTAGAGACATGGAGAGAAGGGGTGGGGGGTGCTTGCCCCCCAGGAAAGTGGTGCTTGCCACTAAGGGTGAAGGATCAAGGCAAGCGTCCCCGTGGTGATCAGACACCTCTGAAACGTGGGTGAATAATCAAGCAGGCGTCCCCGCAGTGATTAAACACCAAGGGAAGACTGTCTTCCCGAGTCCGTGACCAGCGCTGGGGTTTTGGGTTCACGTATAAAACACGTCTCCTCTGTCTCTACCAGAAAAGGAAAGGAACTGAAATTAAGAGAAGGGAGAGACTGAAGGGTGGCGCCAAGATTCAAAGGAGAAAGAGGTTGAGGGATAGTGAGAGAGGTTGTAGAAGAGAGTAAAAAGAGACTGCTTACCCAATTTAAAATTGGTGAAATATTCCTTGGACTGGTTGGTCTGAGGACCCGAGGTCATAGGTGGATCCTTCTCACGGTGCAAAGAGCAGGAGGACAGGGGATTTATCTCCCAAGGGAGGTCCCCTGATCCTAGTCACGGCACCAAATGTCACGCACGTCCGTGTGAAGAGACCACCAAACAGGCTTTGTGTGAGCAAAAAGGCTATTTATTTCACCTGGGTGCAGGTGGGCTGAGTCCGAAAACAGAGTCAGCAAAGGTGGGATTATCATTAGTTCTTATAGGTTTGGGATGGGCGTACAAAGTACATTCTCAAGGGCAGGGAGAATATTACAAAGTACCTTCTTAAAGGCGGGGGAGAATATTACAAAGTACCTTCTTAAGGACCAGGCAGAATATATCGTATCAGTTAGGGTGGGGCGGGAACAAATCACAATGGTAGAATGTCATCAGGTAAGACTATTTTCGCTTCTTTTTTGGATCTTCAGTTGCTTCAGGCCATCTTCATGTATATGTGCAGGCCCACAGGGGATATGATGGCTTAGCTTGGGCTCGGAGGCCCGACACTGGGATATGTAACCATTATTCTAGATGGCTATGCTAAACCCAGCATAATCAGAGGTTCCATTTTGTTGAGAAAGAAGGGGACAACGAATATTGGGCAACAATTTGTCATCTCTGCCACTGAAACCACTGCTTCTCTGTCCACTACATTTTATCAAAGGCAGAGTGTCTTGCAATCAGCTTGACTTGCAAGAGGCTCAAAGGCCTCTTGGAATGCCTTGCATCAGTTTGCTTTTGTGGCATAAAAAGTTACCCCAGGTGGGCGCAGTGGCTCACCCCTGCCTGTAATCCCAGCACTTTGGGAGGCTGAGGCGGGTGGATCACTTGAGGCCAGGAGTTCAAGACCAGCCTGGTCAGCATAGTGAAACCCCATCTCTACTGAAAACACACAAAAAGTAGCCAGGCATGGTGGCTGGTGCCTGTAATTCCAGTTACTTAGGAGGCTGAGGCAGGAGAATCACTTGACCCTCAGAGGTGGAGGTTGCAGTGAGCCGAGGTCATGCCACTGCATTCCAGCCTGGATGACAGAGTGGGACTTGGTCTCAAAAAAAAAAAGCAAAGAAAAAAGAAAAAAGTTACCCCAAATATTAGTGGCTTGAGTCAACAGTCATCTATTTAACTTATGGTTTGAGGGCTGGGCGCGGTGGCTCATGCCTGTAATCCCAGCACTTTGGGAGGCCAAGGCGGGCGGATCATGAGGTCAGGAGATTGAGACCATCCTGGCTAACACAGTGAAACCCCATCTCTACTAAAAATACAAAAAAATTAGCCAGGTGTGGTGGCAGGCGTCTGTAGTCCCAGCTACTCGGGAGGCTGAGGCAGGAGAATGGCGTGAACCCAGGAGGTGGAACTTGCAGTGAGGGGAGATCGCGCCACTGCACTCCAGCCTGGGAGACAGAGCGAGACTCCGTCTCAAAAAAAAAAAAAAAAATTATAGTTTGAGAGTTGGCAAATTGGGCTGGGCTCCGCTGGGAGTTCTTGTCTGGCTGATCTTGGCTGGACTTGCTCATGCATCTGCAGTCTCCTGGTGAATCAACAGGGGCTGGCTGTGGTCATCCCACTAGTGCCTCTTCATGTTCCCGCAGCTGGACCCAGATCCCTCCTGATTATAATGGCAGTGCTAAACTAACAGTGTCATTGAGGAGTTATGTTTGGCTGATAGTAAGAGACAGCTCCCCAAATAACAATAGTTTTGGTGAATTGGAGGTTTGTTTTCTCATATGTAACCTAAAAGACAAGAGGTAGGCAGTCCAGGGAAGGAAAGGCAGATCCCAACTGCCATCAGGAACTGAGGCTTCTAAGGCCAGGTGCAGTGGCTCATGCCTGTAATCCCAGCACTTTGGGAGGCCAAGGCGGGCAGATCATGAGGTCAGGAGTTTGAGACTATCCTGGCCAACATGGTGAAACCCCGTCTCTACTAAAAATACAAGAATTAGCCAGGCGTGGTGGCGTGCACCTGTAGTCCCAAGAGAATCGCTTGAACCCAAGAGGTGGAGGTTGCAGTGAGCTGAGATCATGCCGCTGCACTCCAGCCTGGGTGACAGAGCGAGACTCCATCTCAAAAAAAAAAAAAAAAAAAAGAAATTCCAGTTCTGGATTTGACAGTCCTCAGATTGAACCTTGTCTTGGCCAATTTCTAGCTCTGTGACTGGGGCTAGTCTCTTAGTCTCTGCCTCCTGGAGTTGATGAGATGATGTACATAAAATATCTGATAGGCATGTGATGTTGGCTGTGAGCATCTTCATATGCCACTCAAGAACATCATCTTTTGCTCTTGTCTTCCTGTGGTAAAGGTTTTGTTTTCACTTCTAGGGTCTGCTCTTTGCTCTCAATGGTAACAGTGGAATGTTGGTGCTTAACCTTGGAACTGCAGGCCCTCCTCACTGGTGTAAATAACCTCAGAAAGATAAGAAGAAAATGTTCCCACTTCTTCTGTAACAGCAGAAAAATAGATATTAGTCTGCACCATAAAGATGGTTCAGATAAGCAGGTGAAGTTAGAACATCCACAAAAGTATAAAATTGACTCTTCTGTCCTGTGTGGAGAGGGGTAAGAGTATTATAAGCCCATTCTGATTTCTGTTATTTTACTCTTTTTTGATTGCGCCAGTGCAATCCAGCCTGGGCGATGACAAGAGTGAAACTCCATCTCAAAACAAACAAACAAACAAACAAAAACAAACCATAAACACAAACTCATAAACAACATACATCCAGCCACAGACATGATTGCAAATACACACAATTATACATAAAGGCACAGAATACATACAGAACCAGAGCTACACGGTAACACCCTGAAGACCGACTTCTTGTTTTCCTGGGGGAAGGAGGTTGGTGTGTAAGTATGTGGAAAGTGTGGGGTTCAGGGACCACACCTAAGAGCCACCAGAACTATCCCTTTCTATAGAAACAGGCTTCGTGGCGGATGAAGACCCCATCTTGGGGTTCCACCAGATATTCCTACTAAAGAACATCAGCTGGGTGTGGTGGCTCATGCCTGTAATCCCAGCACTTTGGGAAGCTGAGGCGGGTGGATCACTTGAGGTCAGGAGATCGAGACCAGCCTGGCCAACATGGTGAAACCTTGTCTCTACTAAAAATACAAAAATTAGCCAGGCGTGGAGCACGCCTGTAATCCCAGCTACTTGGGAGGCTGAGGTAGGAGAATCACTTGAACCTGGGAGGCGGAGGTTGCAGTGAGCCGAGATCACATCACTGCACTCCAGCCTGGGCGACACAGTGAGACTCCGTCTCAAAAACAAAACAAAACCAAACAAAACAAAACATCAGCGATGCAATGATGCTTGGGTTTGCACCAATGATATGCAGGCTTGCTCTGCACAACTTCAGCTGACCTCCTCTCCACCGGGCCCTCACGCTGCCTCCTCTTCCCTCCTCTTTCCAGAACTATTGCCACTCCTCCAGATATGATGCACAAATGAGCAGGGTCGCAGTGGGAGTGGGCGCAGTGCGCTGATGCCACGGAGGTGTTGTGCATGACGTCTGGACACTAGACTAGCTGCATGTAATGGGAAAAGTTTGTGTTGTACCAGCGCATGCCTTGGAAAGACTTAAGTAATGCAAAAGGTTGTCCTTTAAAAAAAAAAAAAATCTGGCCGGTCGCGGCGGCTCACGCCTGTAATCCCAGCATTTTGGGAGGCCGAGGCAGTCGGATCACGAGGTCAGGAATTCGAGACCAGCCTGGCCAACATGGTGAAACCCCGTCTCTACTAAAAAACAAAAATTAGCCGGGCGTGGTGGAGCACGCCTGTAGTCCCAGCTACTCAGGAGGCTGAGGCAGGAGAATCGCTTGAACCCGGGAGGCAGAGCTTGCAGTGAGCCGACATCGCGCCACTGCACTCCAGCCTGGGCGACAGAGCAAGCCTCCGTCTCAAAAACAACAACAACAACAAAAAAAAACAAAACTACTGACAAGTTGCTCTACTTAACCCAAAGAAAGTGAAGGAGAAAGCGGCTGCCTCACCGCCTAGACATTGAGTCGCCGGATGTTTCAATGCCTCATGATACAATAAAACCACAAAAATTTTCGTAACAGCAGCAGCAACAACAACAACAAAAGAGAAAGAGAGAGGGAAAGAAACAGGCCTCGTGGGATGCGCAGTTTACGTCTCCGCGCAAACCCAAGGACTTCAGAGTGGGTGGGAAACTCCCACAGCGCTTGGGAAACAGTCTGTAGTCTCTGTCCCGATTTTGGCCCTTTTCTGTATGATTTTTATGGGACTCTTCCTGTCACAAAGTGCCAGCCACCTTCCCAATCTTGAGTTGGGCGCGGGATCCGTAAGGTGAAGATCAAGGTGTGCTCATCGCTTGGGCCCGCTGAAAGGTGATTCGCCCCCCACCTGCTGGAACTCCTTGCCCGGGACCACCAATCCCAGCATGCCTTGAGAGCGCGCGAGGGCCTGGGCGGTTCCCAGGAGGTCCGGGTGGGCGCAGGAGAAGCGCGGGCCAGTGAAAGCTCTGAGAGCCCTGTCCCTGTGGACACTGTGTCTTGGGTTCCTTTACTCGGTGTGGCTCAGGGATTACCATTAGGGAGTGGAGTGTGGATTTCTCTTGCCCCGAGCCCTAAATGCCTTGGGGCCCTGCCTTGCACCCCACTGTGCTTTTAGGGGTGTGGCCCTGTGGGCTACATTTCCCAGCGTGCCCTAGGATCGTGGTCCTGACCTTTTCACCGCAAATTTCATTTCCCAGCATGCCCTGCGAGGTCACCCAGGGAAGCTTGGAAGTGGACTGTCTTTCATGGCTTCTAGGTTGCGGACTCAGTTTCCCATGGTGCCCTGGTGAACCCATTCATTCATTCATTCCAAAAATATTTGCGATCAGGTTCTCTCAGGTTCTGTTCTAAGAACCGAGGACAAGTAGTGCACAGAAGACAAAAGATCCCGCTCTCGTGGAGCTTATTTCTAGTTAAGGGGTCAGGAAAAAAACCAAAATAAATAAAACCCAGCTGGGCATGGTGGCTTACGCTCGTCATCCCAGCAGGATTACAGGCCGAGGCGGGCGGATCATGAGGTCAAGAGATCAAGACCATCATGGCCAACATGGTGAAATCCCGTCTCTACTAAAAATATAAAAATTAGCAGGGCGGGGTGGCGCGCGCCTGTTATCCCAGCTACTCTGGGGACTGAGCCAGAATTGCTTGAACCTGGGAAGCGGAGGTTGCAGCGAGCCGATATCGCGCCACTGAACTCCAGCGTGGCGACAGAGCGAGACTCCGTCTCAAAACAAAGAAAACAAAATAAAACAACAATAACAAAACAACTCTGCCTCTCCCCGCACTCCCTCCCACGCGGCTGTCCAGTCGAATTCCTAACTGCCCCGGGGCAGTCTGCTATTCATCCCCTTTACCCGGTGCTACACACTTCCTAGTATGCCGTGGGGCACCCCTCCGGCCTGTAGACTCCATTTCCCAGCATTCCCCGGAGGAGGCCCTCATCTGGCGATTTCCACTGGGCGCCTCGGAGCTGCGGACTTCCCAGTGTGCATCGGGGCACAGCGACTCCTGGAAGTGGCCAAGGGCCACTTCTGCTAATGGACTCCATTTCCCAGCGCTCCCCGCGACCTGCCCAGCACACCCTGGGGCAGCGCCGTGACGTCAGCACGCCGGGCGGGGACCGGGAGATCCTTGGGGCGGTGGGGGGCCAGCGGCAGTTCCCGGCGGCCCCCGGGGCGGGCGGGCGGGCGGGTGGTGGCGGCGGTTGGGGCTCGGCGCTCGCTCGCTCGCTGGGCGGGCGGGCGGTGCGATGTCCGGAGAGGATGGCCCGGCGGCTGGCCCGGGGGCGGCGGCGGCGGCTGCCCGGGAGCGGCGACGGGAGCAGCTGCGGCAGTGGGGGGCGCGGGCGGGCGCCGAGCCTGGCCCCGGAGAGCGCCGCGCCCGCACCGTCCGCTTCGAGCGCGCCGCCGAGTTCCTGGCGGCCTGTGCGGGCGGCGACCTGGACGAGGCGCGTCTGATGCTGCGCGCCGCCGACCCTGGCCCCGGCGCCGAGCTCGACCCCGCCGCGCCGCCGCCCGCCCGCGCCGTGCTGGACTCCACCAACGCCGACGGTATCAGCGCCCTGCACCAGGTCAGCGCCCCCCGCCCGGCGTCTCCCGGGGCCAGGTCCACCCTCTGCTGCGCCACCTGGGGCATCCTCCTTCCCCGTTGCCAGTCTCGATCCGCCCCGTCGTTCCTGGCCCTGGGCTTTGCCACCCTATGCTGACACCCCGTCCCAGTCCCCCTTACCATTCCCCTTCGACCACCCCACTTCCGAATTGGAGCCGCTTCAACTGGCCCTGGGCTTAGCCACTCTGTGCTGACCACTCTGCCCCAGGCCTCCTTACCATTCCCCTTCGACCTACTCTCTTCCGCATTGGAGTCGCTTTAACTGGCCCTGGCTTTGGCAGCCTGTGCTGACCCATGCAGTCCTCCTTACCATCCCTCCCTCGACTTCCCCTCTTCCGATGTTGAGCCCCTCCAGCCGGTCCTGGACTTTGTCTCCTTCCCTGCCCTGCCCTCTCCTGAACCTGAGCCAGCTCCCATAGCTCAGTCTGGTCTATCTGCCTGGCCCTGGCCATTGTCACTTTGCGCTGCCCTCCTCTCGCCCCCGAGTGCCCTTGCTGTGCCGCCGGAACTCTGCCCTCTAACGCTGCCGTCTCTCTCCTGAGTCCGGACCACTTTGAGCTCTACTGGCTTCTGCGCCGCCTCTGGCCCACTGTTTCCCCTTCCCAGGCAGGTCCTGCTTTCTCTGACCTGCATTCTCTCCCCTGGGCCTGTGCCGCTTTCTGTCTGCAGCTTGTGGCCTGGGTCACCTCTACGGCTGGCCCAGATCCTTCCCTGCCGCCTCCTTCAGGTTCCGTCTTCCTCCACTCCCTCTTCCCCTTGCTCTCTGCTGTGTTGCTGCCCAAGGATGCTCTTTCCGGAGCACTTCCTTCTCGGCGCTGCACCACGTGATGTCCTCTGAGCGGATCCTCCCCGTGTCTGGGTCCTCTCCGGGCATCTCTCCTCCCTCACCCAACCCCATGCCGTCTTCACTCGCTGGGTTCCCTTTTCCTTCTCCTTCTGGGGCCTGTGCCATCTCTCGTTTCTTAGGATGGCCTTCTCCGACGGATGTCTCCCTTGCGTCCCGCCTCCCCTTCTTGTAGGCCTGCATCATCACCGTTTTTCTGGACAACCCCAAAGTACCCCGTCTCCCTGGCTTTAGCCACCTCTCCATCCTCTTGCTTTCTTTGCCTGGACACCCCGTTCTCCTGTGGATTCGGGTCACCTCTCACTCCTTTCATTTGGGCAGCTCCCCTACCCCCCTTACCTCTCTAGTCTGTGCTAGCTCTTCCAGCCCCCTGTCATGGCATCTTCCAGGGGTCCGAGAGCTCAGCTAGTCTTCTTCCTCCAACCCGGGCCCCTATGTCCACTTCAGGACAGCATGTTTGCTGCCTCCAGGGATCCTGTGTCCCCGAGCTGGGACCACCTTATATTCCCAGGGCCGGTTAATGTGGCTCTGGTTCTGGGTACTTTTATCTGTCCCCTCCACCCCACAGTGGGGCCACTAGGGACAGGATTGGTGACAGAAAAGCCCCATCCTTAGGCCTCCTCCTTCCTAGTCTCCTGATATTGGGTCTAACCCCCACCTCCTGTTAGGCAGATTCCTTATCTGGTGACACACCCCCATTTCCTGGAGCCATCTCTCTCCTTGCCAGAACCTCTAAGGTTTGCTTACGATGGAGCCAGAGAGGATCCTGGGAGGGAGAGCTTGGCAGGGGGTGGGAGGGAAGGGGGGGATGCGTGACCTGCCCGGTTCTCAGTGGCCACCCTGCGCTACCCTCTCCCAGAACCTGAGCTGCTCTGACGCGGCCGTCTGGTGCGTTTCACTGATCCTGGTGCTGCAGCTTCCTTACACTTCCCAAGAGGAGAAGCAGTTTGGAAAAACAAAATCAGAATAAGTTGGTCCTGAGTTCTAACTTTGGCTCTTCACCTTTCTAGTCCCCAATTTATATTGTTCCTCCGTGCGTCAGTTTTACCTGTGAGATAAGGCCAGTAGCCAGCCCCGTCCTGGCAGGGCTGTGGTGAGGAGGGGGGTGTCCGTGTGGAAAACTCCCTTTGTGAGAATGGTGCGTCCTAGGTGTTCACCAGGTCGTGGCCGCCTCTACTCCCTTTCTCTTTCTCCATCCTTCTTTCCTTAAAGAGTCCCCAGTGCTATCTGGGACATATTCCTCCGCCCAGAGCAGGGTCCCGCTTCCCTAAGGCCCTGCTCTGGGCTTCTGGGTTTGAGTCCTTGGCAAGCCCAGGAGAGGCGCTCAGGCTTCCCTGTCCCCCTTCCTCGTCCACCATCTCATGCCCCTGGCTCTCCTGCCCCTTCCCTACAGGGGTTCCTGGCTCTGCTCTTCAGACTGAGCCCCGTTCCCCTGCATCCCCGTTCCCCTGCATCCCCCTTCCCCTGCATCCCCCAGAGGCCCCAGGCCACCTACTTGGCCTGGACCCCACGAGAGGCCACCCCAGCCCTGTCTACCAGGCTGCCTTTTGGGTGGATTCTCCTCCAACTGTGGGGTGACTGCTTGGCAAACTCACTCTTCGGGGTATCCCAGGAGGCCTGGAGCATTGGGGTGGGCTGGGGTTCAGAGAGGAGGGATTCCCTTCTCAGGTTACGTGGCCAAGAAGCAGGGGAGCTGGGTTTGGGTCAGGTCTGGGTGTGGGGTGACCAGCTTATGCTGTTTGCCCAGGACAGCCTAGTTTTAGCACTGAAACCCTCAGTCCTAGGAAAACAGGGATGGTTGGTCACTGTCTCTGGGTGACTCTTGATTCCCGGCCAGTTTCTCCACCTGGGGCTGTGTTTCTCGTCCTGCATCCTTCTCCAGGCAGGTCCCCAAGCATCGCCCCCCTGCTGTGGCTGTTCCCAAGTTCTTAGGGTACCCCACGTGGGTTTATCAACCACTTGGTGAGGCTGGTACCCTGCCCCCATTCCTGCACCCCAATTGCCTTAGTGGCTAGGGGGTTGGGGGCTAGAGTAGGAGGGGCTGGAGCCAGGATTCTTAGGGCTGAACAGAGAAGAGCTGGGGGCCTGGGCTCCTGGGTTTGAGAGAGGAGGGGCTGGGGCCTGGACTCCTGGGTCCGAGGGAGGAGGGGCTGGGGCCTGGACTCCTGGGTCTGAGGGTGGAGGGACTGGGGGCCTGGACTCCTGGGTCCGAGGGAGGAGGGGCTGGGGCCTGGACTCGTGGGTCTGAGGGAGGAGGGGCTGGGGGCCTGGACTTCTGGGTCTTAGGGAGGCGGGGCTGGGCCTGGACCCCTGGGTCTGAATGGGGAGAGGCTGGGGGCCTGGACTCCTTCATCTGAGGGCGGAAGGGCTGGGGCCTGGCCTCCTGGGTTGAATGGGGAGGGGTTGGGCCTGGACTCTGGAGTCCCTGGTGCCCAGGCCTCAGGCATCTTTCACAGGGATGCCTGTACTGGGCAGGTCCTTGAAAGGGAAAGGCCCATTGCTCTCCTTGCCCCCCTCCCCTATCGCCATGACAACTGGGTGGAAATAAACGAGCCGAGTTCATCCCGTTCCCAGGGCACGTGCGGCCCCTTCACAGCCCGAGTTTCCATGACCTCATGCTCTTGGCCCTCGTAGCTCCCTCCCGCCTCCTCCAGATGGGCAGCTTTGGAGAGGTGAGGGACTTGGGGGGTAATTTATCCCGTGGATCTAGGAGTTTAGCTTCACTCCTTCCTCAGCTCCAGTTCAGGTCCCGGAGCCCACCCAGTGTCCACAAGGCCTGGGGCAAGTCCCTCCTCCGACCCCCTGGACTTCGGCTTTTGTCCCCCCAAGTTTTGGACCCCTAAGGGAAGAATGAGAAACGGTGGCCCGTGTCAGCCCCTGGCTGCAGGGCCCCGTGCAGAGGGGGCCTCAGTGAACTGGAGTGTGACAGCCTGGGGCCCAGGCACACAGGTGTGCAGCTGTCTCACCCCTCTGGGAGTCCCGCCCAGGCCCCTGAGTCTGTCCCAGCACAGGGTGGCCTTCCTCCACCCTGCATAGCCCTGGGCCCACGGCTTCGTTCCTGCAGAGTATCTGCTGGGGTGGTTTCCGAGCTTGACCCTTGGAAGGACCTGGCTGGGTTTAAGGCAGGAGGGGCTGGGGGCCAGGACTCCTGGCTCTGAAGGAGGAGGGGCTGGAACCTCTTCCCTAGTCTGAGCACTGGAAGCGCCACCTGTGGGTGGTGACGGGGGTTTTGCCGTGTCTAACAGGTACCATGTGGGGTTCCCGCACCCAGATGAGAAGCCCCCTCCCTTCCCCGTTCACTTCCTGTTTGCAGATAGCCAGGAGTCCTTTCGTGGTTTCCACTGAGCACTGAAGGCCTGGCCGGCCTGACCACTGGGCAACCAGGCGTATCTTAAACAGCCAGTGGCCAGAGGCTGTTGGGTCATTTTCCCCACTGTCCTAGCACCGTGTCCCTGGATCTGTTTTCGTGGCTCCCTCTGGAGTCCCGACTTGCTGGGACACCGTGGCTGGGGTAGGTGCGGCTGACGGCTGTTTCCCACCCCCAGGCCTGCATTGATGAGAACCTGGAGGTGGTGCGCTTCTTGGTGGAGCAGGGCGCCACTGTGAACCAGGCAGACAACGAGGGCTGGACGCCACTGCACGTGGCCGCCTCCTGTGGCTACCTAGATATCGCCAGGTGAGGCAAGGGAGGGCCGGGCAGGACCTGGTCGGGGTGGGGGCCTGGACCCTCAGCCCTGACCAGCCCCCACCCCCAGGTACCTCCTGAGCCACGGGGCCAACATCGCCGCCGTCAACAGTGACGGGGACCTGCCCCTGGACCTGGCCGAGTCGGACGCCATGGAGGGGCTGCTGAAGGCGGAGATCGCCCGCCGAGGTGGGCTCTGGTGTGCTGTGTGTGGGGTGGGGGACACCTCCTCACCCGTGGTCTCCAGGCTGAGAGCTTTAGAGGCGGCCTGGGCACCGAGGCTGACCCTGCTTCCTAGGATTGTCTTTCTTTGTGCCTCAGTTTCCTCACCTGTGAAATGGGGGTGTAGGGGCCTGCCTCCAGGATTGCTTGGAGCCCAGCACACGCACAGGATGAGAACTCAAACCCCTACCAACTGGGACTGTCAATCCCCCTGAGTAACTGAGGGGATTGGAATGCCGGGGCGGGGTGGGTGGGTGGAGGGACTCACCCAGGAGTGCGTTAGGTAGGATTGCTGGAACCCTGCCGCAGGTCTTTCTGGGAGGGGATGCGTTTACTTGGGGGGGAGTAGGGGCATGCAGGGGTTGCCAGGGACTGGTCTCCCTGTCCTCTGAGACTCATCGTACCCCAGGAGCCTTCATATGGGGTCCAGGAGCCCCTGAAACTGTGTCTGGCCAGGTTCATTTTTCTAGGGAAGGGGTGTTGCTTCTAGCAGGTGTGTGATGGCCACACAGGATCCCTGGGTCCCCAGCATGTCTTCTAAAGTCCTGGGCTTGCCTCCCAGCTCTGCCTGTGACTGGTGACTCCAGGCACGTCCCTGAAGCTTGCTTCCCTGATTTCCTAAAACAGGACCACTGGTGCCGCTTCATGGGGTGGTTGTCAGGGTCTGGCTGGGTTGGAGTGGAAGGGTGTGAGCATGGTTCCCGGCAGACTCCAGGGGACCGTGTGGAAGGAAAGGGAGACTGACGAGGAAATGAGATACCGGCAGCCTCCGAGACTTCTGACGCGGCTGTCCTGACGGGGCCGCTGGCCAGGCTGAAAGGATAGGATTCCGCGTGGGTTCAGGGGTCCACGAGAGCCATGCGGGAGGACTAGCTAGTGGGACACGTGACGGCGGAGATCTGAGGTTCGGGAGCCCCTCTTTGGTTGAAATGGGGAGTGGGTCAAATCAGCCCTGGACCTGGATTCTGTCTCCTTCCTCCTCCAACTTTTTATTTTGGGAAAGCTTCAGATTTACAGAAAAGTTGAAGCAATAGCATGTGACTACCCATATGACTTTCACTAAGATTCGCCAGTGCTTTTTCTTTTTTGTTTTTGTTTTTTAGACAGCTTTTTGAGATGTAATTCACCTACCCTACAATTCACCCAAAGTGCACACTTCAGTGCTTTTTAGTCTATTCACGGGGTCGGGCATTTATGACCACATTGGTTGTAGAACATTTTCATCATCCCCCAACGAAACCCTGCAACCGCTTAGCCATCACCCCCAACCATGCACCCCCCCCTCCCCCCCACCCCACGAAGCCCTCTCTGCCTTCTGTCTGTGGATTTGCTGTTTTGTACACTTCACATAAAGGGAATCATACAGTATAGAATCATCAGCTTTTAACTTTTTGATAGATTTGTGTTCCTTCTCTCTGTCCCTCCCTTGCGATCTCTTCCCAGGTATAGACATAAACACATTTTTTCCTATCCTTTCTCCTCCTGTTTTTTTCCCTCCATCTCTCCCTTCCTTTCTTACCACCCCACCCCTGCCTTTCCATTCCTGAGCCTTTTTTTTTTTTTTGAAACAGAGTTTCACTTTTTGCCCAGGCTGGAGTGCAATGGCATGATTTCGGCTCACTGCAACCTCCACCTCCTGGGTTCAAGCGATTCTCCTGCCTCAGCTTCTGGGTAGCTGAGATTACAGGCGTGAGCCAGCATGCCCAGCTAATTTTGCATTTTTAATAGAGATGGGGTTTCACCATGTTGACCAGGCTGGTCTCCAACTCCTGACCTCAGGCGATCTGCTGGCCTCGGCCTCGCAAAGTGTTGGGATTACAGGCGTGAGCCCGGCCATTCTGAGACTGTGTTGCAGGCATTGTACATCTTCGCCTGATGCACAGCAGGTATCTCCTGCCACAAGGAAAACCTCCTGCAGAACCACAGTAGGGATGCAACACGCTACCCCCTGTGTTGACCTTGATGCTACACTCTCACCCACCGCACCAACCTTGATGCTACACTCTCACCCACCGCACCAACCTTGATGCTACACTCTCACCCACCGCACCAACCTTGATGCTACACTCTCACCCACCGCACCAACCTTGATGCTACACTCTCACCCACCGCACCAACCTTGATGCTACACTCTCACCCACTGCACCAACCTTGATGCTACACTGTTGCCTGCGTTTCTCCTTGACATTCTTTGTAGCCTCTCCCGCTCTGGTTCAGGGCCCAGCTAGGGATCCAGATCTGGGTGATTTAGGCTCCCTCTGTCTGGATCAGTCCTCCTTTTCCCTTGGACCCCAGGGAGGCCGGGAATGGCCTCCAGGGGGTCTGTGAACTTTCTGACGTTGTATTTTCCTGCAGAAATTGCTCATAACTTGCATCAGCTTCTCAGAGGGGGCCATGCTTCTTCCCTCCCGTGGGGTGAGGAGAAGGCTGGGAGGGATACATTGGTGGGGGATATTGGCTTGTAGGATCAGCCAGGAACGAAGACCACTGGGGCCACTGGAAAGACCCTCAGCCGTGCTGCTCGGGGTGGGACTCTGCGGCCCCAAATCACAAGGCGACTGCCTGTGACACCCTGTGACACCCGGCTCCACACAGGAGCCTCAGAGGGGCTGCAGTGCGCAGGACCTGGATCACAGGCTGCACCCCAGCTCTAAGGAGGGCGGGTCTTTTGCACCCCCTGCAGGACACGCCCACATGATGCAGAATTCCCCGAGGTGCTGGCATCCAGACTGGCTCTGGCCATAGTGTGGCCCTGGCAGCCACTCACAGGCAGGGCTGGGAGAGAAGACAGACCGGCCTCAGGCACGACCATCCCCTTCGCTTTCCCTGGCTTACTTGCTGTTTTCCTCTCTCTGGGTCTGGGGTTCAGTGAGAGCACGTGATCTGCTCAGCCAGTCACCTCGTGGCCTGGAGCCACCGCTCCCTCCAACACCGCAAAGTCCTCTGGCCCAGTCGACTCAGGGGCTGAATCGGGCATGACTCTTTGCAAGAACCAAAACCCGTTCCTCCTGGCTCAGGCCGGAAAAGGCCATTTGAGGCCTGGCACAGTGGCTCAGACCTGTAAGCCCAGCACTTTGGGAGGCCAAGATGGGAGGATCTCTTGAGCCCAGGAGTTTGAGACCAGCCTGGGAAACCTAGTGAGAACCCATCTCTATAAAACAAAACACATTAGCCAGGCGTGGGAATGCACGTACGCTCCCAGCTACTCAGTAGGCTGAGGTGAGAAGATTGCTTGAGCCTGGGAGGTGGAAGATGCAGTGAACCACGGTCACTCCAGCCTGGGGGCAAGACCCTGTCTCAACCAAATAAACCAAAACAAAAAAGGCAATTTATATACCCGTGTTCATAGCATCGTTCACAATAGCCCAGAGGTAGGAGCAACCTAGTGCCCATCATCGAATGAATGGAAAATCAACATGTGGCCCATCCATGCGGTGGGACATGATTCAGTCTTCATCCCAGCACTTAGGGAGGCCGAGGCGGGCGGATCACCTGAGGTCGGGAGTTTGAGGCCAACCTGACCAACATGGAGAAACTCTGTCTCTACTAAAAATACAAAATTAGCCAGGGGTGGTGGCACATCCCTGTAACCTCAGCTGCTCAGGAGGCTGAGGCGGGAGAATCACTCGAACCTGGGAGGTGGAGGTTGTGGTGAGCCAAGATCGTGCCACTGCACTCTAGCCTGAGCAACAAGAGGAAACTGTGTCTCAAAACAAAAAACAAAACAAGACAAAACAAAAAACACACAATGTAGATGTATCTTGAGGACATTATGCTAAGTGAAAAGTGAAAATAAGCCAGTCACAGAAGGACAATTACTGTCTGATTCCACGTCTGTGAGGTACCCAGAATAGTCAAAATAATGGAGACAGACAGTAGAATGGCTGTAGTCAGGGACTGGGAGGAGTGGGGAGAATAGGAAGTAGTTTAGTGGGTACACATTTTTTAAAATGATTTTTATATTTTTTGTGGAGACGGGGTTTCACCACGTTGCCCAAGCTAGTCTGGAACTCTTGAGCTCAAGTGATCCACCCACCTTGGCCTCCTAAAGTGCTGGGATTGCAGGTGTGAGCCATTGTCCCTGACCTAGGGTACACGATTTTAATTTTGCAAGATGAAAAAATTCTGGAGATTGGTTGCACAACAACCAATTGTGACTACTTAATGCCACTGAATTGGGGTTAAAATGGTAAATTTTAGGCTGGGCGCGGTGGCTCAGGCCTGTAATCCAGCACTTTGGGAGGCCGAGGTGGGCAGATCACCTGAGGTCAGGAGTTTGAGACCAGCCTGGCCAACATGGTGAAACCCCGTCTCTGCTGAAAATATAAAAGTTAGCCGGGCATAGCGATGTACACCTATAGTCCCAGCTACTCGGGAGGCTGAGGCAGGAGAATTGCTTGAACCCAGGAGATGGAGGTTGCAGTGAGCCGAGATCTCACCACTGCACTCCAGCCTGGGCAACAGAGCAAGACTCAGCATCTCAAAAAAAAAAAAAAAAGATGGTAAATTTTATACTGTGTGTATTTTACCACATTTTTTTCACTCTGAGATGGAGTTTCTTTATTTTTATTTTTATTTTTTATTTTTTTAATTTATACTTTAAGTTCTATGGTACATGTGTACAACATGCAGGTTTGTTACATATGTATACATGTGCCATGTTGGTGTGCTGCACCCATTAACTCGTCATTTACATTAGGTATATCTCCTAATGCTGTCCCTCCCCCCACCCCACGACAGGCCCCAGTGTGTGATGTTCCCCTTCCTGTGTCCAAGTGTTCTCATTGTTCATTTCCCACCTATGAGTGACAACATGCAGTGTTTGGTTTTCTGTCCTTGCGATAGTTTGCTGAGTGATGGTTTCCAGCTTCATCCATGTCCCTACAAAGGACATGAATTCATCCTTTTTTATGGCTGCATAGTATTCCATGGTGTATATGTGCCACACTTTCTTAATCCAGTCTATCATTGATGGACATTTGGGTTGGTTCCAAGTCTTTGCTATTGTGAAAAACAGCAGCAATGGAGTTTCACTCTTGTTGCCCAGGCTGGAGTGCAGTGGCATGGTCTTGACTCACTGCAACCTCTGCCTCCCGGGTTCAAGCAAGTCTCCTGCCTCAGCCTTCCAAGTAAGTGGGATTACAAGCACCCGCCACCATGCCCAGCTAATTTTTGTATTTTTAGTAGAGATGGGGTTTCACCATGTTGGCCAGGTTGGTTTTGAACTCCTGACCTCAGCTGATCCACCCGTCTCGGCCCCCCAAAGTGCTGGGATTACAGGCGTGAGTCACCGTGCCTGGTCACATTTTTTTTTTTTAAAGGCAGTCTATGGCCTTATGTAGCTGAAGTCCATATGGGCTCTAGGCATAGCTTGATCCAGGGGCACAAGTGAAGTCCAGAGCATCTCTCTATCACTCTGCTGAACTCTGTTGGCTTCACTCTTAGACAGGTTCTCTCCGTGAGGCACTCAGCATGGGTCCTACTGCAGGCCCATATCACAGCCAAAACACAGCACCTCTTGCCCTGTGCGTGATGCTCACTGGGCCACCTTGGTCAGATGGCAGCTCCTGAGCCCATCACTGTTGCAAAGGTGACAGGAAGGCCTGGTGATGTGCGCACCCTGGAGCCAGGCTATGGGCCCGGTCACATTGAAACCATATGGGGCAAAGTGTGGGTGAGGAAAGTCAAGATGAGGTCACAGGGGAAGGGAGAATGGATTTTCGTAGGCCCAAGCAGCAGCTGTGCTGCAGGGACACGCAGCAGCACCATGTCCTGTGCAGAAGGGACCCTCCCTGGCCACTTTGCACAGGGGCATGGAACTGGCAGGAAGAAGACATGATGTGTTTTTGAAACATTTGAAGCCAGCTCACTTGGAATTCCAGCATCCAAGTCAGCTGGAAGAGGGGGAGTTACCCTTGGAGGCAGGCGGAATCGACCATTGGATAGCTCCAAGTGCTGACAAGGGCGGACACGGGAGCTGATTTCTGCCTGGTGGGAAAGGTGATGATTCCAGCTACTTTGGGAAGTGGTTGGTCAGCATGGATTATAGCCGAAGGCCCCAGCTTTGCCTTGTTCTAGCAGTTCCACTCCTGGGCAGCCCGAGAGAGGCCTTCCCAACCATGGGCAGATGTTCATCATAGTATTGTTTGCAGTAGTAAGAGGTCGGAGCCCACACCAAAGAGGATGGATCAATCACTAAACTCTAAATGAGTGATCTAAGCAGGGGTCAGCAAACTTTCTCTGTAAAGGGCTAGACAATGAATGTTTCAGGTGTTGCGGGACACACCATGCCTGGCACCACTATTCCACTAGTGCTGTGGAGCGGGAGACTGCTAGGGATGGTGTGTGAATGAATGGGAATGACTGTTCCATCCCACGTTTATTGACAAAAATCGCCTTTCAGAATAGGCAAATCCACAGGGACAGAAAGATTGCTGGGTGCAAGGGGCTGGCGGAGAGGGAGGTCTGAGAAGTGACTTTTTTTTTTTTTTTAAGACAGGATCTCACGCTGCCTCCCAGGCTGGAGTGCGGTGGAGTGATAATGGCTCACTGCAGCCTTGACCTCGTGGGCCCAAGTGATCCTTCCATCTCAGCCTCCCAAGTAGCTGAGACCATAGGTGTGCACCACCATGCCCAGCTAATTTTATTTTTCTAGAGACAAGGTCTCCCTATGTTGCTCAGGCTGTTCTCAAACTAGTGGGCTCAAGTGATCTCCCATCTTGGCCTCCCAAAGTACTGGGATTACAGGCATGAGCCATGGTGCCTGGCTGGGAGTGACTTCTTCTTGGATACAGTATCCATTTGGGATCATGAAAAAGCTCAGGAAGTAGATAGTGGTGATGGTTGCATAATATTGGAGGTATCCTAAATGCCACTGAATTGTGCACTTTAAAACAGGGAAGTTGGTAAATTTTATGTTGTTTATTTTACCACCACCACCACAACAAAAGATAAAGAAAACACAACAGGTGGTCAACACCCACAAGCTATAGCTTTCTGACCCCTGGGCAAGGGCTCTGTCTACAGATACAGACAGATCTCAGCAACATGTTGAACACAAGAAGCAAATTGCAGAAGGATGTGCAGCAGACATGCAGAGGGCGCTGACTGTGGTTGAATAAAAAGCCAGTCACCCTCCCTTCCCCTCCCTGAATTGAGACCCATTCGGCTATAATAGGATTGAACAGTTGGTGACTCCTTTAAAGAAATGACACAGCCAGGTGTGGTGGCTCATGCCGGCTTTGGGAGGCCAAGGCAGGAGGATCCCTTGAGCCTGGGAATTTGAGGCTTCAGTGAGCCATAATTGCACCACTGTACTCCAGCCTGGGTGACAGTGTGAGGTCCTGTCTCAAAAAAAAAAAAAGGGTCAGATGCGGTGGCTCCTGCCTGTAATTTCAGCACTTTGGGAGGCCGAGGCGGGTGGATCATGAGGTCAGGAGTTCAAGACCAGCCTGGCCAACATGATGAAACCCCATCTCTATTAAAAATACAAAAGTTAGCTGGGTGTGGTGGCGTGTGCCTGTAATCCCAGCTACTCAAGAAGCTGAGGCAGGAGAACCGCTTGAACCTGGGAGGCAGAAGTTGCAGTGAGCCAAGATCATGCCACTGCACTCCAGCCTGGGTGACAGAGCGAGACCATATATATATATATATGGCCTAAAGTTTACTGAGCAAATCCAGTGCTCAATTACATCTAACTTTTCCTGTCACTACCAATATAATTTTTTTTTTTTTTGGAGACGGAGTCTCACTCTATCACCCAGGCTGGAGTGCAGTGGTGCAATCTCACTGCAACTTCCGCCTCCAAGATTCAAGAGATCCTTCCGCCTCAGCCTCCCAAGTAACTGGGATTACAGGCATAAGTCACCATGCTGAGCTAATTTTGGTATTTTTAGGAGAGACACGGTTTCAACACGTTGGGCAGGCTGGTCTCGAACTCTTGACCTCAGGTGATCTGCCCACCTTGGTCTCCCAAAGTGTTGGGATTACAGGCATGAGCCGTTGTGCCACCCCCCAATATAATCTTAATCCAGCATCTTCATACATTTTATCACCATTACCACTTCTGTCTATATATGTTACATATATAGGAGAGATATATATATAGGTTTTATATATATAGGAAATGTGTATATATAGGTGTTATATATATAGGAGATGCATATATATGTTATATATATATTATATATATAAATATTTTTTATATTTATATTTTTGTATGTGTGTGTGTGTGTATATATATATATATATATACTTTTTTTTTTTTTTTTTTAGACAGAGTCTCACTGTGTTGCCCAGGCTGGAGTGCAGTGGCGTGATCTCAGCTCACTGCAACCTCCAACTCCCGGGTTCAAGCGATTCTCCTGCCTCAGCCTCCCAAGTAGCTGGGACTACAGCCACCTGCCACCACACCTGGCTAAATTTTTTTTTTTTTTTTTGTAGTTTTAGTAGAGATGGGGTTTCACTGTGTTGGCCAGGCTGGTCTTGAAGTCCTGAGCTCGTGATCCACCTGCCTTGGCCTCTCAAAGTTGCTGGGATTGCAGGCATGAGCCACTGCACCCGGCCATGGTTTTATATTAAAAATAATAAAAATACGGTGAATTTCTGGTTGAAATGGGGAAAGGCCTGTGATCTCCGTTTTCCCAGTGCTTAGCGCTGACTCAGAGACCCTGAGTGGGACACACGACTGCATGGAGTACAGTTGGGAAACAACTGGGCTAGTCTGGGCCTCCTGAGTCTCAGAGGGGAGCAGGGGGAAGAGCTCTGGGCAAGTCACTGGGCTGAACCCTGGCCAGCCCAGTGTATGACCCTGGGTATTTCAGGTCATGGGGTGTGAGTCCTACCTCGTGCCTCTTATCCTCCTAGGTGTGGATGTGGAAGCAGCCAAGCGGGCAGAAGAGGAATTGCTCCTTCATGACACGAGGTGCTGGCTGAATGGGGGCGCCATGCCAGAGGCCCGGCACCCCCGCACAGGCGCCTCTGCCCTGCACGTGGCTGCTGCCAAGGGCTACATTGAGGTGATGAGGTGAGTTGGGCCAGTCTGTTCCATCTTGCTGTCTTATACCTTCCTGTGGATCTTGTCCTTTCCCTTTCTTTTTAAATGTATGTACCGAAGGCTATGTATTTCCCTCTAAATACAGCCTTAGCTGTACCCACAAGTTTTGATGTGCAGTCTTTTTTTTATTGTCATTCAGTGTAAAATATTTCCCAATTTGTAATCTTTTATTATTTATTTATTTTGAGACAGGGTCTTGCTATGTCACCCAGGCTGGAGTGCAGTGGCACAGTCGTGGCTCACTGCAGCCTCAAACTCCCCAGGCTCAGGTGATCCTCCTACCTCAGCCTCCTGAATAGTGGGGACTACAGGCGCACACCACCATGCCCCGCTAATTTTTGTAGAGATGGGGTTTCACCATGTGGCCCAGGCTTGTCTCGAACTCCTGGGCTCAAGTGATCCTCCTACCTCAGCCTCCCAAAGTGCTGGGATTACAGGTGTAAGCCACTGTGCTTGGCCTAATTTCAAAATATATAGGACTTCTAGTCATCATTTTGTTACTATTTTCCTGGCTTAATTGCATTGTGGTCAGAGAATGGGTTCCATATGATTCTAGCTTTTGAAATGTATCGTTTTACCTTATATACCCCAGTACATGTAAGTCGGAAAAGAATGGTGTCATCAGGTACAGTGTTCTCTGTAGGTTATTAGGTCAACCTTGTAATCATGCTGTTTTATTTGTAGTGCTTCTTTATCTTTAGTGATATTTCACCCACTGCTTATTCTGTCAGTTACTATGAGAGGTGCATTTAAATTCTTGCTGTGATTATGGACTTTGTTTCTTCTTATAGTTCTGTCAGTTACAATTTGTATATATTTTAAGACTAGATTATTTGGTGCATATATAGTTTATTTTTGTTTGTTTTTGAGACGGAGTCTCGCTCTGTCACCTAGGCTGGAGTGCAGTGGTGTGATCATAGCTCACTGCAACCTCCACCTCCTGGGTTCAAGGAATTCTCCTGCCTCAGCCTCCCCAGGAGCTGTGACTATGAGAGTGTGCCACCACACTTGGCTAACTCGTATTTCTAGCAGAGATGGGGTTTCTCCATGTTGGCCAGGTTGCTCTTGAACTCCTGACCTCAGGTAATCTCCCTGCCTCAGTCTTCCAAAATGCTGGGGTTACAGGCGTGAGCCACTGCACCCAACCAAGGTGCATATATAGTTTAAATTGTTCTAGTACACATTCCCTTTCTGTCATCCTCACCTCAGTCTTAGATTTTGTTCCTATTTGGCTGCCTTTCCCCTTTCTATTAAAGTTGTTGGTTCCAGTTCTCATCCTCAGGCTCCTCATTCTTTTTTCAGTTCCCTCTTCTCTCTTTTGTGATCATATACTTTATTATTTAGTATAAAAATGAAGTTAACATGAATTCCTCCCTGTCTCTGCTCATCTCTATGTTGACAGTTTTTAGTCAGGTTTTCTCGGTGAGGTACATAAGATGCCTCTAACCGCTCCAGGCCGCTGTCCCTTCGGCTTAGCACCTGTAACAGCTCCAGGCCGCTGTCCCTTCGGCCTAGCACCCGTAACAGCTCCAGACCGCTGTCCCTTCTGCTTAGCACCTGCTGAAGCAGAGCCCCTGGACCTCAGTGTCTGGCCAAGTCCCAGCTCTGTTGCTGACTGGGCCCATCCCTGAGCTGATCCTTACGACAAGGGGGACTGGAAACTCTAAATGGTTGGGCCTAGTGATGTGCCCAGGCCTGGAGGCCGTGTCCTTTTCCTCCCACGGCTTCCACCCCTGAGTCCTGGGGGCGGCTTCATCTCCTGCCACTGCACCTGCATACCAGCCAGCAGGAAGAGAGAGGGGGCAAAGGAGCAAACATCCATTCCTTTCAAAAGAGCAGTCCGCAAGCGGCACCACTTAACGCCAGCATCCCATTTGCCAGACGCTAGTCACATGACCGCTCCTCGCTGCAAGGAACAGTTGGAGATTTGTCTTCAGCTGGGTGGCCTGTGTCCGGCCAGGGGGCCTGTGTGGGTACTGTTAGTAGAGGGAGAAATGGAATCCATATTCGTGGAAGTGAAGCACTTTGGACTTAGAAATATTCATGACTATAGTGTCATTGCTGCTCCTTTGTAAGGGGACATGTTTACACTCAGACCTACTGACTGCATTTTTTATTTTATTTTTACTTTTGAGATGGAGTCTCGCTCTGTTGCCAGGCTGGAGTGCAGTGGCGCGGTCTCAGCTCACTGCAACCTCTGTCCCCTGGGTTCAAGCAATTCTCCTGCCTCAACCTCCTGAGTAGCTGTGATTACAGGTGTGCTCCACCATGCCCGGCTAATTTTTGTGTTTGTAGTAGAGACAGGTTTTGCCACGTTGGCCAGGCTGGTCTCGAACTCTTGACCTCAAGTGATCTGCCCGCCTCAGCCTCCCAGAGTGCTGGATTATAGGCATGAGCCACTGTGCCTAGCCTGACTGCATTTTTAAAATAATGTAACCAGCATTCTCCTCATCAAAGATCTGTTGCAGGCTGGGCGTGGTGGATCACGCCTGTAATCCCAGCACTTTGGGAGGTCGAGGCAGGCGGATCATGAGGTCAGGAGTTCAAGACCAGCCTGGCTAACACAGTGAAACCCCGTCGCTATTAAAAATACAAAAAATTAGCTGGGCATGGTGGCAGGCGCCTGTAATCCCAGCTACCTGGAAGGCTGAGGCAGGAGAATTGCTTGAATCCAGGAGGCAGAGGTTGCAGTCAGTGGAGATCGTGCCACTGCACTCCAGCCTGGGTGACAGTGTGAGACTCCGTCTCAAAACAAAACCAAACCAAAACAAAACAAAAAAACATTTGTTGCAGAGTAGAGGTATATGTTTATTTGATGATACTCATTCGATGCTTATTTTTGAGCCCCTGCTGTGTGCCAGGCAGTCTGTTAGGTGCCAGGGAAATGGGTAAACAAGACAGATCTGGGCCTGTGTGCGGCTCATAGCCTCGTGGGGAGACAGACATTTTGGGCTGATCGCTCTTGCTGCGGGGCCGTCCCATGCATCACAGGATGTGGGGCAGCCTCCCTGGCCTCCACCTATGGGATGTTGGGAGCATCCCTGGTTGTGAGAACCAAAAATGTCTCTGGACGTGGCCAAATGTCCCCTGGGGGGCAGCATTGCCCCAGTTGAGAACTGCTGGCTTAAGATATAAATAGGGTTATGGGAGAAGACAAGTGTGATGAGGAGGGGCTTTGGGGTCAGGAGACAGGGGGATGAGGGGGTGGTGACTGCCAAAAAGGGGCTCAGCGTGAGATGCTGCAGGGCACAGAACACTGCCCGGCTGAGAGCAGCAAGTGCAGAGGCCAGCGGCGAGCGGACGCTTGGGGAAATAGCGAGGGCCCAGCACAGCTGGGGCAGGGTGAGCTCCGGGCAAAGCGTGGGAAAGGTGAAGGGCAAGGTGGGCGGGACCAGAGAGAGGGACTTGTGCTTATAAGGCCTCTTTGTAGAATATCCCAGGCTGTCCATCTGTTCCCACTTTGTGAAGCTCTTTCTCATTGACACAGAAACTCATTCCAGTTCTCCAAAAATAGACACGTCCTACCGTTAAGCTGAGCTTGGAGAGTGGCCTTGGACTTGTAACCCTGCCTTTGCCCTCAGATTGAATGGTTTAAGGTGGTTATTGTTTTCTCGCAGAACACTGTCTCGGGTGAGGGTTTCTCAGCCTGGGCGCTGGCAGCATGTTGGGTCAGGTCCCTCTCCTTGTGGGGCTGCTGCTGAGCGCTCTGAGCGCAGCCGGGTGTGGAGCAGCCTCCCTGGCCTCCACCCAGCCGATGCCGCTAACCCTTGCCCTAAGTTATGACAACAAAGATGTCTGCAGACCTGCCGGGTCTCCCCTGGGGGACAGCATTGCCCTGGTTGGGAGTCACTGCTTTAAGCCAGCCCGGGTCCTAGAGCACTACTGCCCTGAGACAGCCCTTTGGGGGTCCCATCCTTCTGACAGGCATGGGGGCTGGCAAGGGTCCTGCACTTGCATCCTCCGGAGCTGCCTCCTTACACCCCGCTGCTGCCACCTTGGAATCCCACAGCCAGGGTGACCCCCTGCCAGCACCAGGAGCAGGTTCCAGAGGCCACCTGCAGGGTCAGGGTTTAACATGTAACTGCTGGTCCAAGGGGAGGGACAAGGCCTGGTGCAGAGGGGCCTCTTGTGGCAGCGGATGCTGGGCAGTGGCTCTTTACCAGCCTGTCCAGGGACGTTTCAGTCTCGTGGCCTGGGACCTCGTTACCAAACCGCTGGCCGAAATCAGCCCTCGGCCAAGGGCCCCGCCTTGGCCTCTGACCCTGAGCCTCCCTGGCCCCCAGGTTGCTCCTTCAGGCTGGCTACGACCCAGAGCTCCGGGACGGGGACGGCTGGACTCCCCTGCACGCAGCGGCACACTGGGGCGTGGAGGATGCCTGCCGCCTGCTGGCCGAGCATGGCGGGGGCATGGACTCACTGACCCATGCGGTGAGGGCCAGTGCCCAGGCTGGTGAGGGGCAGGGCGTGGGGAGGGCCCAGCACCTCCTTCATTGTCTGATCCTGCTCCTCCCCTGACCCAGGGGCAGCGTCCCTGTGACCTGGCCGATGAGGAAGTACTGAGCCTGTTGGAGGAACTGGCCCGGAAACAGGAGGACGTGAGTGTCAGGGCTGAGGGGCTTACCCCAGACTCCCCATGTCCCCTCAGCTCCTCAGAGGAGGGTGCAGAGGGGGAACCCCCCCGACTTCTGACACCCACCACCCCAGCGACCTGCTATTTCCCTCTTGGTGACCCAGCCCCAGCCCCAGCCTCAGGAGAGACCCCCAGCCGGGGCAGGACAGAGATGGGGCTGCAGAGCTTCCTGCCTGCCTGGTGGTGGGGGCGGCAGAAGGATTTGGACAGGGTTGTCTGACACCCTGATGAGGTTGCTTAGCACACCTCATCACCTCAGGGTGGCCCTTGGCAGCAGCCATGTGCAGGATTGTCCTAGACTCAGGCTGGGCTGGTCACCCACAAGGTGTCCCCCAGCCATCCCCGGGGCAGCCTTGCTGGGAAAACTTAGAGTGAAGGAGTGAAGGGCGTGAGCCTTGGCCAGACTGCCTGGGTTGGAATCCCGGCTCTGCCATGGATCTGCCGTGAGTCTCAGCCAGCCACTTTCCTTTCCGGGCCTCAGTTTCCTTATCTGTCAAATGGGAATGGTATGGTGCGCAACTGTATGAGGGGTCATGCGTGACACGTGGATTGTGCTGTCAGGAGCTCGGGGGAGTACGTGCCCCTGGAAAGCACTAGAGCCATGCCAGCGTTCAGTGAGCTCTGTGAGGTGACAGGAAGCTCCCAAGGCCAGGCCTAGGGCTTCTGGTGCGTGGGCAGGGGAGCGGAGACAGCTTCCTCTTTTGAAAGGTTGGCAGGAGCGAAGTGGAGGCTGATGGATGTAGGAGAAGATCTCACACAGGCTGGGGGGCAAGTGTGGGTGCCCTGAGGTGCCCAGGGAGGGGAGCGTAAGGCAGGGCAGACCCGGGAGGGCCACGAGTGCCAGGCGAGGAGCATGGTGGCTTCCATCCTGAGGGTGATACGGCCATGAGGGGTTTAATAGGTGGGGCAGGGTCAGCTCAGGGGGCCCAGATATGGGGGGAGACCAGCCTGGGAGCATCTGGGGACACTTTCTGGAAGACGTGAGTACTACAGCACTAAGAGTTTGCTAGAAGGGCAGGAATGAAGGGCCCTCCCAGTACAAAGGTGTGAAGACGGTGGTGAACTGCGCGGGGAAGGGGCGAAGACGGTGGTGAACTGCGGGGAAGGGGTGAAGACGGTGGTGAACTGCGCGGGGAAGGGGCGAAGACGGTGGTGAACTGCGCGGGGAAGGGGTGAAGACGGTGGTGAACTGCGTGGGGAAGGGGCGAAGACGGTGGTGAACTGCGAACTGTGCGGGGTAGGGGTGAAGACGGTGGTGAACTGCGCGGGGAAGGTGTGAAGACGGTGGTGAACTGCGCGGAGAAGGGGCGAAGACGGTGGTGAACTGCGGGGAAGGGGTGAAGACGGTGGTGAACTGCAGGGAAGGGGTGAAGACGGTGAACTGCGGGGAAGGGGCGAAGACGGTGGTGAACTGCAGGGAAGGGGTGAAGACGGTGGTGAACTGCGTGGGGAAGGGGTGAAGACGGTGGTGAACTGCGAACTGCGCGGGGTAGGGGTGAAGACGGTGGTGAACTGCGCGGGGAAGGTGTGAAGACGGTGGTGAACTGCGCGGAGAAGGGGTGAAGACGGTGGTGAACTGCAGGGAAGGGGTGAAGACGGTGGTGAACTGCGTGGGGAAGGGGTGAAGACGGTGGTGAACTGCGAACTGCGCGGGGTAGGGGTGAAGACGGTGGTGAACTGCGGGGAAGGGGTGAAGACGGTGGTGAACTGCGCGGAGAAGGGGCGAAGACGGTGGTGAACTGCGCGGGGAAGGGGCGAAGACGGTGGTGAACTGCGCGGGGAAGGGGCGAAGACAGTGGTGAACTGCAGGGAAGGGGCGAAGACGGTGGTGAACTGCGGGGAAGGGGCGAAGACGGTGGTGAACTGCGGGGAAGGGGCGAAGACGGTGGTGAACTGCGCGGGGAAGGGGCGAAGACGGTGGTGAACTGCGCGGGGAAGGGGTGAAGACGGTGGTGAACTGCGCGGGGAAGGGGCGAAGACGGTGGTGAACTGCGGGGAAGGTGTGAAGACGGTGGTGAACTGCGCGGGGAAGGAGGAGGCGAGTGCCGGCTGCAGGAGCCGGGGCAGCTGAGGGCCCACCAGTGCCCTGGGTATGCTGAGGGGTCGGGGTGAGGTCTAAGCAGGTCTCCCCTGGGAGCTAGAAGGACCCCTCTGGGGATGAGACTGGAGGCTTCTCATGGGTGGGGGCCGTGAGGACAAGACGGCAGTGCCTGCACGTGGCAGCTGCGGGCGCCTGCTGGACGCAGGGCACCTCCTGCCCCTGAGGTGTGTGGCCATCTGTAGGAAAACCAGTAAGCCCACGAGCCCTCGGTGCCCGCCTGGGCAGTGAGCTCCTGCACAGCTGTTTGTGGTGGTGTTGCTGTGGGGCACGTGTGCTCCACCCCTCCCCTGCAGCCCCCTTCCCTCCTTGCAGCTTCGGAACCAAAAAGAAGCTTCCCAGAGCCGGGGCCAGGAGCCCCAAGCGCCCTCTAGCAGCAAACACAGAAGGTATAGGGAGGGAGGAGTCCAGGGCTGGCGGGGTGGCTGGAGGCCCCGGGCTTGTACCCCAGCACCCTCTCCTTCCCCAACAGGAGCTCTGTGTGTCGTCTGAGCAGTCGCGAGAAGATTTCCCTCCAGGACTTGTCCAAGGAGCGCCGGCCTGGTGGGGCTGGGGGGCCCCCCATCCAGGACGAGGATGAGGGGGAAGAAGGTCCCACCGGTGAGGGGCCTGAATCTGGACTCCTGGGTCCGAGGGAGGAGGGGTCGGGTTCTCTGAATCTAGAGGCAACTGGCATCTTCTGTGACCTGCCCGGTGTTCCCACATCACAGAACCACCCCCTGCAGAACCCAGAACCCTCAATGGCGTCTCCTCCCCGCCGCACCCCAGCCCTAAGAGTCCCGTGGTGAGTGGATGCCCTGAGAGGTCCTGTGAGGCTGGGAGGGCCCGGAGGTGGGATTCCATACAGCCTGTGAACCTCTGGCAGGGGCAGATAGGGGGAAGACTATAGTTCCCAGAGTCGTCCTGGACAACCGGCTTCCTTTTTAGGCTGTGCCTGCCCCGGGGGCTGATGGGAATTGTAGTTTGTTGCAGTCCTTTGGGGGCTAACCCTTGAGGTCTGAGAAGAGGGATCCTTTCTCTCTAACTGAGACCTCCTCCTTCTCCCAGCAGCTTGAAGAGGCCCCCTTCTCCAGGCGCTTTGGCCTCCTGAAGACAGGGAGTTCTGGTGCCCTGGGTCCCCCTGAAAGGCGGACAGCGGAGGGAGCCCCTGGGGCTGGGCTGCAGCGCTCGGCTTCCTCCTCCTGGCTGGAAGGGACCTCCACTCAGGTGAGTGAGGGTTGGGCCGGGTCCAGGCCCAGGCCCCTGCCCAGTCGAGGGAACTGCCCCTTCCTCCCCTTCTCCTCTCCACACAGGCCAAGGAGCTCCGTCTTGCCAGAATTACCCCGACCCCCTCCCCGAAGCTGCCGGAGCCCTCTGTCCTGTGAGTCCCCAGGGCCTGGGCCCCTCAGGGGTGGGTGGCAGATGTGGGTTCCAAGCCTGTCCGTGTGATCCTGAGTGAGACCATGTACCCCCTGGGGTCTGGTTCCTGCCGCCACTCCAGAGCCTGTGCTGTGTTCCTCTTGGGGGCTCTCTCCCTCCCTCAGGTCTGTGTTGAAACGTCACCTTCTCCCCTATCTTCCCCCCACCCCGAGGTGCACACTGACCACCCTGCTGCCACCACGGCGCCGTCCGCACACGCACACCCTCCCGCTCTCAGTTCTCGCACTGCTGCTTCTGTCCAGAGTCCTTTATCCTTCTGACCGGTTGCGTAGTGTGCTGGTCTTTTCATGGCTTTTGTGGGTTTTGTGTATTTCTGCTCAGCTCTGACTCTGTTGTGGCCCAGATAATTTGTTTCTTTCACTCACGGCTGCATCTCCAGTGCCGGCACACAATGCACCTGGGTAATGTTTGTGGAATGAATGAATTGATGCAGGTCTGAGGTCACCAAGCCTCCTCCTTGCTTGGAGAACTCCTCGCCTCCCTCCAGGATTCCGGAGCCTGAATCCCCAGCGAAGCCAAACGTCCCCACAGCCTCCACGGCGCCCCCAGCGGACTCCCGGGACCGACGGAGGTGAAGAGGCCAGGGCAGGAAGCTGCCGCCCCCGCCCCCAGCAGGGAGAGACGATGTGAAGCAGGAGTCCCGGGGCTTTGGGTGGGCTCCTGAGGGAGAGCTGGCCTCAGGTCTGCTGGGAGTTGGAGTCCCCTCCCACAGAACTTGCTTCCCGCGGAGGGTGTCAGCCACGGAATGGGACAGGGTCCCCAGGTTCCCTGTCTGAGGTTGGGACCCTTCCCTCAGGTCCTACCAGATGCCTGTGCGGGATGAGGAGTCGGAATCCCAGAGAAAAGCTCGCTCCCGTCTCATGCGCCAGTCTCGGAGGTCCACACAGGTGTGGGGTGGGCTGGGGTCTGGACTCCTGGGTCTGAGGGAGGAGGGGCTGGGGCCTGGACTCCTGGGTCTGAGGGAGGAGGGGCTGGGGGCCTGGATTCCTGGGTCTGAGGGAGGAGGGGCTGGGGCCTGGACTCCTGGGTCTGAGGGAGGAGGGGCTGGAGGTCTGGACTCCTGGGTCTGAGGGAGGAGGGGCTGGGGCCTGGACTCCTGGGTCTGAGGGAGGAGGGGCTGGGGCCTGGGCTCCTGGGTCTGAGGGAGGAGGGGCTGGGGCCTGGACTCCTGGGTCTGAGGGAGGAGGGGCTGGAGGTCTGGACTCCTGGGTCTGAGGGAGGAGGGGCTGGGGCCTGGACTCCTGGGTCTGAGGGAGGAGGGGCTGGGGCCTGGGCTCCTGGGTCTGAGGGAGGAGGGGCTGGGGCCTGGACTCCTGGGTCTGAGGGAGGAGGGGCTGGGGTCTGGGCTCCTGGGTCTGAGGGAGGAGGGGCTGGAGGTCTGGACTCCTGGGTCTGAGGGAGGAGGGGCTGGGGCCTGGACTCCTGGGTCTGAGGGAGGAGGGGCTGGGGTCTGGGCTCCTGGGTCTGAGGGAGGAGGGGCTGGGGCCTGGGCTCCTGGGTCTGAGGGAGGAGGGGCTGGGGTCTGGGCTCCTGGGTCTGAGGGAGGAGGGGCTGGGGCCTGGGCTCCTGGGTCTGAGGGAGGAGGGGCTGGGGTCTGGGCTCCTGGGTCTGAGGGAGGAGGGGCTGGAGGTCTGGACTCCTGGGTCTGAGGGAGGAGGGGCTGGGGCCTGGGCTCCTGGGTCTGAGGGAGGAGGGGCTGGAGGTCTGGACTCCTGGGTCTGAGGGAGGAGGGGCTGGGGCCTGGACTCCTGGGTCTGAGGGAGGAGGGGCTGGAGGTCTGGACTCCTGGGTCTGAGGGAGGAGGGGCTGGGGCCTGGACTCCTGGGTCTGAGGGAGGAGGGGCTGGAGGTCTGGACTCCTGGGTCTGAGGGAGGAGGGGCTGGGGTCTGGGCTCCTGGGTCTGAGGGAGGAGGGGCTGGGGCCTGGGCTCCTGGGTCTGAGGGAGGAGGGGCTGGGCCCTGACCCCAGCGTCCCCTGACTGTCCCCTTTCCCTGCCAGGGTGTGACTCTTACAGACCTGAAGGAGGCAGAGAAGGCTGCAGGGAAGGCCCCAGAGTCAGAGAAGCCGGCGCAGAGCCTGGTGAGAGGGGTCAGCGAGGGCGAGTGGGGTGGTGCGGGATGTCCTGCTTCCCTGACTCGCCTCCCCCTCCCGACAGGACCCTTCCCGAAGGCCCCGCGTCCCTGGAGTGGAGAACTCTGACAGCCCTGCCCAGAGAGGTGAGGTCTGCTCTCGGGGAGGTCATTCCCAGGGAATCATCCAGTTTCTCCCATAGTCTTCTTGCTTTCCTGGGGGCTTGACCCGGGGACCCAGGCACCGAGAGGGGGCTCTGGAGGTGCCTGGGCTGATTCCTGCCCCTCCCCCAGCAGAGGCGCCCGACGGGCAGGGTCCGGGACCGCAGGCGGCCAGGGAGCACCGCAAGGTCGGAAAGGAGTGGAGGGGGCCTGCGGAGGTGAGGGGCTCAGGTGGGGCCGAGCTGGTGCAGAGGGTGGGCCGGGGGGCGGGCAAAGCCCTTCCCATACCCGCTAAAGTCCCTCCCATACCCATTGAACCCCCGTCTACCTGCCCACAGGGGGAGGAGGCGGAGCCGGCTGACCGCAGCCAGGAGTCCAGGTAGGGGCGGGGTGGGAGAGGTGGGGTCTGCGTGCGGGCCGGGCCGGCCCCTGACGCGCGCTCCTCCCCTGCCCCAGCACCCTGGAGGGCGGCCCCTCGGCCCGCAGGCAGCGGTGGCAGCGGGACCTCAACCCAGAACCTGAGCCAGAATCGGAAGAGCCAGACGGAGGCTTTAGGACGGTGCGATCCCACCCCTCCGTCGGGGCTTTGCCTGCTGGGTGCCCAGCTTCCTGGCTTCCCCGCCCCCCCAGCATCGCCCCATCCTCCACCTGACCCTCCTCTACCTGACCCCCAGCTGTATGCAGAGCTGCGCAGGGAGAACGAGCGGCTTCGCGAGGCCCTGACCGAGACCACGCTGCGGCTGGCGCAGCTCAAGGTGGAGCTGGAGCGGGCCACGCAGGTAAGGGCGCCGAGGCCAGGGTCACGGGAACTGGCAGGGCCGCCTGGGTGGGGCTTAGACTGCTGGGAGGTAGAGCCTGGCCTGGGGGTGCCGGCGGGGCTGGGCTTCACTTGAGGGGCGGGGCCGAGATCTCGGAGGCGGAGTCTGAGCGAGGGGATGGGGCTGTGGGCCTGCCGGTGGCGGGGCCTGGCCCGTGGGGGAAGGGCTTGTGGGCTGCCTAGTGGGCGGGCGGGTGCCCAGCAGGAGCCTAGGACCCTTCAGAGCAGTGCTGGCTTCTTCTGCTGACCCCTGTGCTTTCTGTGTCCTCACCAGAGGCAAGAACGCTTCGCTGAGAGGCCAGCCCTCCTGGAACTGGAGAGATTCGTGAGTAGGGGCAGTGGGGATGGGGGCCAGAGGCGTCCCCAGCCTCACATCCCTAAGTTTGGACCAAGGGAGCCACATTGCCCTTCCCAGCTGGCCCCTGGCCTTCCCCTGCCCTCCTCAGCCTCACTCAGTTTCTGCACTTTCCCTGTTCATTCCAGGAGCGCAGGGCCCTGGAACGCAAGGCCGCAGAGCTGGAGGAGGAGCTGAAGGTGGGGGCTGTGGGGGCTGTGGGCAGAGGGCCGAGGGTGGGTGGGGGTGCAACCCGCCAGGGCTGCCCAGCTGACCCTTGCCGTCCCCCAGGCCCTGTCTGACCTCCGCGCTGACAACCAGCGCCTCAAGGATGAGAATGCAGCGTTGATCCGCGTCATCAGCAAACTCTCCAAGTGACCCGGAGGGACTTTCCCGCACCCGTATTTATACAGCTGCTTCTGCCACACGCACCCCTTCCCCCGTGTGAACACGAGTGACAGGGCTCCGGGGGAAGTCTCAGAGAAGCCATAGCCCCCCTGGGACCTCCGGACTGGGAGGGGAGCAGAGTCCCCAGGAGCCGAGGGGGCCACCCGAGGCCAGGATGGAGGTGGGAGGCCGAGCCAAGCAGGGGGACGTTGCCAGAGGGGACCAGGGCCAGAGACGGGACCAGGAAGGAACTGAGGACCAAGAAGTGCAAGGATCAGTAGCCAGGACCAGAGTGGCCGCCTGGAGGTCCCCATCTCACGTGTGATGCCACCCCGTCACCCCTCCCCTCCTGAGCAGGGATCCAAGAATGTGCCAAGAGTCCCGCCAGCCTCAGCCAGGTGGGCCTGTATATAGGGTCCATGTGCAATAGGGAGGGACGTCTTCTATTTTTTGCTGCCCCCTCCCCGCCCACTGTCTGGGGCAGGGGGAGAAGGTATTTTCGAGATAAAGCACAGGCACCACAAATAAAAGTCGTGAAGTTGCCACTCAAGCTCTGTGTTCCCAGCCAGAGGGAGGGCACTGTTTCCTGCTCCTGCTGGGGGGCCGTGCGTGTCCATGACCAAACCACTGGGCCACTTGGGTGGGTGCCGGGGGATGGGCTGGTGCTTACTCACCTGTGTGGTGAAGGAGCTTCAGGATGAGCCCCCAGCGGGAGCGAAGGCTCCAAGACGGAGCCCGCGTGATCGCAGGCGGGGGGCTGAGGGGAAGCTGATGGGGCAGGAGGGATCAGCGGGCAAGACCTCTGGGGCCAAGGATGTGGAGCTGGGGAGTTTGGGTTTTGCCATCAGTGTCTTTGAAACAAATTTAGTCAATTGCCAACATTTAACATTTGGAGAAATTTGTGTGTAAAAATCTGGAATTTTGGCCGGGTGTGGTGGCTCACGCCTGTAATCCCAGCACTTTGGGAGGCCGAGGCGGGCAGATCATTTGAGGTCAGGAGTTCGAGACCAGCCTGGCCAACATGGTGAAACCCCTTCTTTACTAAAAATGCAAAAATTAGCAGGCGTGGTGGTAGGTGCCTGTAATCGCATCTACTCTACTTGGGAGGCTGAGGCAGGAGAATCGCTTGAACCTGGGAGGCAGAGGTTGCAGTGAGCCAAGATCGAGTCACTGCACTCCAGCCTGGGCAGCAGAGCGAGACTCCATCTCAAAAACAAACAAACAAACAAAAAACAAAAAGAATTTTGCCTTCTTTTGAAAGAACAGGAATCTGTGACAATATGAACTTTTCAGTCCTGCATAGCCACCGTTGACTAGAGCTGAGTAGGAGCCATCTTCTGAGATGAGGCATTCATTCAACAATTAGTATAACACCAACAGGAAGAACAGGACTGAGTGAGTACAGTGTGACTGATCATTACTGAACAAAACAAAGATCCAATACTTTTAGGAGGGGGGCATCCGATGTTAAAATAAATGTATTTCAAGGTGGCGGCGCTCTGGAGAAAAGAAAGGGGTTGGGAAGGTGGGTGCACGTGTGTGCACATGTGTTTTGAATAGAGTGGTCTAGGCAGGCCTCAGGGAAAAGCTGGTGCAGGCAGATGGTTGAAGGTGGTGGAGAGGGAGCTGTGTAGGTATTTGAGGGAAGGGTGCTCTGGATGATGGGAGCTCTGTGTGTGGAGACCCTGGGGAGGGAGCTGTGTAGGTATTTGAGGGATGATGGGAGCTGTGTGTGTGGAGGCCCTGGGGTAGGGCACCTGGTGTGCTGCAGGAAGCTGAGGAGCTGGAGAAAGCAGGGAATGAAGCTAGAGAGGTCACGGTGGCTGTGTGGAGACTTGGCCCTGGGAAGGGCTTGAGCTGTGAGATTGGAGCTCTGGGTGTCTTTTGGAGCATGGCCATGGCCTGACTTAGGTTTTAACAGGTCCCTCTGGCATGGAGAACAGGCTGGGGGTTGGTGGTGAGGATTGGGGGGACCAGCTAAGGGTCTACTGGTGAAATCCAAGCAAGAGAGAGGGTGGCTCTGGCTGGGGTGATGGGAGTGAAGATGGTGAGAGATGGTCAGGTTCTGAGAATATTGGAAGATACAGCTGCCAGGATGTTCAAACAAGCTGGCCTGTGACGGGGGTAGGGCTGAGGCCCGGCTGGCTCACTTGGGTCTCTTGTCGGGTTCCTGCAGGCATTTCAGTTTGCAGCCTAGGTGGCGAGAGCCACGGGGGCTTATTGGGGGGCGGGGGGCGGGTGCGGGAATGGAGCAAAGAGGTTTGGGGGAATTGCCTACCTTTCCTATTCCCCTACTAAGAATGAGGGGTGGGGCCCCGGGCAAGTGGTAGAGGGGCTGAGAGTATTCTGGGCAGAAGCAACCACATGAACCAAGCTTGGCAGCAGGAGGAGGGAAGCTGAGCCCCGTGGTCGGAGAAGCTGGTGAGCCGAGTGGGCAACCTGTGACTGCCAAGCTGGGGCCTGGTTTTATCCGGTGAGCCATAGGGAGCCAAGGGAAGTATGTGAATAGGATCTAGGGACGGGGCAGATAGGAGAAGGACTCTTGGAGATCCAAAGAGGAAGGAAGGAACCAGAAGGAACCAGGCAGGAGGTGGCAAAGTGGGGACTGAGAACTCCTGCCTGCCCCAAGGGCGGGGGGCGGGGTGGGGGTGGGGGGGCGTCTCTCTGATCCTTTCCCATCTTGGAGGGCGCCATCTGGTGGCCCAGGTTGGAACAACTCCGGGAGAGGCTTGAGGCCCAGAGGCCCAGAGGCCCTCAGTAATCTGGGGAAGGCAGAGCCAGGGGAGAAAGAGAAAGGGCCATTCTTCCCAAAGGCAGAGAATATCCAGTCTGGAAAACAGTGGGATCCAGAGAAAAGCAGACCTTACCAGCCACCTGGATAATGGGGAAAAGAAAGTTACAGGGCTTGCCAGAGGGAGAAGGAGCTAGTTCTTGAGGGATTAGGAAGTTTTCAGTTGGCTGCCATCTCCCAGAACAAAGAGTGGCCAGAAAGCTGTGGCATGCTTGGGAGGCAGCCAGTTCTACCTGGTAGGGCCGTGGCAGGAGGTGGGGGACAAAATGGAGAAGTGGATGCTGGGAAACTAGCTTCGGGGATGAGGGCAGGCTTCCCCACAGTGAGTGTTTGAGCTGGGCCAGGGAGGCTGAACAGGAGTTCGCCAGGCAGGGAATGGCCGTTTCAGCCAGCAGAGACAGCAGGTGCAAACCTCAGAGGTTGAACGCTTGGGAGCGTTTGGAGAAGGGCAGGGCCAGGACGCAGGAAGGAATGAAGTGAGAACGTTGGTGAGGCGGGAAGGGAGACACAAAGCCTCATGCCCAGCAGCCGCGAGCCAGGGAAACGTGAAGGTGGGGCAAGCTGGACTAGGCTGGCTAGGAGGTCAGGAGGGAGCCTGGTTTGGGACCCTGGGGATGGAAAGGAGGGTTCAGAGAGAAACCAAAGAGGGTGGAACATTTTCCAGGTTCCATGAGGCTGTGACTGGGTCGAGGGGCAGGTTTCTGAGCCCCCTGGTAGCCGGGTAGAGGACAGCAGTTGGCACACCATCTGCTAAGCACGGAGGCTGTTTATAGGCTGGGCCGCATATTACAATGCTCAGGGCTCCACTGCACCCTCTCGGGGGTCTGCTAGCGCTTTCCGTAGACTGTCTCCACGCCCTCCCCACTCCCAGCCAGTCCAGATCCTCTCCGGAGGGACTGCAGCAAGGATCGTTAAGTCTGTCCACCGGGATGGGGGAAGACCAGGGCCGGAGCAGATTGGCCATCCTTCAGAAGATCGACTTCCGCTATTGGGGAGAGTCTGAGGAGTCCGTTCTCCCACGGGGCCTCGTCACTCTTTGCGAAGGGCGCCTGGCAGGTCAAATGACCTCCATTTCCACCTCGCCTTCCACCTTCTTCTTTTGCTTCTCCATCACTGCCTCCAGCTCTGACACTTTCTCTTTGTCCTGGAGGGCGGGGTGGAAATCGCTTTGTCCTGGCGTCCGAGCCCTCGTCATCCCAACCCTACCCAGACCCAGGGACCAGCGGTCCGGCTCACCTCCAGCAGCGAGCGCTGCACGGTGACCTGGCTGTACACACGTGCCCCCTCCTCGGGGCTCACCGCCCGCAGCTCCTCCTTCTGCAGCGAGAAAAGCTGCGCCCCGGTCAGCACACCCAGCGCGTCCACGGTCCTGAGCGAGGGCAGCCCGGGCGCGGTCAGGCCGGTCGGCGGATGCCCCAGCCCGGACAATCATGTCACGCCCACCCGGCGATGGTCCAATCAGAACAGCATTCTAGCTCTAGCGGGGGCAGGCCCGACACCTCCTGAACCCCACCCACCAATCACAATGTTGCCACCCGGGGGGCGTGGCCGCATCCTGCTTTCAAAGGGTACGGGATTTCCCTAAGGAATCCAGTCGGAGTCTGAAAAAACATGGCAATCACAGCCTGCCATTGGGTGTTGCTACCAGACAGACCCTCACTTCGGGCTAATCCCGGCTCCCTGTGGTCTCCACGACTGCCGCCCCCCGACTCCCGGCCGATCGGAACGCTCCGCTCCCAGCGTCCGTATCAACCCGCGCCGAGAGGGCCCCGGCCCCACTCACCCGGAGCTAAAGCCCTTGGCCTGCAGCCAGGCGCGGACCTCGGAGGCGTCCGAGCCCGGGCTGAGCTGCGGTTCCGGGGCGCGGGGCCCTGGGACTGCGCGGCTCGGTCCCGAGCGGCCCTGGGCCAGGCGCGCCTGCAGTTCCTCGTTGACGATGAGCATCTGGGAGAATTTCTCTGCAGGCGGGAAACCGGGAGGTAGGGAGTGCGGGCTCAGGGCGAGGGGTCCTGGGGCCAGAGGGCGGGGCGGGGGGGCGCTCCAGCGTCCCCAGAATGGGACGGGAGTCCCTTTGCTCTTTCTGAGCCCCCGTTTCTCTGCCTGGAAAGCAAGGATAAGGACCGCTCCCCGCAGCCGGCGTCCCCACCACTCACCCTTCTCGCTGGGGTCCAAGCCGTTGAGGCTATCGCAGCTGTCCCAGCGGGGCCTGTCCCAGCGGGGCCGAGCCAGAGCTGGAGGTGGGGCCGGGGCTGGGGCTGGTGGTGGAGGAGGAGTGCTGTTCTGAAAGGAAGGAGAGGAGAGTACCTGGGTTAGGGAGAGGACTCAGAGTCCCAGCCTCTCCCCTTTCTGGAGATGCATTTCTGAACCCCCAGTCACCACCTGCTCCAGCACTCTTGACAGCTGATCCCCACGCCCCTTGTTCCCAGGATCTGGTCCCAGCCTCTCCACCCTCAAGATCCCAGCGTCTGCGCTGGCTCACCAGGCTGCGGGCAGGGCTTTGGCTGTGGTGCAGCCGGGGTCCGGGGTAGGGTGTCAGGATGTTGTAGGGCACATATCCCTCCTGCCCCGCTGGGTCCCGAACCTTCCACCACTTACGACTGTCATCCAGGACCTGGGTGTGGTAAAGAACAGAGGGTTCAGAGCCTGTCTGCAGCTAGGGCTGGCTAATTCCTGCCCCTCAGCCTCCCGCTCCTCTAACCTCCAGTACGTCCCGCTGCTTGACCGACAGCTCACTGCTGTTGCGGGCCTGGAAGTCATAATTACACAGGACCCATTTTCCTGCTGTCTCTGACTCCAGCTGAGGCTCAGATTCTGGCTCCAAGTCTCGGTGACTGAGGAGAAGCGGGAGGGTTGGAGATAAGGAGGCAGCCAGCCCCATTGCTCTGGGCTGCAGGGTGCTGGTGTGAGCTGGGGTTAGAGCCAAGCTGGGGGCACAGCAGGGGCCGGGTTAATACTGTTAATAGAAATTTGAAACAAGAATAACAGACTGAATATATTTGCTCCCTCCGTTGCTTGGCATTGTGCTGTAGGCATATGTAGTGGGTACTATCCCACCATCGATTCCATTTTACAGAGGAGAATGAGGCTCAGAGCGAGAAAATGACTTGCCCACATCACACAGCTAGAAACAGCTGTCATTTATTGAGCATCTAATAGGCACTGGGCTTTATATATCATAACTCATAAGCATAATAAAAACACTAGCTAGGCCGGGCGCGGTGGCTCACGCCTGTAATCCCAGCGCTTTGGGAGGCTGAGGCGGGCAGATCATGAGGTCAAGAGATCAAGACCATCCTGGCCAACATGGTGAAACCCTGTCTCTACTAAAAAATACCCAAATTAGCTGGGCGTGGTGGCACGCGCCTGTAGTCCCAGCTATTCTGGAGGCTGAGGCAGGAGAATTGCTTGAACCTGGCAGGCAGAAGTTGCAGTGAGCTGAGATCTCACCACTGCACTCCAGCCTGATGACAGAGTGAGACTGTCTCAAAAAACAATAGCTACCACTTCTGTACCACTTACTGTGTGCTGGGCACTGTTCTGTTACGTATATTAGTTAATTTGATCTTTATGACAACGGTTGGTAGAACCATGAATTTGGACTCCCCTCTCTCCCCCAGTTTCTTCCTCCCCCAGAGACCCTATGATCTCCTCCATTTTCACAGAGGAGGAAGCTGAGGCACAGGGATGTAAAGGTCACAGAGTAAGAGAGTGGCATCGCCAGCCCGGGACCAGGGTAGCCCAGGTCTGAATAATGCTGCCTTAGTTTGCAGGCAGCTGGACTTGAACTTGAACCTGGTCACAGCCTTAAGCCCTTAACTGCTAGTTCCTACAACACCACAGACTTCTCACTGTTCCGGGAACGGATAATCATTATTCCCAGTTTCCCTGCAAAAAAGAACTTGAGGCTCGGAGAAAGTGACTTGAAGCTGTGAACAGGGACCAGGGTTGCGATATCAGGCAGCTGGGGGCAGGGGTGGGATTTCAGCTCTGACCCCCAATAAGAGGGACCTCAGCCTGGATCAGGCCTACCTGTGCAGGGGAGAGGGGGGGTCTTCAGGGCCGCGGCACCCCCTGTGTGGGGCCGGCAGCTCCCAGCACGCTGTCCCTGCTGAGACCCTCTGCTCGGGCCCTCACCCAGACCCCCCTTTGTCTCCTCCAGCCTCACTGCTTTGTTTTCGTCTCCTCCCACGTTGCTTCCCTCCAGTCTGCCCTCTATTTGCTCAAGGACCCTAGAGTTCTAGTCCATCTACCTCCTTCCCTCCCCCAGGACCCAGAGTCTGAGCCCCCACTGCTTGGTAGAACCATGACTTGGAATGTTCTTTCCTCCCCCAGGGACCTAGGAGTCCAGGTCTCAAGCTTCAATCTTATCCTTTTAACCCTCAAACCTTTTAACCCAGTCCGACACCCAGCAGCGACTTAGACAATTGCATTAGAGCCTCTGGAAAACCAAGAGTTTAATCGTCCAGCCTTTACCCCTCTCGGGGGCCCAGAGATACTACCACTTCCTAACTTTCCCAGAAACTTGCCCCCAAGCCCTTGAAGTCCCAAGCCTGCTCCTCTGGGTCTCCAGGATCCCAAGCACCAGACTTGGGCTCTTCTTCAAAACCCAAAGGTCCAATTCCCCAGCCTCTCCCCTCCAATATCCAGGGCTCTGTCCTCCTAGGGAGCCCAGGCATGGTGCTTCCCAGGCCCTGGGAAAACAAACTGGCTTCTTCCAGCCTTTTGGGGATCCAGGGATCCAACCTCTCAGACTTTACCCACTCCCAGCCCCCTTCCTCCCTTAGGCCCAGGAATCCGGGTCTCCATTCCCAACTCCCTTAGCCCCAGAAGTCTGGGTCCCGCCCCCTCCCACCCTGCTCCTCCCTCTCTCCCAGCCCCGGCCCGCCCCATCACCATCTCACCCACCTGAGAAGAGCCAGGAAGACAGAAGGAAAAACACAGAAAAAAAGGGGGCGGAGTCAGCATCGGGAGCCCCCGGGACGCACCCCTCCTTGACCCCCTTGCCCTGCCCTGGGGCGGACACTCACCCATTGACAGCGACCTGGGGGGCGCTTTGCTGTAGGAAGTAAGACAGTCGGGTCAGGCGGGGCCAGGCGGACCGGCCGCGCCCCCGGACTTCCCAGCCTCGGCCCTGCTGTGTCGCTTGGGTCACCTGCCGGCGCCTCCGCTCGTGCTGTAGCTGTTTCTCAACTGGGTCCTCCCAGGCGCGGCTCTGCGGGTCAGTGACCGGCGGCTCCCAGCCGCTGAAGAACTCGGGTCTGTATGGGGGTCCCTCCTCCGGGGACAGCTCCAGCCTGCGGCCAGGGACAGGGCCAAGAGCTCAGGGATCCTGATACAGCCCCCAACTTCGTTCCTGCATTAACTTCACTAAGTTTTCCCCTAAAGCTCGCTGTATTCCAACGATTCTAGCCCCGCCACTTTTCACCAAGTCCTGCCGGTAGCTCTAAGCCCAACTCAACAGCAATTTATATTTCTAGACCGGGCACGGTGGCTCACGCCTGTAATCCCAGCATTTTGGGAGGCCAAGATGGGAGGATCGCTTGAGGCCAGGAGTTCCAGACCAGCCTGGGCAAAATATTGAGACCCCATCCATCTCTCTCTCTGGAAAAAAATTGCCTTATCCAGCCTCTAAATCTCACCTGATTCCAAATCAGGTTTTCCGTAAGGTCGGTTTCAGGTTCTGACCCTTTCCCTGCGGAACTGCCAGCCCGCAGTGCACAGACTCTGTCCCATCACCAAAGTTATAGACCAAACCTTCCAGAAGCCCCGCCCCTTCGCGTAGCCCCGCCCCTGCCCCGTAGCCCCTAGCCCCTCTATTCCTTTAAGCCCCCCTTTTCTTTCAATCCGATTGGTCTGGTGGTCTTAAATCTTTCCTTCACGTTAATTCCTGGCCTTTCCTCCAATTGAATCTTGGCATCTGTCCTAAGCCCCGCCCCAACACAACTAAGCCACGCCTCTAACCCCTCCCTACTCTCCTAGTCCTATTTTCCAATCATCATGCCACCCACCTCCCAGCGCCTTATGCTCCTCCAATCACCATGCCCCCTGCCTCCCAGCCCCGCCCCTCACCCGGGGCGGGTCCACGAGTCCCCCAGCGAGGTCCAGAGCTCGTTTTCACGTGGAGTGACGTTGTCCCGCAGCAGCGCCACGGCATCCGATGTCAGATGCGGCCGCCGCACACTGCTCGCGAACTCCGGCCCCCCCGACGTGTTCACAATCTGTCAGGGGAGCAGGAGGGGCAGGCTGTGCCGCCACACCTTCTACAAGTCGAACCCGATTCCTCCCGCTGCAGGGGGGCCCGAGGGCCTGGGGCGGGTCTCACCATCTGCAGAGGCCCGAAAAGGAAGTGCAACAGCTCCGGAGAGGAGGGGTCGGCGATGTTGCCGCGCAGCCGGGCCTGGGGCGTGGGGAGGGAGGTGGTTGGCGTGGGTGCGGGGACGGGACAGGTTCGTCGTGCCCGCGCCCCGGCCCAGGGGCGGGCGCGTCCTCACCAGCAGGCTGAAGGCGTACTTGATCTTCTGCAGCACGTCGGTGTACTCGGCCTCCGAGGGCGGCTTGGCCCGCAGCGTCAGCAAGCCCTCTGAGGGGAGCAGACGGGCGCGGCGATGGGGACGCGGGGCCAGCACCAGGCAGGCAGAGAGAGGTGGACACCCGGTTAAGATGGCGGTGAGGTCAGCCCTGGCAAGTGGCGGGAGGGGAGAGCCTGGGGAGAGCGGGGACATTTGGAAGAGATCGGGAGGGGGTTCAGATCCCACGCCAGGGTGCCCCTTACCCCCAGCCGCCCGGCGCCGGCTCCTGCGGCCGCGTTCCCGGTGCTCCAGCACCCTGGCCGCCTCCGCCGACTTCTGCAGCCTCGATACAAAGCTCTCTACGTCGTCGAACACGTGGTTCAGGATGTCCTAGGGGACAGAGGAGGGGGACGCTCAGGGCTCCCGAGTTCCAAAACCATCCCCGTCGAAGCCCTGAACCTGAGCACCTATACACTTCCCCAGATCAGGCCACGCCCCAAACACCTGGCCACGCCCCACAACCAAGCCCCGCCCCCGACCCAGCCCCTCTTCCATAACGCAGAAGTCTGACCAGAGAACGCCCGTCCCGCAGCCGGCCCCGCCCTTCCACGCCCTAGCCCCGCCTCCAGTCGCCTGGCCCTGCCCCCAGACCCCTTCCTTAGCGGCTCACCACTTCCCGCTCCGCCTGCAGAACCGCCAGGTCAGGACCCCGGGGACCCAGGTCCGGGGAGGCCGAGTCAGCGTTGCTCGAGGTCCCCACCGGCTCAGGCCTCTGCGCCTCCTCTGCCTCGGGAATGGGCTTCGCCTGGGGTCGTCCGCGGCCCGCGCCCCGCTCTACGGTGCTGATCACTGCGCGGACTGACGGGCGGCGCTGCAGGGGCGGGGTCTCAGCGGCGGGCGAGCGGTCGCGCTGCAACTCCTCCTGCGTGGCCCTGCGGAGGGCGACGGGGACACCAAGACTGGGTCCACTGAGGGGTCCAGGGAGGGGGAAATCCAGGGCGCAGAACGAGACACACAGGCTCAAAAGGCTCAAAGGGAGTGAACAAGTTCAACGAGGTAGGGAGAAATCCGATATACGGAGGGATAGCACCTCTCTAGAGTGAAACTGAGGGCCTGGACAGGGAACAGAGAAAAGAAGCAGAGTTCTGGAGAAGGGGTCAGCTCGTCTGGGAGGTACAGACAAGACTCGACTAGGGTGTGCTTGACTCCATGCAAAACTCTTGTTCTGTTCCAGGCTGGTGTTGTAGACTGAGGCACAAGGAGGGGAAACCGGCTTCCCAGAGACCCTGCCAACTTCTTCCCTCTCACCTGAGCGCCGCCGCCCTGCGCTCCCCGCGGCCCGAGCGGTAATTGTGCAGAGCCCCCTGGATGTCCTCTCGGATCAGCTCCGCCTGCCAATCACACCGTCAGGCCACGCCTCCCCACGCCGCACCCACTTCCTACCCGGGCCTCGCCCCTGGCCGATTTTTCAGCTCAGTCCCAGCCCACGTGCGGCTACCGTTCACACCTGTGAACCCACGCACGTCCACGCCCCGAACTCACCCCTCGCCCTACACCTGTCCCTGCCCTAAGCCACGACCCCGCCCATGGAGACCCAGTCCGGGTGGTTCCTCGCCCCCACCTCGTCCTGGCTGCTCCCCCAGATCCTTCTTGGCCATGTTCTGTTCATGTCCTCATCCCACCTTCATGTTCTATCTTGACCCTGGGTCCAATCTCAAACCCCACTGCCTTCCAGAACTTCCTTCCCAGGTCCCCTGCCCTTCCTTGCTCTGATCCCGCCTTAGCCCCAGGCCCCGCCCCACCTAGAGGCCCCACCCATTTCCGCCCCGGCTCCAGGCTCCGCCCAGTTCCAGCTCCACCCCCAGAGCCAGCCCATCTGCTCACCCCGAGGCGCAGGCCCTGGAAGAAGTGCACGTCGGGCTGCGCGCGCTCGGGTTCCTGGCACACGAGCAGCAGCAACGAGCGGCTCCTGCCGGGTGGCATCACCGCGTCACAGCGCACGATGGCGCCCAGTGGGTACGACTCCAGCTCCTCCTGCCGGGTGGGATGGCGGGGTAAACTGAGGCCCCGAAATGATGGTACTACTAAATGGCGACGGGAGTGTGGGCCAGCAGGTCAGGGCAACCTCAGGCGGTTAGGGGGTTAGGGATAACAGCCCTGTTTAATAGATGAGGCTATTAAGGCTCAAGAAGGGGGCTGGGGTCCCTCGCCAGAGTTCCCAGAGGAAGGACGTGCAGGAGCCAAGATTCACACCCAGACCCCCTGAAGTCCCTGCCCCAGACACTCCTCCCACCCACGTGCCCCCCGGCACCTTGGAGGCCGGGTCGAGCAGCGTGACATGGTCGGGAGACACTCGCAGCAGCATCTCCTGTGCCCAGACTCGGCCCTGGCTATCCATGACGGCCAACTTCCTGGAGGCATCCTCCACGGTATGCACGCCATCGTCCTCACCCAGGCAGAACGTCACCAGGTGCTGGTACGGACCATGGAGAAAGCAGTGAGGCCCAAGATGATGCCAGGTGGGCTCAGAATCCCCCAGAATAATCAGACTTTCAGCCTGAGACTAACCACACCTCCTCCAGGAAGCCTTCCTTGATCACCTGTTCCACAAATCAGCTCCTCCTCCCAGTGCCCTTTGTTTCCCTTTCATCAGAGTGACTAGCACCTGAGTCTGGCTTCTCACAGACTGGAGGCTCCTTGCGGGCAGGGAAGGAGTCTGGATTATAGCTCTCTCCTTCTAAATGCCTCCTCGGGTCTCCTGCCATGCCCCCTGCCACCTCCATTAGAGCACCAGGCGCCTCTGTGGATTCCTCTGGACCTTGTCTACCCCTTCCTCATGCAGGGCTGTGTCTTGATTTGCCTCCGTGGTCCCACTGTCCAGCACAACAGCTGGCCTGGAGGAAAGGCTGGCAGATTAAGTGGACCCGAGGCCCCTGGCTTCATATCCATGACTGAGGTGAGGCAACGGAGGTCCATTTTATGGATGGGCAAACTGACTTTCCACATGCTTCCTGCTTGGGGGCCTAGCTGCTTTCAAAAGCCCTATCTCCTGAGGCCACCTTTGCCCCAGAAGATGTCCTGGGGGAACACAGACCCCAGACTCACATTGACTGGGTACTGGGATACATCAGCCATAACAACTGTGGAGTAACGCTTCCTCTGCTCTGCCAGGGGAGAAAGAGAATGAGCCTGGGAGTCCAGGCCCAGCCCCTCCTCCATCAGACCCAGGAGTCCAGGCCCCCAGCCCCTCCTCCCTCAAACCTAGGAGTCCAGCCCCCCAGCCCCTCTTCCCTCTGACCCAGGAGTCCAGGCCCCCAGCCCCTCCTCCCTCAAACCCAGGAGTCCAGGCCCCCAGCCCCTCTTCCCTCTGACCCAGGAGTCCAGCCCCCCAGCCCCTCCTCCCTCTGACCCAGGAGTCCAGACCCCCAGCCCCTCTTCCCTCTGACCCAGGAGTCCAGGCCCCCAGCCCCTCTTCCCTCTGACCCAGGAGTCCAGGCCCCCAGCCCCTCTTCCCTCTGACCCAGGAGTCCAGCCCCCCAGCCCCTCTTCCCTCTGACTCAGGAGTCCAGACCCCCAGCCCCTCTTCCCTCTGACCCAGGAGTCCAGCCCCCCAGCCCCTCTTCCCTCTGACCCAGGAGTCCAGCCCCCCAGCCCCTCTTCCCTCTGACCCAGGAGTCCAGCCCCCCAGCCCCTCTTCCCTCTGACCCAGGAGTCCAGCCCCCCAGCCCCTCTTCCCTCTGACCCAGGAGTCCAGCCCCCCAGCCCCTCTTCCCTCTGACCCAGGAGTCCAGGCCCCCAGCACCTCTTCCCTCTGACTCAGGAGTCCAGGCCCCCAGCCCCTCCTCCCTCAAACCTAGGAGTCCAGCCCCCCAGCCCCTCTTCCCTCTGACCCAGGAGTCCAGACCCCCAGCACCTCTTCCCTCTGACTCAGGAGTCCAGACCCCCAGCCCCTCCTCCTCCAAGACCCTGGATGCCAGGTCCTGTTTCTTTAGACCCAGTTCTATGGGCCTGGGGCTCCCTTGCCCCCCGCTCACCATAGATAGACTTGGCGCTTGGCTTTGGGGCAGCTTCTGGGCTGGTGAAGAAAAGAGGAATGAGAGAGACTGTGGGACTGGGGGCAGATCCTGTGGAAATGCCAAGCAGGGCAGCAAGGGCTTCATGACGAAGGTAATGGGGAGCGATGGAAGGGTTATTATTATTATTATTATTATTATTATTATTATTATTATTGAGCAGGAGAGCTCAGAGCCAGAGCTGGACTTTAAGAAGACAGGTAGGCTGGGCGCGGTGGCTCACGCCTGTAATCCCAGCACTTTGGGAGGCAGAGGTGGGCGGATCACAAAGTCAAGAGATTGAGACCATCTTGGCCAACATGGTGAAACCCTGTCTCTACTAAAAATACAAAAATTAGCTGGGTGTGGTGGTGGGCGCCTGTAGTGCCAGCTACGTGGGAGGCTGAGGCAGGAGAATCACTTGAACCTGGGAGGCGGAGGTTGCAGTGAGTCCAGATCGTGCCACTGCACTCCAGCCTGGCAGCAGAGTGAGACTCCATCTCAAAAAAAAAAAAAAAAAAAAAAAGACAGGTCAGGTCAGGCGGTGGTGCTGGGTGGTAGGGGAGTGTGATCTCTACCATGGCATAGTCCGGGATTCAAACCCTCTGTCTACTGCCTCCTTGCCATAAGACCTTCAGAAGAGGATTTAATCTCTCCTGCCTCAGTTTTTCTTTCTGTAACGTAGTAACCATCTGGTAGGGCTGTTGGGCAAATTCAGTCAGATGATGCAGGTGAAGTATTTTGAAGCCTCAATAACTGTTATTATCATTCTTAAGATGCTGCCAGGGCTTAGCACACAGAAGTTGCTCAATAAATGGGAATGGTTATAATAGCATTAGTGGTATCTGAAGTAGACAGGGAATTATCTGCTTCCCCTCCCACTCCCATGGGCCAGGTGCTTCCCAACCACATCCTTCTCTGTCTCCTCCCGTCCTCAATTTCTTCCTAAGATTACCTTTCCTAAGAATTCTTGAATCCCCACTTGCATGCACATAACAGAAGCTCAGCGATCAGGTGGCGTCAGGGGAACTGAAAAACCCTTTTTCCCAAACTCCTGTTCCTCATCCTGCTCCTGCCAGTCTGATGTCACCACAATTTGATTACCTCTGGGCCAGAGAGCTCACTACCTACCATGCAGGTATTTTGACTCATCTCTCATTGTTTTTCTCCCTGCTTACTCTGGGGGACTTGAGTCTTCATTATAAACAGCCCTGATTTTCTAGCAAAGGGTTAATATTTACTAACAACATAACAATCGCAATAGCGACTCCTATGAGTTGAGCACCTGCTGTCAGTGAGGTGGTCAGCTAAGTCCTGTAATGCACTATCCCTCCAATTTTTCAACATTGTCCCTGTGTCACAGAGGAGGGGCTGAGGCTCCAGGAGGTGATGTCCTCTGACCAGGGTTACATCAGCACTGAGTGTGAGGGCCGAACTGGAGCTCAGGCCTGTCTGCTCTGCAGTGGGGGCCCCTAACCCCAGGCTGGGCAGGGAGGAGAGAGGCTCTGGCTTCCTCCTGAGTGTCGGGGCTTGGGCCAGAGTCTGGGCCGCCGCAAACAGTCTGGGCTGCCGCAAGCGGGTGTGGGTGAGGAGGCGAGGGGAGGCGGGAGGCGTGCTGGGGCTGGGACCTGGGGTCCGGGGGCGCTTACCCTGTGGCGGTGCTCATGGTGCTGAGTGGTAGCTCCTGCCCACCTGGAGGTGCCCTGGGAGCCAGCAAACATGTGAAGGCCTGGCCAGTAGGAGCCTCTAATTCCTACCCCAGCCTCCTCCCTCAATGCAGGCATCCAGGCCCCAGCCCCTCCTCCCTCAGGCCCAGGAGTCCAGGCCCCCAGCCCCTCCTCCCTCAGACCCAGAAGTCCAGGCCCCAGTCCCTCTTCCCTAGACCCAGGAGTCCAGACCCCAGTCCCCTCCTCCCTCAGACCCAGGAGTCCAGACCCCAGTCCACTCCTCCCTCAGACCCAGGAGTCCAGGCCCCATCTCCTCCTCCCTCAGACCCAGGAGTCCAGGCCCTCAGCCCCTCCTCCCTCAGACCTAGGAGTCCAGGACCCCAGGCCCTCCTCCCTCAGACCCGGGAGTTCAGACCCCCAGCCCGTCCTCCCTGAGACCCTGGAGTCCAGACCCCAGTCCCCCCGTCCCTCAGACCCATTGGTCAAGCCCCGGCCCCCTTCTCTCCTGACCCGGATCTCCTTACCTGCCTGCTCAGGCTCTGCCCTGCTCTCCGCTGTCCTTTCCCTTCCAGGCTGCCGGCCCCTCCTCCTGCTCCCTCCCAGGGCCGTCCTGCCTCCGCCTCCGCCTCCGCATACCTGAGCATTCACCTGGCACAGCCTGGCTGGAGTGACCCCGGGGCGGGGCTGGCAGACAGATCTAGGAGGGGCTGGGGGGACTGCAGGGGAGCTGGGAAACTAACTGTCTGCCTTGTAGCAACAGAATAATAGCAACGAACAGTACATTTGATGTCACACTTGTTCACAGGTCAGAGTTGAAAGCTCTGTCTTTAAAACTCCCTTGAAATTCTAACAGCGGGAGGAAGTTCGAGGTTTGATTCCTGCTTGACAGATGAGGAAGCTGAAGGCCAGAGAGGTTGAGCAACTTGTCCATTTCAGCACTTGGTTAAGGAGGGATTTGAACCCGGGGCTGACCTTCTGTCTCCAGGGCCAGTGGCAGCCCGTCTTCTATGGACACCTCCTGCCCACGATCACTGCCTCTGCTCATGCCCTTACCTCCCCACCCATCCCGTTCCACCTTCCTTTGGAAATTTCCCTCAATGACCCCCCTATTCTGACAAAAGCTAAGATTTAGCTCGATAATGCCTGGCCCAGCTCCAAGGACATCACAAAAATGAACAGGCTTTCCAGGCATAAACACCTTTCTGAAATCACTTTTCCAGAACTCCCTCCATGCTGTAGAGGTTACTAGCAAAGCTTTCCACATCATTTCTCCCCAGAGCCCCGTGAGGGGAGTGTGTCTGGGTGGGAGGCTGTCTTCGTCTCACAGATGAGAAAATGAGGAAGAGAAGGGTTAAGAAACTTGCATGGGTACAGTGGCTCACATCTCTAATCCCAGCACTTTGGGAGGCCGAGGCAGGCAGATCACCTGAGGACAGGAGTTCGAGACCAGCCCAGCCAACATGGTGAAACCCCATCTGTACTAAAAACACAAAAATTATCCAGGTGTGGTGGCGGGTGCCTGTAATCCCAGCTACTCAGGAGGCTGAGGCAGGAAAATCACTTGAACCCGGGAGGCAGAGGTTGCGGCGAGCCGATAATTGCACCACTGCACTCCAGCCTAGGCAAGAGAGCGAGGCTCCATCTCAAAAAACAGAAAACAGGCCGGGCGCAGTGGCTCACACCTGTAATCCCAGCACTTTGGGAGGCCGAGGCGGGTGGAACACGAGGTCAGGAGATCGAGACCATCCTGGCTAACACGGTGAAACCCCGTCTCTACTAAAAATACAAACAATTAGCCGGGCGTGGTGGTGGGCACCTGTAGTCCCAGCTACTCGGGAGGCTGAGGCAGGAGAATGGCGTGAACCTGGAAGGCGGAGCTTGCAGTGAGCCGAGATTGCGCCATTGCACTCCAGCCTGGGCGACAGAGCGAGACTCTGTCTCAAAAAAGAAGAAAAAAAAAAAGCTGACATCTTGCAAGGCCTTAAGGGACGTGATTCTGATCTCATCTCTTCCTTCTGTGTGTCAGCACACTGGCCTCCTTGCTGCTCTTGGAACATCCAGACCCGGTCCTGCCTCAGGGCCTTTGCACTTGCTGTTTCCTCTGCCTGGAATGCTCTTCTACCAGATACCCTCATGCCTCACTTTCTTGCCTCCTTTGATCTTTGCCTGAATGTCACCTTCTCAGAGGACTGGCTGACCACCCTGTTTCAAATGGCGGCATCCCTTACTCGACTTCTTTTGTTTTTTTTGAGACAGAGTTTCACTCTTGTTGCCCAGGCTGGAGTGCAGTGGCGCAATCTTGGCTCACCGCAACCTCCGCCCCCCCAGGTTCAAGTGATTCTCCTGCCTCAGCCTCCTGAGTAGCTGGGACTACAGGCGCGCGCCACCACGCCCGGCTAATTTTGTACTTTTAGTAGAGACAGCATTTCACCATGTTGGCCAGGATGGTCTCGATCTCTTGACCTCGTGATCTGCCCGCCTCGGCCTCCCAAAGTGCTGGGATTATGGGTGTGAGCCACCGCCCCCGGCAACCCAACTTCTTTGTAGTCTCTTTCCTCTCTCCCTACTTCATTTTTGTGTGGAGAACTTTTCACCTTCTTACCCACTGTGTTCCTGGTTCATTTTGTCTGTGTCTCCTCCGTTAGAATGCAAGCTTCACAGGCTGGGCACGGTGGCACATGCCTGTAATCCCAGCACTTTGGGAGGCTGAGGCGGATTGATCACTTGAGGTTGGGAGTTCGAGACCAACCTGGCCAACATGGTGAAAGCACGTCTCTACTGAAAATATGAAAATTAGCCGGGGGTGGTGGTGTACACCTGTAATCCCAGCTTCTTGGGAGGCTGAGACAAGAAAATTGCTTGAACCCCGGAGGTGGAGGTTGCAGTCAGCCGAGATCACACCATGTCACCAACATGATAAAACCCCATTTCTACTAAAAAAAAAAAAATTAGCCAGAGTTGGTGGTGCACACCTGTAATCCCAGCTTCTTGGGAGACCAAGGCAAGAGAGTCACTTGAACCTGGGAGGTGGAGGTTGCAGTGAACCGAGATGATCGTGCCACTGCACTCCAGCCTGGGTGACAGAGCGAGACTCCATCTTAAAAAAAAAAAAAGCGGCCGGGTGTGGTGGCTCACGCCTGTAATCCCAGCACTTTGGGAGGCCGAGGCGTGTGGATCACGAGGTCAGGAGATTGAGACCATCCTGGCTAACATGGTGAAACCCCGTCTCTACTAAAAATACAAAACAATTAACCAGGCTTGGTGGTGGGTGCCTGTAGTCCCACCTACTCCGGAGGCTGAGGCAGGAGAATGGCGTGAACCCGGGAGGTGGAGATTGCAGTGAGCCAAGATTGCTCCACTGCACTCCAGCCTGGGTGACAGAGCAAGACTCCATCTCAAAAAAAAAAAAAAAAAAATGCAAGCTTCACAAGGGCAAAGATTTTTGTGTGATCAGTCCTCCACTTAATCTGCAGCACACAGAATTGGGTCTAGCACATAGAAAGTGTTGGAGAGATACTTGTTGAGTAAACGAGCTTTTGGCATTTGGTGCATTCATGTGCATTACTGCTTTGTTGCTTCATTCAAGATATGTTGCCTCCACGGTCTATGCTGAGTGAGCCTGGAAATCAGAGAAGGCACATTTTTGCCTTCGATTGATGGGGATGAAGGAACAGAGAGAAAGAGATATAGTGTGGTCTGATGGCAGAGAGCCTCGGGCAGGTGTGGGTCTGAATCCTGGCTTTGCCACTTGATAATTTTGGAGATACTTATTGTGTGCTTATATCTTCTCAGTACATCATAAATGTGTGTGTGTGTGTGTGTGTGTGTGTATGCATAATCCTCACCACATCCTATGGAATGGGTCCTATTATCCCCATTTTTTTTCTTAATTGAGACAAGGTCTAGTTCTGTGGCCCAGGCTAGAATGCAGTGTCATAATCACAGCTCACTGCAGTCTCGACCTACTGGGGTGATCCTCCCATCTCAGACTATATATAAATATATATACACATATATATAGTAGAGTCTCCTTATGTTGCCCAGGCTGGTCTCCAACTCCTGGGCTCATGTGATACTCCTGCCTTATCCTCCCGAAGTGCTGGGATGACAGGCATGAGCCACCCACCACACCCAGCTTATTGGGAGGATAAAGTCAGGTTATAGAGAGTTGTCAATACAGTACCTGGCAAAGAGGAAACGCAAGGCTGGTGTTAGCAATGGCGAGGACGATGGCCTTTCTTCCCATGCGTGCTGCAAGGGAGGACACGAGGGGCTCTGCCAAGGCCAGGAGAGGCTGCTGAGGGTCAGGACAGGCTGCCTGGAGGAGGAGGACAGGCTGCCTGGAGGAGGAGGGCAGGCCAGGAATCACCTTGAAGGATGAGTTTGACAGCCAGTGTCAATCCTAGAAGATAGGGGTGTTCTGGGCCCTGCAACTGCCTGAGTGAAGGATGGGGGCTGCAGGGGTGGCCAGCGGGGCTAGACTGTGAGCTCCTGGCTACCCAGCAGGTGGTCCTGGTGCGTGTAGCAGCGGGTGGGGGAGGTAGGGGTGGAAGGAGGGCCCTTACGCTTCTCTTTCTTTGGCTTCTGCAATTCTGTGTTCTCATCACATTCATGCCACAAGTATTTTCTGTGCTTGACTGTACCTGAGTTGGGGTTTGAGGGAAGGAGCAGACCCCTTGCCCCATTGACAGGAGAAAACAGAGGCTCAGAGAGGGAAGTCAGTAGCCTAAGGTTACAGTGGCCCTGGGCTGTGACACAGATGCAGATCTGACTGGGCCTGGGCTCATTTCTTCATGAACAAGGGGAGAAAACTATCTCATAGAAGCATTTGGTATGGGTCCGAGGCCTTTGGGTCTGAGGGAGGAGGGGCTGGGGTCTGGACTCTTGGGTCTGAGGGAGGAGGGGCTGGGGGCCTGGACTCCTGGGTCTGAGGGAGGAGGGGCTATCTCATTGCTTTGGGGGTGGCGCAGGCGGCCCTCCAGGCCATGGTCTGGAGCAGCAGGTGAGACCGAAACCCGAGCCTCCACCCAAGTCCCAAGTCCCAGGGCCCAGGGCCTCTTTCCTCCTTCTCTGGCCGCAAAGGAGGCCCCTCCCTCTCTGTAACCCACAGCAAATGCCTCCCAAATACCAGTCAAAGTGTCCACCCCTGCACAGTCTGACTCAGCCAGTCCAGGGCGGAGGCAGTAAAGCCCTGTCTTGGCAAGTCACCAGGGAAATCCATCACCGAAGCACCTCTCTCCCCCCTCGGCCTGGCTATTCTGTCATTGGCACCTGTTCTTGGGTGAGTGACAGGGCTCTGTGGTCAGGGTTTGCCTCTGTCCCAGTCTGGGATAGCTGTCTTGGGGGGCTGGCCTTTCTTCCCTCTCACCTGGGATGTCCCAGGAACGGAACAGAATTCTCCCCTGGGGCTTGAAGAGCTCACCCCCCATCTCCTCCGTTATCCCCACCCCCACACCACCCAACACACATCCTCTAGTCTGTAGGATTTGCTGACAAATTCCTATGACAGCCGGATGTGGTGCCTCACACCTGTTACCCAGCATTTTGGGAGGCCATCACTTGAGATCAGGAGTTCGAGACCAGCTTAGCCAACATGGTGAAACCCCATCTCTACAAAAGTAGCTGGGTGTGGTGGCGTGCGCTTGTAGTCCCAGCTACTAGGGAGACTGAGGCAGGAGAATCACTTGAACCCGGGAGGCAGAGGTTGCAGCGAGCCATTGCGCCATGCACTCCAGGCTGGGTGACTGACTGAGATTCTGACTCAAAAAAAAAAAAAAATCCTATGACAAGGAGAAAGGTCAGATTCCCTGGCAATGGGAGCTGAGGCATGTTCTTGAGAAGGAGGGAGGTTATAAATTAGATGGGGCTGGGTCTCAGAGAGATATAGCTACTTACATATTAAATAATGAGGCTGAGTGTGGCGTCTCACACCTATAGTCCCAGTACTTTGGGAAGCAGAGGCAGGAGGATCCCTTGAGCCTAGGAGTTTGAAACCAGCCTGGGCAACATAGGGAGATTCCATCCCTACCAAAAAAAAAATTAAAAATTAGCCAGGCATAGTGGCCTGCATCTGTGGTCCTAGCTGCTTGGGAGGCTGAGGTGGGAGGATTGCTTGAACCTGGGAGGTCAAGGTACAGTGAGCCACGATTGCACCACTGCACTCCAGCCTGGGTGACAGAGCAAGACCTTGTCTCAAAAAAAGTAATTAATTTATTTATTCAATACGTAGCTCCTGAGACAAAATGTGTGCCGTACTCTAGACCCTGCTGGTGTGCACAATTCATGGGGGATATGTGCGCTAATGGAAGTGTGGCACAGGGCAAGGGTGTCCCCAGAGAAAGCCCTAATCCAGCTTTATGGGTGGTTGTATGAGGCACAGAAGCCTTTCCTGGTTAAGGGATAAATGGATGGGGTTTCAAAGGATGAATAGGAGTTTGCCAAGGACAATGAAGCAAAGATTGACATTCTAAGCATTGGGAGTGTCCTATGCAAAATCCCAAAGTGATGTAGTAGCAAATACTTAAGCACCTACAGTGTGCCAAGCATGTTTCATGTGCTGGAGATACAGAGGAGGAGGAGACAGATGAAACCCCAGCCCTTGTGATATTGTCATCCTAGTAGGTGTGGTGGGGAGATAAACAAGTAGACACCTGCATGAATAAGACTTTCAGATTGTGGTAAACCCTGTGGAGGAAACGAAACAGGTGAAGGAACGGCGTGACTAGGAGCAGGCAGGTGCGGCTGCTTCAGGTAGGGTGGTCAGGGAAGGAGGCGGCATCTGAGCTTTGACCTCAATTTCGAGAATGAGCCAGGAATGCAGAGAGGATTTCAGGCAGAGGAAACCTTAGGGAGGCTGGCGGGTTAAATCTGCAGGGGTGTGGCTGGCCGGAGGAAGTGAGGTGTGAGACAGTCACGTTGATGGTGACAGCAGCAGTGACCGTAGCAGCCTAGAGGTGGCCGAATGCTTACTCTAATGGGCTGGCCCATCCCTGAGTGTCTAGAGTTCCCAGCCCGCTTAAGGAAGGAAGGAAAACACAGGCAGCTCTAAGTGTACGACGAGGGAGGTCTCATCGGCGGTGAGGAAGCCCAGGCGGGTCCCCTTCCCAGCTGAAAGGGGTTCGGGTAGGTTTTTCCTGGGCGTTCCTCTGAGAACAGCCAGCCCTGGTGAGAGTGCGGGGAGAGGCGCTTATGACACAGGGAGGGTGGGTCTGGGAACCAGCCTGGCAGGAGGAGGAGGGAGACTGCCGGTGGCCGGGAGCTGTTTGTTCTCTGGGAGGGATCGTGGCGGGGTGGTTTGTGCAGCCCTTTCCTGAAACCGGAGGAGCCTGGCTCCTTCCCAGGTCTCTGGGGGATGGGTCGGGGCGGGGGGTGGTGACGGGGATAGGACCCCAGACAGACTTGAGTTTGGATCCTGGGTTGGAGCCGGTGACTTCACTCTCAGCTCCCTGAACATCAGGGCCTGCCTTTCTTCCCTCCCTTCCCCTCCCCTCCCCTCCCCTTCCTTCCTTCCTTCCTTCCTTCCTTCCTTCCTTCCTTCCTTCCTTCCCTTCCTTTCCCTTCCCTCCCTCCCTTTATTCTTTTCTTTTTTTCTTTTCTTTTCTTTCTTTCTTGACAGAGTCTTGCTCTGTCGCCCAGGCTGGAGTGCAGTGGCGCGATCTCGGCTCACTGCAAGCTCCGCCTCCCGGGTTCACGCCATTCTCCTGCCTCAGCCTCCCGAGTAGCTGGGACTACAGGCACCCGCCACCGTGCCTGGCTAATTTTTTTGTATTTTTAATAGAGACGGGGTTTCACTGTGTTAGCCAGGATGGTCTCGATCTCCTGACCTCGTGATCTGCATGCCTCGGCCTCCCAAAGTGCTGGGATTACAGGCCTGAGCCACAGTGCCCGGCCTCCTCTTTCTTTTTTTGAGACAGAATCTCACTCTGTCACCCAGGCTGGAGTGCAGAGGTGTGGTCTCGGCTCACTGCAACTTCCGCCTCCCAGGCTCAAGCGATTCTCCTGCCTCAGCCTTCCGAGTAGCTGGGACTACAGGCGCGTGCCACCATGCCCAGCTAATTTTTTGGTACTTGTAGTAGAGACAGGGTTTCACCATGTTGGCCAGGCTGGTTTCAAACCCCTAATCTCCAGTGATCTGCCTGCCTTGGCCTCTCAAAGTGCTGGGATTAAAGGCGTGAGCTACCGTGCCAGGCCGTGGAGTAGCTAAACTTATCTTACACTGCTGAGGTCTCTCAAGATGTGTGTAGGGAGAGAGAGTTGGGGGGAGAGAGAGAGACAAAGGAAAAGAGGAAGAGAGAGACAGGGAGAAAGAGAGGAAGAAAGAGAAAGAGAGAAACAGGAAGAGTGAGAGGAGAAAGAGAGGAAGGGGGAGAGAAAGAGAGATGGGGGAGAAAGAGAGAGAGAGAAGGAGACACAGGAGGGGGAGAGAAAGAGGGAGAGAGCAATGAGAGAGATATGAGACAGAGAAGAGAGAGAGAGGAGACACGGAGGAGGGGGACAGAAAGAGGGAGACAGAGAGATGAGAGAGAGAAAAGACACAGATGAGGGGGAGAGAAAGAGGGAGAGAGAGATGAGAGAGAGATTGATAGCACCCAGCTAATCAATCAGTGGCTTTAGTGCCATGAGCTGGAAGGGAGGAATGGATACTGGGGAACAGTTGGTTGACTTTCCCTGGTGGGACAGCCCCTCTTTCTAGAACTACCTTTCCTATGTCCCCTGTGCTTCTCTCCAGTCCATACTCTACATCTCAGCCAGAAAAGAAGAAATTCTAAAACATGTATCTGCCCGTGACATGACCCTCCTTGGCTCAACACTCTTCAGCGGTACCCAGCGCCCTCTGAGTCAACGCCAAGCTTCCTACCATGGCATTGGAGCCGCGCTCTGGGTCCTTTTACTGATGGCTCCCGCCTCAGCCCTTCCACCCCCTCCCATACCCTGCATGCCAGCCCAGGCAGCCCTCCCTCCTCCCACAATATCTCTCATATGCATTCCTGTCCCATGCCTTCTGCTTAAGCTGTTCCCACAGCCCGGAGTCTCCTCCCTGGCTGAGGGAAATCTTGCCGGCTCACATGGCCGTGATCCCCATCATTTCCTGCAGAAAGCTTGCCCAGCTCTCCGACACGGGGACCTTCTGCCCCTCCTGAGCCCTGAGTCCCCTCCATCTTAACTGGGAGGTCACCTGTTTGCGTGGTGTCTGCTCAGCTTGCAGGCAAGGCCACCAACACCCTCCTTTCCTGTCTTTCCTTCCTACCATCCTCTCCTGTCCACCCTCTGCCTCTCCCTCCCTTCTTCTCTTCTTTCCTTCTAGTTACTGAGCCATGCATGTGTTGCATGCAGCAAGGATGAATAAAATAAAATAAACCTACAGCAATCATTCCAGTTACTATGGCCATATAACAAATTATTCTAAAACTCAGTGGCTTCAGACAAGGATCATATCTATTTTACTCAAAAACCTACCATCTGCACAGGCCTTGGTGGAGGCAGCTTATCTGTGTGCCCTTTGGTGATGGCTGGGGCTGTCAAGAAGCTGGGGCAGTGCTTGGGCTGCAAAGACTCAAATGGCTGGAGTCTGGGACCACTGGAGCTCCTTGCCCCCCTTTGCTTATCTCTACACAGCCACAGGGTCGCTAAACTTACCTTACACTGCTGAGGCCTCTTAAGATGTGTGTAGGGAAAGAGAGTTGGGGGGAGAGGGAGAGAGAGAACAGAGAGAGAGAGACACACACAAGAAGAGAGAGAGGAAGAAAGAAGGAGAGAGAGGAAGAGGAAGGGAGAGGAAGAGAGAGAGAAAGAGAAAGAGGGAGAGAGAGAGGAGAGAAAGAGACAAGAAGAGAGGAAGAAAAAAGAGGAAGAGAGGGATAGAGGAAGACAGAAGGAGGGAGAGGGAGAGAGGAAGAGAGAGGAAAGAGAAAGGAAGGGAAAGAGAGATGTGAGAGAGAGGGAGAGAGAGAGAGAAAAGAGGACAGAGGAAGAGAGAGAGGAAGAGAGAGGGAGAGAGAGGGAGAGAAGACAGAGAGGGAGAGAGGAAGAGAAAAGGAGACAGAGAGAGGAGAGATAGAGAAGAACGAGAAAGGAGAGACAGAATGTGAATGAGAATTGGGTGCCATAAACCCTCTGATGGGGAAAGCAAAGGGCATTGTGGGAGAATCCTCTCAGCACCTGGGACAGCACCCAGTGCTGATCAGGAACATGTTAACAACCAGGAAAATGGTAAAGGCGTGGACAGCCCACCTGGAGTCCAAACAGATGTTCTAACTCCCTTGGGTGTGTCTGGGAATCAGGTAGGAGATCCTCAGAGGAGGAATATGCATGCATTGTTCTCTTTATAATAACCATATTAACAGCCAGCAATGTTCTGGCACTTACTATGGATTAAGTCCTTGTTATGAATGACTTCATGCCATCCTTCCAAATTCAATGACAGGTAGCTGGGCGCAGTGGCTCACGCTTTGTAATCCCAGCACTTTGGGAGGCTGAGGCAGGTGGATCACCTGAAGCCTGGAGTTCAAAACCAGCCTGGCCAACATGGTGAAACCCCGTCTCTACTAAAAATACAAAAATCAGCCAGGTGTGGCGGCGAGCGCCTGTAATCCCAGCTACTCATGAGGCTGAGGCAGGAGAATCGCTTGAACCCAGGAGGCAGAGGTTGCAGTGAGCTGAGATTGCATCACTGCGCTCCAGCCTGGGCATCGGAGAGAGACTCTCAAACAGGAGCTGGCGAACTGTGGCGCACTGCTTATTTTTATAAATAAAGTTTTATGGGAACACAGCTGTGCTCACTTGTTTTCACATCATCTGTGGCTGCTTCCCAGCTCCTCTGGCAGAGGAGGTGCAACAGCCACTGTGTGGATCACAAAGCTGAAATTATTTACTATCTGGCTGTTTGTAGAAAAAGTTTGCTGATCTCTGTCCTGGAAGTCAATGATATTAGGATTTCAGTTTACAGAAAAGGAGAAAAAGACAGGGAAAAACAGTGTTGTTTTTTTTTCAAGGTTGAGAAAATGAACATCTGAACCAATTGCCCATGTTATTAAATGTAAACATTTATTATTATTATTTTTGAGATGGGGTCTTGCTCTGTCACCCAGCCTGGGGTGCAGTGGCACAATCACAGCTCATCATAGCCTTGACCTCCTGGGCTCAAGCAGACCTCCCACCTCAGCCTCCCAAGTAGCTGAGGGTGCAGATGCGTGCCACCAAACCTGCTAATTTTTGTATTTTTTGTAGAGATAAGGTTTTGCCGTGTTGTCCAGGCCGCTCTCAAACTCCTGGGCTCATACTATTCTCCACTTTGGCCTCCCAAAGTGCTGGGATTACAGGCATGAGCCACCATGCCCAGTCTAAAATTTTTCTTTATTTTTAGTTTGGTAAACTATGCATAAAGTAAAATGTACCATCTTAACCATTTTAAGTGTACAATTCAGTGATGTTAAGTATATTCACATTGTTGTGCAACCATCACCACCGTCCACCTTCAGGTCTTTTTTTTATTTTGCAAAACAAACTCTGTATCTATTAAAAAACAGCTTCCCGGCCGGGTGCGGTGGCTCATGCCTGTAATCCCAGCACTTTGGGTGGCCGAGGCAGGTGGATCACCTGAGGTCAGGAGTTTGAGACCAACCTGGCCAACATGGTGAAACCCCGTCTCTACTAAAAATACAAAAATTAGCCGGGTGTGGTGACACGTGCCTGTAGCCCCAGCTACTCGGGAGGCTGAGGCAGGAGAATCGCTTGAACCTAGGAGGCAGAGGTTGCAGTGAGCTGAGATCGCCCACTGCTCTCCAGCCTGGGTGACACAGTGAGACTGTCTCTCAAAAAACAAAACAAAACAAACAAACAAACAAAAACAAATCCTGTGACTTCCCAATCTCATCTCCAGCCCCCTGCAGCCACCACTCTGTTTTCTGTCTCTATGAATTTGACTCCTCCAAGTGCCTCTTATACAGCATTTGGCATTGTGTAACTGGTTTAATACGTTTGAGATGGTGAGAGCTTAAGGTCTACAGGCCTAAGGTTTTTTTTTTTTTGACAGAATTTCACTCTGTCGCCAGGCTGGAATGCAGTAGGGCAATCTCGGCTCACTGCAACCTCCACCTCCCGAGTTCAAGTGATGCTCCTGCTTCGGCCTCCTGAGTAGCTGGGACTACAGGTGAGTGCCACCACATCCAGCTAATTTTTGTATTTTTAGTAGAGACAGGGTTTCACCATGTTGGCCAGGCTGGTATCAATCTCCTGACCTCGTGATCCATCTGTCTCGGCCTCCCAAAGTGCTGGGATTACAGGCGTGAGCCACCGTGCCCGGCCATTGACTAAGGTCTTAAAATAGCTCTTCCTGCCTGTATAATCTCCATTATGGCAGGGCTCATATAAGAAGATGACAGTTCATCTGATGAGGAAGAAAACTTACTCCTAGTTAGATTGGGTTGAATTCTTCCCTGTTTCCAGCGGTGTCTGCTCCTGGCACCTCAGGCACAGTCAGGGGTAGGAGGTGGTGATCAGATACACTCGCTGTGAGCAGTGCAAGGGGAAGCAGGTGCCCAGAGGTGCATCCCGGTTTGGTGGGGGTGACAAACATGGACAGGTAAGTGCAGGAGTGTGTGCAATACTCAATCTAAGAAAGGTAGTTCAGGCAGAGTTCAGGGAAGATATCTCTGTGCAGGGCCAGACATGGGGATGAGATTCTGATAATTTGGGAATGAATCAGGCCCCCAGCCCCTCCTCCCTCAGACTCAGCAGTCCAGGCACCCGGCCCTCCTCCCTCGGACCCAGAAGTCCATGCTCCCAGCCCCTCCTCCCTTGGACCCAGGAGTCCAGGCCCCCAGCCCCTCCTCCCTCAGACCCAGGAGTCCAGGCCCCCAGCCGCCTTCTCCTGCAGGACCCCAGGAGCTTGGGTACCCACAGGCTACTAGATCCTTGTTTCTGTGCATGGAAATTCTCAAATTATCTCCAAAAGTCTATGAAGAAGGTAAACACACATTTCCAGATGAGGGAATAGGCTGATATAGTTGAAAGACACACAGAGGGTCACAGTCTGGAATTGACAGTGGTGGGATTCGAACCTATTTCACTCCAGAACTGCGTAGCGCCTTATACGCTGCGGCAAGTGTGACGTCATTCGAACAAACCATAGGCCCCGCCCCCGGACTAGCCACGCCCACAGGCTCCTGAAACCACCAATCCCAGCTGTGACAGCGCTCAGGACCGATGCTCATAGGTCCCGTCCCTAGGATCCCCGCCCCCTCCGCCCGCGCCCCGCCCCTCGCAGCCCAGTTCCGGACGCGGGCCCAGCCGCGCCTGCGCCTCCGCTCGCCTGTGGCTGCGTCGCGCGCTCTTCCTCGGAGCTACCCAGGCGGCTGGTGTGCAGCAAGCTCCGCGCCGACCCCTGACGCCTGACGCCTGTCCCCGGCCCGGCATGAGCCGCTACCTGCTGCCGCTGTCGGCGCTGGGCACGGTAGCAGGCGCCGCCGTGCTGCTCAAGTGAGTACATTCTAGCCCCGCGTGCGCGGTCAAGGCGGGCCCCCAGCGCAGGGGCCGGGAAGGCGGCGGAGACCCCCGCCCCTCGCACCCGGGTCCAGGCCCCGTAGCTCCCGACCCGCAGTGCCCGCCCGGAGTGGGGCAAACCTGCGCTCTGGCCGGCCAGGTCACCGGCCCAAGGTCACTCGGAGGGAAGGGCGAGCCTGGGCCCTTGTAAATGTTGCTTTCCTTCCAGACTTTTAAACTCTTTATTTTGTTGTTTTGTATTATTTATTTGTTCGTTTATTTTTAAAGGCAGAATCTGGCTCTGTCGCCCAGGCTGGAGTGCAGTGGCGCGATCTTGGCTCACTGCAGCCTTGACCTCCTGGGCTCAGGTGATCCTCCCACCTTGGCGTCCCCAGGAGCTGAGATCACACGTGCGCCACCACGCCCGGCTAATTTTTGTATTTTTCGCAGAGACGGGGTTTTGCCATGTTGGCCAGGCTGGTCTCAAACACCTGCCCTCAGGTGATCCGCCTGCCTCGGCCTCCAAAGTGCTGGGATTACAGACGTGAGCCACCTCGCCCAGCCTACTTAATTTAAACTTTCTTAAAAATTAGCCTCTGTGGCTGGTGGCCACTGTATTGCATGGTGCCCTTCTCTCCTGTGGGTGCAGTGCTGTTTACCTGCTCAGCCTCCTGTTGCTGGACACTATCTTGTTGCCAGCGTTAGCCTCTGTGGGACATGGGTGTGGTGGGCAGAGTCGTGACTCCGTAGAGGGGTCCACGTCCTAATCCTCGGAAGGTGTGACGACATTACCTCACGTGTCAGAGGTTCTCGCTGATGTGTTAAGTGAAGCATCTTTTTTTTTTTTGAGACAGAGTTTCGCTGTTGTTGCCCAGGCTGGAGTGCAATGGCACGACCTCGGCTCACCACAACCTCCACCTCCCGGGTTCAAGCGATTGTCCGGCCTCAGCCTCCTGAGTAGCTGGGATTACAGGCATGTGCCACCACGCCTGTCTAATTTTGTATTTTTAGTAGAGACGAGGTTTCTCCATGTTGGTCAGGCTGGTCTTGAGCTCCCGACCAAAGGGGATCTGGCCACCTTGGCCTCCCAAAGTGCTGGGGTTACAGGCGTGAGCCACCGTGCCCGGCCAAGTGAAGGATCTTATGATTATCATGTAGTCTTTTTTTTTTTTTGGAGACAGGGTCTCTCTGTCACCCAGGCTGGAGTGCAGTCATGCTGTCACAGCTCACTGCAGCCTCACCCTCCCTGGGCTCAGGTGGTCCTCCCACTTCAGCCTCCCGAGTAGCTGACTCTACAGGCGTGCACCACCAAGCCCTGCTAATTTTTGTATTTTTAGTAGAGATGGGGTGTCAGCATGTTGGCCATGGCTGGTCTCGAACTCCTGACCTCAAGTGATCCTCCTGTCTTGGCCTCCCAAAGTGCTGGGATTACAGGTGTGAGGCACTGTGCCGGTCCTGCCTTGTAGTCTTATAGGGTCCTTATAAGAGGGAGCAGGAGGCTCAGTCAGAGGGGAGATGGAAGATAGAAGGAGAGGTTGTTGGGTGTGGTGGCTCACGCCTGTAATCGCAGCACTTTGGGAGGCCAAGGCAGGCGGATCACAAGGTCAGGAGTTCGAGACCAGCCTGACCAACGTGGTAAAACTCTGTCTCTACTAAAAATACAAAAGAAATTAGCCAGGTGTGGTGGCATGTGCCTGTAATCCCAGCCACTCAGGAGGCTAAGGCAGGAGAATCGCTTGAACCTGTGAGGCGAAGGTTACAGTGAGCTGAGATTGAGCCACTGCACTCCAGCCTGGGCGACAGAGCGAGACTCTGTCTCAAAAATAAATAAGTAAATAAATAAATAAATAAAGGAGAGGTTCCAGTGAGGATGCAGGTTGAAGATGGAGGCGGGGCCAAGAGTGGAGGAATGTGGCGGTCTGTAGGAGCTGGAAGTGGATTCTTCCCTAGAGCCTCCAGAAGGAACCTGACTCTACCAATACCTTGATTTATTCCAGTGAGACATGTTTTGGACTCTTGACCTGCCGAACTGGAGGAGGATGCACTTATGTGGTTTTAAGCCACTAAGTCTGTGGTAATGCGTACAGCAGCCTTGGGAATCTCGTGCAGCGGGCATTTTAAATTTAAATTTAAATTTTTTTGAGACAGAGTCTCGCTCTGTTGCCCAGGCTGGCACCATTTCGACTCACTGCAACCTCCGCCTTCCAGGTTCAAGCAATTCTCGTGCCTCAGCCCCCTGAGTAGCTGAGATTACAGGTGTGCACCACCACGCCTGTGAAGGGGTGGCCTGCCCCTCCACACCTGTGGGTATTTCTAGTTGGGTGGGACGAGAGACTGAGAAAAGAAATAAGACACAAAGTATAGAGAAACAACAGTGGGCCCAGGGGACCGGCGCTCAGCATACCAAGGACCTGCACCGGCACCGGCCTCTGAGTTCCCTCAGTTTTTACTGATTATTATCTTCATTATTTCAGCAAAAAGGAATGTAGTAGGAGAGCAGGGTGATAATGAGGTCAGCAAAAACCATGTGAGCAAAAGAATCTATGACATAATTAAGTTCAAGGGAAGGTACTATGCCTGGACGTGCACGTAGGCCAGATTGATGTTTCTCTCCACCCAAACATCTCAGCGGAGTAAAGAATAACAAGGCAGCATTGCTGTAAACATGTCTCGCCTCCCGCCATAGGGCGGCTTTTCTCCTGTCTCAGAATTGAACAAATGTACAATCAGGTTTTATACCGAGACATTCAGTTCCCAGGGTCAGGCAGGAGACAGTGGCCTTCCTCTCTCTCAACTGCAAGAGGCTTTCCTCTTTTACCAATCCACCTCAGCACAGACCCTTTACGGGTGTTGGGCTGGGGGACGGTCAGGTCTTTCTCATCCCACGAGGCCATATTTCAGACTATCCCACGGGGAGAAACCTTGGACAATACTCTGTGTTCAAGGGCAGAGGTCCCTGCAGCTTTCTGCAGTGCATCGTGCCCCTGGTTTATTGAGACTAGAGACTGGCGATGACTTTTACCAAGTATACTGCTTGGAAACATTGTGTTAACAAGGCACTTCCTGCACAGCCCTAGATCCCTTAAACCTTGATTTCATACAACACAGGTTTTTGTGAGCTCCAGATTGGGTCAAAGTGGCTGGGTCAAAGCTACAAATTAACAACATCTCAGCAAAGCAATTGTTCAAAGTACAGGTCTTTTTCAAAATGGAGTCTCTTATGTCTTTCCTTTCTATATAGACACAGTAACAGTCTAATCTCTCTTTTCCCTACACATCTGGCTAATTTTTGTATTTTAAGTAGAGACGGGGTCTCGCCATGTTTGCCAGGCTGGACTCGAACTCCTGACCTCAAGTGATCCGCCCCCGCCCCCCCCCACCCCCAAAACTTTGGCCTCCCAAAGTGCTGGGATTACAGGTGCAAGCCCCCTCACCTGGCCGGGAATCTCATGCAGTGAGCATTTATAAAATAATGACTGTCACTTGCTGAAGGCGTTCCACACGCCAGACACTGGGTGGAGCCACTTATGGAGAACATGACAGAGGTCCCTTGGTGTGATGTGATGATGTCTGTGTTTCAGTTGGGGTATGTGAGTGAGCTCAGACAAGGTTGCCTGAGATCATTCAGTCAGGGGCACGTGGGGTGAGAGTGGGCCCACAGGACTGACCGTGCCGCTTCTCACCCTCAGGGACTATGTCACCGGTGGGGCTTGCCCCAGCAAGGCCACCATCCCTGGGAAGACGGTCATCGTGACGGGTGCCAACACAGGCATCGGGAAGCAGACCGCCTTGGAACTGGCCAGGAGAGGTAAAATCTCCCCTGCTTTGGCTCTCAGAGAGATATCTGTACATCCATGCTCACTGCAGCATTATTCACAGTCCGGAGGTGGAAGGAACCCAGGCACCCATCCACAGATGAACAGGGAAACAGAATGTGGCTTCTATAGACAGGGGCATATGATTCAGCCTTAAAAAGGAAGGGCATTCTGGCCGGGCGCGGTGGTGCACGCCTGTAATCAGTACTTTGGGAGGCCAAAGCTGGCGGATCACGAGGTCAGGAGTTCGAGACCAGCCTAACCAACATGGTGAAACCCCCTCTCTACTAAAAATACAAAAATTAGCCAGGAGTTGTGGTGGGCACCTGTAGTCCCAGCTGCTTGGGAGGCTGAAGCAGGAGAATCGCTTGAACCTGAGAGGCAGGGGTTGCAGTGAGCAGAGATGGCGCCACGGCACTCCAGCCTGGGTGACAGAGTGAGACTCAAAAACAAAACAAAACAAAGCAAAACAAAAAAAAGGGCATTGAAACAGATGAACCTTGAGGACATTCCATGAAGTGAAATAAGCCAGTCGACAGAAGAGCAAATACGGTATGATTCCACTTACAGGAGCTACCTACAGTTAAATTCATAGAGAAGTTGGAATGGTGCTTGCCAGGGGTCAGGAGGGGAGGGGAGAATGGGGAGTTACTGTTTAATGGAAACGGAAGTTTAGTTTGGCAAGATGAAACAATTTGAGAGATGGATGGTTGTAATGGTTGCACAACATTAGGAATTATTATTATTGTTTTTTTTTTTTTGAGATGGAGTTTTGCTCTTGTCGCCCAGGCTGGAGTGCAGTGGCATGATCTTGGCTCACTGCAACCTTCGCCTCCCGGGTTCAAGCAATTCTCCTGCCTCAGCCACCCGAGTAGCTGGGATTACAGGCATGCAACACCACACCCAGCTAAGTTTGTAATGTGTTGGCCAGGCTGGTCTTGAACTCCTGACCTCAGGTGATCCACCTGCCTTGGTCTCCCAAAGTGCTGGGATTACAGGTGTGAGCCACCATGCCCGGCCCAGCCATAAATGTTTTTAATACCAATGAACTGGACACTTAAAAATGGCTAAGAGGGCGGGTCTCGGTGGCTCACATCTATAATTCCAGCACTTTTGGAGGCTGAGGCAGGAGGATCACTTGAGGCCAGGGGTTCCAGACCAGCCTGGACACCATAGCAACACCCCCATCTCTACCAGAGTTAGCCAGGCATGCTGGCACAGGTGGTACCTATAGTCCCAGGTCACTTGAGCCTAGGAGTTCAAGGCTGAATGAGCTGTGATGGCGCCAGCACTCCAGCCGCGGCAGCAGAGTGAGACTGACTCAAAAAAAAAAAAATAATAATAAACAAAAAGAAAAGGGGGTTAAGATGATAAATTTTAAGTGATTTGTATTTTACCACAACAAAAAAAATTGGAGGCTGGGCATTGTGGCTTATTTGTAATCCCAGTACTTTGGGAGGCCGCGGGGTGGATCACCTGAGGTCAGAAGTTCAAGACTAGCTTGGCTAACATGGTGAAACCGCTGTCTCTACTAAAAATAAAAAAATAAAAAATTAGCTAGTTGTGGTAGGTGCCTGTAATCCCAGCTACTCGGGAGGCTGAGGCAGGAGAATTGCTTGAACCCAGGAGGTGGAGGTTGCAGTGAGCCGAGATTGCGCCACCGCACTCCAGCCTGGGTGACAGAGTGAGACTCCATCTAAAAAAAAAAAAAAAAGGAGAGGATGGGGAATCCTCTTGCCTTGGCCTCCCAAAGTGCTGGAATTACAGGTGTGAGCCACCGTGCCCGACCAATTCAGTGATGTTTAGTATAGTCACAGAATGATGCAACCATCTTTAAAATCAATCTTAGAACATCTGTTACCCTAGAAAGAAACCTGCTCACTGTAACTATCAAGCTGTAATTCCCTCTCCCCACCCCCTGCCCTAGAAAACCAAGAATCTATTTTCTTTCTCTATGGATTTGCCTATTCTGGGCGTTTCATAGGTGTGAAATCATATACATAGAATTCATGTAAATGGGATTGTACGCTGTGTGGTCTTTCGTGTCTGGTTTCTTTCCCCGAGCACAGTGTTTCTGACGGTCATCCTTGCTGTAGCATGAGCCAGTGCTTCACTCCTTTTCACGGCCGTCTAATATTCCATCTCTATGGATGGACCACATTTTGTTGTCCCTTCATCCACAGATGGGCATTTGGTTGTTTCTACCTTTTGGCTTTTGTGAAGAATGCCGCAGTGAACATTGGTGGATGTGTTTTTGTGTAGACGTATGTTTTCATGTCTCTGGGGTCAGTACCCAGGAGTGGATTATTAATTTAAATCTTTTTCCATCCTGGGTTTTCAGGAGGCAACATCATCCTGGCCTGCCGAGACATGGAGAAGTGTGAGGCGGCAGCAAAGGACATCCGCGGGGAGACCCTCAATCACCATGTCAACGCCCGGCACCTGGACTTGGCTTCCCTCAAGTCTATCCGAGAGTTTGCAGCAAAGATCATTGAAGGTAGGAGAACGCTGGCCATGTGGGATGAGGACTGGGATAGGCGGCTCCCAGGGCCAGGCTCTGAGAAGTGAATGAAGCAAGCAAACTTTAGAGCAGAGTTTTGGCAAACTATGAGTTAGGGGCCAAGTCCAGTTGCTGCCTTTTTTTGTACAGCCTGCAAGCAACGACTTTATTTATTTATTACTACTGTTATTTTGAGAGGGAGTCTCACTCTGTCGGCCAGGCTGAGTGCAATGGCGCGATCTCGGCTCACTGTAACCTCTGCCTCCTGGGTTCAAGCGCGGACCTCAGCCTCCTGAGTAGCTGGGATTAAGATGCCTGCTACCATACCCTGCTAATTTTTGTATTTTTAGTAGAGACGGGGTTTCACCACGTTGGCCAGGCTGGTCTGGAACTCCTGACCTCAGGTGATTCTCCTGCCTCAGCCTCCCAGAGTGCTGGGATTACAGGCGTGGGCCACTGCGCCCGGCTGACTTTGTTTTGTTTGTTTGTTTTGAGACAGATGGGGTCTCGCTCTGTTGCCCAGGCTGGAGTGCAGTGGTGTGATCTTGCCTCACTGCAACCTCCGTCTCCCGATTTCAAATGATTCTCCTGCTTCAGCCTCCTGAGTAGCTGGGATTACAGGCACCCGCCACCGTGCCTGGCTAATTTTTTGTGTTTTAGGTAGAGACAGGGTTTCACCATGTTGGTCAGGCTGGTCTCGAACTCCTGACCTCAGGTGATCTGCTTCCCTTGGCCTCCCAAAGTGCTGGGATTACAGGTGTGAGCCACCGTGCCCTACCTGAATAATTAGTTTGTTTGAGACAGGATCCATCTCTGTCACCCAGGCTAGAGTGCAGTGGTGCAGTCATGGCTCACTGCAGTCTCAACCTGCTGGGCTCAAGGGATCCTCCCACTTCAGCCTCCCAAGTAGCTGGGAGTACAGGCATACGCCACCACACACAGCTAATTATTGTTTTATTGTTTTGTTTTGTTTTTAGAGCTGGGGTTTCACCATGTTGCTCAGGCTGGTCTCCAACTCCTGGGCTCAAGTGATCCACCCAGGTCAGCTTCCCACAGTGCTGGGATTACAGGCGTGAGCCACCGCACCTGACCTTATTAAGCATTTATTGATCAAGTGCCTTCCCCACCATGGTTAAAGAAATATGTGTTTGTTATGGGACATTTATAAAATACTGCAATGTAAAGAAGACAGAACTGGCTGGGCACAGTGGCTCACGCCTGTTAATCCCAGCACTTTGGGAGGCTGAGGCAGGTGGATCCCTTGAGGTCAGGAGTTCGAGACCAGCCTGGCCAACATGGTGAAACCCTGTCTCTACTAAAAATACAAAAATTAGCCAGGCGTGGTGGTGCACACCTGTAATCTCAGCTACTCAGGGTGCTGAGGCAGGAGAATTGCTTGAACCCAGGAGGCGGAGGTTGCAGTGAGCTGAGATTGTGCCAGTGCACTCCAGCCTGGGTGACAGAGTGAGACTCTGTCTCAATAAAAAAGAAGACAGAACTAAACAACTTTGATCTGCACCAGCCCCAGGAGAATCACTTTTATGGATCTTTCTAGTCTTGTTTATAATAGGTTTGTGTGTGTATTTATATATTTTTATGTAAAACTGGGACCATCCTCTAGCTTTTCTATTCTTGTTCATCTTTAAATAGACTCAAGAATACACTAAAATTATTTATTGTTTAGTTGACATGTATACTTGTATATATTATGTACAGCATGATGTACATTGTATACATTGTAGAATGGCTAAATCAAGCTAATTAACATATGCATTACCTCAAATACTTACCTGTTTTTGTGGTGACCACATTTAAAATCTCTTCTCTTAGGATTGCTTGAGCTCAGGAGTTAGAGACCAGCCTAGGAAGCATAGTGAGACCTTGTGTGTACCAAAGATTAAAAAAAAAAAAAAATTAGCCGGGCATCCTGGCATGTGCCTACAGTCCCAGCTACTCAGGAGGCTGAGGCAAGAGGATCACTTGAGCCCGAGAGTTCAAGGCTGCAGTGAGCCGTATTTGTGCCACTGCACTCTAACCTGGATGACAGAGCAAGACCTTTTTTTTGAGATGGAGTCTTGCTCTGTCACCCAGGCTGGAGTGCAATGATGCGATCTTGGCTCACTGCAGCCTCCGCCTCCTGGGTTCAAGCGATTCTCCTGCCTCAGCCTCCCAAGACTATAGGCGGGTGCCACCATGCCCGGCTAATTTTTGTATTTTTAGTAGAGACGGGGTTTCACTATGTTGGCCAGGCTGGTCTCGAATTCCTGACCTTGTGATCCGCCTGCCTCAGCCTCCCAAAGTGCTGGGATTACAGGCATGAGCCACCATGCCCAGCTGCTTTGTTTCTTTTCTAGTCTGGCACTGAAAGGGCCAAAGCTTTCTTCTTCAGAGTCAATGTGCCCCGCTCAGTAAACGGGTACTCAGGAAATGAACAAGGAATGGGGGAGTTGTGGGACCTCATTTATTTAGCAGACGTGATCTCAGACCTGACCAGGTGCTGGAGGTGTGAGATGAACCAGAGCTGTCCTTGTGCCACTCACAGCCCTAGGGAGGCAGGTGCAGGTGCACATTCGTTGGTTCATTCATTCATTCATACTGAGCCCCTGCTGTGCCCTTGGGGATCAAGAAAGAGCCGGCACTGTTGTCGGGTAGGTGAGAGGCACTACGGTGAGATCACAAAGAACAGTGAGAGGGCAATGCCTCAGAGTCTCAGAGGTGGATGAACATTTATTAAGCACCTGCTGTGTACCAGGTACAGCACTGTCACCTTCATGCACACTGTCCCAGGCAATCCCACCCAGGGCGCCTCTGATCCTGTCTCTGGCTTGTGGACACAGGTGTCCGGAGCACTGAGGTCCCTGAGACAGTGAGGACCCCGGCTGGACACACCTGGGCAGGTGATGCCTCCTCTCTTAGCCACACGTTCCTCTTCCGGGAAATGGAATAATTCCTTCTATTTTCTGGGATTCTCTAGAGGGGTTTTTTTTTTTTTCTGAGACGGTATCTTGCTTTGTCGCCCAGGCTGGAGGACAGTGGCACATCTCGGCTCACTCCAAGCTCCGCCTCCCGGGTTCATGCCATTCTCCTGCCTCAGCCTCCCGAGTGGCGGGGGACTACAGGCGCCTGCCACCACGCCCGGCTAATTTTTTATATTTTTTACTAGAGACGGGGTTTCACCGTGTTAGCCAGGATGGTCTCGATCTCCTGACCTCATGATCCAGCCACCTCGGCCTCCCAAAGTGCTGGGATTACAGGCATGAGCCACCACGCCCAGCCTCTCTAGAGGATTAAGTAAAGCTGTGTCTGTGACTTTTTTAGCAAATCAAGTACCAGCTTCTTGGTGTTTTCCTAAGATCAACAGCCAGGAATAAAGACAGCAGTGGATTTAAAAATAGTGAAGATCGTCCATTTTATGTGGTGTGTATTCTACCACACTGGGGCAGGCCAGGTGCAGCGGTTCACGCCTGTCATCCCGGCACTTTGGGAGACAGAAGTTTTGGGAAGATCAGTTTGTGAGATGACACTCTGACAAAGCTGGAAGCTGTGGCTCTTCCCAGCTCCCGACTAGAAAGAACACAAAGCAAAGAGCCCCAGGAAGCAGGTACCCACAGCCTTGTTTATCAGGGAGTTTGAGATCAGCCTGGGCAACATAGCAAGACCTCATCTCTACAAAAAATACAAAACAATCAGGCAGGCGTGCAGGCTCACGCCTGTAATCCCAGCACTTTGGGAGGCTGAGGCGGGCGGATCACAAGGTCAGGAGATCGAGACCATCCTGGCCAACACGGTGAAACCCCGTGTCTACTAAGAAACACAAAAAAATTAGCCGGGCGTGGTGGCGGGCACCTGTAACCCAGCTACTTGGGAGGCTGAGGCAGGAGAATGGCGTGAACCCGGGAGGTGGAGCTTGCAGTGAGCCGAGATGGCGCCACTGCACTCCAGCCTGGGTGACAGAGTGAGACTCCATCTCAAAAAAAAAATAAAAAACAATGAGGCAGGCGTGATGGTGTGCACTTGTAGTCCCAACTACTTGGGAGGTGGAGGTGGGAGGATTGCTTGAGCCTGGGAGGTTGAGGCTGCAGTGAGGGATTTTTTTTTTTTTTTTTTAAGACGGAGTTTTGCTCTTGTTGCCCAGGCTGGTGCAATGACGGGATCTTGGCTCACGGCATCCTCCACCTCCTGGGTTCAAGTGATTCTCCTGCCTCAGCCTCCCGAGTAGCTGGGATTACAGGCATGCGCCACCACGCCCGGCTAATTTTGTATTTTTAGTAGAGACGGGGTTTCTTCCTGTTGGTCAGGCTGCAACCTCCATCTCCTGGTTTCAAATAATTCTCCTGCCTCAGCCTCCTGAGTAGCTGGGATTACAGGCACCTGCCACCATGCCCGGCTACTTTTTTGTTTTAGGTAGAGACAGGGTTTCACCATGTTGGTCAGGCTGGTTGACCTCAGGTGATCTGCCCGCCTCGGCCTCCCAAAGTGCTGGGATTACAGATGTGAGCCACCACGCCCGGCCTGCAGTGAGCTTTGATTGTACCACTGCACTCGGGGTGAGACCCTGTGTCCAAAAAAAAAAAAAAAAAAAAAAAGTTGAGGCAGTTCCCAGATAAACAAAACAACAGGCCAGGCACTGTGGCCCACGCCTGCAATCCCAGCACTTTGGGAGGCCGAGGTGGGCGAATTGCCTAAGCTCAGAAATTCGAGACCAGCCTAAGCAACATAGCCAAACCCCATTTCTACAAAAAATTTTAAAAGTAGCTGCTTGTGGTGTCGGGCGCCTGTGGTTCAGCTATGTGGAAGGCTGAGGTGGGAGGATCGTTTGAGCCCTGGCGGCGGAGGTTGCTGTGAGCTGAGATCGCGCCACTGCACTCCAGCCTGGGCCACTGAGTGAGCTTCCCTCTCATAAAAAGAAAAAAAAAAAAACAGGCTGGGCGCGGTGGCTCACACCTGTAATCCCTGCACTTTGGGAGGCAGAGGCGGGTGGATCACGAGGTGAAGAATTCAAGACCAGCCTGACCAAGATGGTGAAACCCCGTCTCTACTAAAAATGCAAAAATTAGCAGGGTGCGGTGGCGGGCACCTGTAATCCCAGTACTCGGGAGGCTGAGGCAGCAGAATCGCCTGAACCCAGGCGGTAGAGGTTGCAGTGGGCCATGGGCCAAGATCACACCACTGCACTCCAGCCTGGGTGGCAGAGTGAGACTTCATCTCAAAAAAAAAAAGAAAAAAAACCAAAACAAAACACCAGAAGCTGGCGGCACTCCTGGGCGCCCAGCTGTGAGTGGAGTCTCCCTGTCCCGCCTTTGGGCCTTACCCGTGCTGCGCCTGCTGCCTGCATCCCCCTTCCCTGGGTCTCCGCACGTGGGCCCTGCCTCATTTTCCCGGTCCCAGTTTCTGCGTCACCTCCTGAGAGGGGCCTCCTGTCAGCTTCCACGCAGCTCTGTCACGGGTAGATTCTCTCACGAGTGGAAGTGGCTCTCAGCTGCACTGGAATGTCCGGTCCACACGGACGGGGCCTCGGCTGTGCTGTCCACCCTGTATTTCCAGTGCCCAGTAATAGGTGCTTAGAAAATACTTACTGAATGAGTAAGTATACAGTTGTACCAGGCAGGTGATGTTATTATCCTTTTTTTTTTTTTTTTTTTACAAGGAGTAAACTGAGTCACAGAGAAGTGATGTGACTTGGCCAGGATCATGCAGCTGGTCGGGGTGGAGCCAGGCTTTGAACCTGTCTGTCCTGCTCCAGAGCTGGTATTCATGACGGGTGTGCTGCAACCCCCTCCTTCTCACACAGAGAACCAGATGGTGTCTGTGTGTTACGCGCTGGACACCTAATTCACGATCCCCGCCGAAAACCACTTCGGGAGCATTATGAATTCCATTGTGTCCTCCACCCCCAAGGATAGGTTGGGATCCTGAACCCCCATCCCTCAGCATGTGACTTCATTTAGAGGTGGGTGTTTACAGAGGTCCTGAAGTGAAAATGAGGTCATTAGGGTGGGCCCTAATCCAGTGACTGGTGTCCTTATGAAAAGGGGAGATTTGCGCACAGAAACAGACGTGCTAGCTGGGCATGGTGGCGCATGCCTGTGGCCCCAGCTACTTGGGAGGCTGAGCAAGAAGACTGCTTGAGCCTGGGAGGTTGAGGCTGCAGTGAGCAGTGATTGCGCCACTGTACTCCAGCCCAGGTGTCAGAGGGAGACCCTGTCTCAAAGAAATATAAAAAATAGGCCAAGTAGACTGAGTGTGGTGGCTCACGCCTGCAGTCCCAGCACTTTGGGAGGCTGAGGTAGGTGGATCACGAGGTCAGGAGTGTGAGACTAGCCTGGCCAACATGGTGAAGCCCCGTCTCTACTAAAGATACAAAAAATTAACCCGGTGTGGTGGTGGATGCCTGTAGTCCAGCTACTTGGGAGGCTGAGGCAGGAGAATTGTTTGAACCTGGGAGGCAGAGGTTGCAGTGAGCCAAGATCGCACCATTGCACTCCAGCCTGGGTGACAAGAGTGAAACTCCATCTCCCCCCCCCAAAAAAAAAAAAATAGGCTGGGGGCAGTGAAATTGCAGCACTCTGGGAGGCCAAAGCAGGAGGATTGCTTGAGTTCAAGAGTTTGAGACCAGCCTGGGCAACATAGTGAGACCATGTCTGAAAAATCTAAAATTAAAAAAGGAAAAATGAAAAAAAAAAAAGAGACAGCTCCAAAGGGAAGAGGAAGGGAAGAGGGAGAGAGGAGATGGTCACCTGTGAGCCAAGGAGAGAGACCAGAGCGGATCCTCCCTGAGGGCCCTGAGAGGGAACCAGCCCTGCCCACACCTTGATCTGGGACTTCCAGCCTCTGGGACTGTGATTTTTTTTTTTTTTTTTGAGATGGAGTTTTGCTTTTATTGCCCAGGATGGAGTGTAATGATGCGATCTCGGCTCACTGCACCCTCTGCCTCCTGGTTTCAAGCGATTTTCCCGCCTCAGCCTCCTGAGTAGCTGGGATTACAGGTGCATGCCACCACGCCTGGCTAATTTTGTATTTTTAGTAAAGACGCGGTTTCTCCATGTTGGCCAGGCTGGTCTCAAACTCCTGACCTCAGGTGATCTGCCCACCTCGGCCTCCCAAAGTGCTGGGATTACAGGCGTGAGCCACTGTGCCCGGCCAGGTCTGTGAGGTTTTAAACCACCTGTCTGTGGCACTTTGTTACGGAACCCGAGCTGAGTGGTACAGGGAGGAAGGCCCTGTGGTTCAGCGCATTTTACAGCTGAGGAAACTGAGGCTGCAGTCTCCATCTGTGTGTCCTTTGGTTGCTTGTATGAGTGAGGTGGCAGGTTTGGGAATGAAACCACGCCTGCGGTGCCGGGGCTCCCACCGGTAACCTCCCGTTTTTGGCCTCGGGGCTCCGGCAGGAAGGAGTCCCAAGGCTTAGATGGAGGTGCGGAGGGCGTGTGAGTGTCCTGGAGCTGCTGTAACAATGTACTGCAAACCCAGTGGCTTACACCCTCAGACGTGCATTCCCTCACGGTTCCGGAAGCCGGCAGTCTGAATCGCGGTGTCCCTGTGGCTGTGACCTGTGAGACGGGCCATAATCCTCCCAGCCTCTTCCACTTCCAGCGGGGGCGGCCCACCCTCACCTTGGAGCTGTGCCTCTCCGGTCTTTGCCTCTGTCCACACATGGCCTTCTCCCCATGTGTCTCTGTCTCTGTTTTCCCTTCCTATAAGGACACCAGTCATTGGATTAGGGCTCACCCTAATGACCGCATCCTGACATGGCCACTTCGGCACAGACCCTGTTTCCGGCACAGGCCACATTCACAGGTTGTGGGAGCACAGGAGTGTTTCTGCTGGTGCATCAGGCTGGGGTCTGTCCTCACCGGGATGTCTCCTCCTCCACCCCTCTCTTCCAGAGGAGGAGCGAGTGGACATTCTAATCAACAACGCGGGTGTGATGCGGTGCCCCCACTGGACCACCGAGGACGGCTTCGAGATGCAGTTTGGCGTTAACCACCTGGGTGAGGCCTGGGCAGGGGCTGCACCATGGGTTCAAGCGATCCTCCCCCGTCGTCCTCCCAAAGTGCTGGGATTTTAGGTGTGAGTCAAAAGTGACCTTTTCATCATCCTTAATCCAGGTCACTTTCTCTTGACAAACTTGCTGCTGGACAAGCTGAAAGCCTCAGCCCCTTCGCGGATCATCAACCTCTCGTCCCTGGCCCATGTTGCTGGGCACATAGACTTTGACGACTTGAACTGGCAGACGAGGAAGTATAACACCAAAGCCGCCTACTGCCAGAGCAAGCTCGCCATCGTCCTCTTCACCAAGGAGCTGAGCCGGCGGCTGCAAGGTACGGGGGCGCTAGGCTCGGCCTCCCTCTTGCTTTACTCTGAGCCTAGAGCGGCCTTTCCATGATCCTAGGCTGATGGGAGGCCAAACGGTGGATCCAGAACAGAGTCAGCAAAAGTAGAGCATGTGGACCACGCTGCCCGCTTCTGGTGCCTGAAGCAGACATCACTAATCGATCGTTCTTCTGAGGATTGTCTGTTCATCCCAGGTGGTCTAGTCTGCCTGGATCAGATGTCCTTCCCTGCTGCTGTTGGGCAGGCAGCTCAGCCTTTTGGCTCCAGCCAGTGAGTCTCAACCAGGGGCAGTTTTGACCCGCAGTTGTCAATGCCTGGAAACACAGTGATCACAGCTGGCTTGGGGAGAGATTGCTCTGGGCATCTGGAGGGTAAAGGCCCAGATGCTCTCAATGTCCTACAGCGCACGGGATGGCCCCTCACTCCTCCCAACCCACAGCATCCACAGTGCTGAGATTGAGAAATCTGTGCTAGGCCTTTGCTTCTGAAAGACGGTCTGTGGACCAGCGGTGCCAGCCCCACTGGGAGCTGGTCAGAGTTACAGTATCTTAGGTCCCACCGCCACGCACCGATGCAGGCTCCCGGGGTAAGCTCAGCGTTCTGGGTTTATGAAGCCCTCCAGGAAAGCTCGGCTCCCAGCAGCCATGTGGCAGAGCCGCTCCGCAAGATAAGACCACTTCACTAAGATTCCAGAGCAAGAGGGACGATGGGGTTTGAGTGCAGGAAGCAGCCTGGTGCCCGGAAGCCCCACAGCTGGGTGTGGGCTGCCACAGCCTCCCAGGTGAGGCTGGACCCCTCCCTCAGTCTTCTCTTTCTTTCTTCCCCAGGCTCTGGTGTGACTGTCAACGCCCTGCACCCCGGCGTGGCCAGGACAGAGCTGGGCAGACACACGGGCATCCATGGCTCCACCTTCTCCAGCACCACACTCGGTGAGTCCCCTCCCAGCCTGGGGTCTCCACGTGGAGCCCTCCACCCCTGCTTTCTCAGCCCAGGGCCCAGGACCCTCCCTCAGAGACCGTCCCTGAGGCCTCATGCCTGCTCCTCGCCTACGTCTTCTGAGGCACAGAGCACAGGTCCCTTTCCTCCGTTGACCTGGCCTGCCAGCCTCTAACAGCCCCGGGAAGCAGGCAGAGCCCTGCTGGCGGATGAGAAAACCGTGTCTCAGAGGAAGAGGCCGTGGAGCTGACGCCTGGAGTCAGGCTGTACTCAGGGTAACTCCAGCTTCACCCCAAACCAGCTGCACCTCCTGGGGAAGAGCTGTTACCCCTCTGAGCCTGTTTCTTCATCTGCAGAGTGCAGGCCTTAATAGGACTCACCTCACAGTCACTGGGGGGGTTATACGAGACCTTCCTTGAAAGGGCCAGCACAGGACCCCGCCCAGAGAATAGGTGGAACAAACAGTTGGAGCTTTACTTACTTATTTTTGAGATGAAGTCTTGCTCTGTCGCCCAGGCTGGAGTACAATGGCATGATCTCCACTCACTGCAACTTCCACCTCCCAGGTTCAAGCGATTCTCCTGTCTCCAAGTAGCTGGGATTACAGGTGCACACCACCACACCCAGCTAGAGGTGGGGTTTCACCATATTGGTCAGGCTAGTCTCAAACTCCTGACCTCAGGTGATCCAACTGCCTCCCAAAGTGCTGGGATTACAGGTGTGAGCCACCACCCCCAGGCAGTTCATGCTTTATGACTAGTGTTTATAATCCTGAAAAACATGGAGTGGGTGATTGGTTGGCATCAAGAATCTTAACTTGGCGAGGCTAATAGCCACGCCTGTAATCCCAGCACTTTGGGAGGCTGTGGTGGGCGGATTACCTCAGGTCAGGAGTTCGAGACCAGCCTGGCCACCATGGTGAAACCCCGTCTCTACTAAAAATACAAAAATTAGCCAGGTGTGGTGGTGTGCACCTGTAGTCCCAGCTACTCAGGAGGCTGAGGCAGGAGAATCGCTTGAACCCGGGAGGCAGAGGTTGCAGTGAGCTGAGATCACACCACTGCACTCCAGCCTGGGTGACAGAGCAAGACACCAGGTCTCAATAAATAAATAAATAAATGTCTTTTTTTTTTTGAGACGGAGTTTTGCTCGTCACCCAGGCTGGAGTGCAGTGGCACAATCTTGGCTCACTCCAACCTCTGCCTCCTCGGTTCAAGTGATTCTCCTGTCTCAGCCTCCCAAAGTAGCTGAGATTGCAGGCGCCCACCACCACACCCAGCTAAGTTTTTATTTTTAGTTGAGACAGGGTTTCACACGTTGGCCAGGCTGGTCTTGAACTCCTGACCTCAGGTGATCCACCTGCCTCAGCCTCCCAAAGTGCTGGGATTACAGGCGTGAGTCACCACGCCCAGCCCTTTTTTTTTTTTTTTTTTGAGACGAAGTCTTGCTATTGTCACCCAGGCTGGAGTGCAATGGTGTGATCTTAGCTCACTGCAACCTCCGCCTCCCAGGTTCAAGGGATTCTCCTGCCCCAGCCTCCCGAGCAGCTGGGATTACAGGCACCCGCCACCACACCCAGTTAATTTTTGTATTTTTAGTAGAAATGGGGTTTCACCATGTTGGCCAGGCTGGTCTGGAACTCCCGACCCCAGGTAATCCGCCCGCCTCGGCCTCCCAAAGTGCTGGGATTACAGGCCTGAGCCACCTCGCCTGGCCAAAAAAAGATCCTTAACCTGAGGCTGGTGCCAGGTGCATTTAATAAGATGTTATTAAAGGAGAAATGGGGTAGGGTGAGGACTGGGGCTGACCAAGAGGAAGAGAGCTTCCATTTTCCTGGACAAAGCCAGGAAGGCTCCTTGGGGGAGGCAGCTTTTGGTCTGATCCCTGGTCTGGTGGGATTTGCCTGGGCAGTGCCAGGGAAGGGAACTGCAGATGGAGGCAGCCAAGGGGAAAGGGCTAGAGGAGGGCTCTGTGGGACTCCAGGGACCCGGAGCTCCCTGACCGGGGAGCGGGGCTTCCTTCCTTCTCTCTGAGCGAGTGTGGACTAAATGCCCTGTGGGCTGATTGCAGGGCCCATCTTCTGGCTGCTGGTCAAGAGCCCCGAGCTGGCCGCCCAGCCCAGCACATACCTGGCCGTGGCGGAGGAACTGGCGGATGTTTCCGGAAAGTACTTCGATGGACTCAAACAGAAGGCCCCGGCCCCCGAGGCTGAGGATGAGGAGGTGGCCCGGAGGCTTTGGGCTGAAAGTGCCCGCCTGGTGGGCTTAGAGGCTCCCTCTGTGAGGGAGCAGCCCCTCCCCAGATAACCTCTGGAGCAGATTTGAAAGCCAGGATGGCGCCTCCAGACCGAGGACAGCTGTCCGCCATGCCCGCAGCTTCCTGGCACTACCTGAGCCGGGAGACCCAGGACTGGCGGCCGCCATGCCCGCAGTAGGTTCTAGGGGGCGGTGCTGGCCGCAGTGGACTGGCCTGCAGGTGAGCACTGCCCTGGGCTCTGGCTGGTTCCGTCTGCTCTGCTGCCAGCAGGGGAGAGGGGCCATCTGATGCTTCCCCTGGGAATCTAAACTGGGAATGGCCGAGGAGGAAGGGGCTCCGTGCACTTGCAGGCCACGTCAGGAGAGCCAGCGGTGCCTGTCGGGGAGGGTTCCAAGGTGCTCCGTGAAGAGCATGGGCAAGTTGTCTGACACTTGGTGGATTCTTGGGTCCCTGTGGGACCTTGTGCATGCATGGTCCTCTCTGAGCCTTGGTTTCTTCAGCAGTGAGATGCTCAGAATAACTGCTGTCTCCCATGATGGTGTGGTACAGCGAGCTGTTGTCTGGCTATGGCATGGCTGTGCCGGGGGTGTTTGCTGAGGGCTTCCTGTGCCAGAGCCCAGCCAGAGAGCAGGTGCAGGTGTCATCCTGAGTTCAGGCTCTGCACGGCATGGAGTGGGAACCCCACCAGCTGCTGCTACAGGACCTGGGATTGCCTGGGACTCCCACCTTCCTATCAATTCTCATGGTAGTCCAAACTGCAGACTCTCAAACTTGCTCATTTAAAAGAAAAAAAAAAGAAGAAAATGTACCCGAGTCGTAGATTTTATTTTTCCTCTGTGCATGGGTGAATGCCCATGAGCTGAACAAAGGCAACTCATGGCTTTATTCCTTTTAGGAAACAAGGCATCAGTTTATCACCAGGGCAACAGGCCATGCAAAAGTTCAGACTTGGCCGGGCGCGGTGGATCACGAGGTCAGGAGATCGAGACCATCCTGGCTAACACAATGAAACCCTGTTTCTACTAAAAAAATACAAAAAATTAGCTGGGCATGGTGGTGGGCGCCTGTAGTCCCAGCTACTCGGGAGGCTGAGGCAGGAGAATGGTGTGAAGCTGGGAGGCGGAGATTGCAGTGAGCCGAGATCATGCCACTGCCCTCCAGCCTGGGTGACAGAGCAAGATTCCGTCTCAAAAAAAAAAAAAAGTTCCGACTTTTTAGAGATGAAAGCCCCTTTCACCTGTTTCACAGGAAATAACCGTTTAAGTCCGGGCATCTTACAAGACTGCTGTGTTAGAAACTGGATAGAGATCAGGGTGAGATGAAGGGGCTCTTAGCTTAGGTGCAGAACCGAAGGAGGCACCGAAAAGCTCAGTAATCGAGATAGAAAACATGTTTTCATATTTGAGATACTGGGGAGGCCAGGGATGCTACTCAATATCCCACAGTACACAGAACAGCCACCTAGTCTCGCTCTGTTGCCCAGGCTGGAGTGCAATGGCATGATCTCAGCTCACTGCAACCTGTGTCTCCCATGTTCAAGCGATTCTCATGCCTCAGCCTCCCGAGTAGCTGGGATTACAGGCGCCCACCACCACACCTGGCTAATTAAAGACGGTATCACCATGTTGGCCAGGCTTATCTTGAACTCCTGACCTCAGGTGATCCACCCGTCTTGGCCTCCCAAAGTGCTGGGATTATAGGTGTGAGCCAGTGCACCCAGCCCTTTTTGCTTTTTTAGAGACGAGGTCTTACTGTGTTGCCAAGGCTGGAGTGCAGTGCCGTCACAGCTCACTACAACCTCGACCTGTGATTCTCCTGCCTCAGCCTCCTGAGTATCTGGGACTACAGGTGCATGCCACCACACTTGGCTAATTATTTGTAGAGGTGGCAACATAACATTTGCTATGTTGCCCAGGCTGGTCTCAAACTCCTGGGCTCAAGTGACCCTTCCGCCATGGCCTCCCAAATTGTTGGGATTACAGGCATGAGCCACCGTACCTGGCCTTAGTTTTCTTTCCGATGCCACACCAAATGGCTAGAGGGTGTGTTTGGGATGACCTGAGTCTGGTAGGCAACTTCCAGTGGACCCCACGGTGCGACCACCTCCCTTTGAGTGTGGGGGAGATGTAGCGACTGGCTTCTAGCAGTAGGATAGGGCAGAAGTGACAGTAGGTTAGTCTTGTGGTTAGGTTACAAAACTGACCTCTGTGATGGTAGCGTCCCTCGTCAGCCCTCTTGTCTTGCCCTCTCGCTGGCTGGTGGTGATGGAGCCGGCTGCCATGGTGAGCGGCCCTGTGGAGAAGCCAGGGAGGAATGGAGACAATCTGGAGAAACAGAATCACACCAACAACCACGTGCGTGAGCTTGCTGTGTGCTCTTGCTTGGGAGCAAGTTACAGGTTCAGCCCAAGAGGAGCGGACCACTCCAGGGTGTAAATACCAGGAGGGGGAATTGGAAGACTACCCTAAGCATGCCGACCGGAGACTGTGTGTGTGTAGTAGGTATTTCTTACTGGGAGATCACGGAAAAGCAAGTTTGAGAAACACTCCCATCAGATGGGTGGGCCGAGGATAACCTCAAAGCCTTTGGTTCTCCGAATAGGTGCGTAGGACTCACCCAGGCACTCTTTCCTTTTTTAAATTGTGGTAAAAACTACATAACAGTGGCCAGGCGTGATGGTGCACGCCTGTAATCCCAGCTATTAGGGAGGCTGAGGCAGAAGAACTGCTTGAACCAAGGGGGCACCGCTCCTGGCTGTAACATGTTTTCAATATCCCCCCTCTTCGGTGGCACAGGGGCTGGCCCCATATACATGTGCGATGGCAACTGACAGGGTCCCTGATAAACCGGAGTGCTCCAGAAACACCCCATTGCGTGGGACGGAGGATGTTAGGTGGCCCTCCTAGCGTTTGAGTTTGATAAATGAGCAAAGGAAGTGGTTTTTACTAGAAAGCCAGCTTTCCTTTTTTTTTTTTTTTTTTTTCCAGCCAGCAAACCCCAAACAGGAACCTATGGTTGGTGATGGATGTGCGTTCAGAAAGCAGGGAGGGAGGGGGAGTCAGAGGTGAGGGGGTCATCAGCCATAGCTGTCCGCTGCATCACCCCCTCGCTATCTCCAGGAAGCGTTCTGGGCTTTTCCTGTTGTGCAGTGTGGAAGTGCTCTATCTTCATTCATATCAAGGAAAGTCAAAGGACAAACTAAAGCCGGCAGCGTCTTTCTGGCTTCCTAGTCAGGCTGTTCGGTAGCGGAGTGTCACCCTGATTTCCAGCCCCGCAGCACACACAGTGAGAGCCTGCCTGGCGTGATTCAGAGGCAACGTATTTCCCAAGGTGGCTGTGAAGGAACCAGGGGGATAAACACAGCCCGTGAACCGCACGCCAGAGGACAGGTCCGGCTGCCTGCCGCGGAGTCGTCACGGCGTGTCGCGTCTGAGCGCTTCTCCAAAGCACCCAAGTGGCACCCGGGGTGACAGTTACATCATCTTGAGTACAGTTCTCTCAAGGAAAAAGCAAGCCCAGCATCTTCTGCCATGGCAACCCTGGCTTGGAGCCTCCATAAGAGAGAAGGCCCTAAGAATAATACCATTTTCTTGCTCTAAGTTGCTCTTACGGGAAAGAAGTGATAATATTCTTCCTAAACGCCATCATTCGTGCATCCTTCCCACCTATATGTGTCACCGGATCATTCTCCGCCTGGGCGGGGCCGTCCTGTGCACTGCAGAATGCTGAGCAGTGTCCTTGGCTTCGACCGACCACATGCCAGGAGCACCCCAATTTCTGCCATCGGGTGATTGACTTCACTGTTGCATTTGATTTTTTATGTATCTTTTAAAAGGACCCAATAGGGCCAGGCACAGTGGCTCACACTTGTAATCCCAGCACTTTGGGAGGCTGAGGTCGGTGGATTGCTTGAGCCCAGGAGGAGTTCAAGACCAGCCTGGGCAACATAGTGAAACCCCAACTCTACAAAAAACAAATGTTTTATTTTTATTTATTTTAGATGGAGTTTCACTCTTGTTGCCCAGGCTGGAGTGCAGTGGCGCAATCTCGGCTCACTGCAACTTCTGCCTCCCGGGTTCAAGCGATTCTCCTGCCTCAGCCTCCTGAGTATCTGGGATTACAGGCATGCGCCACCACACCCAGCTAATTTTGTATTTTTAGTAGAGATGGCGTTTCTCCATGTTGGTCAGGCTGGTCTCAAACTCCCGACCTCAGGTGATCTGCCTGCCTCGGCCTCCCAGAGTGTTGGGATTACAGGCGTGAGCCACCACGCCCAGCCGGGTTTATAGTTTTATAACCCTTATGACAAATCTCATAGTATTCTGCAGGGATAAGCATGAAACCACTCGTTCAATAAGTGCAAACAAAAACGCCAACAATTCTTAAGACATTTCTAATCTTATTTTACCAATAATTTTAAAGCCAGCTTATGTATTAAAGATTTATAACTACTTTTATTAACACGTTTAAAATTCTATGCAGCTTAAAGCATTTATAATGGATAAAACTGCCAATACTGAGTGCCTGACATAATATTTGAAAGGTGGCAGGCATTCAACCATGGTCACTGAATGAGAGATGTAGGGAAGATGATGGCAGGGAGGTTTTTAGATATCAACACCCTGATAGTTCTCATTTTAACCACCTGTAAGTGCACATACAAGTCAACGGCACTGGCCGGGCGCGGTGGCTCATGCCTGTATTCCCAGCACTTTGGGAGGCCAAATCACAAGGTCAGGAGATCGAGACCATCCTGGCTAACACGGTGAAACCCCGTCTCTACTAAAAATACAAAAAATCAACTAGGCATGGTGGCACGCACCTGTAGTCCCAGCTACTCAGGAGGCTGAGGCAGGAGAATCGCTTGAACCTGGGAGGCGGAGGTTGCGGTGAGCCAAGATCGCGCCACTGCACTCCAGCCTCGGCGACAGAGTGAGACTCCGTCTCAAAAAACCAAAAAACAAAAAACAGTCAATGGCATTAAATATAAATACATTTACAGTGTTGTGTAACCATCACCACTATGGATCCCCCAGACTTTGTCATCATCTTCAACCTAAGCGCTCCCTATTAAATAGTAACTCCCCACTTTTCCCAGGCCTTGGCAACCACCATTCTAATCCCTGTCTCTATGAATTTGACTCCTCTCGATACCTCAGATAAGCGGCACAATGCAGTATTTATCTGTCAAGTCCGGAATATTTCCTTTAGCATAATGTCTTCAAGGTCCATCACGTTGTAGCATGTATCTGAATTTATTCTTTTATAATATTTTTTATTTTTTGGAGACAGAATCTCGCTCTGTCACCCAGGCTGGAGTGCAATGGCGCGATCTCGGCTCACCGCAACTTCCGCGTCCCGGGTTCAAGCCATTCTCCTGTCTCAGCCTCCGGAGTAGCTGGGACTACAGGTGCCTGCCGCCATGCCCGGCTATTTTTTTTTTGTATTTTTTGGGGGTTTTACTGTGTTGCCCAGGCTGGTCTTGAACTGCTGAGCTCAGGCAATCTGCCTGCCTCAGCCTCCTAAAGTACTAGGATTACAGGCATGGGCCACCACGCCCGGCCTTATTTTTATTTTTGAGACAGTCTCACTCTGCCGCCCAGGCTGGAGTGCAGTGGTGCGATCTCGGCTTACCGCAATCTCTGCCTCCCAGGTTCAAGCGATTCTCATGCCTCCGTCTCCCAAGTAGCTGGGATTACAGGCACCTGCCACCATGCCCGGCTAATTTAACGCCCAGCTAATTTTTGTATTTTTAGTAGAGATGGGGTTTCACCATGTTAACCAGGCTGGTCTCGGACTCCTGACCTCAGGTGATCCGCCCGCCTCGGCCTCCCAAAGTGCTGGGATTACAGGCGTGAGCCACTGTGCCTGGCTGATTTTTATTCTTTTAGTTAAGGCTGGTTGATATTACCTTGTGTGTATATACCACATGTTGTTTATCCATTGTTGTTGATGGACATGTGGGTGGTTTCACCTTTTGGCTATTGTGAATAAAGCTGCTATGAACACTGTGTACAAATATGTTAGAGACCCTGTTTTCAGTTCTTTTAGGTGTGTACCCCGAAGTGGAATTGCTGGATTTTATGGCAATCCCACGTTTAACTTCTGGAGGAGCTGCTGGAACTGTTTTCCACAGCAGGGGCGCCATGTTACGTCCCTGCCAGCAATGCACGCGCAGTTCAATTTCTCTGCATACTCACCAATATCTGCTGTTTTCCATTAAAAAAAATTATAGCCGGTCGGGTGCAGTGGCTCATGCCTGTAATCCCAGCACTTTGGGAGACCGAGGCAGGTGGATCAACTGAGGTCAGGAGTTCAAGACCAGCCTGGCCAACACAGTGAAACCCCATCTCTACTAAAAATACAAAAATTAGCCTGGTGTGGTACATACCTATAATCCCAGCCACTTGGGAGGCTGAGGCAGGAGAATCGCTTGAACCTGGGAGGTGGAGGTTGTAGTGGGCCGAGATGGCGCCACTGCACTCCAACCTGGGCAAAAAGAACGAGACTTTGTCTCAAAAGAAAAAAAAAAAATACAGCCATTCCAGAAGGTGTGAAGTCATATCTCACTGTGGTTTTGATGCGTATTTTCCTAGTGACATCAGGGAGTTTATGGGAGCACGGGAACACAGACCAGGCCCCAGCAGGCGGACAAACGGTGCAACGCCAGGCTGGCCAGAGGAGATAAGCGCGGCTCCTTGGAGCTTGTGTGCAAGTCACTGTACTGAGGAGCCGGCTACGGCTCGATGAGTCTCAATTAGGAAAGGCCGGGGCTGGTGGAGGAAGGGAGGAGAGCATTCTTCATCCTCATCACATCCTGAGCCTGTGCCCCAGGCTCCCACCACTTCCCTCCCTGGCCACAGAGCTCAGGACAGGGCTGAGGAACCATGTCTCCATCCCCGACCGCCCTCTTCTGTCTTGGTGAGTCCTGAGGGTCAGATCTGGGAAATGCTGAAGGACAGGCATGGACTGCCAGACAAAGGATTTTTAAGAAATTTGCATTGGTGATGAATTTCAGGACAAAAAGGAACCTGTAAGAGCCCCTTCATTTGTTGGGTGGGGAAACGGGGGGCCAGCGAGCTGGCATTTTGCATGAGTTATTCCAGTGTATTCATGGCTGGGTCAGGAAATGAACAGAGTATCCTAGCATTGGTCACAACTTTGTTCTACTACACTGCAGTTGCCCCTTTTTTAAAAAATGTGGGCCAGGCACAGTGGCTCACGCCTGTAATCTCAACCTTGGGAGGCCGAGGTGGGTGGATCACCTGAGGTCAGGAGTTCAAGACCAGCCTGGTCAACATGGTGAAACCCCATCTCTACAAAAATTAGCCGGGCGTGATGGCGGGTGCTTGTAATCCCAGCTACGTGGGAGGCTGAGGTGGGAGAATTGCTTGAAACTGGGAGGCAGAAGTTGCAGTGAGCTGAGGTCAGGCATTGCACTCCAGCCTGGGCAACAGAGAGAGCCTCCATCTCAAAAAAAAAAAAAAAAAAAAAAAAAAAGGCTGAGTGCCATGGCTTACACACTTTGGGAGGCCGAGGCGGGTGGGCCATCTGAGGTCGGGAGTTTGAGACCAGCCTGACCAACATGGAGAAACCCCATCTCTACTAAAAATACAAAATTAGCCGGGTGTGGTGGCACATGCCTGTAATCCCAGCTACTCTGGAGGCTAAGGCAGGAGAATCGCTTGAACCTGGGAGGTGGAGGTTGCGGTGAGCCAAGATCACACCATTGCACTCTGGCCTGGGCAACAAGAGCGAAACTCCGTCTCAAAAAAAAAAAAAAAAAAATTGTGGAATTGATATCTGGACTAGGTATGGATTTAATTTGTCAGTATCCCCTACAGTAGTGGAGTAAATAGTCTCCTGATGGATGGGTGGCAGGTCGAATGCATTTCTGCTGCCTGATCTTCACTTGTGCTGGGCATGTCGAATGCATTATTTCCTGATTTCTTCAGAATTTGACCACTAAAGGGACAGCATCTCCAAAAGGCTAAGCAGGAAGAAGATGGTTGCATTACTGGAGATGAGAGGGTTAACTGTGAATATAAACAACCTCTCATTCATTATCCATCCATGGATGTATTCTTTTTTTCTTTTTGTTTGTTTTTTGAGATGGAGTCTCGCTCAGTCGGTCGCTCAGGCTGGAATGCAATGGCATGATCTCAGCTCACTGCAAACTCTGCCTCCCGGGTCCAAGTGATTCTCCTGCCTCAGCCTCCCGAATAGTTGGGATTACAGGCATCTGCCACCAGGTCTGGCTAATTATTGTATTTTTAGTAGGGGCGGGGTTTCACCATGTTGGCCAGGCTGGTCTCAAGCTCCTTACTTCAGGTTCCACCCGCCTCGGCCTCCCAAAGTGCTGGGATTACAGGCGTGAGCCACCGCACCCAGCCTGTTTTAACTTTTATTTATTTAATTTTATTTGAGATAGGGCCTCACTTCTGTCACCCAGGCAGGAGGGCAGTGGCATGATCATGGCTCACTGCAGCCTCAACCTCCCAGGCTCAACCAGTGCCTCCCCATCAGCCTCCTGAGTATCTGGAACTACAGTTGTACACCATCATGCCTGGCTTGTTTTTGTAATTTTTTTAGTTACGGGGGTCCGCTATGTTGCCCAGGCTGGTCTTGAACTCCTGGGCTCAAGCGATCCACCCACCTCGGCCTCCCAAAGTGTTGGGGTTACAGGTGTGGCCTGTACAGGTTACTGCATCTGGCTTGTTGCTTCAGTAGCTTTTGGGATACAAGTGGTTCTTGGTTACATGGATGAATTATATTCTGGTGAATTCTGAGATTTTAGTGCACCTGTCACCTGACTAGTGTACCTTGTACCTAATGTGTAGTTTTTCATCCCTGCCCCACTTCTGCCCTTCCCTTCTGAGTCTCTGAAGTCCATTACATCACTCTGCATGCCTTTGCATACCCACAGCTTAGCTCTCACTTATAAGTGAGAATATACAGATTTTTGTTTTCCACTCCTGTATTACTTTACTTAGAATAATGCCTTCCAGCTCCATCCAAGTTGCTGCAAAAGACTTTTTTTTTTTTTTTTTAAAGACGGAATCTCGCTCTCTCACCAAGGCTGGAGTGCAGTGGTGTGATCTCGGCTTACTGCAAACTCCACCTCCCGGGTTTAAGTGATTCTCCTGCCTCAGCCTCCCGAGTAGCTGGGACTACAGGCACCCGCCACCATGCCCGGCTAATTTTTGTATTTTTAGTAGAGATGGGGTTTCACCATGTTGGGCAGGATGGTCTTGATCTCTTGACCTCGTGATCCACCCACCTCGGCCTCCCAGAGTGCTGGCATTACAGATGTGAGCCACTGTGCCTGGCCAAAAGACATTATTTCACTCCTTTTAATGGCTGAGTAGTATTCCACGCTCATTTATTTTTATTTATTTTTATTTTTTGACATGGAGTCTCACTCTGTTGCCCAGACTGGAGCGCAGTGGCATGACGTTGGCTCACTGCAACCTCCACCTCCCAGGTTCAAGCGATTCTCCTGCCTCAGCCTCCCAAGTAGCTGGGATTACAGGCTCCTGCCACTACGCCCCGCTAATTTTTGTATTTTTAGTAGAGACAGGGTTTCACCATGTTGGTCAGGCTGCTCTCGAACTCCTGACTTCAGGTGATCCGCCCACCTTGGCCTCCCAAAATGGGATTACAGGTGTGAGCCAGCGCGCCCGGCCGGTGAGAACATTTAAAATCTACTATCGGTGATATGCAAGTGTACAATATGTTGTTATTAACTACAGTCACCATGATGTGCAGTAGATCTCCAAGACATACTCCTCTTGTCCAACTGAAACTGTCCTCCTCTGACCAACATCTCCCCAAACCTTACCCCACCGCCCCGGTAACCACCACTGTGCTCTCTACTCCTGTAAGTTCCCAAGTCCACACTCTTTACCACTAATTGGTGCTGCTAGGGTTTGAATCTACTCCTGCCAGCTGTAGGACTGTGGATAAGATACTGTCTCACTAGCCTGATGTATAAGAGGGGACTGATAATGGTGGGTAACCCGTACGATTATGGCGACTTGGAGTCCATGCACAGAAGGCGCTCAGCACGGCGCCTGGAAGACTCCCAGCCATGGTACAGCGTCGCATGGAAACCTACAAAGAGGCTGAGGTGGGCTGTGATGCGGCAGGAGGAGGGGGACAGAGAAGCGGCCGGAGCTTGCGTTGGGGTGCAGAGGGAGCCTGGGGTGGACAAAGGGTGGTGGCTATGGGGGCGCTGGTGACAAGTTGTCACTCTCTGAGCTCAGAGTCAAGACATGAGCTGGGTTCACCCACTTCTTGCTATGTGAGCTACACAAGGTTGCTTGGCCTCTGCCCAGTTTCCTTATGTTTACAGTGGGAATGACAACTATCCCGCCTTTGTGTGTGTGTGTGTGTGTGTGTGTGTGTAAGAATGAGGGTTACCAGATAAAACACTGGATGCCTGGTTAAATTGGAATTTCAGATAATTAGTACTTTTTTTTTCCTCCTCCTCTTCGTTTTCTGAGACAGGGTCTTGCTCTGTTGTCAGTCTGGAGTGCAATGGGGCAATATCATTTTTTTTTTTCCTCGAGATGGAGTCTTGCTCTGTTGCCCAGGCTGGAGTGTAGTGGCGTGATCTTGGCTCACTGCAACCTCCGCCTCCCGGGTTCAAGTGATTCTCCTGACTCAGCCTCCCCAGTAGCTAGGATTACAGGCACGTGCCACCATGCCCAGCTAATTTCTGGTATTTTTAGTAGAGATGGTGTTTCACCATGTTGACCAGGCTGGTCTTGAACTCCTGACCTTGTGATCCGCCCACCCTGGCCTCCCAAAGTGCTGGGATTATAGGCATGAGCCACCGTGCCCGGCCAGTGGTGCAATCTTACCTCACAGCAGACTTGACCTCCTGGGCTCAAGCAATTCCAGGAGGGGATCGCTTATGTACATGTATTTGTATACATATGTATACACACACACACACACACACACACACATGCATACATATATACATATACATACATATACACGTGTGTATGTACACACGTGTATATGTACATACACATGTATGTATAGATGTAGGTTTACATATATGCACTATATGTGTATATACATATAGTAATCAGATCAGGGTAAGTAGCACACCCATCTTCTCAAACATGCATCCTTTCTGTGTTGGGAACTTTCCCCATCCTCCTTCAGGCTATTTGAAACGATTATTATATATATTATATCCTATCATGTAATCATGGAATACTGATTCAAGCAAATGTTGTAAATACCGGGAAACCCATGGCCAGCACATGCTGAGACGTCCTGACTTACACGCTGAGGCTCCATCCTGCTCCATCCTTGGAGCCCAATGCATCCCATTAGTGTGGGGTTTTATCGCATATATTACATAGACAATAAAATACAATAATATACAATATGCAATAGTATTTACAATACTTGTCTATACAATTGCATACTATTGTAATGTACTTGGATATTATTTAATATTGGGAGACTGAAGGGAGGAAACGAAGGGACAGCAATGTCTCAGGTCCCATTCCTCACATCCACTGAGGAAGTCAATGGGCAATGTCTAACACGAACGAGCCCACCGTGTCTAACACAACACAAACGAGCCCACCGTGTCTAACACAACACGAACGAGCCCACCGTGTCTAACACAACACGAACGAGCCCACCGCGTCTAACACGAACGAGCCCACCGCGTCTAACACGAACGAGCCCACCGTGTCTAACACAACACGAACGAGTCCACCGTGTCTAACACAACACGAACGAGCCCACCGTGTCTAACACAACACGAACGAGTCCACCGTGTCTAACACAACACGAACGAGTCCACCGTGTCTAACACGAACGAGTCCACCGTGTCTAACACGAACGAGTCCACCGTGTCTAACACGAACGAGTCCACCGTGTCTAACACAACACGAAGGAGTCCACCGCGTCTAACACGAACGAACCCACCGCGTCTAACACGAACGAACCCACCGTGTCTAACACGAACGAACCCACCGTGTCTAACACGAACGAGTCCACCGTGTCTAACACAACACGAACGAGTCCACCGTGTCTAACACAACACGAACGAGTCCACCGTGTCTAACACGAACGAGTCCACCGCGTCTAACACGAACGAGTCCACCGTGTCTAACACAACACGAACGAGTCCACCGTGTCTAACACGAACGAGCCCACCGTGTCTAACACGAACGAGCCCACCGTGTCTAACACGAACGAGTCCACCGTGTCTAACACGAACGAGCCCACCGTGTCTAACACGAACAAGTCCACAGAGAGCAGTACGCCACCATGCCTTGCCCTCCTCTCCCACCACCCCCAGCCATGGATCTGCTTTCTTCTCCATCTCCTATAGATTTACCTATTCTGGATATTTCATGTAAATGACCTCATAAACTATGTGGCTTTTTCTGACCGGTTTCTCTCACTTAAATTACATTCCTGTGTGTCTTTTGAAGAAATTATTAGGACAGAGTAAAGCATATGCATGCAAATGTCTTATCACCGCGCCCAGCAGGCAGGAATGTCCATAAAAGCGAGTCCTGGCATCTGGTCCCTTTCTTCTTTCCTCAGGGCTGTGTCTGGGGCGTGTGCCAGCGCAGAGTGGTGAGTCCTTCCCCAGACCCCTTCCCTCCTGCGGGATCCGCCAGCGCGGGAGCAGCGGGGTCCAGGCGGGGTCTGCGGGGAGGCTGACCCAGCCCTGCTCCTCTTCCAGGACCGCTCCCCAAGCCCTCCCTCCAGGCTCTGCCCAGCTCCCTGGTGCCCCTGGAGAAGCCAGTGACCCTCCGGTGCCAGGGACCTCCGGGCGTGGACCTGTACCGCCTGGAGAAGCTGAGTTCCAGCAGGTACCAGGATCAGGCAGTCCTCTTCATCCCGGCCATGAAGAGAAGTCTGGCTGGACGCTACCGCTGCTCCTACCAGAACGGAAGCCTCTGGTCCCTGCCCAGCGACCAGCTGGAGCTCGTTGCCACGGGTAAAGGAAGGGGGATCGGAGCCTGGGACTGCGTGGTCCTCCGTTCAGGACACAAATACGGGGGACATTGAGGGCAGGGATTAGGGTGAGGCAAACGAGGCACTGGCCTAGCGGGTGGTGGTGCCACGACATTTATGGATCAATGTGAATAATATTTTGTTTTTTGGACACAGGGTCTTGCTGCGTCACCCAGGGTGGAGAGCAGTGGCGCGATCTTGGCTCACTGCAGCCTCCACCTCCAGGGCTCAAGCGATTCTCCCGCCTCAGCCCTCCAAGTAGCTAGGATTACAGGTGTGCACCACCACGCCCAGCTCATTTTTTATGTTTTTATAGAGATGGGGTCTCTTGACAGTTTTCACAAAAGGCATTAAAATACAAAAGAGAGAGAGATAGGGTCTCGCTATGTTGCTCAGGCTGGTCTCGAACTCCTGTGGGCTCAAGCTATCCTTCCACCTTGGCTTCCCAAAGTGTTGGGATTTCAGGCGTGAGCCACTGCATCTGGCTGTGAATAACATTTTCATGCAATTTTTAAAAAAATCAAAATAAATTGCAAAAACATCCACAATGAAAAAAACCAGAATTTCAAATAAAGGCAGAATCAGCCAGTGCCTGTGTCAAGTCATACCAGAGTCTGTGCCAAAACGAAAAACAGGCAACCCTTTATCTGTGTTTTAATGCACTTAAAAAAATTAGCGATGGGGTCTTGCTACACTGCCCAGGCCGGAGTGCAGTGGCTGTTCATAGGAGCAGTCATAGCTCACTGCAGCCTGGAGCTCCTTGCCTTGAGCAATCCTCCTGCCTCAGCCTCATGAGTAGCAGGGACTACGGTCACGGGCCACCGTGCTTGGCTCGGGATTCTTTTTAAAACTTTGTTTTGGAGTAATTTTTAGACTGACAGAAAAGTTCCAAAGATAATATTAATGGAAATATTTCACCCAGGATCCCCTCATGTTAACATCTTACATTTGTTACAACCAAAAAATAAACGTAGCACTGGTCCCAGTGGTTTACACCTGTAATCCCAGCACTTTGGGAGGCTGAGGCGGGAGGATTGCTTGAGCTCAGGAGTTCAAGACCAGCCTGGGCAACATAGTGAGACCTCATCTTTAAACAAAATTAAAAATTAGTGGGGCATGGTGGCATACACCTATAGTCCCAGCTACTCAGGAGGCTGAGGCAGGAGGATCGCTTGAGCCAGGGAGGCCGAGGCTGCAGGGAGCTGTGATCACGCCACTGCACTCCAGCCTGGGTGACAGAGTGAGACCCTGTATCAAAAAACAAACAAAAAACTAACCATAGACACAACTATATTATATCAAGTAAACTCCAGGCTATTTGAATTTCACCAGTCTTTCCACTAATATCCTATTTCTGTTCCCAGACCCCGTCCAGGGCCCCACAGTGCATTTAGTATTTATGTCTCCTTAGACTCTTGATTGGTGCAAATATTCTAATTTCTTTTCTTATTTATTTATTTTTTTTAAGAGAAGAGGTTGGGCCGGGCGCGGCGGCTCACGCCTGTAATCCCAGTACTTTGGGAGGCTGAGGTGGGTGGATCACTTAAGGTCAGGAGTTTGAGACCAGCCTGGCCAACATGGTGAAACCCCGTCTCTACTAAAAAAAATAATAATAATTAGCTGGGCGCGGTGGCGCACTCCTGTAATCCCAGCTACTCCGGAGGCTGAGGCAGGAGAATCGCTTAAACCTGGGAGGCGGTGAGCCGAGATTGCACCACTGCAGTCCAGCCTGGGCGACAGAGCAAGACTCCGTCTTGGGAAAAAAAAAAAAAGAGAAGAGGTCTTACTATGTTGCCCAGGCTTTAGTACACTCGCTGTATTCACAGGCATGATCATAGCTCACTTTAGCCTCAAATCCCTGGGCTCAAGTGGTCCTCCCTAGTAGCTGGGACTATAGGTGCACCCAGTTAGTGCACTTTTAAATGGTTATTTTCTAGAAGTAGGTTTTGGAAATAGCACTGATGCGCTTGCATCCACAAAAGCCTAGAATGTAAAATTCTAATAAATCTTTCAGGGGAATAAAGTATTCAAACAGAATAATGTGAGTTTTAACGACCTACTCTTCAAATTTTCAATAATTTTTTCAAATATGTTAATTGTTTGGGAATAATTAAATTTTACATCCCAGGAGAGTGCCTCACTCACGCCACCCTAATTCCTGGCCAGCTGCACTGTGGTCTATTCCGCGTTATAAATCCTGCCTCCCTCCCCTCTTCCCTGCCTCACTCCCCTCCACAGCATCACTGGCCTCCTCTCTGCTACTAGAATGGACCAGCCTGGCTGCCTCATTACTTCTTTCAGGGTCAGACTCAAATACTCTCTTCTCGCTAAGTATATCCCCCACCACCCTAGTCAAAGTGGCCCTCCTCACTATCTGGTATGTGAAGTATACCTTTTTTTATCTTGGTGGTGGTTGTCTATTTTTAATTCCTGGTCGGGCACGGTGGCTCACGCCTGTAATGCCAGCACTTTGGGAGGCCGAGGTGGACGGATCACCTGAGGTCAGGAGTTCGAGATCAGCCTGGCTAACATGGTGAAACCCTGTCTCTACTAAACATACAAAATTAACTGGGCATGGTGGTGCATGCCTGTAGTCCCAGCTACTCGGGAGGCTGAGGCAGGAGAATCGCTTGAACCCAGGAGGTGGAGGTTGCAGTGAGCTGGGATCATGCCACTGCACTCCAGCCTGGGCAACAGAGTGAGATTCTGTTTCCCAAAAAAAAAAAAAAAAAAAAAAAAAAAAAAAATATATATATATATATATATATATATATATATATATATATATATATATATATATATATATGCCATTGCACTCCAGCCTGGGTGACAGAGCGAGACTCCGTCTCAAAACAAAACAAAACAAAACAAAACAAATGAAACAACAAAAAAAGAATACAGACAGACACATAATAGTTGCTTAAGTGAAAATTAAGAGAAAATATTGCTGAGTGAATGTTACAGTTATCAGGCAGCTTATATATTTCCTTCCTTCCTTCCTCCCTCCCTCCCTTCCTTCCTCTTTCTTTCTTTTTCTTCTTGTTGAGTGAATGCCATAATTATTAGGCAGCTTATATTTTTATCTTCCTTACTTCCTTTCTTTTGCTTTCTCTCTCTGTCTTTTTTTGAGACAAGGTCTCACTCTGTCACCCAGGCTAGTGTACAGTGATCATAGCTCACTGCAGCCTCGCCTTCCTGGGCTCAAGCGATCCTCCCACCTTGGCCTCCCAAAGTGCTGGGATGACCGGTGTGAGCCGCCGCACCCAGCCTCAACCTTTGTTTTTCTGACTCCTGTGTGCAGGCATGCATCACCACACCGGTCTATGACAACAACCTCACATCAGAGTAGTGTAGGTTCGTGTTTAGGAGCGGAGACCCTGGAATCAAACTCTGTGAGTGCAGATTTCAACTCTGCCACTTATGATCTTGGACAAGTTTTTTATTTATTTTTAAATTAAAATATGTCCAGCTTTGTTGAGGTATAATTGAAAAACAAAAATGGAATATATCCAAGGTGTACAAGTTGATGTTTTGATATACGAATCCACTGTGAGACAGTTACTACTAGCAAGCTAATTAACATACATCACCTGACACAGTTAACTTTTTTGTGTGTGAGAATACTTATAATCTACCCTCTTAGCAAATTTCAGCTGTACACTGCAGTATTGTTACCTAGAGTTGGACAAATTATTTAATGCCATGTGCCTTAGTTTCATTTATAAAATAGGGACATTAAGAGTGAGGACTCCATAGGTCTCTGAGGATTCACTGAACTGATATACATCATAAGTTTGGAAGGCACCCGGAAGCTAGCACTGTCAGCCACATTTACAACGTAACAATTGTATGTGGCAATACAAGCTTACAGCACAGTATAAGCTTAAGCTATTTACTTACTCCAGCGCTTGCTAGGCAACAGGCACTCTGCAAATTACTGTGTACTGTCTCATTCAGTCATCCCCATTTTAACAGAACAAGGCAGTGAGGCTCAGATACAGAGGGAGATTTGTCTCCAGGGCCACCAGGCCCCTGAAGGCAGAACTAGGATTTGCACCCAAGCACTAGGACGTGAGCACAGCCTCCTTCCTCAACCACTGGGTGACTCGACCTCTCTGTGAGCTTGGGTGGGGGAGTGCGCTCTCTGGGAGGGATACAGCCAAAAAGCTCCCCAGCTCTTAGGCAGGTGTGGGGACCTCCCCAGTCTCAGCTGAGATGCTGGCTCCTGCCTTCAACATCAGACTTTCTTTTTCTCCCAGGAGTTTTTGCCAAACCCTCGCTCTCAGCCCAGCCCGGCCCGGCGGTGTCGTCAGGAGGGGACGTAACCCTACAGTGTCAGACTCGGTATGGCTTTGACCAATTTGCTCTGTACAAGGAAGGGGACCCTGCGCCCTACAAGAATCCCGAGAGATGGTACAGGGCTAGTTTTCCCATCATCACGGTGACCGCCGCCCACAGCGGAACCTACCGATGCTACAGCTTCTCCAGCAGGGACCCATACCTGTGGTCAGCCCCCAGCGACCCCCTGGAGCTTGTGGTCACAGGTAGGGGTAGTGCAGACCAAACCTTTCTTCCTCAGCCTTTATAGGTCCTGATGGCCATTCCAAGGGAGGGGCCATAAGTGGGAAGGAAGTGGGAGGGCAGGAAGCCCTGGGCTGCAGGGGCGGGGCCGTAGGTGGGAAGGAAGTGGGAGGGCAGGAAGCCCTGGGCTGCAGGGGCGGGGCCGTAGGTGGGAAGGAAGTGGGAGGGCAGGAAGCCCTGGGCTGTAGGGGCGCGGCCATAGGTGGGAAAGAAGTGGGAGGGCAGGAAGCCCTGGGCTGCAGGGGCGGCGCCAGAGGTGGGAAGGAAGTGGGAGGGCAGGAAGCCCTGGGCTGCAGGGGCGGGGCCGTAGGTGGGAAGGAAGTGGGAGGGCAGGAAGCCCTGGGCTGCAGGGGCGGGGCCGTAGGTGGGAAGGAAGTGGGAGGGCAGGAAGCCCTGGGCTGCAGGGGCGGGGCCGTAGGTGGGAAGGAAGTGGGAGGGCAGGAAGCCCTGGGCTGCAGGGGCGGGGCCGTAGGTGGGAAGGAAGTGGGAGGGCAGGAAGCCCTGGGCTGCAGGGGCGGGGCCGTAGGTGGGAAGGAAGTGGGAGGGCAGGAAGCCCTGGGCTGCAGGGGCGGGGCCAGAGGTGGGAAGGAAGTGGGAGGGCAGGAAGCCCTGGGCTACAGGCAGCTGGGAGAATGGAGGTTTCTTTTTTTTTTTTTTGACGAAGTCTCACTCTGTCACCCAGGCTGGAGTGCAGTGGCGCGATCTCAGCTCACTGCAACCTCCGCCTTCCGGGTTCAAGCGATTCTGCTGCCTCAGCCTCTCGAGTAGCTGGAATTACAGGTGCCTGCCACCATGCCCGGCCAATTTTTGTATTTTTAGTAGAGACGGGGTTTCACTATGTTGGTCAGGCTGGTCTTGAACTGACCTCATGATCTGCCCGCCTCGGCCTCCCAAAGTGCTGGGATTACAGGCGTGAGCCACCGCGTCGGACTTGACTACCATTCTTAAAGGGGGTTTCTTTCAAAAAAGAGCAGCATACCTCATAATGTGGTTATATACATGCAATGGAATATTATGCAGCCTTAAAAAAGAAGGAAATTCTGACACATACTACAACATGGATATACCTTGAGGACATTATGCTAAGTCAGTCACAAAAGGACAACTACTGTATGATTCTAGTCAAAGGAGGTATCTAATGTCAACACTGTAGAAACACAAAGTACAATGGTGGTTGTTAAGGGCCAGAAAGAGGAGAGAGAAGGAATTAGTGTTTAATGGGCACAGAATTTCAGTTTTGCAAGAAAAATAAGTTCTAGAGGTCAACATATTGTACCACAATGTGAACATACCCAACGCCACTGATCAGTACATTTAACAATGTCATATTAAATCAAACAAAATACATCATTTAGTTTTTGGTAGAAAAATCTGTTTTGCCCCCAGGGTCACAGTGAGGGGTAGGACACAGGAATCCAGAAGAAATAGAACTGAGGTTGAAAAAGGTGGACGGGAGCTGCATGCATTTCCTTGTTAATAGCCCAGAATGTGCCAGGTGTGCTTTACAAATGCTGCTGCTTTTTTTTTTTTTTTTTTTTTTGGGGGGAGTCTCACTTTGTCACCCAGGCTGGAGTGCAGTGGAGTGATCTCAGTTCACTGCAACCTCCACCTCCTGGGTTTAAGCGATTCTCCTGCCTCAGCCTCCTGAGTAGATGGGATTACAGGCACCTGCCATCATGCCCAGCTAATTTTTGTATTTTTCGTAGAGACAGGGTTTCACCATGTTGGCCAGGCTGGTCTTGAACTCTTGACCTCAGGTGATCTGCCTGCCTCGGCCTCTCAAAGTGCTGGGATTACAGGTGTGAGCCACCACGCCTGGCTAAGCCTTTTTTTTTCAGATGGAGTCTTACTGCGTCACCCAGGCTGGAGTGCAGTGGTGCGATCTCAGATCACTGCAACCTCTGCCTCCTAGGTTCAAGTGATTCTCCTGCCTCAGCCTCCCGAGCAGCTGGGATTACAGGTGCACACCACCACGCCTGGCTAATTTTTGTATTTTTAGTGGAGACGGGGTTTCACCATACTGGCCAGGCTGGGCTTGAACTCCTGACCTCAAGTGATCTGCCCTCCTCAGCCTCCCAAAGTGCTGGGATTACAGGCATGAGGCACTGCACCCAGCTCAAATGCTTATTAACATCCACAACAGTCCAGTGATGTAAGCTACTTTAGGCTCATTTTTCCGGTGAGGAAACTCAGTCACGGAGATGTTTCGTTATTTGTTCAGGACCCACAGCGACAGAGCACAGATTTATCTCATTTTCTGATTTCCCAGGAACCTCTGTGACCCCCAGCCGGTTACCAACAGAACCACCTTCCCCGGTAGCAGGTAGGTTCTGCAGGGTCCATTCTGGTGCACAGCGTATGAGGTACACGGACCCCTTCTCTCTCTCCTCTCTGCCTAGACTTCTCGATTTAATTCAGTTGGTTCTTTCACAGATTTGCTTTGTTTTAAAAATCCTTTATTTCTGCCTGTAAACAGGGTGGGTGTCCTAAGTAGTTAGATGTTAAGATGCTGCCCCCAATCCTACTCTAGGTGGATGGTTTATCACATATAACATGCAGAAGAATAATCGGAGTGGCTTGCTATACTGTGGAGTCCAGCTGGTTGAATATGGGTGACAAAAACAAACAAACTAACCAACCAACCAACCAACCAACCAACCAACAAACCTGTAGAGTCCGGGACTCTGTTTCTGAGTCACTGAATGCATTGATCAGCGGTTCTCAAACTTCCATGAGCATAAGAATCACCTGGAGGCTTAAAGAATAGATTTCTGAGCCCCCAGGGCTTCTGCTTCAGTAGGTCTGGGGTGAATCCAGTCATTTTCATTCCTAGTAAGTTCCCAGGTGATGCTGATGCTATGGCTCCAGAATGCTGCTTTGAGAACCACTGCGGTAAGTTTTGTGTGAGGCGTGTTATCCCCTCCACTTTCACAAACATCTCAGCTGAATACGGTGTACCAGACTACGGCCTGCACTTTAAGAATATCATACGCTAGGCTGGAGGCTGGGCGTGTCTAACATTCCCTGTGTCTCAGAGTGAAGCACCAAGGCAGGAGAAACATGCTGGAAAGAGCCGAGGTTGATAAGGATGAGATTTGCGGGGTTGAGGGCAGAGTGAGGGCTATTATGCCTAGTGGGCAGGGACATGGAAGATGGTCACATACTGTGTGCGTGCATATGTGTGTGTGCGTGCATGTGCGTGTGTGCGTGCATATGTGTGTGTGCGTGCATATGTGTGTGCATGCGTGCATATGTGTGTGTGTGCATGCGTGCATATGTGTGCGTGTGCTTCTGACTGAATTTTTGAACTTTCTCTTTTGAAATGGTTCTAGAGTCACAGGAAGTCTACAATGATAGAACAGAAGAATCCCATGTGCTCTTTTTCCAGTTTCCTCTAATGGTTACATCTTACGTAATTAGAGTACAACATAAAAACCAGGAATTTGACATTGGCATAAAGTAGGTGTCTAGTTCTATGCCAATTTGTCACAGTTGTAGATTCGCGTCACCATCACCGCAGTCACTGTACAGAACTCTTCCGTCTCACAAGGGCCTCCCTTGGGCTACCCTTTTATATTCACACCTACACCCTTCTCCTTCCCTTGCCATCCCTAACTCCTGGTATCCATTAATTTGTTCTCCATCTCTATAATCTTCCATTTCTAGAATCTGATGTAAATGGGATCATCCAGTATGCAACCGTTTGAGATATCCTTTTGTCACTCAGTGCAATGCCCCTGAGGCCCATCCAAGCTGCTGTATGTATCAATGATGTGTTCCTTTTGATTGCTGAGCAATATTTCATGCTATATTAGGCCGATTTTGTGCTGCTATAAATATCTGAGACTGGATCATTGATAAGAAAAGAGGTTTAATTGGTTCATGGTTCTGAAGGCCGTATAGGAAGCAGAAGGCTGGCTTCTGCTTTTGGGGAGGCCTCAGGAAGCTTACAGTCATGGCAGAAGGCAAAGAGGGGGTAGCTGTCTCATGTGGTGGGAGCAGGAGCAAGAGAGAGAGAGAGTTGGGACTGGGGGACATGCCACACTTTGCAATAGCCAGATCTTGTGAGAATTCACTTACTATTGCAAGGAAAGCACCAAGCAATGAGGGATCCACCCCTATGATCCAAACACCTCCCACCAGGCCCCCACCTCCAACATTGGGGATCATAATCCAGTATGAGATTTGGTGGGAACACATATTCAAACTGTATCACATGGCATGCAAATACCACACGCTGTGTTGAAATCAAAATCAAAACAAGGTGTATTAAATAGGGAATCCTTTCCCCATTGCTTGTTTTTGTCAGGTTTGTTGAAGATCAGATGGTTGTAGATGTGTGGTCTTATTTCTGAGATCTCTATTCTGTTCCATTGGTCTATGTGTCTGTTTTTGTACCAGTACCATGCTGTTTTGGTTACTATCACCTTGTAATATAGTCTGAAGTCTGAGCCTGAGGCCTCCAGCTTTGTTCTTTTTGCTTAGTATTGTCTTGGCTATATGGGCCCTTTTTTGGTTCCATATGAATTTTATAGTTTTTTCTAATTGTGTGAGGAATGTCAATGATAGTTCAATGGGAATAGCAATGAATCTATAAATTACTTTGGGCAGTATGGCCATTTTCACGATATTGATTCATCCTATCCATGAGCATGGAATGTTTTTCCATTTGTTTGTGTCCGCTCTGATTTTCTTGAGCAGTGAATTGTAGTTCTCCTTGAAGATGTCCTTCACTTTCCTTGTTAGCTGTATTCCTAGGTATTTTATTCTCTTTGTAGCAATTGTGAATGGGAGTTCCTTCATGATTTGGCTCTCTGCCTGTCTATTGTTGGTGTATAGGAATGCTTGTGATTTTTGCACATTGATTTTGTATCCTGAGACTTTGCTGAAGTTGCTTATCAGCTTAAGAAACTTTTGGGCTGAGATGATGGGGTTTTCTAGATATAGGATCATGTCATCTGCAAACAGAGATAGTTTGATTTCCTCTCTTCCTATTTGAGTATCCTTTATTTCTTTCTCTTGCCTGATTATCCTGGCCAGAACTTCCAATACTATGTTGAATAGGAGTGGTGAAAGAGGGCATCCTTGTCTTGTGCTGGTTTTCAAGGGAAATGCCCATTTAGTATGAAATTGGCTGTGGGTTAATAAATGGTGCTGGGAGAATTGGCTAGCCATATGCAGAAAATAGAAACTGGACCCGTTCCTTACACCTTGTACAAAAATTAACTCAAGATGGATGAAAGACTTGGATGCAAAACCCGAAAACTATAAAAACCCTAGAAGAAAATCTAGGTAATACCATTCAGGACACAGGCATGGGCAAAGATTTCATGACAAAAACGTCAAAAGCAATTGTAACAAAAGCAAAAACTGACAAATGGGATCTAACTAAACTAAAGAGCTTCTGCTCAGCAAAAGAAAGTATCATCAGAGTGAACAGACAACCTACAGAATGGGAGAAAATGTTTGCAATCTATCAATTCACAAAAGTCTAATATCCAGAATCTACAAGGAAGTTAAACAAATTTACAAGAAAAAAAAAACCATTAAAAAGTGGGTAAAGGACATGAACAGTCACTTCTCAAAAGAAGACGTTTATGCAGCCAGTAAACATACAAAAAAAAGCTCAACATCACCAATCATTAGAGAAATGCAAATCAAAACCACATTTAGACACCATCTCACACCAGTCAAAATGGCGATTATTAAAAAGTCAAGAAACGCCGGGCACGGTGGCTCACGCCGGTAATCCCAGCACTTTGGGAGGCCGAGGCAGGCAGATCACAAGGTCAGGAGATCGAGACCATCCTGGCTAACACGGTGAAACCCCGTCTCTATTAAAAATACAAAAAATTAGCCGGGCGTGGTGGCGGGCGCCTGTAGTCCCAGCTATTCGGGAGGCTGAGGCAGGAGAATGGCGTGAACCCGGGAGGCGGAGGTTGCAGTGAGCCAAGATTGTGCCACTGCACTCCAGCCTGGGCGACAGAGCAAGACTCCATCTCAAAAAAAAAAAAAAAAAACCAACAAAAGTCAAGAAACAACAGGTGCTGGCGAGGCTGTGGAGAAATAGGAATGCTTTTACACTGTTGGGAATGTAAATTAGTTCATTGTGGAAGACAGTGTGGTGATTCCTCAAAGACCCAGAACCAGAAATCCTTTTTCCTTTTTTTTTTTTTTGAGATGTAGTATTGCTCAATAGCCCATGCTGGAGTGCAGTGGTGCGATCTCGGCTCACTGCAACCTCCACCTCCCAGGTTCAAGCAATTATCCTGTCTCAGCCTCCTAAGTAACTGGGACTACAGGCGCCTGCCACCATGCCTGGCTTTTTTTTTTTTTTTTCTTTTAGTAGAGATGGGGTTTTACCTTGTTGGTCATGCTGGTCTCAAACTTCTGACCTCAGGTGATCCACCTGCCTCGGCCTCCCAAAGTGCTGGGATTACAGGCGTGAGCCACCGCACCAGGGCCACCTTTTTTTTTTTTTTTTTTTTTTAAACAGAGTCTCACTCTGTCACCCAGGCTGGATTGCAGGGGCATGATCTCGGCTCACTGCAGCCTCTGCCTCCAGGGTTCAAGTGATTCTCCTGCCTCAGCCTCCCGAGTAGCTGGGACTGCAGGTGCATGCCACAACGCCTGGCTAATTTTTGGATTTTTGCTAGAGACGGGAGTTTCACCATGTTGGCCAGGGTGGTCTTGAGCTCCTGACCTCAGGTGATCTGCCCACCTCGGCCTCCCAAAGTGCTGGGATTACATGTGTGAGCCACTGCGCCTGGCCAGAAATACCATTTGACCCAGCAATCCCATTACTGGTTATATACCCAAAGGAATATAAATCATTGTATTATAAAGATACATGCACACATATGTTCATTGCAGCACTATTCACAATAGCAAAGACAAGGAATCAACCCAAATGCCCATCAATGATAGAAAGGATAAAGCAAATACAGTACATATACACCATGGAATACTATGCAGCCATAAAAAGGAATGAGATCATGTCCTTTGCAGGGACATGGATGGAGCTGGAAAACATTATCCTCAGCAAACTAACACAGGAACTGAAAACCAAACACTGCATGTTCTCACTTGTAAGTGGCAGCTGAACAATGAGATCACATGGACACAGGGAGGGGAACACCACACACTGGGGCCTGTAGGGGGAATTGGGGGAGGGAGAGGATCAGGATAAATAGCTGATGCGTGTGGGGCTTAATACCTAGGTGATGGGTTGATGGGTGCAGCAAACCACCATGGCACACGTTTACCTATGTAACAAACCTGCACGTCCTGCACATGGATTCTGGAACTGAAATTTTAATTGAAAAAAAAAAAAAAGGTTTATTAATGCATCTCACACGAAGAGAAATAACAAAGACCAAATAATACCCACACTCTCATTATGCCACCGAGAGCTGAGCATAAACTAGTTTTTTCCAAGCTGGTTCCACCATAAAAAGACTCCCAGGATAGTACCCACTGCAACAAGAGCTTCGTATTTATCAGCTGAGGCAGTTCAGGAATATTTTGGTGGCCTCAGGAGGCCCCTGGTTAAGAAAATGGCCTGGCCGGGCGCGGTGGCTCACGCCTGTATTCCCAGCACTTTGGGAGGCTGAGGCGGGTGGATCACAAGGTCAGGAGATCGAGACCATCCTGGCTAACACGGTGAAACCCCATCTCTACTGAAAATACAAAAAAATTAGCCAGGCGTGGTGGCGGGTGCCTGTAGTCCCAGCTACTCGGGAGGCTGAGGCAGGATAATGGTGTGAACCCGGGAGGCAGAGCTTGCAGTGAGCCGAGATTGCACCACTGCACTCCAGCCTGGACGACAGAGTAAGACTCTGTCTCAAAAAAAAAAAAAAAAAGAAAAAAAGAAAATGGCCTAAGTTGGAAGGTGGAGATCCCGTGTTCTGAGGCTAACACGAGCTCATTCTTCCTCTAGGCTCACGAAGACATGGATCCACATCTTATTATTCAAACTGAGATATAATTCACATACCATAAAATTCACCATGCCAACTAGGATGACTATGATTTTTAAAACAAAACAAACGGACAAGAAGTATTGGTGAGGATTTGGAAGAACCTTCTTATATTGCTGGTGGGAATATAAAATGGTGCAGCTGCTTTGAAAAACAGTCTGTGGCCAGGCGCAGCCTGTAATCCCAGCACTTTGAGAGGCCAAGGAGGGTGGATCACGAGGTCAGGAGATCGAGACCATCCTGGCCAACATGGTGAAACCCCGCCTCTACTAAAGTACAAAAAAAAAAGTTGGCCAGGCGTGATGGCAGGTGCCTGTAATCCCAGCTACTCGGGAGGCTGAGGGAGGAGAATCGCTTGAACCCAGGAGGTGGAGGTTGCAGTGAGCTGAGATCGCGCCACTGCACTCCAGCCTGGGCAACAGAATGAGACTCTGTCTCAAAAAAAAAAAAAAAAGAAAAAAAAGAAAGAAGTCTGGTAGTTCTTCAAAAAGTAAAACACAGAGTTACTGTATGACCCAGTGATTCCACCACCCCTGGGTGTGTACCCAAGAGAACAGAAAACTTATGTTCACACAAAAACCTGTACGTCAATGTTCACAGCAGCAATATTCATAACAGCAAAACGTGGAAAAAAAACCAAGTGTCTATCAATTGCTGAACGGATCTGCTTCTTACTAAGCCGGTCATGGAAGATAAGTCTTACACCTTTCGAATTTGTCTGTCTTCAGTGTCTGTGCAGTGTGTCAGAGAAAGGGGTTTCAGGGAGCCTAGATATCTCAAAAGGGGAATGGAGATATCTAGAGGATATAGGGAACCACGGGGAAGACCTAACATTGTTTTGCTTTCTTAGAATTCTCAGAAGCCACCGCTGAACTGACCGTCTCATTCACAAACGAAGTCTTCACAACTGGTGAGTAACCAGGCATTTCATGCTCAGCAGAAAGGAGTGTGAGGACGGAGCTCTCTCTTCCATTATCTAAGCCTGTAGGCTTTTAATCACTTCACCGAACTGTCCGTCTCTTACCAAGAAAGTCCTTGGTGTGAGGCTAGAGCATGGGTGCAGAGTGGAGCTCTGGGGTTCAGAAGGAGGAGCGTTTTGGGTGATGGGGCCATTTCAAAGATGGCGGAGCCAAGGCTGTGGCGGGACGACCGCCATCCCTACGCACTGCTCCCAGGATGAAGTCCTAGGCTTTGGACTCGGCTGTGATCCAGGTATTTAATCTCGCTCCTCACTGTGTCCAGGTAGAGCCCATGCTCGGACGCACACAGACTGTAGGCACCTGGACACAGCACATCTTCTAACCGCTCCAGGCCTCTGCAGATACGCTTTCCTCAGTCTCTTTCCCCTTGCCTGTCCTGGAAAATCTCCATTTCCTTCCAGACTAAACACCTTCACAGATTCCCTGATAATAGGTTAGATACTTCCACTGGGCCCACATGACTCTGGCTTTCATGAGGCACCTGATCCCACGTAGTTCTATTTTTTATTTTTTTGAGGTGGAGTCTTGCTCTGTCGCCCAGGCTGGAGTGCAGTGGTGCGATCTCGGCTCACTGTAACCTCTGCTGCCCGGGTTCAAGCGATTCTCCTGCCTCAGCCTCCCGAGTAGCTGGGATTATAGGTGCATGCCACCACACCTGGCTAATTTTTGTATTTTAGTAGAGACGGGGTTTCAGCATCTTGGGAAGGCTGGTCTTGAACTCCTGACCTCATGATCCACCTGTCTCGGCCTCCCAAAGTGCTGGGATTGGAGGCATGAGCCACCGCGCCCGGCATATCCCAGGGAGTTCTGTGATGGAAGCCTTCCCTATCTTCAGTTCGGAACCTCCCAATCACCCTCAGGATGCAGTTCCAATTCCTCAGCTTGCTATTCTGTGAGCTTAGATATCCAGCCCCTGTTGATCCCTCCAATTTTGTCTGCATACCTTCCACGCATTCCCATGCTGTTCTCAGCCACACACAGTCACTTGAAGCTCTCCTGGAGGCTTCCTAACCTCTCCTGACTCTGCACCCAACCCACTCACTCTGCCTTTTCTTCCATTTCCCCATGGCATCAATTCCTCAAGAAAGCCTTGACCGTCCAGGCTGGATCGATGGTTTCCTCTGCTCTCGCTCAGTGTCTTGTGGGCTGCCTATTACAGCAATTTTTACAGTATATTAAAATTATCGCTTTGTCTGTAATCCCAGCACTTTGGGAGGCCAAGGTGAGTGGATCACCTGAGGTCAGGAGACCAGCCTGGCCAACATGCTGAAACCCCGTCTCTACTGAAAATACAAAAATTAGCCGGGCGTGGTGGTGGGCACCTGTAATTCCAGCTACTTGGGAGGCTGAGGCAGGAGAATCGCTTGAACTCACGAGTTGGAGGTTGCAGTGACCTGAGATCACACCACAGCACTCCAGCCTGGGCAACAGAGTGAGACTCCGTATTAAAAAAAAAAAAAAATCGCTTTACTTTTTGGTCTCCTGCAATAGTCTGGGAACCGCAGATGGACAATGTCTTATGGTTTTTTTGTTTTTTGTTGTTGTTTTTGAGACGGAGTCTCACTCTGCTCACTCTGTGATCTGTGATTTCGGCTCACTCTGCGATCTCAGCTCACTGCAATCTCCGGCTCCTGAGTAGCTGGGACTACAGGTGTGTGCCACCATGCCCAGCTATTTTTTGTATTTTTAGTAAAGACGGGGTTTCACCATGTTGGCCAGGATGGTCTCGATCTCTTGACCTCAGGTGATCCGCCCACCTTGGCCTCCCAAAGTGCTGGGATTACAGGCATTCAGCCAGTGTCATGCCTGGCCTGACAATGTCTTATTAATATTTGGGTTCCCATGGCCCAGCACATGGCTGAGTACCTGGCGAGTCTCAGGAGATACTTGAGGAATAAGAGAGCTGGAGGCCGGGTGCAGTGGCTCACGCCTGTAATCCCAGCACTTTGGGAGGCCTAGGCGGGCGGATCACAAGGTCAGGAGTTCAAAACCAACCTGGCCAATATGGTGAAATCCCATCTCTACTAAAAATACAAAACTTAGCTGGGCGTGGTGGCGGACGCCTGTAGTCCCAGCTACTCGGGAGGCTGAGGCAGGAGAATCGCTTGAGCCCAGGAGGCGGAGGTTGAAGTGAGCCGACATCGGGCCACTGCACTCCAGCCTGGGAGACAGAGCCAGACTCTGTCTCAAAAAAAAAAAAAAAAAAGCTGGCACGTATGAGGTGCTCATATGTCAAGCACGGTGCTTTATATTTCTACCATTATTATTATCTTGACTTTCACATCAACCTATAAGGGATCTTGTTAATTTTATTGGACACATGGGGAACTGGCTCACAGATGCTGAGTCACTTGCCAGATAACTGACATCTAATAGGTGATAGAGTTGGGGTTCAAATCTGGAGGACAGCCTGACTCTACAGTTCTTGCTTTTTTTTTTTTGGACAGGGTCTCGCTCTGTTTCCCAGGCTAGAGTGCAGTGGTACAATCCTGGCTCACTGCAGCCTCAACCTCCCAGGGCTCAGGTGATCTTCCTGCCTCAGCCTCCACTGAGTAGCTGGGATTACTGGCACGTGCCACCACGCCTGGCTAATTTTTGTATTTTTTTGTAGAGATAGGGTTTTTCTATGTTGCTCAGGTTGGTCTTGAACTCCTGGACTCAAGCCAGCCTCCTACCTCAGCCTCCCAAAGTGCTGGGATTATAGGCATGAGGCACCGTGCCCGGCCCATGCTTTTCTTAAATGCTGTGGAATTGTGCCTCCCCATGTGTGTGTGTGTTCGGAGTAGGCACAGTGACAGGGGGCGGGAATATGGTTTCATTTCACACTTAGCCTTTGTTTGGTTCCCAGAGACTTCTAGGAGTATCACCGCCAGTCCAAAGGAGTCAGACTCTCCAGCTGGTGAGTAAGTCATCCTCTCCAGACCCCCTTCCTTCTCACCCGTCTCTTCACCAAAGCCAACTCCTTTGTCTACGCAGGGGCTGCAGCTCTCAGATCTTGGGTTCCAGTGTGTAGAGTAAAGGCAGAATATCAGCGTATGGGGTTCAGAATTGGGCATTAAGATCAGGTGGGAAGGTTGAGATTTTAAAAAGGGTCAGAGAAAGAGAGATTCCATCTCTTCCCCACCCCTTATAACTGTCCTCTCTTTTGCAATGCATCAGATAACGAGGCAGCATCTGTGTCTGGGGAGGAGTTGTCTCAGAGCCCTGTGAGAGCACAGGAGGGAGAGGTGCTACTTAGAGAATTGGGGTCATCTGGCCCTGACCCCTACTCGGGAAGGGAGGGACCCTCCAGGAAAGTGAGCGGCATCCCCTAGCTAGTAGAGAATAATAGGATCTCTGAGAAGCCCAGATGTGGCTTGGAGGGGGTCCTGGAGGTGGGCTCTTTCACCTGCTCCTGCCTCTCCTCATTCCTCCAGGTCCTGCCCGCCAGTACTACACCAAGGGCAACCTGGTCCGGATATGCCTCGGGGCTGTGATCCTAATAATCCTGGCGGGGTTTCTGGCAGAGGACTGGCACAGCCGGAGGAAGCGCCTGCGGCACAGGGGCAGGGCTGTGCAGAGGCCGCTTCCGCCCCTCCCGCCCCTCCCGCTGACCCGGAAATCAAACGGGGGTCAGGATGGAGGCCGACAGGATGTTCACAGCCGCGGGTTATGTTCATGACCGCTGAACCCCAGGCACGGTCGTATCCAAGGGAGGGATCATGGCATGGGAGGCGACTCAAAGACTGGCGTGTGTGGAGCGTGGAAGCAGGAGGGCAGAGGCTACAGCTGTGGAAACGAGGCCATGCTGCCTCCTCCTGGTGTTCCATCAGGGAGCCGTTCGGCCAGTGTCTGTCTGTCTGTCTGCCTCTCTGTCTGAGGGCACCCTCCATTTGGGATGGAAGGAATCTGTGGAGACCCCATCCTCCTCCCTGCACACTGTGGATGACATGGTACCCTGGCTGGACCACATACTGGCCTCTTTCTTCAACCTCTCTAATATGGGCTCCAGACGGATCTCTAAGGTTCCCAGCTCTCAGGGTTGACTCTGTTCCATCCTCTGTGCAAAATCCTCCCGTGCTTCCCTTTGGCCCTCTGTGCTCTTGTCTGGTTTTCCCCAGAAACTCTCACCCTCACTCCATCTCCCACTGCGGTCTAACAAATCTCCTTTCGTCTCTCAGAACGGGTCTTGCAGGCAGTTTGGGTATGTCATTCATTTTCCTTAGTGTAAAACTAGCACGTTGCCCGCTTCCCTTCACATTAGAAAACAAGATCAGCCTGTGCAACATGGTGAAACCTCATCTCTACCAACAAAACAAAAAAACACAAAAATTAGCCAGGTGTGGTGGTGCATCCCTATACTCCCAGCAACTCAGGGGGCTGAGGTGGGAGAATGGCTTGAGCCTGGGAGGCAGAGGTTGCAGTGAGCTGAGATCACACCACTGCACTCTAGCTCGGGTGACGAAGCCTGACTTTGTCTCAAAAAATACAGGGATGAATATGTCAATTACCCTGATTTGATCATAGCACGTTGTATACATGTACTGCAATATTGCTGTCCACCCCATAAATATGTACAATTCTGTATACATTTTTAAAATCATAAAAATAAGATAATGCACCGTCTCCACCCCTCTCATATTTACTTTCTGAAGGAAATGTTAGGTCTTCTCAAGGTAAAGTTCTATATTTATTATAGCGTTTAGGCATTTCTTGACCATCTAATGAGTGTAAAACTGTACCACTGGGCCAAGTGCAGTGGATCATGTCTGTAATCCTAGCACTGTGGGAGGCCAAGGCAGGAGGATCGCTTGAGCCCAGGAGTTCAAGACCAGCCTGGGCAACATAGTGAGACCCCATCTCTACTTAAAATAAAGAAGATAAAAATTGTTTTAAAAAAGGAAAAGAATGGCTGGCCACAGTGGCTCACGCCTGTAATCCCGGCACTTTGGGAGGTTGAGGTAGGTGAGTCACTTGGGAAAAGACAGAAGGATGGCACCAAGAAGTTCCAGGACGACGGCTGTGAATCAGGGCTAGTGAGCACACAGCTTGGGTGAAGGGGGAATGGGAAAGTTGCTTAGAGAAGCCTCCAAATGTAAGAATGGGTCAATTCCTCGTCTTAACATAGTGGAAAATCATACTGAGATGCTATCAGAAGACAGAGGAAAAATAATTTTAGAGGTCAAGTAAACTAAGTAGATTTTAAAAAGACCAGTATAGCCTAGGCACAGTGGCTCACACCTGTAATCCCAGCACTTTGGGAGGCTGAGGCGGGATCGCTTGAGCCTAAGAGTTCGAGACCAGCCTGGGCAACATGGTGAAACCTTGTCTCATATACAAAAAATATAAAAAATTAGCTGGGTGTGGTACCACATGCCTACTCTCAGGTACTCAGGAGGCTGAGGTTGGGGATCACCTGAGCCCGGGGAGGTTGAGGCTGCAGTGAGCCATGATTGCACCACTGCTGTCAAACCTGGGTGACAGAGTGAGACCCTGCCTCAAAAGAAAATAAAAATAAAAAACAAATATAAACTTTAGGGGAACAATAACAACAACAAAAATAAAAGAAGCAAGTTATATTACCCGAAAATTCTCGGCTGCGAATATCTGTGGGTATAAACATGTGATACTGGCCGGGCGTGGTGGCTCATGCCTGTAATCCCAGCACTTCGGGAGGCTGAGGTGGGCAGATCACGAGGTCAGGAGATCGAGACCAGCTCAGCCAACATGGTGAAACCCTGTCTCTACTAAAAATACAAAAATTAGCCAGTCGTGGTGGCACACGCCTGTAGTCCCAGCTACTCAGGAGACTGAGGCTGCAGTGAGCTGAGATTGCGCCACTGCACTCCAGCCTGGGTGACAGAGTGAGACTCTGTCTCAAAAAAAAAAAATGTGATACTGAATGTTGATATGCAGACATAGAGATAAACATTGGAAGAGAAAAAACAGTAAGAACAACGCTGTAGAATAACTAAGGCCCCGCCTATTATGATAGGAATCCAGTAAGTCTAAGCTCATTCACATGGTTACATGTTTTTAGAAACCTAATATTAACAAGTTCCTAAAGAAAACAGCTAAAAGTGGGTGTCTCTTAGGCGGAGCAATGGAGGAGATGGTTAGTCAGCCACTGCATTTTGTACACACCCTTTTAGTGCTATTGGAATTTTTTAGGTAGGTGCTGTCAGGCCTCTGAGCCCAAGCTAAGCCATCATATCCCCTGTGACCTGCACGTACACATCCATATGGCTGGTTCCTGCCTTAACTGATGACATTCCACCACAAAAGAAGTGAAAATGGCCTGTTACTGCCTTAACTGATGACATTGTCTTGTGAAATTCCTTCTCCTGGCTCATCCTGGCTCAAAAGCTCCCCTACAGAGCACCTTGTGACCCCCACTCTGCCCGCCAGAGAACAACCCCGCTTTGACTGTAATTTTCCTTTACCTACCCAAATCCTATAAAACGGCCCCACCCCATCCCCCTTCGCTGACTCTCTTGTCGGACTCAGCCCACCTGCACCCAGGTGATTAAAAGCTTTATTGCTCACACAAAGCCTGTTTGGTGGTCTCTTCACATGGACGCACATGAAATTTGGTGCCGTGACTTGGATCGGGGGACCTCCCTTGGGAGATCAATCCCCTGTCTTGCTCTTTGCTCTGTGAAAAAGATCCACCTACGACCTCAGGTCCTCAGACCCACCAGCCCAAGGAACATCTCACCAAGTTTAAATTGGGTAAGCGACCTCTTCTTACTCTCTTCTCCAACCTCTCTCACTGTCCCTCAACCACTTTCTCCTTTCCACTCTTCAATCTCTCCCTTCTCTTAATTTCAATTCCTTTCATTTTCTGGTAGAGACAAAGGAGACACGTTTTATCTGTGGACCCAAAACTCCGGCGCCGGTCACGGACTAGGGAAGGCAGCCTTCCCTTGGCGTTTAATCATTGCAGGGACGCCTCTCTGATTATATACCCACGCTTCAGAGGTGTCAGATCACGCAGGGATGCCTGCCTTGGTCCTTCACCCTTAGTGGCAAGTCCCACTTTTCTGGGGAAGGGGCAAGTTCCCCAACCCCTCCTCTCCATGTCTCTACCCCTTCTCCACCTTTCTGGGGGGCAAGAAACCCCCAACCCCTTCTCCTTCACTCTTAGCGGCAAGTCCCGCTTTTCTAGAGGGGCAAGTACCCCAACCTCGTATCTCTGCACCCTGATCCCTTATTTCCATGCCCCAACCTCTTATCTCTGTGCCCCAACCCCTTATATCCATGCCCCAACCCCTTTCCCGCTTTTCTGGAAGGTAAGAACTCCCGAACCCCTTCCCTCCGTGTCTCTACTCTCTCTTTTCTCTAGGCTTGCCTCCTTCACTATGGGCAACCTTCCACCCTCCATTCCTCCTCCTTCTCTCCCTTGGCCTGTGTTCTCAAAAACTTAAAACCTCTTCAACTCACACCTGACCTAAAACCTAAATGCCTTATTTTCTTCTGCAATGCCGCTTGACCCCAATACAAACTGGACAGCAGTTCCAAATAGCCAGAAAACAGCACTTTCAATTTTTCCATCCTGCAAGATCTAAATAATTCTTGTCGTAAAATGGGCAAACGGTCTGAGGTGCCTGACGTCCAGGCATTCTTTTACACATCAGTCCCTTCCTAGTCTCTGTGCCCAGTGCAACTCGTCCCAAATCTTCCTTCTTTCCCTCCTGCCTGTCCCCTCAGTCTCAACCCCAAGCGTCGCTGAGTCTTTCTAATCTTCCTTTTCTACAGACCCGTCTGACCTCTCCCTCCTCCCCAGGCTGAGCTAGGTCCCAATTCTTCCTCAGCCTCCGCTCCTCCACCGTATTATCTTTTTATCACCTCCCCTCCCCACACCTGGTCCAGCTTACAGTTTCGTTCAGTGACTAGCCCTCTTCCACCTGCCCAGCAATTTACTCTTAGAAAGGTGGCTGGAGCTAAAGGCATAGTCAAGGTTAATGCTCCTTTTTCTTTATCCCAAATCAGATAGTGTTTAGGCTCTTTTTCATCAAATATAAAAATCCAGCCCAATTCATGGCTCGTTCGCCAGCAACCCTGAGAAGCTTTACAGCCCTAGACCCTTAAAAGTCAAAAGGCCGTCTTATTCTTAATACACATTTTATTACCCAATCTGCTCCCGACATTAAATAAAACTCCAAAAATTAAATTCCGGCCCTCAAACCCCACAACAGGATTTAATTAACCTCGCCTTCAAGGTGTACAATAATAGAAAAAAGTTGCAATTCCTTGCCTCCACTGTGAGACAAACCCCAGCCACATCTCCAGCACACAAGAAGGGAACTGAACCGCAGCGGCCAGGCGTTCCTCCAGAACCTCCTCCCCCAGGAGCTTGCTACAAGTGCCAGAAATCTGACCACCAGGCCAAGGAATGCCTGCAGCCCAGGATTCCTCCTAAGCCGTGTCCCATCTGTGCGGGACCCCACTGGAAATCGGACTGTTCAACTCACCTGGCAGCCACTCCCAGAGCCCCTGGAACTCTGGCCCAAGGCTCTCTGACTCCTTCTCGGCTTAGCGGCTGAAGACTGATGCTGCCCAATCGCCTCGGAAGCTCTGTAGACCATCACGGATGCCGAGCTTCGGGTAACACTCACGGTGGAAGGTAAGTCCGTCGCCTTAGTCAATACGGAGGCTACCCACTCCACATTACCTTCTTTTCAAGGGCCTGTTTCTCTTGCCTCCATAACTGTTGTGGGTATTGACGGCCAGGCTTCTAAACCCCTGAAAACTCCCCCACTCTGGTGCCAACTTGGACAACACTCTTTTATGCACTCTTTTTTAGTTATCCCCACCTGCCCAGTTCCCTTATTAGGCCGAGATATTTTAACCAAATTATCTGCTTCCCTGACTATTCCTGGACTACAGCCGCATCTCATTGCCACCCTTCTCCTCAACCCAAAGCCTCCTTCGCGTCTTCCTCTCCTATTCCCCCACCTTAACCCACAAGTATGGGACATCTCTACTCCTTCCCTGGCAACTGATCACATACCCGTTACCATCCCATTAAAACCTAATCACCCTTACCCTGCTCAATGCCAATATCCCATCCCACAGCACACTTTAAAAGGATTAAAGCCTGTTATCACTCGCCTGCTATAGCATGGGCTTCTAAAACCTATAAACTCTCCTTACAATTCCCCCATTTTACCTGTCCAAAAACCGGAAAAGTCTTACAGATTAGTTCAGGATCTGCGCCTTATCAAATTGTTTTGCCTATGCACCCTGTGGTGCCCAACCCCTACACTCTTTTGTCCTCAATACCTTCCTCCACAACTCACTATTCCATGCTTGATCTTAAAGATGCTTTTTTCACTATTCCCCTGCACCCCTCGTCCCAGCCTCTCTTCGCTTTCACTTGGACTGACCCTGACACCCATTAGGCTCAGCAAATTACCTGGGCTGTACTGCTGCAAGGTTTCACAGACAGCCCCCATTACTTCAGTCAAGCCCAAAGTTCATCCTCATCTGTTACCTATCTCGGCATAATTCTCATAAAAACACACGTGCTCTCCCTGCTGATCGTGTCTGACTGATCTCTCAAGCCCCAGCACCTTCTACAAAACAACAACTCCTTTCCTTCCTAGGCATGGTTAGCGCGGTCAGAACTCTTACACAAGAGCCAGGACCACACCCTGTAGCCTTTCTGTCCAAACAACTTGACCTTACTGTTTTAGCCTAGCCCTCATATCTGCGTGCTGTGGCTGCCGCTGCTTTAATACTTTTAGAGGCCCTCAAAATCACAAACTATGCTCAACTCACTCTCTACAGCTCTCATAATTTCCAAAATCTATTTTCTTACTCACACCTGATGCATATACTTTCTGCTCCCTGGCTCCTTCAGCTGTACTCACTCTTTGTTAAGTCCCACAATTACCATTGTTCCTGGCCCGGACTTCAATCTGGCCTCCCACATTATTCCAGATACCACACCTGACCCCCATGACTGCATCTCTCTGATCCACCTGACGTTCACCCCATTTCCCCACATTTCCTTCTTCCCTGTTTCTCACCCTGATCACACTTAGTTTATTGATGGCGGTTCCACCAGGCCTAATCGCCACACACCAGCAAAGGCAGGCTATGCTATGGTACAAGCCACTAGCCAGCCTCTTAGAACCTCTCATTTCCTTTCCATTGTGGAAATCTATCCTCAAAGAAATCACTTCTCAGTGTTGCATCAGCTATTCTACTACTCCTCATGGATTATTCAGGCCCCCTCCCTTCCCTACACATCAAGCTCAAGGATTTGCCCCCGCCCAGGACTGGCAAATTAGCTTTACTCAACATGCCCCGAGTAAGATAACTAAAATACCTCTTAGTCTAGGTAGACACTTTCACTGGGTAAGTACAGTCCTTTCCTACAGGGTCTGAGAAGGCCACCGCAGTCATTTCTTCCCTTCTGTCAGACATAATTCTTCAGTTTAGCCTTGTCATTCCCTTCTGTCAGACAAAATTCCTCAGTTCAGCCTTCCCACCTCTATACAGTCTGCTAACAGACCAGCCTTTATTAGTCAAATCAGCCAAGCATTTTTTCAGGCTCTTAGTATTCAGTGACAGACTAATGGTCTATTAAAAACACACCTCACCAAGCTCAGCCACCAACTTAAAAAGGACTGGACAATACTTTTACCATTTTCGCTTCCAGAATTCAGGCCTGTCCTTGGAATGCTACAAGATACAGCCCATTTAAGCTCCTGTGTAGACACTCCTTTTTATTAGGCCCCAGTCTCATTCCAGACACCAGACCAACTTAGATTGTGCCCCAAAAAACTTGTCATCCCTACTATCTTCTGTCTAGTCATACTCCTATTCACCGTTCTCAACTACTCACACATGCCCTGCTCTTGTTTACACTGCCAGTTTACACTGTTTCTCCAAGCCAGCACAGCTGGTATCTCCTGGTACTATCCCCATACCGCCACTGTTAACTCTTAAAATAAATAAATAATCTTTGCTGGCAAGGCTATGCTGAACCTCCTTAGGCACTTTCTAATTAGATGTCCTGAGTCGTCCCAATTCTTAGACCTTTAATACCTGTTTTTCTCCTTTCCTTATTCCCTTTAGTTTTTCAATTCATACAAAACTGTATCCAGGCCATCACCAATAATTCTAAATGACAAATGTTTCTTTTAACAATCCCACAATGTCACCCCTTACCACAAAATCTTCCTTCAGCTTAATCGCTCCCACTTTAGGTTCCCACGCCGCCCCTAATCCTGCTCAAAGCAGCCTTGAGAAACATCACCCATTATCTCTCCATACCACCCCCAAAAATTTTTGCTGTCCCAACACTTTACCCCTATTTCATTTTATTTTTCTTATTAATATAAGAAGACAGGAATGTCAGGCCTCTGAGCCCAAGCTAAGCCATCATATCCCCTGTGACCTGCACGTACACATCCAGATGGCCGGTTCGTGCCTTAACTGATGACATTCCACCACAAAAGAAGCGAAAATGGCCTGTTCCTGCCTTAACTGATGACATTGTCTTGTGAAATTCCTTCTCCTGGCTCATCCTGGCTCAAAAGCTCCCCTACTGAGCACCTTATGACCCCGACTCTGCCCGCCAGAGAACAACCCCCCTTTGACTGTAATTTTCCTTTACCTACCCACATCCTATAAAACGGCCCCACCCCTATCCCCCTTCGCTGACTCTCTTGTCAGACTCAGCCCACCTGCACCCAGGTGATTAAAAGCTTTATTGCTCACACAAAGCCTGTTTGGTGGTCTCTTCACACGGACGTGCATGAAAGGTGCGTGTATATTTTTGTAACACAATAAATAATAACAGTATACACTTTTTCTTTTAGAAGTATGCTGTTAAACAGAATTAAGAACAGGAAGTCTCAAAATTGTTTCTTTCAGGAGAGAAGACTTATTAATGGGGGAGAGTTCTGAACCACTTGCTTTGCATACTGCCACTTAGTTAAAAAATCGCATTTTAACTTAAAAATATCCAAAAATAACACAGTTTTATAATAAATTATTACGAATATCACAAAATAATAAAAATACAAGTAATGCAGAGTGGAAATGCAAAGCTATGAGTGCTAGACGGCTAACAAGTCATAACAAACAACACCAAAATTAAAGAACAAGATAGTTGTGACTTACCTTGGTCAATCACTTTCCATAGTAGTCATTCAATCCAGGATCTCATCTCTGAAAATGAAGGAAAAAAGCAACAGAAAATAGTGTAGAGGTCTCTGGTGTTCCAAGAATAGGCGCTGCAGAGAGATGTGGGTGCCTGGGCTGTGCCCAGTCACTGAAATGGCACACCTGATGCTACCTGTTCACTTCGGGCTGAGCAGGAGAGAGAAAAGACGTTCCCCTCAGCCACTTCCCGTCTTCTGATTTCACTTCTTGCCTGCCTCCGACTGCAAATCCTGGTTTGACGTCACTTCCTGTCTTCTGATTTTACTTCCTGTATGACCTCACTTCCTGTCTTCTACAACCACTTCCTGTCTTCTTACTTCACTTCCTGTCTTCTGACTTTACTTCCTGTATGACTTCACTTCTTGTCTTCTACCACCACTTCCTGTCTTCCGAATTTACCTCCTATCTTGACTTCACTTCTTGTTTTTTTTTTTTTTTTTTGACAGGGTCTCGCTCTGTCTCCTAGGGTGGAGTGCAGTTGTGCCAGCTTGAAACCACCTTTCCAAAATTATGACTGAGACAGTGAAAGAGATTTAACTGACTCCATTTTGCTTCTAACCTCCAAGCTGTCCTTTTTCATTCCTGGGCATAGGCTGAACTTTGGGAGAAACTTATAGTTTAAACAAAGATGATAGCCCTTTTCCAAAGCACACCTCTTTGTTGCCTGGGGACTAGATTGGCCCTGTAGGACGAACATTAGCCACGAGATTAGAAATTATGACTTAGGAGTCATGCAGCTGGAGGCTACAAGATTGTGACCCTCCCTAAACTGCTTCTAAGATCAGCGTTTAACTTGCAGACCCTGTACTTGATGGATCAGCTGGCACCACCCATATCAATAAACTGGCCCATCTTATCTTTTGGCCTCCACTCAGGAACTGAGTGCAAGAAGATAGCTTTGGCTCCCACGATTTCATCCCTGACCAAACAGCACTCCTGGCTCACTGGCTTCCCACCCACCCACCAAGTTATCCTTAAAAACGCTTCCTGAATGCTGGGAGACACTGATTTGAATAATAATAAAACTCTGGTCTCTCGTAGAGCCAGCTCTGCATGAATTATTCTCTATTGCGATTCCCTGTCTTGACGAATCAGCTCTGTCTAGGCAGTGGGCAAGGTGAACACATTGGACTATTACAATCTTGGCTCACTGCAACCTCCACCGCCTGGGTTCAAGTGATTCTCCTGCCTCAGACTCCCAAGTAGCTGAGATCACAGACGTGCACTACCATGCTCAGCTACATTTTTTTTTCTGTCCCCCGGGCTGGAGTGCAATGGTGCGATCTCGGCTCATTGCAACCTCCGCCTTCCGGGTTTAAGCGATTCTCCTGCCTCAGCCTCCAGAGTAGCTGGGATTACAGGCATGCACCACCAAGCCTGGCTACTTTTGGTATTTTTAGTAGAGACAGGGTTTCACCATGTTGGCCAGGCTGGTCTCAAACTCCTGACCTCATGTGATCCACCTGCCTCTGCCTCCCAAAGTGCTGGGATTACAGGTGCGATCCACCATGCCCAGCCCATTCCGTCTTCTGACTTGACTTCCTGCCTGACTTCACTTCCTGAAGGATGTGGTTACCATGGAAGTTGTTTTGGGGCACAGGATGTGGTCTGGGATTGGGGATTGTGAAAAGCAAGACCCTCACCGGGGTCTTTCTTCCAGAGCTGCAGCTGAGCCACAGGATCTTGAACAGGAGAGAGTTCTTCCTATTCTTGTGGAAGAGCTGAGGATTGAGAAAAGCGCGGCTTAGCTCATGGGAGTGACCTTAGCTTTGAGAAGCCTGAAAATGAGGCTTGGAGGTAGAGAGTGGTGTGTGTGTGTGCGCGTTGGGGGAGGGGGTCAGGCTCTCATGACTTCTGGCTCTTTTTTTTGCTCCAGGAACATTTCCCAAGCCCACCATCTGGGCTAACCCAGCCCTCGTGGTTCCTGGGTGCAAACATGGCCGTGGAATTGTGGAATGGTTTTTTTTGTATCCTTAGCAGAGAACCCAGTGAATACTTTGTTCTTGATCATCAATGTGATGAGATCCAGAGCAAGCAAGTGCTAATGCTGCTGTGAGCCTGAGGCCACATTTTCAGAATTCAGTGATGGGCGGAGGCGAGTGGTCACAGGTATAGGGAGAGCAGTACTTGTTCATCTCTGAACGTATAGATTCAGACACACATGAACCCATGTGCCACAGGTTTCCCTGTTTAGGACTTGTAGGTCATGGGGGTGGGCATCTGAGAGTGTGGCTACATGAAATACACACGTTGGAGAAAGATGGTTAATTGTGAGTGCGAGTTTACATTTCATGGGCCCCTGGGGTGTCGATAGTTCCTCAATGGATGTAGATCCGTTACTCAATTTCTTCTCTAAAGATGGGGCTAGATTACAATGGTTCTCAACCTAAGAAAACTTTGCATTTCAGGAAATATTTTCTACTGCCCAGAGACATTTTTGATCACTGTTAACTGTGAGGATGTGAGCTGGTATCTAGGGGGTAGAGGCTAGGGATGGTGCCGAACACCCTGGAAATGTACAGGACGTTTCCCAACGAGTAGTGATCCGATCCCAAATGTCAATAGTGTGGAGAAGGAGAAACCTTTAGTTTCTTCACGCAATGTCCTTTTTAAACTTTGTGCCTCTCTTTTTACCAACCTTCCCCCTTCTTCCCGCTGAAACTGAGAATAAAGATGCTCTGGAGGCCGGGCACGGTAGCTTATGTCTGTAATCCCAGCACTTTGGGAGACCGAGGCAGGCAGATCGCTTGAGGTTAGGGGTTCGAGACCAGCCTGGCCAGCGCGGTGAAACCCTGTCTCTACTAAAAATGCAAAAATTATCCGGGAGCCTGAGGCAGAATTGCTTGAACTTGGGAGGCAGAGGCTGCAGTAAGCCGAGGTCACACCACTGCACTCCAAACCGGGCAATGGAGCGAGACTGTCAAAAAAAAAAAAAAATGCTCAGGGAATGACCCATGCCGCATTGAACAAGGACACCTTGAACCAGGAAACCTCAGAAGCCCACACTGTATGCAGTGGAACTGGAAAGTGATGGAGTGGTTTAAAGGTAGTATCAGAGAACTTGGATCTAGTCGGTGGGAATAAACCAATAGCCCCTGATGAAGAAATGAAAGTAGGAAGAGAGATTAACTTTTTTAGTTTTAAATTTAAATATTAAAACTACTTTTGACCAGGTGTGGTGGCTCATGCCTATAATCCCAGCATTTGGGGAGGCCAAGGTGGGCAGATCACCTGAGCTCAGGAGTTCAAGACCAGTCTGGACAACGTGGCAAAACCCTATCTCTACCAAAAATGCAAAAATTACCTGGGTGCAGTGGTGCACACCTGTGGTCCCAGCTACATGGGAGGCTGAGATGGGAGAACTGCTTAAACTGGGGAGGTGGAGGCTGCAGTGACCCGAGATCGTGCCATTGCATTCCAGCCTGGGTGAAAGAGCAAGATTCTGCCACCAAAAAAAAAAAAAAAAAAAAAAAAAAAAAAGAAAAAAATGTTGCCAGGTGCGGTGACTTATACCTGTAATCCCAGCACTTTGGGAGACCAAGGCTGGTGGATCACCTGAGGTCGGGAGTTCGAGACCAGCCTGACCAACATGGAAAAACCCCGTCTCTGCTAAAAATTCAAAATTAGCCAGGCTTGGTGGCACATGCCTATAATCCCAGCTACTCAGTAGGTCGAGGCAAGAGAATCGCTTGAACCCGGGGAGGCGGAGGTTGCAGTGAGCCAAAATCGTGCCATTGCACTCCAGCCTGGGCAACAAGAAGAAACTGTCTCAAAACAAACAAAAAAAAACATGATTAGTGTTTAATAAAAATTTGTACTGTTCTTTTTCCCCCTTACCGTCCATTTGTTTGCTCATCCAGTAAACACAGACAGCAACAAAGTCTCCCCATGAGAAGCAACTTTGCCAACTAGTGTTGTCTTTATAGTACAGTTCGTTTTGTTTGTGGTTTTACAGCGTAGAGCTTGCACTGCTGCTTTGTTGAATTTGGAATTCTGTATCACAAGGAAATAATGGAGACTCTATAGTGAAAAACTATGCATACCATGAGATTTTGTTTTTTTTTGGAGAAGGAGTCACTCTGTTGCCCAAGCTGGAATGCAGTAGTGCAGTCTTCAGCACAGTGCAACATCCACCTCCTGGGTTTAAGCAATTCTCCTGCCTCAGCCTCCCAAGTAGCTGGGATTACAGGCATGTGCCACCATGCCTGGCTAATTTTTTATATTTTTAGTAGAGACGGGGTTTCACCACGTTGGCCAGGTTGGTCTCCAACTCCTGACTTCGTGATCCACCCACCTCAGCCTCCCGAAGTGCTGGGATTACAGGTGTGAGCCACCGTGCCTGGCCGAGATTCTATTTTAAGTTAGAATTTTTAAAAAGCAAAATCAGAGCAATGACATGGTCATATATGAGCTACACCGAAGCACCTAAAATATTGTAGATTGGTAGGAGAAATCCTCTGGCAAGTAATACTCAGCAGGCAGTGATCCACGCAGGTCAACAAGTAACAAGACAGGCTAGGCACAGTGGTTCACACCTGTAATCCTAGCACTTTGGGAGGCTGAGGCAGGAATATTACTTGCGCCTGGGAGTTTGAGATCAGCCTGGGCAACATAGTGAGACCCTGTCTTCAAAAAAAATCCCACAAAAATTGGCCTGGTTTGGTGGTGTGCACCTGTAGTCCCAGCTACTGAGGAGGCTGAGGCTGGAGGATCGCTTGAACCTGGGAGCTTGAGGCTGCAGTGAGCTATCATCATGCTGCTGTATTCCAGCCTGGGCAACAGAGCAACACTCATGCTTGAGGAAAAAGAAAAAGAAAAAAAAAAAAGCCGGGTACAGTGGCTCATGCCTGTAATCCCAGCACTCTGGGAGGCTGAGGTGGGTGGATCACTTGAGGTCAGGAGTTTGAGACCAGACTGGCCAACATGGTGAAACCTCATCTCTATTAAAAATACAAAAAAATTTAGCCGGGTGTGGTGGGGGATGCTTGTAATCCCAGCTACTCAGGAGGCTGAGACAGGAGAATCGCTTGAACCTGCCAGGTTGTAGTAAGCTGAGATCGTGCCAGTGTACTCCAGCGTGGGCAACAGAGTGAAACTCAGTCTAAAAAAAAAAAAAAAAAAAAAGAAAAGAAAAAAGAAAGGAAATACCAAGGCAAGGCAAAGATTGACAAGGCAATAGAAATCAATGCAATTAAACACTGTCACTTCCCCCACCCCCCAGGTTCTACCCAGTAAGATATCTTTTCTCTAACTTGTCAAAGCCCATTATTAAGTAACAGCTTCATTTGTGAATGCTCTCACCTTTATTTCTCTCAATATACCCGTGATACAGATATTTCATATGTAACAAAGATAAGGATGTGTGCAGGTATAAAACAGAGGCAGAATCATGGCTAAAACATCTAGCCCAGCAATGAACTCATTATCCCTGAGGGGTAGGGGCCGGGGAGGAGAGGAGTCACAGGCAGTTCACCAACACCTGGAAAATCGATGACTTCATGGAGAATGAATGACTCGGGGGGATTCAGATCATGAAGTCATGAGAAGAAGGCCTTTCTGCCCAGGGATGATGTTTCTCAGTATCAATAATCAGTTGTGGGTTTTTTTCTTCTATTTCTTCCAGCAGCTTATTGAGTTCATCATTAAAGTCATCGATTTTCAACCTGGGGTACAATGGGGGAAGAAAAGGTTACTTTGTGCATCAAGGAGATTTGTTTCAAATTCCCAAGTACCTGAAAGTCTGTTAAGGAGGCACAGGGCATGGGTCACCTTTCCTGATTATTCTAGGTGGCAAAGGAGTGTTCCACATTGATTTTTTTTTTTTTTTTTTAAAAGACAGTCTCAGGTGGGGCGTGATGGCTCACGCCTGTAATTCCCAGCACTTTAGGAGGCTGAGGCGGGTGGATCACGAGGTCAGCAGATCAAGACCATCCTGGCTAACACGGTGAAACCCTGTCTCTACTAAAAAAATACAAAAAATTAGCCGGGCGTGGTGGCGGACGCCTGTAGTCCCAGCTACTCAGGAGGCTGAGGCAGGAGAATGGTGTGAACCCGGGAGGCGGAGCTTGCAGTGAGCCGAGATCGTGCCACTGTACTCCAGCCTGGGCGATCTCAAAAAAAAAAAAAAAAAAAAAAAAAAAAAAAAAAAAAAAGACAGTCTCTCTGTTGCCCAAGCTGGAGTGCAGTGGTACCATCTCAGCTCACTGCAACCTGTGCCTCTTGGGTTCAAGCCATCCTATCCTCTGCCTCCCGAGTAGCTGGGACTACAGGCACCTGCCACCATGCTCAGCTAATTTTTGTATTTTTAGTAGAGTTGGGGTTTTACCATGTTGCCTAAACTGTACCTGGCTTGATTTGCTTATTTTTTATTTTTAAATATAAAATGAGGCCAGATGTGGTGGGTCATGCCTGTAATGCCAGCACTTTGGGAGAGTGAGGTGGGCAGATCACTTGAGGTCAGGAGTTTGAGACCAGCCTAGGCAAGATGGTGAAAGTCCATCTCTACTAAAAATATAAAAGTTAGTTGGGTGTGATGGTGCATCCCTATAATCCCAGCTACTCAGGAAGCTGACACAGGAGAATCACTTGAACCTGGGAGGCGGAGGTTACAGTGAGCTGAGATCGGGCCCCTGCACTCCAGCCTGAGCAATAGAGTGAGATTTTTGTCTAAAAAATAAATGAAGTAAATAATAAAATGTAATATTAAAGACTTTCATTTCTCTTTTTAATCCTTTTTTTCATTCCTCTTATTCTCAACCATGTTGATCTGATAGAGAAAAACATAACATCAGGTTAACCTTGTAATGGTATATAGCCATTGTGCAGTTTGAGATGCTTGTTGATTATCATACACAGAAAATGGAATTGCTGAGTACAGCTGGGCTATAGCTCTAATACCTGCTTACCCGCTCTATCACCCACTTTGGCAACTTCTACTCAGTGGACCCCGGAGTACCAGTTAAACAGAGGAGATGCAGGCCAGGCATGGTGGCTCACGCCTGTAATCTTAGCACTTTGGGAGGCTGAGGCAGGCGGGTCACCTGAAGTCAGGAGTTCGAGACCAGCCTGACCAATATGGAGAAACCCTGTCTCTATTAAAAATACAAGATTAGCCAGGTGTGGTGGCACATGCCTGTAGTCCCAGCTACTTGGGAGGCTGAGGGAGGAGAACCTCTTGAACCCGGGAGGCGGAGGTTGCAGTAAGCCGAGATAGCGCCATTGCGCTCCAGGCTGGACAACAAGAGTAAAACTCTGGCCGGGCGGGGAGGTGGGGGGGTCAGCCCCCCGCCCAGCCAGCCGCCCTGTCCGGGAGGTGAGGGGCGCCTCTGCCCGGCCGCCCCTAATGGGAAGTGAGGAGCCCCTCTAACCGGCCAGCCGCCCTGTCCGGGAGGGAGGTGGGGGGGTCAGCCCCCCATTTTGTTCTGTACTAAGAAAAATTCTTCTGCCTTGGGATCCTGTTGATCTGTGACCTTACCCCCAACCCCGTGCTCTCTGAAACATGTGCTGTGTCCACTCAGAGTTAAACGGATTAAGGGCGGTGCAAGATATGCTTTGTTAAACAGATCCTGAAGGCAGCACGCTCGTTAAGAGTCATCACCACTCCCTAATCTCAAGTACCCAGGGACACAAACGCTGCGGAAGGCCGCAGGGTCCTCTGCCTAGGAAAACCAGAGACCTTTGTTCACTTGTTTATCTGCTGACCTTCCCTCCACTATTGTCCTATGACCCTGCCAAATCCCCCTCTGTGAGAAACACCCAAGAATGATCAATAAAAAAAAAAAAAAAAAAAAAGGAAAAAAAAAAAAAAAAAAGAAAAAAGATGCACCCCAAAAAAAAGAGTAAAACTGTCTCCAAAATAAATAATAAATAAACAAACAAACAAACTTAAAGCTTAAAAAAACCCTTAGTGTCCATATGTCTTTTGACTTACAAAGTATCTTAGGCTGAGTTTCATGTTAAATAAACAAGTAATCTATGTTTCTTCTACATAAAGATTATTTTAAGCCAGCAGTAGAGTATATTGCTTGTGAGAATTTCTGAAGTTCCCACATTCCTAGGAAGGGGCTTCTTGGTTCTTTGATGCCATGGTATCAAAATACAACTCAGGCCGGGTGCGGTGGCTCATGCCTGTAATCCCAGCACTTTGGGATGCTGAGGTGGGCAAATCACGGAGGTCAGGAGTTTGAGACCACCCTGGCCAACATGGCAAAACCCTGTCTCTACTAAAAATACAAAAATTACCTAGGTGTGGTGGTGCATGCCTGTAATCCCAGCTACTTGGGAGGCTGAAGCATGAGAATAGCTGGAACCTGGGAGGTGGAGGTTGCAGTTAGCAACCACTGCACCCCAGCCTGGGCAACAGAGTGAGACTCCATCTCAGAAAAAAAAAAAAAAAAAGAAAGAAAAAACAAAACAAAACCCCAAAACCCTGACAAAATGCAACAAACAAAACACAGCCCAGTGACAAATGGCTATCATGAGCAGGTAGACGGCAGCCGTGGCTGGGTGCAATGGTTCATGCTTATAAACCTACCTACTCAGGAACTGAGGCAGGATTGCTTGAGCCCAGGAGCTGGAGCGAGCCTGCAGCGAGCCATCATTGTGCTGCTGGACTCCAGCCTGGGGAACATAGTGAGTTCTTGCCTCAAAGGAAAAAAAAAAAAAAGGTGGCCGGGTGCGGTTGCTCACGCCTGTAATCCCAGCACTTTGGGAGGCCGAGGCGGGCGGATCACCTGAGGTCAGGAGTTTGAGACCAGCCTGACCAACATGGTGAAACCCCGTTTCTCCAAGTGAAATACAGAAATTGGCTGGGTGTGATGGCGGGAACCTGTAATCCAGCTACCAGATCAGTCTCCTACAGCAGGTCCATGTCATTATGCTTCCCCTAAACCTACCACTCTGGAGAAAGCCTGATGGGGAAGTAAATGGATCATACCTGAGTGTCCGGAGGGTGCCACTGGAACATGTCAAGGTTTCAAACAGCATCTTCACTCCACTAGACCCCAAGGGATTCTGACCCAGGTCCAGAGTGACGAGGCTCTGGTTGCAGCTGAGGGCAGAGCAGAGGTCTTCACAACTGAACGGAGGGATGGAACATCCCCACAACCTGGGGAAACACAGAAATCAACACGTTAATGCAGCCAGTGCTGATCGATGCCCTCCGGCAAGCCAAGCCCACCCTCGTGTGTTGGGGATCTGCATGACCAACAGAAGTCTCAGGCCGGGCACGGTGGTTCACGCCTGTAATCCCAGCACTTTGGGAGGCCGAGGTGGATGGATCACCTGAGGTCAAGGAGTTCAAGACCAACCTAACATGGTAAAACCGTGTCTCTACTAAATATACAGAAGTTAGCTGGGCGTGGTGACAGGCACCTGTAATCCCAGCTACTCAGGAGGCTGGGGCAGGAGAATCGCTTGAACCCAGGAGGCGGAGGTTGCAGTGAGCCGAGATCGCGCCATTGCACTCCAGCCTGGGTGACAGAGTGAGACTCCGGTCTCAAAAAACAAACAAAACGTCTCCGCCCTCAGGGCTCATCTGCTAACAGGAAAATATGGAGGCGATGAGGGGTTCTGAAGGGCAAGGGGTACAGGGAATAACTGGGGGTTCTGGCTACAATGGTTGGAGGTGAGGGGGTGAAGAGACCGAGTCATAGAGCTCGGGGGGGAGTTCTCCAGGCAGAGAAATAGCTTGTGCAGAGGCCCTGAAGATACATGTGACTGACACGTAAAATAGAACATCCAGGCAGCGGGCATGAGTGAGACAGGGAGGATTGTCAAGATGAGGTCATAGGTAAGCAGTGGCCAGCTCACAGAAGACCCTGAAGCCATCGTCAATATAGGATTTTACCTGGATTGACATAGGGAAGCACTGAGGCTTTTGAGCAGAGAGGTTAAATAACTTCCATCTTTGAAGTTATTCTTTGAGACAGTCTTGCTCTCTCGCCAGGGCTGGAGTGCTGTGGCATGATCTCGGCTCACTGTAGCCTCTGCCTCCTGGATTCAAGCAGTTCTCGTGCCTCCAAGTAGATGAGATTATAGCTATGTGCCACCATGCCTGCCTGATTTTTGTGGTTTTAGAGAGACAGGGTTTCACCTGTCTCTTTAGTAGAGACAGGCTGGTCTACGAACTCCTGACCTTAGGTGATCCACCTGCCTCGGCCTCCCAAAGTGCTGGAATTACAGGCATGAGCCACTGCACCCTGCCACTTTATTTTTTGAAACACGGTCTCACTCGGTTGCCCAGGCTGGAGTGTGGTAACGCCATCTTGGCTCACTGCAGCCTTGACCTCCTGGGCCAACCAGCAACTCAAACTTTTTGCTCCTCTACACGTGTCAGTGAGTGATTAAAAAGGCGCCTTTGTTTTTTTTGTTTTTTTTTTTTTTTTGAGACAGGATCTCACTGTCACCCAGGCTGGAGTGAGGTGACGTGATCTCAATTCGCTGTAACTTCTTCCTCCCAGGCTCAAGTGATCCTCCCACCTCAGCCTCCTGAGTAACTGGGAGCAGAGGTACACAGCCATGCTCAGCGGATTTTTGTACTTTCAGTAGAGACAGGGCTTCATTGTGTTGGCCAGGCTGTTTTTAAATTCTTGGCCTCAAGCAATCTACCTGCCTTGGACTCCCAAAATGCCAGGATTACAGGCATGAGCCACCTTGCCCATCCCGAGTCAAATTCTTTTAAGATTGCCTCCCAGATAGGATTCCAGGTTCAAGTGCATCTGATTGTAGCTAACTCACAAGGTATTTGTAAGATAGCCAAGTTGAGACCACTCACCTGCTGATAGAGCCAGCATTTTCTGGCACGATATCTAATTCCTACCTCTTTTTTATTTTTTCCTGAGATGGAGTCTTGCTCTTGTAGCCCAGGATGGAGTGTAGTGACAGGATCTCAGCTCACTGCAACCTCTGCCTCCAGGGTTCAAGTGATTCTCCTGCCTCAGCCTCCCAAGTAGCTGGGATTAAAGGCACCTACTGGCTGGGCACGGTGGCTCTCACCTGAGGTCCGGAGGTCGAGACCAGCCTGACCAACATGGAGAAACCCCGTCTATACTAAAAATACAAAATTAGCCAGGCATGGTGGCACATGCCTGTTTATTTGCAGCTATGTGGGAGGCTAAGGCAGGAGAATCACTTGAACCCAGGAGGTGGAGGTTGCAGTGAGCTGAGATCGCGCCATTACACTACAGCCTGGGCAACAAGAGTGAAACTATCTCAAAAAAAAAAAAAAAAAAAAAAGAGGCACCCACTACTATGCTCGGCTAATTTTTATATTTTAGTAGAGATGGAGTTTCAAGTTGGCCAGGCTGGTCTTGAGCTCCTGACCTTAAGTGATCCGCCCGCTTCGGCCTCCCGAAGTGCTGGGATTACAGGTATGAGCCACTGTGCCTGGCCCAATTCCCACCTCTCTGAATGTGGGGTGCTGGGCAGTGGCTTTTGGCTGAATGGCTTGAGGCACTGTATCCTTAAAATTTCACAGGTGTTCTTTGCATGACACAGACTAGAACTTAGACATAGGGCCTGGCGCAGTGGCTCACGCCTGTAATCCCAGCACTTTGGGAGGCCGAGATGGGCGGATCACCTGAGGTCAGGAGTTTGAGATGAACCTTCAACATGGCGAAACCCTGTCTCTACTAAAAATACAAGAATTAGCTGGGCATGGTGGCGGGCGCCTGTAATCCCAGCTACTCGGGAAGCTGAAGCAAGAGAATTGCTTGAACCTGGGAGGCGGAGGTTGCAGTGAGCCAAGATCACGCCACTGCACTCCAGCCTATGTGACAAGAGCAAAACTTCAAGAAAAAAAAAAACAAAAACTTAGACATAGACTAGAACTTATTCCTTTAACCATCCTAGTAAATGCTCGATCGACTCTATAAAGGTCCTCTCAATTATATAACTTGGGAAGTCGGCTTCACTGATTATTTTACACTAGCCACAGATTCAGTAAGGTGTAAGTATAGGAAGTTGAACTTATAAGTTAACTCACCACAGACATCTCAAGTTGCACAGTGGTTTCCTCAAAGCCTCACACAGGAACTTCATTCCCTTAACTCCTATGTGATTCAGCCCCAGATCCAAACACAACAGGCTTGATTTTTCTTGGAGAAGCTTTGTGAGATCGCAGCAGCCATCGCTAGTTATGTCGCAGTTCCAAAGCCTAGAAATCAACCACAGGAAGAAAGCAAACCCGAACCTGTGAGTTCTCACTGCTGTGATGCACCTTTGACTCTTGAGCCGTGGGTTAGACACACTTAGAGACAGTGGTGACATGGAAATGGAATCATGGGGTGGTGTGGTGGACAGAAGAATGGCCTCCCCTAAAGATGTCCAAGTCCCAACTCCTGGCACCTGCGAGCAAAAGGGACCTCGTAGAGGTGACTGAGCATCTTAAGATGGTTTATATCCTGGTTTATTTGGGTAGGTCCAGCAATCACAGGGATCCTCATAAGAGGGAGCTGAGAGTCAAAGCCAGCAGGAGGTGACGTGATAAGGGAGCCAGGGCAACGTTTGAAGATGCTCTGCCGAAGTTGGAGGAAGGGCCACAAGCCAAGGAATGCAGGTGGCCAACAGAAGTTGGAGAAGTAAAAAGGATTCTCAGCTGGCACGGTGGCTCACTTCAACCTCCGCCTCCTGGTTTCACGCGATTCTTGTGCCCCAGCCTTCCGAGTAGCTGGGATTACAGGGGGGTGTGTGTGTGTACACACATGCGCGTGCCACCACACCCAGCTAAGTTTTGTATTTTTAGTAGAGACAGGGTTTCCCCATGTTGGCCAGGCTGGTCTTGAACTCCCGACCTCAGATGATCTGCCCACCCTGGCCTCCCTAACATGCTGGGATTACGATTGTATTTGCTAAATTCAGTTGCTAGAGAGGTAGTGTCTTACAGGCAGAAGACACCAGCTCACACTCCAACATATCTGGTACTAGGATCCTAGATATTAACCAACACAGATTATCAGAGATATTTCACCTTAGCTCTGTTTTCTTTCTTCTGTCTCAATAGAGTTCTAAACTTAATTATAATTTGAACTATAATGCCCATGTATCTCTGGGTCCCAAGTGAAGCATACCACTAGCTGAGGGACACAGGACCTGGAAGGGCCTTGGAAATAGATGGCAGATTGGAGTCCATGACGATGGAGAAGTGAAAACACACCCCCAAATCTTGAAACTTTATGAATGTATAGAAACTTTTTTTTTTTTTTTTTTGAGACAGTCTCGCTCTGACACCCAGGCTGGAGTACAGTGGCACAATCTCAGCTCACTGCAACTTCCGCCTCCCAGGTTCAAGCAATTCTCTGCCTCACCCTCCCAAGTAAGCTGGGATTACAGGCTCCGACACCACGCCTGGCTAATTTTTGTATTTTTAGTAAAGACAGGGTTTCACCATGTTGGCCAGGCTGGTCTTGAACTCCTGACCTCATGATCCACCTGCCTCGGCCTCTCAAAGACCCTACCCGGCCTTCTAGAAACTTCCATGACTGTAATGGAGGAAAACCCACATAAGACTAAAGGGAAGTTGACAACTTAGCAAAATAGGGGCATGGATCAAAAAGTTGAATTGAGGGGGCCGGCACGGTGGCTCACACCTGTAATCCCAGCACTTTGGGAGGCTGAGGTGGGTGGATCACCTGAGGTCAGGAATTCGAGACCAGCTTGACCAACATGGTGAAAACTCGTCTCTACTAAAAATAAAGAAGTTAGCTGGGCGTGGTGGCATGCACCTTAATCCCTGGGAGGCTGAGGCAGGAGAATCACACCTGAACTCAGGAGGTGGAGGTTGCAGTGAGCTGAGATGGAGCCACTGCATTCCAGCCTGGGCGACAGAGCAAGACTATCAAAAAAAAAAAACCAAAAAAAAAAAAAAAAGAAAACCCCCCCCCCCCCAAAAAAATACCACACACACCACACACCACACACACACACAACCAAAAAAACTAGACATTCATTTGAAGATACAGTTAGTGAGTCGGTGACATCTCACTGCTTGTGGGACTTCTTTTTTAATGTTTCAGGGCCTAGATATAGTGGGTGTGGGAAGAATCCTTTCCTTCTACTCATCGTCTCCAGCCATGAACTGAATATGTCATTAAATTTAAGTGGGTAGTTTTCAGATGCCAGGTACATATCCTAGATTAGTTACTTCATAGGAAGAGGACAGTTCCTAACTGTTGGAGGTGATGTTAGAGACAAAGAATACCAGAGATATGTATGGCTGGACGCAGTGGCTCATGCCTGTAAATCCTAGCACTTTGGAAGGCTGAGGCGGGCGGATCATGAGGTCAGTTCGAGACCAACCTGGCCAACATGGTGAAATCCCATCTCTACTAAAAATATAAAAATTAGCCCGGCGTGGTGGTGAGTGCCTGTAATCCCAGCTACTCAGGAGGCTGAGGCAGGAGAATCAACCTCCTTGAAGCCGGAGGTTGCAGTGAGCCTAGATCATGCCATTGCCAGCGTGGGCAAGAGTAAAACTCCATCTTAAAAAAAAAAAAAAAAAATACCAGAGATGTTAACATAAAATCGAATCTCTGAACAGAAACCATCAGTGCAGATACAATTTTTTTTTTTTTTTGAGACAATCTCGTTCTGTCACCCAGGCTGGCACGATCTCGGCTCACTGCAACCTCCCGACTTCAAGCGATTCTCCTGCCTCAGCCTCCCAAGTAGCTGGGATTACAGGACCATACCACCACGCCTAGCTAATTTTTGTATTTTTAGTAGAGACAGGGTTTCACTGCATCAGCCAGGCTGGTCTCAAACTCCTGACCTCAGGTGTTCTGCCCGCCTCCTAAAGTGCTGAGATTACAGGCATGAGCCACCATGCCAGGCCCCAATTCCTTTCTAAAGATTTGTCCTATAATTTTTTTTTTTTGAGAGAGTCTTGCTCTATTGGCCAGACTGGACTTCAGTGGTGCCATCTCAGCTCACTGCAACCTCCACCTCCGAAGTTCAAGTGATTCTCCTGCCTTAGCCTCCTGAGTAACTGGGATTACAGGCATGTCCCACCATGCGTGACTAATTTTTGTATTTTTAGTAGAGAGACAATGTTTCACCATGTTGGGCAGGCTGGTCTTGAACTCCTGCCCTCAAGGGATCTGCCTTGCTTCGGCCTCCCAAGGTGATGGGATTATAGGCGTGAGCCACTATGCCAGGCCACGTGTCCTGTGATTTTAGTATTAAAAGGAGGATCACATTGAGCATGTAGCTTCCAATAGCTTCCATTGGGAGTCTGAGCGTACACTGGCCCAGAAGACTACCTGATTTGCAAATCATTCATTAAAAAATAAGTAAATGAATTCCATTTACAACCAATTGCATGCAATTTATGTTACAGTTATAGTTCTAAGAACACAGATTAAGAGAAAACACAGCATGGGGTGACATGGCTCATGCCTGTAATTCTAGCACTTTGGGAGGCCAAGGCAGGCAGATCTCTTGAGCTCAGGAGTTTGAGACCAGCCTAGGCAACACGGCGAGATCCCATCTCTAAAATACATACATACATAAAGAGGAAAAAAAAAACCCGAAAACCAGCTACATTCCCCAAATCCCTATAGAATATTACTACTACTCTACTACTACTTATACTTTTTTCCTACCATCATCTACCCAGGTCTTACCAGTTGTCATTAGCATCATGCTTGGAACTTTTAGAGGAATTAAGTGTTCTCATAACCACCCTACTCAAACCCGGAGGTGGGGGGCGTGTGCATATACACCCACGCACACAGGCAGCCAGCACGGACTTACACCAAGGTCTGCAGTTTACACTCGGGGTACCTCAAGCCCTCACACAGAAACTTCACCCCTGTATTCCCAATGGGGTTCTTGGCCAAGCACAGGTGTGTCAGCTCCCGGCTGACAACCAACACAGCAGCAAGGTCCTTGCAATTGGCTTCTGTAAGGTGACAGTTTTCCAACCTACAAAAGAATCACAAATGGCAACACGGTTGACAGGTCCAACTTCAACCTTCCCGGCTAGCTCCACAAGTGCCAGCATCCAAAAGCCCCTTCTTGTGAACTCCCCACCTTCTATCATGCACTGGTGATCCTATGAAGGAATAGGAATGAGAGAAGAACAAAATTCACAGGCCATCGGCCTGGATCTAAACATGGGAACAGGTGTTCACATCAGCGAGAGGTTCCATACAGCCAAGTCAGGCATGACCATTGCTCGTCTGTGGCCCCAGATCGAAAGCACAGCTGCTCTGTAAGAGAGGAGAGACTTACGACAACCTCTGCAGAAAGCACTTGGGGTGTCTCAAAGTTGTGTACAGCAACTTAGCACCCTCATCCAGAAGCTCATTGTCGGAGAGGTTTACGCACGTCAGGGACTGGTTGACTTCAAGGGCCAAGGAGAGATCAGCCCACTGCTGAGTGGTAGCGGAACAAGACACCAACCTGTGGGAGAAATAGGACCACGTCATTTTTTTTTTTTTTTTGAGACTGAGTCTCACTCTTGTTGCCCAGGTGGCGCAATCTCGGCTCACAGCAACCTCCGCCTCCTGGGTTCAAGTGATTCTCCTGCCTCAGCCTCCCGAGTAGCTGGGACTGCAGGCATGCACCATGCACCAACATGCCCAGCTAATTTTGTATTTTCAGTAGAGGTGGGGGTCTCTCCATGTTGGTCAGGCTGGTCTCAAACTCCCAATCTCAGGTGATCTGCCCACCTCGGCCTCCCAGAGTGCTGGGATGACAGGCGTGAGCCACCGCGCCCGGCAGAACAAGTCATTCTTGAGAATCTAACCGTGGAATCGTCTTTGGTTTACATCTCACTGGTTGTGTTATACCCCGACTTGAATTATCTGGAGCAGCAGTTGTCAAAGGGTGGTCAGACCAGTGGCACCAACATCGCCCAGGAATCAGCTGGAAATACAGAACTTAGTCAATCTGACTCTAATGTTGGATGCAGACTCCGCTAACCTATGTTTCATTGTTTGGTTTTTTGAAAGGGAGTTATTTATGCTCTGTCGCCCTGGCTGGAGTGTAGTGGCGCGATCTCAGCTCACAGCAACCTCTGCCTCCCAGATTCAAGAGATTCTCCCGCCTCAGCCTCCTGAGTAGCTGGGATTACAGGCAAATGCCATCTTGCCTGGCTAATTTTTGTATTTTTTAGTAGAGATGGGGTTTTACCATGTTGGCCAGGCTGGTCTCAAACTCCTAACTTTGGCCGGGGCAATGGCTCATGCCTGTAATCCCAGCACTTTGGGAGGCCGAGGTGGGCAGATCAGGAGGTCAGGAGTTTGAGACCATCCTGGCCAACATGGTGAAACCCCGGCTCTACTAAACATACAAAAGTTAGATGGGCGTGGCGACACGTGCCTGTAGTCCCAGCTACTCAGGAGGCTGAGGCAAGAGAATCACTTGAACCCAGGAGGCGGAGGTTGCAGTAAGCCGAGATCACTCCACTGCACTCTAGCCTGGGCGACAGAGCAAGACTCCGTCTCAAAACAAAAAACTCCTGACTTCAAGCGATACACCAGCCTAGGCCTCCCAAAGTACTGGGATTACAGGCAGGAGCCACCATACCCAGCCCACTAACCTATGTTTCAAGGTGCCCTGTTCATCCGGAAAATGTGTTAGAATAAATTCATAAGAAATGAGTGGCTGGGCACAGTGGCTCATGCCTGTAATCCCAGGACTTTGGCAGGCCAAGGCAGGTGGATCATGAGGCCAGGAGTTTAAGACCAGCCGGAACAACATGATGAAACCCCATTTCTCCTAAAAATACAAGAATTAGCTGGGCGTGGTGGCACATGGCTGTAATCCCAGCATTTTGGAAGATGGATGTCACTTGAGGTCAGGAGTTCGAGACCAGCCCAGCCAACACGGTGAAACCCCGGCTCTACTAAATATACCAAAAATTAGCTGGGTGTGGTGGATTGCCCGAGGTCAGGAGTTTGAGACCACCCTGGCCACCAGCATGGCGTAACCCTGTCTCTACTAGAAATACAAAATACTAGAAATACAAAAATACAGGTGGGTGCCTGTAATCCCAGCTACTTGGGAGGTTGACGGAGAAGAATCACTTGAACCCGGGAGGCAGAGGTTGCAGTGAACCAAGATTGTGGCACTGCACTCCAGCCTAGGAGACAGAGCAAGACTATATCTTGAGAAAAAAAGAAAGAAATTAGTGACCCAAATCTTTAATTCACCCAATATTCCCCCTCACCCTGCATCCCATTATTCTCAGGCAAAAAGAAAAGAGGGTAATTGCAACGGTTAGTAATGATAGCAGCCACTATTGAATGCATGGGCTTGGTTTCATTCAACCTTCCAATACCTGTAAGATGTACAGCATCCTATTCAACTAAGATCCCATTAAGCAGCCTAAGATTGTATCAGTAGAGCCAGAGCAATCAATTTTTTTTCTGTCCTCGAGATGGAGTTTTGCTCTGTTGCCCAGGCTGGAGTGCAATGGCGTGATCTTGGCTCACTGCTACCTCTGCCTCCTAGGTTCAAGCAATTCTCTTGCATCAGCCTCCATGAGTAGCTGGGATTACAGGCACGCGCCACCATGCCCAGCTAATGTTTTTGTATTTTTAGTAGACGTGGGGTTTCACCATGTTGGCCAGGCTGGTCTTGAACTCCTGACCTTGTGATCCACCTGCCTTGGCCTCCCAAAGTGCTGGGATTACAGGCATGAGCTACCGCACCCAGCCAAGATTTTTTTTTTTTTTTTTGAGACAGTCTCACACTGTTGCCCAGACTGGAGTGCGGTGGTGTGATCTCAGCTCACTGCAACCTCCGCCTCTCAGGTTCAAATGATGCTCCTGCCTCAGCCTCCTGAGTAGCTGGGACTACAGGCGTGCGCCAACATGCCCAGCTAATTTTTGTATTATTAGTAGAGACAGAGTTTCACCATGTTGACCAGGCCGGTCTTGAACTCCTGACCTCAAGTGATCCACCCACCTCGGCCTCCCAGGCGTGAGCCACTGCGCCTGGCCCAGGGCAATAATTTGAGGCCAATGACCACCTACTACACCAGTGTGGCCAAGTGAGGCTTCATGGAACCCCATGATGCATGTAGGTTCTCATCGCCTGGGCAGCCACTGGACAGCTTCCCAAGGGGAGAGCTCTCAAACCAGAGGACTAACAGAAAAGGGGCAACTTGATGTTCCTGAAGGGTTCTTGCTTGAAAAATGTCAATAGCTGGTATTCTGAATCATCATACAGGAGAAGCATGAACCATGAGTGAATGATCTCTGATAGAAGATAAAGATTCTGGGCTGGGCACGGTGGCTCATGCCTCACTTTGGGAGGCCGACGGCGGGGTGGGGTGGGGGTGGGGGGGTAGATCACCTGAGGTCATGAGTTCGAGACCAGCCTGGCCAATGTGGTAAAACTCCATCTCTACTAATAATACAAAAATTAACCAGGTGTGGTGGTGTGCACCTGTAATCCCAGCTACTCAGGAGGCTGAGGCAGGAGAATCACTTGAACCTGGGAGGTGGAGGCTGCAGTGACCTGAGATCATACCAACGCACTCCAGCCTGGGTGACAGAGCGAGACTCCATCTCAAAAAGAAAAAAGAAAAAGAAAAAACCAAAACCAAAACCAAAACATAAGGACTCTGGCTGGGCATGGTGGCTCATGCCTATAATCCCAGCACTTTGGGAGCCTGAGGAGGGCAGGTCACCTGAGGTCATGAGTTCGAGACCAGCCTGGCAATGTGGCGAAACCAGCTCCACTAAATGCACAAAAATTAGCCGGGCGTGGTGGCGGGTGCCTGTAATCCCAGCAACTTGGGAGGCTGAGGCAGCAGAATTACTTGAACCCAGGAGACAGAGGTTGCAGTGAGCCAAGATCGTGCCATTGCACTTTGGCCTGGGCAACAGAGCAAGACTTCATAAAAAAAAAAAAAAAGATGATAAAGATTCTGGGAGTTTCTTTGGATTCAGGGTCCTCACGTATGGTTGTCCAGGGTGTTTACTGTTCAAGGCAAGTAGAAACTCAAGTTCAGCCCATGCTGCATCCTGGGTCATCTGCCCTTAGTACTGTTTCTAGTCAGAATAACGAACTTTTTCTTATTTACACAAAATTGCCACATAAGCTTGTGGTAGCTTATGTTTGTATGATGAAGGATTTTAATGATTAAGAGATATACCCGAGATATCGCAGGTTACATTCTGGATGTCTCAAGACCTCACACAATGCGGGAAACATATCATCCTGGTCATTGCCTTGAAGGGTCAGATACGTTACAGTCTTGTGACCTCGAAGAGCTAGGCAGAGGTTCCGATGAGCATCAGCTGGGGAAATGTTTTTGAACCTAGGGAAAAGAGAACGAAAGTGAAATCTTTAGTGTGTACACCTGTATCGTACTTAAATGGAAACCAGGGGCTCGATATATTTAAACTTTAGGAACTATTTTTTCCATGTTTAAATTTTTGTCCATCTTTACAGATTTTTTTTTTCTTTGAGATGGAGTCTCACTCTGTTGCCCAGGCTGGAGTGCAGTGGCGCGATCTCGGCTCACTGCAAAGCAAACTCTGCCTCCCGGATTCAAGCGACTCCTACCCTCAGCATCCGGAGTAGCTGGGATTATAGGCACCTGCCACGACACCTGGCAAATTTTTGTATTTTTCGTAGAGACAGGGTCTTGCACCATCTTGGCCAGGCTGGTCTTGAACTCCTGACCTCAAGTGATCCCCCCACCTTGGGCCCCCAAAGTGCTGGGACTACAGGCGTGAGCCATTGTGCCCGGCCCTTTTTTTCTTTTTCTTTTTTTTTTTTTTTTTTTTTGAGACGCAGTCTCGCTCTGTCACTCAGACTGGAGTCCAGTGGCAGGATCTTGGTTCACTGCAACCTCCGCCTCCTGGGTTCAAGTAATTCTCCTGCCTCAGCCTCCCAAGTAGCTGATATTACAGGTGCCTGCCACCACGCCTGGATAATTTTTGTATTTTTAGTAGAGGCAGGGTTTTGTCACGTTGGCCAGGCTGGTCTCGAACTCCTGACCTCAAGTGATCTGTCTGCCTCGGCCTCCCGAAGTGTTGGAATTACAAGTGTGAACCACCATGCCCAGCCCCTAGAAATTACTTTATACGATTATCCCACAAAATAAATTTAAGGACAGGACTCTCTCAATTCCCTGTGTCTCGAGCACTTAAGAGTCTAGTACAGGAATCTGAATATTGCTCCGATGTTAACATTGTACCATTTTCATACCCTAAGGATTTGAGTTCATGAATTAGTTTCTACTTACACCACTCTCTGGAGATGACAGGTGTCAGAGGCTATTTGTTCACACAGGATCCTTACTAGGGAGGCACTGAGAAAGCTATCATTGATTGCTAGACCCATCAGATCCTTATTTGATCCAAATATGGAACAAAGGTCCGTCCAGAAAGGAAGCATGTGCTGATCATCCTGGGATCTATAGGGAAGAGAAGAAAGGGTTACACCAAATGTGTGTCCATCACGGCTGAAGTATTTAGGGTTTCTCTGGGCATATACCCCTGACAAATGAGTACAATTGAAAGCTGGACCATGTAATCACTTATTAGCACCACCATCAGACAACTCAACACCCAAGAAGCATCACAGGAGAAAGAACCTATTCTTCTTAGACAAAAATCCAATAGAGGGTAAAAATAAGTTAAAATGCTAAGCACATCATTGATAAAAGATAGAGAATATAGACCGGGCACGGTGACTCACGCCTATAATCCTAGCACTTTGTGAGGCTGAGGCGGGTGGATCACCTGAGGTCGGGAGTTCGAGACCTGCCTGGCCAACATGGTGAAACCCCGTCTCTACTAAAAGTACAAAAATTAGCTGGGCATGGTCGTGGGTGGCTGTAATCCCAGCTACTCATGAGGCTGAGGCAGGAGAATCATTGAACCTGGTGGGGCGGAGGTTGCAGTGAGCCGAGATCGAGCCACTTCACTCCGACCTGGGAAAAAGAGTGAAACTCCGTCTCAAAAAAAAAAAAAAAGATTGGGAATATACATATCTATACATATCAATAAGAAATATTCAGGCAGGGCGTGTGGTAACTCATGCCTGTAATCTCAGTGCTTTGGGAGTTCAAGACCAGCCTGGACAACATAGTGAGATTTTGTCTTTCCAAAAAAAAAAAAAAAAAAAAAAACACAAAAAAAAACCCCCACTTAAGTTAGCTGGACATGATGGTGCACACTTAATACCTGTCATCCCAGGTACTCAGGAACATCACTTGAACCCAGAAGTTTGAGGATGCAGTGAGCTGATTTCACCACTGTACTCCAGCCTGAGCAACACAGCAAGACCCTGTCTTAAAAAAATATATTTGGGCCGGGCATGGTGAATCATGCCTGTAATCCCACTTTGGAGGCTGAGGCAGGTGGATCACCTGAGGTCAGGCGGAGTTCAAGACCAGACTGGCCAACATGCTGAGATCCCGTCTCTAATGAAAATATAAAAATTAGCCGGGCAAGGTGGCAGGCGCCTGTAGTCCCAGCTACTCAGGAGGCTGAGGCAGAAGAATCACTTGAACCCGGGAGGCGGAGGTTGCAGGGAGCCAAGATCGCGCCACTGCGCTCCAGCCTGAGCGACAGAGCAAGACTCCATCTCAAAACAAAAACAAACAAAGAGTCCAACAAGAGGGAATTCCTGACCCTAAGCCACAGTGCATAGGAGGCTCTGGCCTCTTCCTAAGGGGGCATGGGATGAGGCTAAAGATGGAACGACTGGTAGAGTGAAACGGTTCTCACCTCTCAACCTCGGCGTCTGATTCAGACGCAGTGACATTCTCCGGGAGATTCTCCTTTATTACCTGCAGTGACATTTTCTGCAGGTTTCGACAGTGCTTGACGCAGAATGAAGATGGCACAACGTCTACTGCATTTAAGTGCAGGGATATTTCTTTGAACTGAGCCATCACCTCCTTCACCAGCTCCTCCTCCTGAGACTCGTACAGACAGCCGAGGAGCTCCTGCAGGTCTGTCACCGTTGAATGTCCACCCTTACAACTTATGTCGCATCGCAGCAATTCCTGTTTGATGTCCGGTGACATCCGGCAGCCAAAAGTGGCCTCCAACTCCTTGGCTCTCTTCTCGTTAGCGAGGCCAAAGGAGTAGTAGCCTGCTTGGATCAGGTCGGGGTTCCTGAGTCTTTCTACTCCGGAAAGCAGCTTCTGTACGTCCCCAATGTCCCAGGTGTGGCCGTCCCTATCCTCTTCCTCCTCCTTCTCCAGGGTGTAGAACAGGGCAGTGAGAAACTGCTGGAAGCTGAGGTGGATGAAGGAGTAGCAGCCTTTGGAGACTCTGTCCTGGCGGAGGATGTCTCCGTCCAGGAACAGACGGAGGTCGGACTCCTGCACCCCGAGCCTTTCCAGATCCTCTCGGTGAAGCACGGACGTCTGCGCCCACAGGCCCTGCGCGGCCAGGAGGCTCAGCGTCCGCAGCGCGCCCCGCAGCTGTGCGCCCTGCGGGAACCGGCTGCAGAGGAAACGCAGGAACAGCCCCGTGCGGGTGAGGCAGGTGGGGACCGGGTCCTCCCCCTTCTCCATCTGCAGCTTCAGAGTCGTGCACACGATCCAGCACACCGCGGGGGCCGAGCCCAGCTGGAACAGGGCCGCGTTGCTCCTCATTAGCTCAAAGGCACGCATGGCTTGGTCCTCGTCTCCAAAGTGTCTCAGGAAATAGGCCCTCCTGTCCTCCTCCAGGAAGCCCTCCACCCTTATGTAGATCGGCTCCTCCGCCAGGATCCGGAGGTCCCTCAGGGCCCTGGGCCGCGTGGTGACCAGCAGGGCGGCCTTGGGTAACATCACCCTGTTCAGCAAACTCCCCAGGAGGACGGGCACCGGCTTCTTCTTCTCCCAGTCCCCGCAGATGTCCTCGATCAGCGCCCCAGGTGCGGCTCCCAGCTCATCAAAGCCGTCAATCACGAACAAGATTTTCCGTGCTTGGGCTAGGATGTGTGGAATGTCATCCTGCAATTCAGGCCAGTCCCTGAAGACCAGCTCTGCAAAACTGCACGGGCCCAGGCGGCTGAGCTCCCTGCAGCTGAGGTAGAACGCATATTTGAATTTGTGGATGAGGTTGTCCTCTGCCCAGTCTAGCATTAGTTTCTGGGCCAGCGTGGTTTTCCCAAGGCCTGCAGGACCATACAGCACCACCGTGTATGAGAAGGGCCCGGGAAGCACCCTGGGGTTGCTGAATGGGATCAGCATCTTGTATCTCTCAGCCATAACCTGGACCTCTTTGCTATCTCCAGGCCAGCTCTTCCACATCTCCCGGAACTTCGTCTTCAATATATACCTGCACCTATTGTCTTTGTCTTTATCATTGGTGAGGAGGGAAGGGAGAGAGGATGCAATCAGTTACCCATAGGGAAAACCAAAATAACAAAATGCCTTGTGTTGGCCGGGCACAGTGGCTCATGCCTGTAATCCCAGCCCTTTGGGAGGTCGAGGCAGGCAGATCACCTGACATTGGGAGTTCAACACCAGCCTGACCAACATGAAGAAACCTTGTCTCTACTAAAAATAAAAAATTAGCCAGTCATGGTGGCGCATGCCTGTAATCCCAGCTACTCGGGAGGCTGAGGCAGGAGAATTGCTTGAACCTGGGAGGCGGAGGTTGCAGTGAGTCGAGATCACGCCACGGCACTCCAGCCTGGGCAACAAGAGCAAAACTCCGTCTCGATACATACATACATAAATAAATGCTTTGTGTTACATAGGAAAGTTAAGAGGACTTCAAGTTTATAAAGAGAAATCTGATCCCAAGCTCCCTGCAGGAAGATATGGTACAGACCTGGCTTTTTTCCTTTAAAGACTTCTTTACCCAGGCAGATGACATTTCCTTTCGTTTCTGTAAACGCTACAAAATACAAACTCATGTGAGATTGACACAAAATCAGGTGTATTTCCTGTGGAGTCCCAATTAGAGAAAAGGAGGCAGGCTGATGGGGCGGGGGGGAGGGGGGGCACGGGATCAGATAAAGCAAATAAGCTACAAATGTGTTTTCCGGCCAGGTGTGGTGGCTCATGCCTATAATCCCAGAACTTTGGGAGGCTGAGGTGGGGTGGATCACTTGAGCTCAGGAGTTCGAGACCAGCCTGGCCAACACAGAAACCCCATCTCTACTAAAAATGCAAAAATTAGCCAGGCGTGGTGGCGCATGCCTGTAATCTCAGCTACTTGGGAGGCCAAGAGGCTCGAGAATTGCTTGAACCTGGGAGATGGAGGTTGTAGTAAGAGATCGCACTACTGCACTCCACCCTGGGCAACAGAGCAAGACTCCATCTCAATAAAATAAATAAATAAGCTTTCCTCCATGGTTCAGGGCATACAAACAAGAGGAAACAGGTCAGCTATAGGTCTGTTTGAGACAGTCTCACTCTGTTGCCCAGGCTGGAGTGCAGTGGCGCAATCTCAGCTCACTGCAACCTCCGCCTCCCGGGTTCAAGCGATTCTCCTGCCTCAGCTTCCCAAGTAACTGGAATTACAGGCATGTGCCACTGCGTCTAGGCTAATTTTTGTATTTTTAGTAGAGATGGGGTTTCGCCATGTTGGCCAGGCCAGTCTAAAACTGCTGACCTCAGATGATCCACCCACCTCAGCCTCCCAAAGTGCTGGGATTGCAGGCATGAACCACTGCACTGGGCCAGGTCTGCTTTTATGGTCCAGGAGATACGGCCCAAGATGTTTGGCCTTCCTGGCCAGATCACACACAGAGCTCACAAACTCCCTGTTTGCCATGAAACGCCTCAGTTTATCAAACACTTCTGCTGAAAGAAGACCGCAAGTTAAACCCCCTGTTGACATTATCAATCAGCCCAAGCCCTATTCTATAAAATCTGCAGGAAGCTTTGGTCTCCTGGCAGTGAGCTACTCATGACAACCTGCCCGCTGGGGTCTCTCTGCCAATGTCTTTTCCTACTTTCTCCAATAAATCTGCCTTCCTTTACCTACGATTGTCTTCATAAATTTCTTTACCCGCGGCTGGGCGCGGTGGCTCACGCCTGTAATCCCAGCACTTTGGGAGGCCAAGGCGGGTGGATCATAAGGTCAGGAGATCGAGACCATCCTGGCTAACACGGTGAAACCCTGTCTCTACTACAAATACAAAAAATTAGCCGGGCGTGTGGCGGGCGCCTGTAGTCCCAGCTACTGGGGAGGCTGAGGCAGAATGGCGTGAACCCGGGAGATGGAGCTTGCAGTGAGCCGAGATTGCGCCACTGCACTCCAGCTTGGGTGACAGAGCAAGACTGTCTCAAAAAAAAAAACAAAACAAAACATTTCTTTACCTGCCATGCCACCAGGCACTATTCACCCACATTTCCTGCTGAAGCATGATGATAGAGCAGGCACCACAGTACCCCAAGTCGCACCGAAATTCTTTGTCAAGATTGTGTGCTAGGCTGGGCACAGTGGCTCACGCCTGTCATCCCAGCACTTTGGGAGGCTGAGGCGGACGGATCACGAGGTTAGGAGATCCAGACCATCCTGACTAACACGGTGAAACCCTGTCTCTACTAAAATACAAAAAATTAGCTGGGCGTGGTGGCACACACCTGTACTCCCAGCTATTTGGGAGGCTGAGGCAGGAGAATCGCTTGAACCTGGGTAGCAGAGGTTGCAGTGGGCCAAGATTGCACCACTGCACTCCAGTCTGGGCAACAGAGTGAGACTCCATCTCAAGAAAAAAAAAGATTGTGTGCCAGGAATGACATTGGCCGTGTCTAGAGAGATGAACAGGGCAAACAATTCCTTCAACCAAGTTACTCACCTCTATTATACAGAGCCATAGCAAGAAATACTTGCTGTATCAAAAGTCAATGTGGGCTAGGTACGGTGGCTCATGCCTGTAATCCCAGCACTTTGGGAGGCCGAAGTGGGTGGATCACCTGAGGTCAGGAGTTCAAGACCAGCCTGCCCAACATGGTGAAACCCTGTCTACTAAAAATAAAACTAACAAATGCAAAAATTAGCCAGATGTGGTGGTGGGCGCCTATGATCCCAGCTACTCGGGAGGCTGAGGCAGAATCACTTGAACCTGGGAGGTGGAGGTTGTGGCGAGCCGAGATCACACCATTGCACTCTAGCCTGGGCGACAAGGGCAAAACTCTTTCTCAAGAAAAAACAAAAATGCTACCAGGAAGATAAGAGGGAATGTGGAGTAAGCAAGGCTGATCTGAAACTGATCACAGGCTAGGTGCGGTGGTTCACAGCTGTAATCCCAGCACTTTAGGAGACCGAGGTAGGTGGATCACTTGAGGTCAGGAGTTCTAGACCAACCTGGCTACCCTGTTGAAACCCCATCTGTACTAAAAACACAAAAGTTAGCCAGGCATAGTGGTGGGCACCTATAGTCCCAGCACCTGGGGAGGCTGTGGCAGGAAGACCCCTTGAACCCAGGAGGCAGAGATTGCAGTGAGCCAAGATGGGGCCACTGCACTCCAGCCTGCATGACAGAGTGAGACTCTATTTCAAAAACAAAAAAAACAGAAAAAACCTATCACAAAGTCAGCTCAGGCAAGTCACCTACCCAAAAGACTCAATTTTCTCTGTAAGTTGTTTATATTAAAGTTGTCTGAGCAATGTACCATAAATACATTTATGCCTGTCAATTTTTTTTTTTTTTTTTTAAGATGGAGTCTCGCACTGTTGCCAGGCTGGAGTGCAGTGGCACAATCTTGGCTCACTGCAACCTCCACCTCCCGGGTTCAAGCGATTCTCCTGCCTCAGCCTCCTGAGTAGCTGGGACTACAGGCGGGTGCCACCACACCCGGCTAATTTTTGTGTTTTTAGTAGAGTTGGGTTTCACCATGTTGGCCAGGATGGTCTCGATCTCTTGATCCACCCGCCTCAGCCTCCCAAAGTGCTGGGAGATTATAGGTGAGAGCCACCACACCTGGCCACCTGTCAACTTTTAAATAATTTAAAGAAGGCCGGGTACGGTGGCTCTCGCCTGTAATCCCAGCACTTCGGGAGACTTGGGGGTGGGTGGAGCAGATCTCTTGAGGTCAGGAGTTTGAGACCACCCTGAATGAGATGGTGAAACCTGTCTCTACTAAAAGTACAAAAAAAAATTAGCTGGGCGTGGTGGCATGCACCTGTAGTCCCAGCTACTCAGGAGGCTGAGACAGGACAATCACTTGAATCTGGGAGGCGGAGGTTGCAGTGAACAGGGATGGTGCCACTATACTCCAGCCTGGGTGACAAGAACAAGACTTCGTCTCAAAAAAAAAAAAAAAAATTAGCTGGGTGTGGTGGCAGGTGCCTATAATCCCAGCTACTCAGGAGGCTGAGTCAGGAGAATCAGGAGAATCGCTTGAACCTGGGAGGTGGAGGTTACAGTGAGCCGAGATCGCGCCATTGCATTCCAACCTGGCCAACAGAGAAACTGTCTCAAAACAAAAACAAAAACAAAAACTCTCTGCGCTGTGCTCCTAACTTTCTACAAACTGAGTTCTAATTCTCTGCAACGTTCGTTCTTCCCTCTATTCTTACGGAAGGGAGGTTGGCATTCTCCAGGAGACAGTGGGCACATTAAGAATAGTGGAGGAAAAGATTGGAGAGAGATGGGGTTCTTCAAAGGAACAGGAGATAGCAGCAAGAACGGGGGGCTTCCTCAGCTGACTCCAACATTGGAGGTCCTGACACCCACCTTGTGCTTCTGTTTTGAAGCGCTCCAGCATTTCGTCCACGTCTAGAGGTGGTCGTTCTTTCCGTGTTATCCCTGGAGAAAAAGGGCGGCATTACAGGCCTGTTGCTGTGCTGGCAGTGGGACTCCAAGATGGCTCAAGTTGGACCCCTGAGTCTCAGTAGTGAAGCCTAGATTAGGTACTAAAAAGGACGTTGATAAGGTACTGGATGTAAAAGTGAAAGTACATTAGGCCATGATCCCAGGTTTATGTGCCTTTCTGGTGAGAATTCCTAAGTAGTTCAGAACACATGGTGTGAAAGACACACACACACACACACACACACACACACACACACAAACTACTCACGCATAAGGCCACTGGAAAGGCTTTGAGGATTAACTGCCTAGTTTTTCTTTTTTTTTGAGATGTAGTTTTGCTCTTGTTGCCCAGGCTGGAATGCAATGGTGTGATGTCGGCTCACTGCAACCTCCGCCTCCTGGGTTCAAGTGATTCTCCTGCCTCGGCCTCCGGAGTAGCTGGGATTACAGGAATGTGCCACCATACCTGGCTAATTTTGTATTTTTAGTACAGACAGGGTTTCTCTACGTTGGTCAGGCTGGTCTCGAACTCCCAACCTCAGGTGATCTGCCTGCCAGGCCTAACCCCCTAGTTTCTGATGAGGTAGATAAATTTAAAATGAACTGGGAAAGAATGTAAGAACAAGGTGGAATCAGCCGGGCATGGTGGCTCATGCCTGTAACCCAACACTTTGGGAGGCCAAGGCAGGCGGATCATGAGGTCAGGAGATCGAGACCATCCCGGCCAACATGGTGAAGCCCCGTCTCTACTAAAACAAAAAATTAGCCGGGCATGGTGGTGTGTTACCTGTAAGTCCCAGCTACTTGCGAGGCTGAGGCAAGGGAATTGCTTGAACCCAGGAGGCGGAGATTGCAGTGAGCCAAGATCGCTCCACTGCACTTCAGCCTGGCAAAAGAGCAAGCGAGACTCCGTATCAAAAAAAAAAAAAAAAAGAGAGAGAACAAGGTGGAATCCTAATAACAATATCTGCAGCTTAACCCTGGATAATGAAGAGGTGAGTCCATGGAACTCCTGAAAAGATGCTGGGGAGGGAACTGGACACGGGCATGTGAAATTCAGGACAAAGGCTGATCTGAGAAGAGCCTTTAGAGTCTTCACCACCAGGTGAGGTGGCTCATGCCTGTAATCCCAGTACTTTGTGAGGCTGAGGCAGACAGTTCATTTGAGGTCAGCAGTTTGAGACCAGCCTGGCCAACATGGTGAAACCCTGTCTCTACTAAAAATACAAAAATTAGCCAGACGTGGTGGTAGGCGCCTGTAATCCCAGCTACTTGGGAGGCTAAGGCAGGAGAATCACTTGAACCTGGGAGGCGGAGGCTGCAGTGAGATTGTACCACTGCACTCCAGCCTGGGTGACAGAGCAAGACTCTGTCTCAAAAAAGGTCTTCATGAGACCAGGCGCAGTGACTCACACCTGTAATCCCAACACTTTGGGAGGCTGAGGCACGTGGATCACGAGGTCAGGAGTTCAAGACCAGCCTGGCCAACATGGTGAAACCCCATCTCTACTAAAATTACAAAAATTAGCTGGGCTTGGTGGCAGACACCTATAATCCCAGCTACTCGGGAGGCTGAGGCAAGAGAATCACTTGAACCGGGAGGCGGAGGTCAGAGGTTGCAGTGAGCTGAGATCATGCCACTGCATTCCATCCTGGGCAACAGAGTGAGACTTTGTCCAAAAAAAAAAAGTCTTCATGGCCAGGTGTGGTGAATCATGTCTGTAATCCCAGCACTTTGGGAGGCCAAGGTGGGAGGATCACTTGAGACCAGGAGTTTGACACCATATCTGGCAACATAGTGAAACTGTCCCTACCAAAAATACAAATATTAGTCAGGTGTGGCAGTGCACACCTGTAGTCCCAGCTACTCAGGAGGCTGAGGTAAGAGGATCTCTGGAGCCTGGAAGGTTGAGGCTGCAATGAGCTATGACTGTGCCACTGCAATCAAGCCGGAGCAACACAGCAAGACCCCATCTCAAAACACAATCTTCAGGGGCCGGGCGCGGTGGCTCACGCCTGTAATCCCAGCACTTTGGGAGGCCGAGGCGGGCGGATCACAAGGTCAGGAGATCGAGACCATCCTGGCTAACACGGTGAAACCCCGTCTCTACTAAAAACACAAAAAAATTAGCCAGGCGTGGTGGTGGGCGCCTGTAGTCCCAGCTACTCGGGAGGCTGAGGCAGGAGAATGGCATGAACCCGGGAGGCGGAGCTTGCAGTGAGCCGAGATCACGCCACTGCACTCCAGCCTGGGCAACAGAGAGAGACTCTATCTCAAAAAAAAAAAAAATAATAATAATCTTCAGGATATAAGTAGCTGGTAAGGGCCAGGTGTCATGGCTCACACCTGTACCCCAGCAGTTTGGGAGGGTGAGGCAGGAGGACTGATTGAGTTTAGTAATTCGAGGCCAGCCTGGGCAACATAGCAAGACCCTGTCTCTACAAAAAGTGAAAAAAATTAGCCAGGCATGGTGGCAAGTGCCTGTGGTCCCAGCTACTCAGGAGGCTGAGGCAGGAGGATCACCAGAGCTTGGGAGGTCAAGGCTGCAGTGAACCATGATTGCACCACTCCAGCCTAAGTGACAGAGTGAAGCCCTGTTTCAAAAAAAAAAAAAAAAAAAAAAAAAAAAAAAAAAAAACAAAACCGGGTGTGGTGGTGGCTCATGCCCATAATCCCAGCATTTTGGGACGCTGAGGTGGGCAGATCACTTGAGGTCAGGAGTTCAAGACCAGCCTGGCCATCATGGTGAAACCCCATCTCTACAAACACCACAAAAAATTAGCCGGGCCTGGTGGCAGGTACCTGTAATCCCAGCTATTCTAGAGGCTGAGGCAGGAGAACTGCTTGAACCCAGGAGGTAGAGGTTGCAGTCAGCCGAGGTCGTACCACTGCACTTCAGCCTAGGTGACAGAGCAAGCCTCCATCTCAAAAAAGAAAAGTCTCTACCTTATCCAGATTCAAAGGCCAAGCTTACCCTTCCCCGCTTTGTATGTATTTATAGATTTCCAACAAACGCGATCGTGTTTCAGCTTCCCAGGTCTTACTGCTACGCACCTGCGAGACCAGCTCCGCCCTGGGAGCAGGGATGCTAAGTCCGGCATTTCTTTGCATTCTTAGTGCTCAGCACATTCTCCTTAAAACAAAGGCCCGAGTCCCCAGATCTCACATGAAGAATAAAAGTTATAAATGAGGTAACTTACCTAATGATAGAGGCTTCCTTTTATTAAAGGATTTCAAAGCTGCTTCTGAAAAAGGAGAAGGGGGGAAAATTTTGCATTTTACCATAAGCTCAAGATTTTATTGCCTTCATAAAAGAAAAGATGACACTTAGAACTGGATCACTTGTTCCTTTCTCTTATCTCCTTCCAGTTCAAAATGCTTGCATCTTTTTTTTTTGAGACAGAGTGTCACTCTGTTGCCCAGGCTGGAGTGGCACAATCTTGGCTCACTGCAACCTCTGCCTCCCAGGTTCAAGCGATTCTCCTGCCTCAGCTTCCTGAGTAGCTGGGACTATAGGCATACACCACCATGCCCAGCTAAGTTTTGTATTTTTAGTAGAGATGGGGTTTCACCATTTTGGCCAGGCTGGTCTCAGACTCCTGACCTTGTGATCCGCCCACCTCGGCCTCCCAAAGTGTTGGGATTACAGGCGTGAGCCACCGCGCTTGGCTGCTTGTATCTTTTAATAGCCAGCATTCTTAGATCTGCAGTTGGGCTCAAGGCACTCAAGCCTTAGCACAATCTTCTTTGTAGTTTTAGCCTTTTTCCGGAAAATCGGCTTAGTCTGCCCACCATAGCCACTCTGCTTCCTGTCATAACACTACTTCCCCTGGGCATACCAAGAATCCTTGCCTTGTGTCACTTTGTGGGGGTGGTGCTTGCCACACTTCTTACAGAAAGTCCGGCGGGTTTCAGGAACATTCACCATGTCTGTGTGAGCGCTATTGGCATGGAAAGAAAATTTGTATCTTTTTCAGAGCCCAGACCTTCGTAAGTTTACAACTCTCTGGGTTTCCTCCTGCCGTTTTCAAACTTGTAACCTCCGGAGGTCAGCTAAAGTTAAAAACCCTTGGCCGGGCATGGTTGCTCACACCTGTAATCCCAGCACTCTGGGAGGCTGAGGTGGGCAGATCACCTGAGGTCGGGAGTTCGAGACCAGTCTGGTCAACATGGTAAAACCCTGTCTCTACTAAAATACAAAAATTAGCGGGCATGGTGGTAGGCGCCTGTAATCCCAGCTACTCTGGAGGCTGAGGCAGGAGAATCACTTAAACCTGGGAGGAGGAGGTCACAGTGAGCCGAGATCGCGCCATTGCACTCTAGCCTGGGAGACAAGAGTGAAACTTCGACTCAAAAGCAAAACCAAAATCCAAACCAAACCAAAAAAAAAAAAAAAAAAACCCTCACCCATTGTTAAAGACAGGAAACATTATGCTAAAAAGTGATCTCTAGCTGAAATAAAACTGGCAATTTTTAAATAAAAAGATAGGAGTTCCTTAAGGTTGAGGAGTATTCCATTGTGTAATTAATACCATGTTTGTTTGTTTTTTTTTTTTGAGATGGAGTCTTGCTGTCACCCAGGCTGGAGCGCAGTGGCACGATCTTGGCTCACTGCAACCTCTGACTCTCTGGTTCAAGCAATCCTCCTGCCTCAGCCTCCCAAGTAGCTGGGACTACAGGAGTGTGCCACCACGCCCGGCTGATTTTTTTATATTTTTAGTAGAGACAGGGTTTCACCACATTGGCCTGACTGGTCTCAAACTCCTGGCCTCAAGTGATCCACCCGCCTTGGCCTCCCAAAGTGCTGTGATTACAGGCGTGAGCCACTGTGCCCGGCCTACCATGTTTCCTTTTTAAGGCTTGGGGTCCCAACAATCTCATAACCCAGGCAGTAGGCAGGGTACCCAACGGGCACATTTTTTATTCATCCACTGATGGTCACTTAGACTGACTCTATATCTTGGTTACTGTAAATAAAGCTGCACTGGCCAGGCACTGTGGCTCATGTTTCTGATCCCAGGACTGTGGGAAGCCAAGGCAGGAGGATCGGTTGAGCCCACAGAAGTTCGAGACCAGCCTGGGCAACATGGTGAAACCCTATCTCTACAAAAATATATATATATACAAGAATGAGCGAGGTGTGGTGGGAGGCCATAGTGGTAGGATTGCTCAAGTCTGGGAGGTCAAGGCTGCAGTGAGCTGTGATTGCCCCATTGTACTCCAGCCTGAGCAAGAAAACGAGACCCCGTTTCAAAAAAAAGTGTAGCTGGGCATGGCGGCTCACACCTGTAATTCCAGCACATTGGGAGGCTGAGGCGGGTTGATCACGTGGTCAGGAGTTCAAGACCAGCCTGGCCAACATAGTGAAACCCCATCTCTATTAAAATACAAAATTTAGCCAGGCACAGTGGCAGGTGCCTGTATAATCCTAGCTATTCAAGAGGCTGATGCAGGAGAAACACTTGAACCCAGGGGGCGGGAGTTGCAATAAGCTGAGATTGTGCTGCTGCACTCCATCCTGGGTGACAGAGTGAGACTTGTCTCAAACAAACAAAAAAAAAAGTTATGGGGTAGAAAGTAGAGTAGTTCTAAATGCACTTGCTGGCTGGGTGCGGTGGCTCACGCCTGTAATCCCAACACTTTGGGAGGCCGAGGCGGGCAGATCATGAGGTCACGACATCGAGACTATCCTGGCTAACATGGTGAAACCCCATCTCTATTTAGAATACAAAAAAAAAAAAAAAAAAAATCAGCCAGGCATGGTGGGACATGCTTGTAATCCCGGCTACTCGGGAGGCTGAGGCAGGAGAATCGCTTGAACCCGGGAGGCGGAGGTTGCAGTGAGCCGAGATCGTGCTGCTAAATTCCAGCCTGGGTGACAGAGTGAGATCCTCTCTCAAGAAGAGTTAAATAACCATAGTTCATGTGCATTTTATTGTATTGTTATTTTTAATTGTCTTTGCCCCCATTATTTTTGATCTAGGATTGGTTAAATCCACAGATATGTTAGGCCAACTGTACGATACCTGAAAGCGATAGAAATAGGTAGAAAATAATTTACAAGAAAAAAACAAACAACCCCATCAAAAAGTGGGCGAACGACATGAACAGACACTTCTCAAAAGAAGACATTTATGCAGCCAAAAAACACATGAAAAAATGCTCATCATCACTGGCCATCAGAGAAATGCAAATCAAAACCACTATGAGATATCATCTCACACCAGTTAGAATGGCGATCATTAAAAAGTCAGGAAACAACAGGTGCTGGAGAGGATGTGGAGAAATAGGAACACTTTCACACTGTTGGTGGGACTGTAAACTAGTTCAACCATTGTGGAAGTCGGTGTGGGGATTCCTCAGGGATCTAGAACTAGAAATACCATTTGACCCAGCCATCCCATTACTGGGTATATACCCAAATGACTATAAATCATGCTGCTATAAAGACACATGCACACGTATGTTTATTGCAGCATTATTCACAATAGCAAAGACTTGGAACCAACCCAAATGTCCAACAATGATAGACTGGATTAAGAAAATGTGGCACATATATACCATGGAATACAATGCAGCCATAAAAAATGATGAGTTCATGTCCTTTGTAGGGACATGGATGAAATTGGAAACCATCATTCTCAGTAAACTATCACAAGAACAAAAAACCAAACACCGCATATTCTCACTCATAGGTGGGAATTGAACAATGAGATCACATGGACACAGGAAGGGGAACATCACACTCTGGGGACTGTGGTGGGGTGGGGGGAGGGGGGAGGGATAGCATTGGGAGATATACCTAATGCTAGATGACGAGTTAGTGGGTGCAGCGCACCAGCATGGCACATGTATACATATGTAACTAACCTGCACAATGTGCACATGTACCCTAAAACTTAAAGTATAATAAAAAAAATAATAATAATAAAATAAAAAATAAAAAAATAAAAGGACAAAAAAAAAAAAAAAAAGAAGTAGGTAGAAAATAAGGACCAGGACAGACACCAGGGTTTATGAAGATCCAGCACCTGCATTCAGAACAAGCAGTCCCTCTCCAAGCCTCAATGCCATTTCTTTTTTTTTTTGAGACAGAATTTTGCTCTTGTTGCCCAGGCTGGGGTGCAATGGCGTGATCTCGGCTCATAGCAACCCCCGCCTCCTAGATTTAAGTGATTCTCCTGCCTCAGCCTCCCGGAGTAGCTGGGATTACAGGTGTCTGCCACCACGTCCAGCAAATTTTTGTATTTTTAGTAGAGATGCTGTTTCATCACCATGTTGGTCAGGCTGGTCTCAAACTCCTGACCCTCAGGTGGTCCAACCGCCTCAGCCTCCCAAAGGGCTGGGACGACAGGCGTGAGCCAGCGCGCCTGGCCTTCTGAATTTCTAAAGTCCTGGAGAGGACGCCTGCTTCCTCCTAGGACACAGTGTGGACCGATTTCCACTCACCTCTGACTTCATCCTTTGCTCTCTCAGACAGATCCATTCGGTGCATCTTTTCAAAGACCTGGAGGCTCGCCATCTCCACCCAGTAGCTGTCACAATGGGTGGTGAGGATTTCTACCAGTTGCTTCCCATCAGCCTTGTCTACCTCCTTGTGGGGGATCTTCTGGAGCTCGTGTGCCAGGGAGAAGGTCGTGATCAGATACTTGAACTTGCTCAACTCATCCTGGCTGAGCTGCTCCAGGAGAGCCTGCAGGTTGAAGCCCATCTGCGCCGAAGACACCATCTTGTCCCACGTGGGAGCTGTGATGACAATCAAGGGAGGAGTGGAGAGGGATGGTGATTAGCACTCCTGTCTCAAATGCCAGTTCCTGCTGTGCCACGAACAAGGACACTCACCATCTACCCTGCTTCTTCAAGAACAAACTCCCAGCCTGGGCAACATAGTGAGACCCCCATCTCCATGAAAAATAAGTTAGCAGTGGGTGGTGGTACATGCCTGTAGTCCCAGCTACTCAGGAGGCTGCAGTGGGAGGATTGCTTGAGCCTGGGAGACTGAAACTGCAGTGAGCCTTGATTGTGCCACTGCACTCCCATCTGGGCAACAGAGCAAGACCTCAACTCATTTTACTTTTATTTACTTATTTTTGAGATAGTTTCACTCTGCAGCCCAGGCTGGAGTACAGTAGTACGATCTCAGCTCACTGCAACCTCTGCCTCCCAGGTTCAAACAGTTCTCCTGCCTCAGCCTCCCGACTAGCTGGGATTATGGGCACCCACCACCACGCTCAGCTACTTTTTGTATTTTTTTTTTTTTTTTTTTTGAGACGGAGTCTCACTTTGTCACCCTGGCTGGAGTGCAGTGCTGCAATCTCGGCTCACTACAACCTCTGCCTCCCGGATTCAAGCAATTCTCCTGCCTCAGCCTCCCAAGTAGCTGGGATTACAGGCATTCACCACTGTGCCCAGCTAATTTTTTTGTATTTTTAGTAGAGATGGGGGGTTTCACCAAGTTGGCCAGGCTGGTCTCGAACTCCTGACCTCGTGATTCACCTGCCTCAGTGCCCAGCTAGTTTTTCTAATTGCAAAATAACCAGCTACTGTCAGGGTTTTCCCTGAGGGGCTGCTCAGGTTCTAAAAGTTAACCTATAAAGCGAAAACACTCTCTCATTATAGCAAAGTAGTAACACAACAATGAAAGGACAAGCATAGATCAGATAAGGAAGTGGGGAGCTACGTGGATCACCCAGGAGACAAGAAACTTCGTGAAAACTGGGCTGAATATGATAATGCAAACACACAGCCGGGCGCGGTGGCTCACGCCTGCAATCCCAGCACTTTGGGAGGCCGAGGCGGGCGGATCGTGAGGTCAGGAGATCGAGACCATCCTGGCTAACACAGTGAAACCCCGTCTCTACTAAAAATACAAAAAATTAGCCGGGCGTGGTGGCAGGTGCCTGTAGTTCCAGCTACTTGGGAGGCTGAGGCAGGAGAATCGCTTGAACCTGGGAGTGGGAGGCAGAGGTTGTGGTGAGCTGACATGGCGCCACTGCACTCCAGCCTGGGGCGACAAGAGTGAAACTGTCTCAAAAAAAAAAAAGGCTTAAAGATAACTTAGTGGTGGAGCCTGGTCTCAGGACACAGGTGTGTGGCTTTTACTTTACTGAAGCTGGCCGGGGGGCCATGGCTCACACCTGGAACCCCAAACACTTTGGGAAGCCAAGGTGGGAGGATTGCTTGGAGTTTGAGACCAGCCTGGGCAACATGGCAAAACCCTGTCTCTACAAAAAAATACAAAAAAAAAAAAAATTGTGCTGGGCATAGTGGCATGCACCTGTAGTCCCAGCTACTGAGGAGGCTGAGGTGGGAGGATCACCTGAGCCAGGGAAGTTAAGGCTGCAGTGAGCTGTGATCGCACCACTGCACTCCAGCCTGGTAAAACAAACAAAAACACAACACTGGGGGTGGTGGCTGACGCTTGCAATCCCCGCACTTTGGGAAGCTCAGGTGGGTGATCACTCCAGTCCAGAAGTTCCAGACCAGCCTGGCAACTTAAGACCCTGTCTCTATTTTAAAAACAACAGGGCCGGGTGCGGTGGCTCACGCCTGTAATCACAGCACTTTGGGAGTCCAAGGTGGGAGGATCACCTGAGGTCTGGAGCTTGAGACCAGCCTGGCCAACATAGTGAAACCCTATATCGACTAAAAATACGAAAATTAGCCAGGTTGGTGACAGGCGGCTGTAGTCCCAGCTACTTAGAAGGCTGAGGCACGAGAATTGCTTGAACCTGGGAGGTGGAAGTTGCAGTGAGCTGAGATAGCGCCACTGTACTCCAGCCTGGGAAACAGAGCTAGACTTTGTCTCAAAAAAAAAAAAAAAAAAATAGCAGTAGCAACAAAAACTTTACAGAAAGGGTATAACACCTCTTTATATGATAGCTGTGAATAGCGTGAGAATGGCAACTGGCATAGGTATTTGCATAAGACTCAGGTCCGGAAGCTGGACTAGAATGATGCTAAGAGGCTCCCTCACCTCAGTGAATAAAAAACAATACCTTCTTGTTAAGAGGACTCATTAGACACAAAACCTTAGCACTGCCCAGGACTCCACACACAGCAACCACAGCATCTGACCTGTTCCAATATATTTTTTTTTTTGGAGCTCTCTATAGCTCTATCCTAAATCCCCCAAGAGAACAGAAATAAAAGCACACACAACTATCCTCTTATGAGCCAACCTTAACTAGAGTCTCTCTAGATCTAAGCATCTGCTACTCTTTCCCCAGTCAGAACCACTGAATTTTATTTTATTTTATTTTTTGAGACAGTTTCTCTCTTGCTGCGCAGGCTGGAGAGCAATGGTATGATCTAGGCTCCCCGCAACCTCCGCTTCCCGGGTTCAAGTGATTCTCCTGCCTCAGCCTCCTGAGTAGCTAGGATTACAAGTATGCGCTACCACGCCCACCTAATTTTATATTTTTAGTAGAGATGGGGTTTCTACATGTTGGTCAGGCTGGTCTCGAACTCCCGACCTCAGGTGATCCTCCCGCCTCGGCCTCCCAAAGCGCTGCGATTACAGGCGTGAGCCACTGAGACAGGCAGAACCACTTAATTTCTAACAGAAGAAAAGATTTAGGCCGGGCGCGGTGGCACCTGCCTATAATCCCAGAATTTTGGGAGTCTGAGGCAGGAAGATCGCTTGAGCCCAGGAGTTAGAGACCAGCTTCGGCAACATATTAAGACCCTACATCTAGTGAGTCTCTGCAAACAGTGGTAATAATAATATTATTAGCCAGAACAGATGTGGTGGCACCCTCCCACGGTCCCAGCTACTTCAAAGGCTGAGGCGTGAGGACTGCTTGAACCTGAGAGGTCAAGGGTTCAGTGAGCCGAGATCCTGCCACAGCGCTCCAGCCTGGGAAACAGAGTAAGACCCTCAAAAAAGAGAAGAAAAAAAAAAAAAAAAAAAAAAAAAAGGCTGGGCGCGGTGGCTCACGCCTGTAATCCCGGCACCTTGGGAGGCCGAGGCGGACTGAGACCAGCCTGGCCAACATGGTGAAACCCCGTCTCTACTAAAAATACAAAAAAATTAGCTGGGCATAGTGGCAGGTGCCTGTAGTCTCAGCTACTCGGGAGGCTGAGGCAGGAGAATGGCCTGAACCCGGGAGGCGGAGCTTGCAGTGAGCCGAGATCGCGCCACCGCACTCCAGCCTGGGCGACAGAGCGAGACTCCGTCTCAGAAAAAAAATATATGAAATAAAAGGAGAAATTTTACCAACTGTGGAATGGAGAAATAAAGAAATGAAGTTGCAGAGCTGCCGGAGAGCTACTCACCTCCCAACACCTGGCCCTACTCGCCGGCGGAGATGAGGGCTGCAGGTTGAGAAAGCTCTAATAAGGCTTCTCTCTCGGCCGCAGCCCTGTGATTGGCCCTCGGGGCGTAATCGTTGCTGAGCACTTCCTGTATCCACCGGAATTACTGAGAGGTCTTTTGGGGGCGGGGGGTGTTGGGGGGCGGTCCTTCACCTGAGCTTCCGGATCTCCACCTGTGGTCCTCCATCTTGACTGCCTGTTAAACTTACCTATGTGGAGCCTCATTTCAAAGCACGAACGCCTAGAGATTCTGCTTGATTGGTTACACTGGGACTGCCCAGACCCTGGAGTTCTTTCGAGAGTCCCAGATAACTGTGATTGCGGCCGAGGCTGAGAATCACCGCTTAGAAGCCTCAGCTGTGATTGGCTACCTTCTCCCATCACCCCAGGTATATTATTAATAAAAATCCAACCGTATTTCAAGTGAAATATCAATGACACGTCAACTATGAGACGCATGAAAAGCACCAAGTTCATCAGTTTCACATTCACAGTATTATTATTATTTTATTTTTAATGGAGTCTTGCTCTGTTCCCCAGGCTGGAGTGCAACGGCACGATCTCGGCTCCCCGCAGCCTCCGCCTGCCGGCTTCAAGTGATTCCCCTGCCTCAGCCTCCCGAGTAGCTGAGATTACAAGCATGCGCCACAACGCCTGGTTAATTTTTGTATTTTTTTCAATAGAGACGGGGTTTTGCCATGCTGGCCAGGCTGGTCTCAAACTCCCGACCTCAGGTGATCTGCCAGCCTCAGCCTCCTAAAGTGCTGGGATTACAGGCGTGAGCCACCTACTAAAAATACAAAAAATTAGCCGGGCGTGGTGGCGGGCGCCTGTAGTCCCAGCTACTCGGGAGGCTGAGGCAGGAGAATGGCGTGAACCCGGGAGGCGGAGCTTGCAGTGAGCAGAGATCGCGCCACTGCACTCCAGCCTGGGCGACAGAGCGAGACTCCGTCTCAGAAAAAAAATATATGAAATAAAAGGAGAAATTTTACCAACTGTGGAATGGAGAAATAAAGAAATGAAGTTGCAGAGCTGCCGGAGAGCTACTCACCTCCCAACACCTGGCCCTACTCGCCGGCGGAGATGAGGGCTGCAGGTTGAGAAAGCTCTATTAAGGCTTCTTTCTCGGCCGCAGCCCTGTGATTGGCCCTCGGGGCGTAATCGTTGCTGAGCACTTCCTGTATCCACCGGAATTACTGAGAGGTCTTTTGGGGGCGGGGGGTGTTGGGGGGCGGTCCTTCACCTGAGCTTCCCGATCTCCACCTGTGGTCCTCCATCTTGACTGCCTGTTAAACTTACCTATGTGGAGCCTCATTTCAAAGCACGAACGCCTAGAGATTCTGCTTGATTGGTTACACTGGGACTGCCCAGACCCTGGAGTTCTTTCGAGAGTCCCAGATAATTGTGATTGCGGCCGAGGCTGAGAATCACCGCTTAGAAGCCTCAGCTGTGATTGGCTACCTTCTCCCATCACCCCAGGTATATTATTAATAAAAATCCAACCGTATTTCAAGTGAAATATCAATGACACGTCAACTATGAGACGCATGAAAAGCACCAAGTTCATCAGTTTCACATTCACAGTATTATTATTATTTTATTTTTAATGGAGTCTTGCTCTGTTCCCCAGGCTGGAGTGCAACGGCACGATCTCGGCTCCCCGCAGCCTCCGCCTGCCGGCTTCAAGTGATTCCCCTGCCTCAGCCTCCCGAGTAGCTGAGATTACAAGCATGCGCCACAACGCCTGGTTAATTTTTGTATTTTTTTCAATAGAGACGGGGTTTTGCCATGCTGGCCAGGCTGGTCTCAAACTCCTGACCTCAGGTGATCTGCCAGCCTCAGCCTCCTAAAGTGCTGGGATTACAGGCGTGAGCCACCGTGCCTGGCTGGCAGTATTAATTTTGTAAACATATAGCCGGGCACAGTGGCTCACGCCTGTAATCCCAGCACTTTGGGAGGCCGAGGCAGGTGGATCACGAGGTCAGGAGATCGAGACCATCCTGGCTAACACGGTGAAACCCCGTCTCTACTAAAAATACAAAAAATTAGCCGGGCGTGGTGGCGGGCACCTGTAGTCCCAGCTACTCGGGAGGCTGAGGCAGGAGAATGGCGTGAACCCGGGAGGCGGAGCTTGCAGTGAGCCGAGATCGCGCCACTGCACTCCAGCCTGGGCGACAGAGCAAGGCTCCATCTCAAAAAAAAAAAAAAAAAAAAAAACACCATATAAATAAGACTAAAAAGTTGGGTTTTGGCCGGGCGCGGTGGCTCACGCCTGTAATTCCAGCACTTTGGGAGGCCAAGGCGGGTGGATCACGAGGTCAGGACTTCAAGACCAGCCTGGCCAAGATGATGAAACCCCGTCTCAACTAAAAATACAAAAAATTAGTCGGGCGTGGTGGCGGGTGCCTGTAATCCCAGCTACTTGGGAGGCTGAAGCAGAGAATTGCTTGAACCCAGGAGGCGGAGGTTGCAGTGAGCCGAGACCGCACCACTGCACTCCACCCTGGGCGACAGAGTGAGACTCCGTCTCAAAAAAAAAAAGAAAAAAGTTGGGTTTTATAGCTTTTTTTCATGTTTCTTTGTTTGTTTTGCTTTTTTTTTTTCTGAGACTGAGTCTGGCACTGTCGCCCGGGCTGGAGTGCAGTGGCGCAATCTTGGCTCACTGCAACCTCCGCCTCCAGAGTTCAAGCGATTCTCCTGCCTCAGCCTCCTGAATAGCTGGGATTACAGGCGCGTGCCACTGTACCCGGCTAATTTTCTTATTTTTAGTAGAGATGGGGTTTCACCATGTTGGACAGGGTGGTCTTGAACTCCCAACCTCAGGTAATCTGCTCACCTCGGCCTCCCAAAGTGCTAGGATTACAGGCATGAGCCACTGCGCCTAGCCTTTTTTTTGTATTTTTAGTAGAGATGGGGTTTCACTATGTTGGCCAGGCTGGTCTCAAACTCTTGACCTCGTGATCCGCCCGCCTCGGCCTCCCAAAGTGCTTGGGTTGCAGGCACGAACCACCGCGCCCAGCCTTTTTCATGTTTTAGAACCAACATATGTATATGTACATCTATATTTCTTTTCGTTTTTTCTTTTTGAGACAGGGTCTCACTCTGTCGCCTAGGCTGGTGTGCAGTGGCACAATCATAGCTTACTGAAGGCTACAGGCATACGCCATCACGCCTGACTAGATTTTTGTATTTTTTATAGAGATGGAGGTCTCACTATGTTGCCCAGGCTGGTCTCAACCCCATGGGCTTAAGCAATCTTCCCACCACGGCCTCCCAAAGTGCTGGGATTTCCGGTGTGAGCCACCATGCTTGACCCTGTGTTTACTTATTAAGTCCTCTAAACATTGCTACACAGTAGTGATTGCCATGATCCTACCCATTTTTCACTTTCCTTGAGAAAATGAAGGCAAGGCATATTTAGAAAACCTGTCTGAGGTCTTGAAGATCACAAACAGCTGTCAGCTTCCGGAAGCCCAGCTCTTCACTGCCGCGCTCAGTTGCCTATCCTAGAAAGAATAAGAAAGTGAGGGGGCCCAGTGTGGTGCCTCACGCCTGTAATCCCAGCACTTTGGGAGGCCGAGGCGGGCGGATCACGAGGTCAGGAGATGGAGACCATCCTGGCTAACACGGTGAAACCCCGTCTCTACTAAAAATACAAAAAATTAGCCGGGCGTGGTGGCGGGCGCCTGTAGTCCCAGCTACTCGGGAGGCTGAGGCAGGAGAATGGCGTGAACCCGGGAGGCGGAGCTTGCAGTGAGCTGAGATCGCGCCACTGCACTCCAGCCTGGGTGACAGAGCAAGACTCTGTCTCAAAAACAAACAAACAAAAAAGAAAGAAAGAAAGAAAAGAAAATGAGGGGCCGGGCGTGGTGATTCATGCCTGTAATCCCAGCACTTTGGGAGGCCGAGGCGGGTGGATCACCTGAGGTCAGGAGTTCGAGATCAGCCTGACCAACATGGTGAAATCCCATCTCTACTAAAAATACACAAAAAATTAGCCAGGCGTAGTGGCAGATGCCTGTAATTCCAGCTATTCTGGAGGCTGAGGCAGGAAAATGGCTGGAACCTGGGAGGCAGAGGTTGCAGTGAGCTGAGATCGTGCCATTGCACTCCAGCCTGGGCAACAAGAGCGAAACTCTGTCTCAAAAAAAAAAAAAAAATTGAGGGATGGAGGGAATAGGAAGGATGAATGAAAATGTGCAGGAGCAGTTTTCAGACTGCACATTTCAATAAATTCTTTTTCATTTTTTCTTTTTTTTTTTTTTGAGATGGAGTTTTGCTCTTGTCGCCCAGGCTGGAGTGCAATGGCGCGATCTCAGCTCACTGCAACCTCTGCCTGCCGGTTTCCTGTGATTCTCCTGCCTCAGACTCCTGTGTAGCTGGGATTACAGGCATGTACCACCACGCCCGGCTAATTTTGTAGTTCTAGTAGAGATGGGGTTTCACCATACCCTTTTGGCCAGGCTGTTCTTGAACTCCTGACCTCAGGTGATCCACCCGCCTCAGCCTCCCAAAGTTCTGGGATTACAGGCATCCACTTCCCCCGACCTTTTTCTACCTTCTTAATATGGACACCCTACCATAATTTGGAGGTACTTTTTTTTTTGTTTCCTTTTTGAGACAGACTCTCGCTCTGTTGCCCAGGCTGGAGTGCAGTGGTGTGGTCTCGGCTCACTGCAACCTCTGCCTCCGGGGCTCAAGCAATTCTCTTGCCTCAGCCTCCTACAGGCACCTGCCACCATGCCAGGCTAATTTTTAGTACAGATAGGTTTTCACCATGCTGGCCAGGCTCTTCTTGAACTCCTGATCTGAGATCCACCTGCCTCGGCTTCCCAAAGTGCTGGGATTACAGGTGTGAACCACCACGCCCAGCCACAGTACCTTTTTTAAAAAATTTGTATTTTCTTTTATTTATTTATTTATTTATTTAGAGATGAAGTCTCTCTGTTGTTGCCCAGGCTGGAGTGCAGTGGCATGATCTTGGCTCACTGCAACCTCTGCCTCCCGGGTTCAAGTGATTCTCCTGCCCTAGCTGGGATTATAGGCTCCCGCCACCATACCAAGCTAATTTTGTATTTTTAGTAGACACGGGGTTTCACCACCTTGGCCGGGCTGGTCTTGGACTCCTGACCTCGGGTGATCCACCTGCTTTGGCCTCCCAAAGTGCTGGAATTACAGGCGTGAGACACTGTGCCTGGCCCACTCCCCCTCTTTTTTAACTAGAGACTGGGTCTCACTTTGTACACCGGGCCGGTCTTGAACTCCTGGGCTCCATGGCCCTCCCGCCTTGGCCTCCCAAAGTACTGAGATTACAGGTGTGAGCCACTATGCCTGGCCCATTATTTTATATTTTAATATAAATATTTACATTTATAAATTTCCATCAGTGCAACAAACACATTTCAACAGCAATTTCACCACCACTCAGTTCTAGCATTTTTAAAAATGCCCTTTGTTATTTCTTCTTTGACCTTGGAATTATATAGAATATTTTTTTAAGACTCAAATGCATGGGATTAAGAAATTATCTTTTGTGCTGGGCATGGTGGCTCACGCCTGTAATCCCAGCACTTTGGGAGGCCGAGGCAAGCGGATCACGAGGTCAGGAGATCGAGACCATCCTGGCTAACACGGTGAAACCCCGTCTCTACTAAAAATTAAAAAAATTAGCTGGGCACGGTGGCGGGTGCCTGTAGTCCCAGCTACTTGGGAGGCTGAGGCAGGAGAATGGCGTGAATCCGGGAGGCGGAGCTTGCAGTGAGCCACCATCACACCACTGCACTCCAGCCTAGGTGACAGAGCAAGACTCCATCTCAAAAAATAAAAATAAAAATAAAAATAAAACTATCTTTTGTTACAATTCTTCTAACTTTTGTTCTATTGAGGAAATTGAGACTGAAATGTTAAGTAGCAACCCCAAGGTCACATAACTCATGGGTGGCTGGGGAGAAGGATGGATTTAAACAGACTTCTGGTTGAGCGCGGTGGCTTAAGGCTGTAATCCCAGCACTTTGGGAGGCTGAGATGGGTGGATCACTTGAGGTCAGGAGCTCGAGACTAGCCTGGCCAACATGGTGAAATCCCGTCTCTACTAAAAATACAAAAGTTAGCTGGGTGTGGCGGCAGGCACCTGTAATCCCAGCTACCCAGGAGGCTGAGGGAGGAGAATTGCTTGAACCCGGGAAGCAGAGGTTGCAGTGAGCTGAGATCTCGCCACTGCACTCCAGCCTGGGTGATAGAGGGAGACAACATCTCAAAAAACAAAACGAAAGAAACAAACAAACAAAAAAAACAAGAAACACCAGACTTCTGTTGGAATAAGTGAGTTTGGTTCGGGTAGATGGAACCTGCAAAGGGGTTTGGAGATCCAAAAGAGGAACTACGTGGTTAGAACAGAGTATCGGATGAACTGATAAGAAACCACAATTCAAAAACAATTCAACAAAATGCCCAGGTCTGTGAAAGCCTGTCTACACCAGGCCTTGGGTCTCTGTGTACATTGCCTGCTTCTGACAAGGCTCTGCAGCCGGGAGTCGGCTCCCAGGGTTGCATGGCTGGGAACAACAGAAGCTCAGGAGCGGACCTAAAACGGAGCAGTTGGGTAAAATGAAGCTGTCTCCATTTACTTTCTACAGACAGACATCCATGAGAGGATGAGGAGGTGTGCTTGCCTCCTGGTCAAGCACTAATTTTTTTTTCCAAGCACTAATTTTAATTTTTTTATTTTTTGTAGAAACAGGGTCTCAGAGTATTTGCTTTGGCAGCACATACACTAAAATTGGAAATGGGGGTCTTGCTATGTTGCCCAGGCTGGACTTGAGCTCCTGGGCTCAAGGGATCCTCCCACCTCAACCTCCTAAAGTGCTATCCACTCTGACCTTGTGATCCACCTGCCTCAGCCTCCCAAAGTGCTGGTGAGGGAAGAGAGAAACCGTCTCATATTGTTTTATATTGTTTTATACTCAGTACTTGTTTTAGAAAAAAAACAAGGAGGCCGGGCACGGTGGCTCACGCCTGTAATCCCAGCACTTTGGGAGGCCAAGGCGGGTGGATCACAAGGTCAGGAGTTTGAGACCAGCCTGGCCAACATGGTGAAACCCCGTCTCTATTAAAAATACAAAAATTAGCCGGGCATGGTGGCGTGCGCCTGTAATCCCAGCTACTCGGAAGGATGAGGCAGCAGAATTGCTTGAATCCAGGAGGCGGAGCTTGCAGTGAGCCGAGATTGTGCCACTGCACTCCAGCCTTAGCGACAGAGCAAGACTCTGTCTCAAAAAAAAAAAAAAAGAAAAAGAAAAAAACAAGGAAGTGAAACCAAAGGCAGGTAGCCCGGCGCCAGGCACCAGACCCAAAACCAGACCCGAAACCAGGCCTGGGCCTGCCTGGCGTAAACCTAGTAGATAAAAATCAACTCATGACTTAGAACCCGATGTTATCCATAGATTCCAGGCATTGTATAGAAGAACACTGTGAAACTCCCTGCCCTATTCTTTCTCTCTGACCAGCAGTGCACGAAACCCCTGTTATGTATCCCCTAGATTGCTCAATCATGACCCTTTCATGCGCAGTCTTTAGTGTTGTGAGCCCTTAAAAGGGACAGAAACTGTGCACTCGAGGAGCTTGGATTTTAAGACAGTAGCTTGCCGATGCTCCCAGCTGAATAAAGCCCTTCCTTCTACAACTCGGTGTCTGAGAGGTTTTTGTCTGTGGCTCGTCCTGCTACACTGGGATTACAGGCGTGAGCCACTGTGCCTGGCCACTAGTTATTATTATTATTATTATTTGAGACAGAGTCTCACTCTGTCCCTTGGGCTGGAGTGCAGTGGCCTGATCTTGACTCACTGCAACCTTTGCCTCCCGGGTTCAAGCGATTCTCCTGCCTCAGCCTCCAGAGTAGCTGGGATTACAGGCATGCACCACTATGCCCAGCTAGCTAACTTTTTGTATTTTTAGTAGAGACAGGGTTTCACCATGTTGGCCAGGCTGGTCTTGAACTCCTGACCTTGTGATTCGCCCACCTCGGCGTCCCAAAGTGCTGGGATTAGAGGCGTGAGCCACTGCACCCGGCAATACTAGTTATTGTTAATGCTATTATTGTTACTGACATGTTCATTTTTACCTAGCCACTTTATTTTCCCACCTCTTTCTCCCTACTTCTCCTAAGTGTCAATGTTAGATAAGTCTGAAATTCTCTTTCCCTGTCCCTCTCTGTCTCTCTCTCCTTCTTTGTCTTTCTTTCACCTGAGACCCATAATCCTGGAGATAGCAAGTGCCTCAGGGAGAAAATCCCAAACCAAGCGATTCTCCTGCCCTAGCCTTCCAAGTAGCTGGGATTACAGGCTCCTGCCACCATACCAAGCTAATTTTGTATTTTTAGTAAAGACACGGTCTCACCACCTTGGCCAGGCTAGTCTCGGACTCCTGACCTCAGGTGATCCACCCACCTGGGCCTCCCAAAGTGCTGGAATTACAGGCGTGAGACACCGTGCCCGGCCCCCTCCCCATCTTTTTTAAATAGAGACTGGGTCTCACTTTGTACACCGGGCCAGTCTTGAACTCTTGGGCTCCATGGCCCTCCAGTGTGGAGGAGAGAAAATGGATTCCCTCCACCCTCCTAGGTTCTTTGGATGGGCTATGAATTACATTGACACAAAACAGTTTGACAGAAGAAAAACCAGATTCAATTATGTATGCACAGGAGTCCCACAAAAATGTGAGACTGGAGGAAGGGCCAGATGATTGAAGCTCATCTAGCTGCCTGAGCTACAGAAAGGAGTATAAGAGTGTAGGGTGCAGTGGCTCACGCCTGTGATCCCAGCAGTTTGGGAGGCCAAGGTGGGTGGATCACCTGAGGTCAGGAGTTTGAGACCAGCCTGGCCAACATGGTGAAACCCCATCTCTGCTAAAAATACAAAAATTAGCTGGTGTGGTGGTGTGTGCCTGTAATCCCAGCTACTCCGGAGGCTGAGGCAGGAGAATCACTTGAACCCGGGAGGAGGAAACTGCAGTGAGCTAAGATCGCACCATTGTACTCCAGCCTGGGCTTCAAAGGGAGACTCCATCTCAAAAAAAAAAAAAAAAAGAAGAAGAAGAAGAAAGGAGTAGGGGTGTCCGTCCCAGTGGCTCACGGTCTGTAATCTCAACACTTTGGGAACCGAAATGGGTGGATCACCTGACGTCGGGAGTTTGAGACTAGCCTGGACAACAGGGTGAAACCCAGTCTCCACTAAAAATACAAAAATTAGCCAGGTGTGGTGGTGTGCCCTGTAATCCCAGCTACTTGGGAGGCTGAGACAGGAGGATTACTTGAACCCGGGAGGTGGAGGTTGCAGTGGGCCAAGATCACGCCACTGCACTGCAGCCTGGGAGATAGAGGGAGACCCTGTCTCAAAATAAAATAAATAAATAAATAAATAAATACATACATACATAAATGAAAAGGCGTAGAGACTTGGAGCTTCTGGGGGTGGTGGAGGCAAATTAAGGTATGATAAAAGGGGGAAAAGTTGCTGGGTTCACGCCTGTAATTCCAGCACTTTGGGAGGCCAAGGCAGGTGGATCACCAGAGGACAGGAGTTCGAGACAAGCCTGGCCAACATGGTGAAACCCCGTTTCTACTAAAAATGCAAAAAATTAGAAGGCGTGGTGTTGGGTGTCAGTGATCCACCTGCCTCGGCCTCCCAAAGTGCTGATATTATAGGCGTGAGCCACTGCGCCCGGCCTTTTTTTTTTTTTGAGGGAGAGTCTTGCTCTGTCTCCCAGGCTGGAGTGCAAAGGCACAATCTCAGCTCACTGCAACCTCCGCCTCCCGGGTTCAAGTGATTCTCCTGCCTCAGCCTCCCGAGTAGCTGGTATTACAGGCACCTGCCACCGCGCCCAGCTAATTTTTGTATTTTTTTTTAGTAGAGATGGGGTTTTGCCATGTTCACCAGGGTGGTCTCAAAGTCCTGACCTCAAGTGATCCGCCTGCCTTGGCCTCCCAAAATCCTGGAATGACAGGCATGAACCACCATACCCAGTCCTGTTTTTCCTACTTTCACACTCAACACAGAATACTTCACCAAAAATGTATGTTTCTCCCCACCAACAACCAGTTCTCCAGCAGAGACCAGCTGGGTGTCCTCTCCTTTGATTTAGTTCTGACACTCCCTACCTGGGGACAGCATCAGATCCCAAAGGTTCAGGGCTGAGTCCCACAAGACTGACTGACTTCCTTCCTTCCTTCCTTGTCCCACAAGACTGACTTCCTTTCCCTCCTTCCCTTCCCTCCTTCCCTCCTTCCCTCCTTCCTTCCTTTCTCTCCCTCTGTTGCCCAGGCTGGAGTGCAGTTGCGAGATCATGGCTCACTGTAGCCATGACCTCCCAGTCTCAAGTGATCCTCCTGCCTTGGCCTCCTGAGTAGCTGGGACTACAGGCATGCACGATCACAGTTGGCTATTTATTTATTTATTTATTTATTTTTGAGACACAGTCTTGCTCTGTCATCCAGGCTGGAGTGCAGTCCTGTCATCTAGGCTGGAGTGCATTTTTGCAATACAAAAATTAGCCAGGCATGGGAGCGAATGTCTATAATCCCAGCTACTTGGGAGGCTGAGGCTCGACAATCCCTTGAACCCAGGAGGTTGAGGATCACAGCTCACTGCAACCTCAGTCTTGCTGTGTCGCCCAGGCTGAAGTGCAGTGGCACGATCTTGGCTCACTGCAACCTACGACTCCGGGATTCACGTCATTCTCCTGCCTCAGCCTCCCGAGTAGCTGGGACCACAGGCGCCCACGACCTCCTGGCTAACTTTTGTATTTTTTGTAGAGATGGGGTTTCGCCATGTTAGTCAGGCTGGTCTGACCTCAAATGATTCACCCACCTCAGCTTCCCAACATGCTGGGCTTACAGCCACTGTGCTCAGTCGAAATTCTGTATATTTGATCAAGAAGAGGTTTCATCATGTTGTCCAGGCTGGTCTGGAACTCTTGAACTCAAGCAATCCACCTACCTGGGCTGCCCAAAGTTCGGGGATTCCAGGCATGTGCCACCATGCCTGGCCCAAGGCTGCTCTTCCTAAAGAAGAAAATTATTCCAATGATTTTATTTATTTATTTTTGAGACGGAGTTTCACTCTTGTTGCCCAGGCTGGAGTGCAATGGCATGATCTTGGCTCACTGCAACCTCTGCCACCCGGGTTCAAGTGATTCTCCTGCCTCAGCCTCCTGAGTAGCTGGGATTACAGGCACGCACCACCACACCCAGCTAATTTTTTTGTATTTTAGTAGAGACGGGGTTTCTCCATGTTGGTCAGGCTGGTCTCAAACTTCGGACCTCAGGTGATCCGCCAGCCTTGGCCTCCCAAAGTGCTGGGATTGCAGGCGTGAGCCACCGCGCCCGGCCACCAATGATATTTTTTAAAAGCAAGTAAGGACGAGCTGGGCATGGTGGGTTCTTGAATCTCATACCAGAAAGAATTCAGGGCGAGACTATGGAGTAAAGTGGAAGCAAGCTTATTAGGAAAGTGAAGGAGTAAAAGAATAGCTACTCCATAGACAGCAGCCCATAGGGCTGCTAGTTGCCCTTATTTTTTTTGAGATGGAGTTTTGCTCTTGTCGCCCAGGCTGGAGTGCAGTGGCGTGATCTTGGCTCACTGAAACCTCTGCCTTGAATCACTTCAGTTCAAGTGATTCTCCTGCCTCAGCCTCCTGAGTAGCTGGGATTACAGGTGCCTGCCATCACGTCTGGCTAATTTTTGTATTTTTAGTAAGAGATGGGGTTTCACCATGTTGGCCAGGCTGATCTTGACCTCCTGAGCTCAGGTGATATGCCCGCCTCGGCCTCCCAAAGTGTTGGGATTACAGGCGTAAGCCACCACGTCCGGCCTCGGTTGCCCTTTTTTTTTTTTTTTTTTTTTTTTGAGACGGAGTCTCGCTCTTTCACCAGGCCAGAGTGCAGTGGCACTATCTCGGCTCACTGCAAGCTCCGCCTCCTGGGTTCAGGCCATTCTCCTGCCTCAGCCTCCCGAGTAGCTGGGACTACAGGCGCCCGCCACCGCACCCAGCTAATTAGTTGTATTTTTTTTTAGTAGAGATGGGATTTCACCGTGTTAGCCAGGATGGTCTCAATCTCCTGACCTCATGATCCACCCGCCTCGGCCTCCCAAAGTGCTGGGATTACAGGCGTGACCACCGCGCCCGGCCGGTTGCCCATTTTTATGGTTATTTCTATGGATATGCTAAACAAGGGGTGGATTATTCATGCCTCCCCTTTTTAGACAGCATAGGGTAACTTCCTGACATTGCCATGGCATTTGTAAACTGTCATGGGGCTGCTGGGAGTGGAGCGGTGAGGACAACCAGAGGTTACTCTCGTCACTATCTTGGTTTTGATGGAGTTTGACTGGATGCTTTATTTATTTTTATTTATTTTTTATTTTTTTGAGACGGAGTCTCGCTCTGTCACCCAGGCTGGAGTGCAGTGGCGCGATCTCCGCTCACTGCAAGCTCCATCACCCGGGTTCACGCCGTTCTCCTGCCTCAGCCTCCCGAGTAGCTGGGACTACAGGCGCCCGCCACCACGCCCAGCTAATTTTTTGTATTTTTTTTTTTTAGTAGAGATGGTTTCACCGTGTTAGCCAGGATGGTCTCAATCTCCTGACCGTGTGATCCACCCGCCTCAGCCCCCGAAAGTGCTGGGATTACAGGTGTGAGCCACCGCGCCCGGCCTGGCTGGATTCTTTATTGCTAAGGGAGGAGACCACCCCTCATATTGTCTTATGCCCAATTTCCACCTCCAAAGAAAGAAAAAGTAAAAACTAAAAGGCAGAAATGAAATCCACAAGCAGACAGCCCCGCGCCCCAGGAATGAAATCCACAAGCAGACAGCCCCGCGGCCCAGGAATGAAATCCACAAGCAGACAGCCCGGCGCCACACCCTGGGCCTGGTAGTTAAAGATTGACCCCTGACCTAATCGGTTATCTATAGATTACAGACATTGTATAGAAAAGCACTGTGAAAATCCCTATCCTGTTTTGTTTGGATCTGATTACCAGTGCATGCAGCCCCCAGTCACGTACCCCCTGCTTGCTCAGTCGATCACGACCCTCTCACGCACACCCCCTTAGAGTTGTGAGCCCTTAAAAGGGACAGGAATTGCTCACTTGGGGATCTCGGCTCTTGAGACGGGAGTCTTGCCGATGCCCCTGGCCGGATAAACCCCTTTCTTCTTTAACTCGGTGTCTGAGGAGTTTTGTCTGTGGCTGGTCCTGCTACATTGCTACCTGTGTTATCAGCAAGGTCCTTATGACCTGTATCTTGTGCTGACTTATCTCATCCTGTGACTTAGAATGCTTTTTTTTTTCTTTTTACTGCAACCTCCGCCTCCCCGGCTCAAGCGATTCTCCTGCCTCAGCCTCGCAAGTAGGTGGGATTACAGGCACGAGCCACCACGCCTGACTAATTTTTGTATTTTCAGTAGAGACGGGGTTTCACCGTGTTGGCCAGGCTGGTCTCAAACTCTACTTCGGGTAATCCACCCGCCTCGGCCTCCCAAAGTGCTGGGCCACCGTGCCTGTCATTTTTGTTTTTTTTGGAGAATGCCTTAACTGTCTGGGAATGCAGCCCGGTAGGTCTCAGCCTTATTTTAGTCAGCTCCTATTCAAGATGGAGTTGCCCTGGTTACACGCCTCTGACAGTAGGTCCGTTGCCCAATGCACGCTGTGAGTCAATTTGCCGGGTCACTGTGTTGCAGAAGAGAAGGAAGTTTAATCACAGGGCTGAGGAATGAGGAGATGGGAGGAAACCTCCAATCCATCTCCCCCAGAAGTTTGGGTCTAGGGTTTTTTTTTTTTTTGAGATGGAGTTTTGCTTTGTCACCCAGGCTGGAGTGCAGTGGCAGGATCTTTGCTCACTGCAACCTCCGCCTCCCAGGTTCAAGTAATTCTCTTGCCTCAGCCTCCTGAGTAGCTGGGGTTACAGGCACCCGCTACCACGCCCGACTAATTTTTTGTGTTTTTAGTAGAAACGGGGTTTCACTATGTTGGCCAGGCTGGTCTTGAACTCTTGACCTCAGGTGATTCACCTGCCTTGGCCTCCCAAAGTGCTGGAGTTACAGGTGTGAGCCTCTGCACCCGGCCGGGGCTAGGGTTTTTAAGTGTTTTGGTGTGGGCCAGAGTGTGGCCATGCTGACTGCTGGCGGAGACAGGGGCATGAAGACGCAGTGTTCTCATGCTGATCCCATTCCTCACTGGGGTCTTCAAACTGGTTAGTGTCAGCTATTTGGCTGGAATTCAAGGTCTGAAAAACATCTGAAACCATCCTTAAACAAAAGCCTTATAATTCTAATGTCCCAGAGTTTATCTGTAGGAACCGTGCAGATACAAATTTGTCTAATGGGGCCGGGCGCGGTGGCTCACGCCTGTAATCCCAGCACTTTGGGAGGCCTAGGCGGGAGGATCACGAGGTCAGGAGATCGAGACCATCCTGGCTAACATGGTGAAACCGCGTCTCTACTAAAAATACAAAAAAAATTAGCCAGGCATGGTTGCAGGCACCTGTAGTCCCAGCTATTCGGGAGGCTGAGGCAGGAGAATTGTGTGAACCCGGGAGGCGGAGCTTGCAGTGAGCAGAGATTGCGCCACTGCCCTCCAGCCTGGGCGACAGAGCGAGACTCCGTCTCAAAAAAAAAAAAAAATTCGTCTAATGACCCTGCTGTCAGAAATCCTATCTACAGCAATGATGAGGAGGCAAAAGTGCAGTGTCTAGAGCCACGTGATACACAGCAGCCAGGATGTGGGCCAGAGTGCAGCCTGATTCACATTTTTTCATTTTTATTTTTTTTACTAAAAGTGGGTTTTCATTTTTTGTTTTGTTTTTGTTTTTGTTTTTTGTTTTTTGAGATGGAGTCTCACTCTGTTGCACCCAGGCTGGAGTGCAGTCGTGCGACCTCGGCTCACTGCAACCTCTGCCTCTGCCTCCCGGGTTCAAACAATTCTGCCTCAGCCTCTCGAGTAGCTGGGATTACAGGCGTTGAACTACCATGCCCCGCTAATTTTTGTATTTTTGTAGAGACGCAGTTTCACCATGCTGGCTGGGCTGGTCTCAAACTCCTGACCTTAAGTGATCCATCTGCCTCAGCCTCCCAAAGTGCTGGGATTACAGGCCTGAGCCACTGTGCCTGGTCTACAAAGGATATTTTTGTGGGGAAAAGAAAGAGAGATCAGATTGTAACTGTGTCTGTGTAGAAAGAAGTAGACACAGGAGACTTCATTTTGTTCTGTACTAAGACAAATTCTTCTGCCTTGAGATGCTGTTAATCTATGACCTTACCCCCAACCCTGTGCTCTCTGAAACATGTGCTGTGTCCACTCAGGGTTAAATGGATTAAGGGCTGTGCAAGATGTGCTTTGTTAAACAAATGCTTGAAGGCAGCATGCTCCTTAAGAGTCATCACCACTCCCTAATCTCAAGTACCCAGGGACACAAACACTGCGGAAGGCCGCAGGGACCTCTGCCTAGGAAAGCCAGGTATTGTCCAGGGTTTCTCCCCATGTGATAGCCTGAAATATGGTCTCATGGGAAGGGAAAGACCTGACCGTCCCTCAGCCCGACACCAGTAAAGGGTCTGTGCTGAGGCGGATTAGTAAAAGAGGAAGGAACACCTCTTTGCAGTTGAGACAAGAGGAAGGCATCTGTCTCCTGCTCGTCCCTGGGCAATGGAATGTATGGGTGTAAACCCCGATTGTATATTCCATATACTGAGATAGGGGAAAACCGCCTTAGGGCTGGAGGTGGGACATGCGGGCAGCAATACTGCTCCGTAAGGCATTGAGATGTTTATGTGTATGCATATCTAAAGCACAGCACTTAGTTCTTTACCTTGTCTATGATGCAGAGACCTTTGTTAACGTGTTTATCTGCTGACCTTCCCTCCACTATTATCCTATGACCCTGCCACATCCCCCTCTCTGAGAAACACCCCAAAATGATCAATAAATACTAAGGGAACTCAGAAGCTGGCGGGATCCTCCATATGCTGAATGCTGGTCCCCTGGGTCCCCTTATTTCTTTCTCTATACTTTGTCTGTGTCTCTTTCTTTTCCAAGTCTCTCCTTCCACCTAACGAGAAATGCCCACAGGTGTGGAGGGGCAACCCGCCCTTTCATATTTTAAAGGATACAAATGAACAGCCAAGGAAGAGATGCGTAGGGGGAGGTTTAGAGGAGTCCGAAGTGCAGGAGCTTCTGTCCCTGTGGACCTGGGGTGCACCACAGTCCTGGCACACGAATGCACCCGGGTTCACCAACCAGGAAGCTCTTCTGAACTCTTTCCTGGTTTTTTTTTTTTTTGAGACAGTCTAACTCCGTCACCCAGGCTGGAGTGCAGTGGCGCTATCTCAGCTCACTGCAGCCTCTGTCTCCTGCGTTCAAGTGATTCTCATGCCTCAGCCTCCTGAGTAGCTGGGTCTACAGGTGCACTCCACCACGCCTGGCTAATTTTTTATTTTTTGTAGAGCCAGGGTCTTGCTATTTTGTCCAGACTGGCCTAGAATTCTTGGGCTCAAGCAATCCTCCCATCTAGGCCTCCCAAAGCGTTGGGATTACGGGCATGAGCCACAGGACACCCGGCCCAAACCCTTTTCTTTTGGGGTTTATGGAGGATTCCTTAGGTGGGCAATGCTGATCACATAGCTGGCAGTTCATAATCAATTCAACCTTCAGCCCCTCTCCCCTCCCTGGAGGCCACTTGGAGCCTGGGGCTGAAAGTTCCCAATGTCTAATCACTGACGGTTTCTTTGGCAGCCAGTCCCTCGCACTTGTGGGGTTATCTAGGGGCTTTCCAAAAGTCACCTCATTTACATAAACTCAGGTGTGGTTGCAGGGCCTGGGTATGTATAACAAGAGATACCTCTTTCATGTTTATCTCTCCATAGCTGCTCTAGGACTAAAGGCCAAATGTTTTAACAAAATATACTCTCTCTCTCTTTTTGTCAGCTAGAATATAATTTATTTTTATTGTTTTTATTTTCTTTTTCTTCAGAGAGGGAGTCTCGCCATATTGCCCAGGCTGGTCTTGAACTCCTGGACTCAGGCAGTCCTCCCGCCTCAGCCTCCCAAAGTGCTGGGATTACATTCATGAACCACTGCGCCTGGCCATCTTTTTTTTTTTTTTTTAAAGATGGAGTCTCTGTCGCCCAGGCTGGAGCGCAGTGGTGCAATCTCGGCTCACGGCAACCTCCAACTCCCAGGTTCAATCAATTCTTACGCCTCAGCCTCCTGAGTAGCTGGGATTACAGGTGCACACCACCATGCCTGGCTAATTCTTTATTTTTAGTAGCCAGGGGTTTTTTGCCATGTTGCCCAGGTTGGTCTCGAACTGCTGACCTCAGATGATCCACCTGCCTCAGCCTTCCAAAGTGCAGGGATTACAGGTGTGAGCCACCATGCCAGGCCTCCATAGTGCCTATTTCTATAGATGGCATGCTGCAACTGATATATACATCTTCATTTGTGGGACCATTTGCTTCCATTAAATTAACAGTTTAAACTACCAAAATTCTGTGCTGAATGCTTTCCACAACATACACTGTTTTATTTAAAAACAATTTTAGGCCAGGTGCGGTGGCTCATGCCTGTAATCACCTGACATCAGGAGTTTGAGACCAGCCTGACCAATATGGTGAAACCCTGTCTCTACTAAAAATACAAAAAATTAGTTGGGCATGGTGGCATGTGCCTGCAGTCCCAGCTACTTGGGAAGCTGAGGCATCAGAATTGCTTGAACCTGGAAGGCAGAGGTTGCAAGAATGGAGATTGCACCACTGCACTCCAGCCTGGGCCACAGAGCAAGACTCCATCCAAAAAAAAAAATTAAATATCAGTTATCTATTTATTTTTTTGAGACTGGGTCTCACTCTGTGGCCTAGGCTGGAGTGAGATGGCCAGTCACAGCTCACTGCAGCCTCAAACTCCTGAGCTCAGGTGATCCTCCCACCTCAGCCTCCTGAATAGCTGGGATTACAGGTGCAGCCCATCATGTATGGCTAATTTTTTTGTTTTTGTTTTTGAGACAGTCTTGCTCTTGTCACCCAGGCTGGAGTGCAATGGCGTGATCGTGCCTCACTCACCCTCCACCTCCCTAGTTCAAGTGATTGTCCTGTCTCAGCCTCCCGAGTAGCTGGGATTACAGGCACCTGCCACCACACCTGGCTAATTTTTTGTATGTTTAGTAGAGACAGAGTTTCACCACGTTGGCCAGTCTGGTCTCCAACTCCTGACCTCAGGTGATCCACCCGCCTCGGCTTCCCAAATTGCTGGGACTACAGGCATGAGCTACCACGCCCAGCCTATGCATGGCTAATTATTAAATATTTTTGAAGAGATGGCATCTTGCTATGTTGCCTAGGCTGGTATCAAACTCCTGGCCCCTAGGGATCCACTGGCCTAGGCCTCTCAGCCTGCTGGGATTTATAGGCAGGAGGCACCACAGTTGGCCACAAAGTAGACTTATTGTATTTGTAACTTAGGAAGTCACGGGAGTTTTTGTCCTCTTTTTTTTTAATTTTTATTTATTTTTGTTTAATTTTTTTTCTCTACAAGAGTTTTTAAAGCTGGGAGCCAGGTACCCTGCAAAACCCAAAATGTGTATTTCCTGTTCTGTCGCCTATCACACCTGGCCCGGGTGGTCTAGGAAGGGAATTGCACATTAATCTCACCTGGGGAGATTCAGCAAGCCGTAATTCTCCAAAGCCCACTGAAGCCCAATTACAGCCAAATCCCTGAGGATGGGGCCCAGGTGATGTCAAGGTGAGCCTGAGGTCAGTGGTTGGGAGCCACCCAATGTTAATCTCAGTGGGGCGGTTCCACCCTGGGCGGGAAAGCTGTCTCTCCACCTAGCGTACCAAGGGCCAGAGACCTCCCCTTTTTATCCGTTTCCTTTGCAGGAAACACAGGCTGGAAGCAAGACCTGACCTGAGGGAGGTGAGTGCTGGTTCTTGCATCGATTTCTTTGTCTTCTCGTTTAAGGGAGAAGAAGCTATTGGTTGAGTTTCCACCATAGCCCTTCCCAAGCCTTAATGGTTGGTGCGAGGATGCTGGAAGGATCTTTGATTTTTTTTTTTTTGAGACGGAGTCTCCCTCTGTCGCCCAGGCTGGAGTGCAGTGGCGTGATCTTGGTTCGCTGCAAACTCCGCCTCCTGGGTTCACCCGCCATTCTCCTGCCTCAGCCTCCTGAGTAGCTGGGACTACAGGCACGTGCCACCATGCCCAGCTAATTTTTGTATTTTTAGTAGAGACGGGGTCTCACCATGTTGGCCAGGCTGGTCTTGAACTCCTGACTTTAGGTAATCTGTCTGCCTCGGCCTCCCAAAGTGCTGGGATTCCAGGTGTGAGCCACCACGCCTGGCCTAATGTCTTAAGGACTTCTATTCAAATATAGTTTAGAGGAGTTCAGGAGATTGAGACTAGCCTGGGCAACATGGTAAAACTCTGTCATTACAAAAAAATATAAGGCCAGGCACAGTGGTTCATGCCTGTTATCCCAACACTTTGGGAGGCCGAGGCGGGTGGATCACTTGAGGCCAGAAGTTTGAGACCAGCCTGCCCAAAATGGTGAAACCCTGTCTCTACTAAAAACACAAAAATTAGCCAGGTGTGGTGGTGCATGCCTGTAATCCCAGTTACTTGGAAGGTTGAGGCAGGAGAATAGCTTAAACCTAGGAGGGGGAGGTTGCAATGAGCTGAGATCGCGCCACTGCACTCCAGCCTGGGAGACAGAGTGCGACTCCGTCTCAAAAAACAAAGAAGGCCAGACCTTGTGCTGTGTCCAAGCTACTTGTGGGGTGAGGTGGGAGGATCACCTGAGCCAGGAGGTGGGGGCTGCAATGAGGTGTGATTGAGCCACTGCACTCCAGCCTGGATGAGATGAAGACCCTGTTTAAAAAAAAAAAAAAGTAGGCTGGGCGCGGTGGCTCACGCCTGTAATCCCAGCACTTTCAGATCACCTGAGGCCGGGAGTTTGAGACCAGCCTGACCAACATGGAGAAACCCCATCTCTACTAAAAATACAAAATTAGCTGGGCGTGGTGGCACATGCCTGTAATCCCAGCTACTCGGGAGGCTGAGGCAGGAGAATCACTTGAACCCGGGAGGCGGAGGTTGCGGTGAGCTGAGATTGCGCCACTGCACTCCAGCCTGGGCAACCAGAGTGAAATGCTGCATCAAAAAAAAAAAAAAATGTAAATGGCCAGATGCGGTGGCTCACGCCTGTGATCCCAGCACTTTGGGAGGCCGAGGCGGGTGGATCAGCTGAGGTCAGGAGTTCGAGGCCAGCCTGGCCAACATAGAGAAACCCTGTCTCGGCCGGGCGCGGTGGCTCACGCCTGTAATCCCAGCACTATGGGAGGCCGAGGCGGGCGGATCACGAGGTCAGAAGATCGAGACCATCCTGGCTAACACGGTGAAACCCCATCTCTACTAAAAATACAAAAAAAATTAGCTGGGCATAGTGGCGGGCGCCTGTAGTCCCAGCTACTTGGGAGGCTGAGGCAGGAGAATGGCGTGAACCTGGGAGGCGGAGCTTGCAGTGAGCCCAGATCGCGCCACTGCACTCCAGCCTGGGTGACAGAGCAAGACTCCATCTCAGAAAAAAACAAGAAACCCTGTCTCTACTAAAAATACAAAAACTAGCCCGGCGTGATGCGGTGCGCCTGTAATCCCAGCTTCTTGAGAGGCTGAGGCACTAGAATCACTTGAACCTGGGAGGTGGAGGTTGCAGTGAGTCGAGATTGTGCCACTGCACTCCAGCCTGGGCAACAGAGGGAGACTCCATCTCAAAAAAAAGAAAAAAAGAAAAAAATGTACTTGGGAAAAAAAATACTTGGCCAGGCCTGGTGGCTCATACCTGTAATCCCAGCACTTTGGGAGGCTGAGGTGGGCAGATCACCTGAGGTCAGGAGTTCAAGACCAGCCTGGCCAACATGGTGAAACCCCGTTTGTACTAAAAATACAAAAAAAATTAGGTGTGGTGGGGCATACCTGTAATCCCAGCTACTTGGGAGGCCGAGGCAGGAGAATCGCTTGAACCCGGGAAGAGGAGGTTGTGGTAAGCCTCGCACCATTGCACTCCAGCCTGGGCGACAGAGCAAGACTTTCTGAAAAAGAAAAAAAAAACCCTGAATTTTTCTTTTCTTTTCTTTTTTTTTTTTTTTTTGAGAGGGAGTCTCACTCGCCCAGGCTGGAGTGCAGTGGCGCGATCTTGGCTCACTGCAAGCTCCGCCTCCCAGGTTCAAGCCATTCTCCTGCCTCAGCCTCCCAAGTAGCTGGGACTACAGGCGCCCGCCACCATGCCCGGCTAATTTTTTTTTTGTATTTTTAGTAGAGACGGGGTTTCACCGTGTTAGCCAGGATGGTCTTGAGCTCCTCACCTTGTGATCTGCCCGCCTCGGCCTCCCATAGTGCTGGGATTACAGGCGTGAGCCACCGTGCCTGGCCAAAAAACCCTGAATTTTTCTAAGTACATCAAGCGTTGTCACTGCAAAAACGAAAGGCAACTATATGAAGCAGTGGATATGTTAATTAGCTGGATTGTGGTAATCATTTCACTGTATATATAACATCGCTCCATGCTGTACACTTTGACAAGTAAACGTTGTATATATTACTTTAAAAATACTTAAAAAATAGAGACAAGGTCTCCTTGTGTCGCCCAGGCTGGTCTGGAACTCCTGGGCTCTCATGCTCTTCCTGCTCCATCCTAAAATAGGATATATGTAATTATACCTCACTGAAGGGGTGGCCTGCCCCTCCACACCTGTGGGTGTTTCTTGTCAGGTGGGACGAGAGACTGAGAAAAGAAAGAGACACAGAGACAAAGTACACAGAAAGAAAAGTGGGCTCAGGAGACCCGCGCCGGCCGGGTCTCTGAGTTCCTTCAGTATTTATTGGTCATTATCTCTACCATCTCGGAGACGGGGATGTGGCAGGACAATAGGGTAACAGTGGGGAGAGGGTCAGCAGGAAAACATGTGAGCAAATGTCTGTGTCATAAACAAGGTTAGGAAATGTGCTGTGCCTTGATGTGCTCATACATAAACATATCTGGTGCATTAAAGAGCAGTATTGCTGCCAGCATGTGTCACCTCCAGCCCTAAGGCGGTTTTCCCCTATCTCGGTGGATGGAACATACCATCGGGTTTTACACCGAGACATTCCATTGCCCAGGGACGAGCAGGAGACAGATACCTTCCTCTTAACTGCAAAAAGGCCTTCCTCTTATACTAATCCTCTTCAGCACAGACCCTTTACGGGTGTCGGGCTGGGGTACGGTCTGGTCTTTCCCTTCCCACGAGGCCTTATCTCAGGCTATCACATGGGGAGAAACTTTGGACAATACCTGGCTTTTCTAGGCAGAGGTCCCTGCAGCCTTCCGCAGTGTATTGTGTCCCTGGGTGCTTGAGATTAGAGAGTGGTGATGACTTTTAACAAGCATGCTGCCTTCAAGCATCTGTTTAACAAAGCACATCCTGCATAGCCCTAAACCCACGTGTGACACAGCACATGTTTCTGGGAGCACAGGGTTGGGGCTAGGGTTACAGGTTAACAGCATCTCAAGGCAGAAGAATTTTTCTTAGTACAGAACAAAATGGAGTCTCTTATGTCTATTTCTTTCTACATAGACACAGTAACAGTCTGATCTGTCCTCCTTTTCCCCACACGTCACAGCTGGGGAAAAAGATTTGCTGTTCCCTCCAAGGGTAAAGCTGTCCACCTCTATCAGCACCCGGGCTTGGCAAGTCACTTTTTCTGTTATTTATTTTCCAGGCTGCCTCTTCCCCCCGCCCCCCCAACCCAGACGGAGTCTCGCTCTGTCGCCCAGGCTGGAGTGCGGTGGCGCGATCTCCGCTCACTGCAAGCTCCGCCTCCCGGGTTCCCGCCATTCTCCTGCCTCAGCCTCCCGAGTAGCTGGGACTACAGGCGCCCGCCACCACGCCCGGCTAATTGTTTGTATTTTTAGTAGAGACGGGGTTTCACCGTGTTAGCCAGGATGGTCTCGATCTCCTGACCTCGTGATCCGCCTGCCTCGGCCTCCCAAAGTGCTGGGATTACAGGCGTGAGCCACCGCACCCGGCCATTAGTTACTTACTTTTGAGACAGGGCCTCACTCTGTCACCCAGGCTGGCGTGCAGTGGCTGGCTCACTGCAACCTCCAAATCGTAGGCTCAAACAATCCTCCTGTGTCAGCCTCCCAAGTATCTGGGACTACGGGTATGTTCCACCAGGCCTGGCTAAGTTTTTTTTTTTTGAGATAGAGTTTCGCTCTTGTTGCCCAGGCTGGAGTACAATGGCGCTATCTCAGCTCACTGCAACCTCCGCCTCCTGGGTTCAAGCGATTCTCCTGCCTCAGCCTCCCACGTACCTGGGATTACAGGTTCCTACCACTACACTTGGCTAGCTTTTGTATTTTTAGTAGAGATGGGGTTTCACCATGTGGGCCAGGCGGGTCTCAAACTCCTGACATCAGGCGATCCACCTGCCTCAGCCTCCCAAAGTGCTGGGATTCCAGGCCTGAGCCACCATACCCGGCCAGTACAGTTATATTTATATCTGTCCTCTTGCTATTTGTTTTCAATGTGTCATTCAGTGGTGGGCTGAAATGTTAAACAAGTGGCTCTGAGGGTTGGTGGCGAGGAAGTCTTGGTTTGTAGTGTTTGCTGATTTGTTTTTTTGTTTGTTTGAGACAGAGTCTTGTTCTTGTTGCCGAGGCTCGAGTGCAATGGCGTGATCTCAGATCATGCAACCTCCACCTCCCAGGTTCAAGTGTGATTCTCCTGTCTCGGCCTCCTGAGTAGCTGGGATTACAGGCACCCGCCTGTAATTTCTGTATTTTTAGTAGAGATGGGGTTTCGCCGTGTTGGTCAGGCTGGTCTTGAGCTCCCGACCTCAGGTTATCCACCCGCCTTGGCCTCCCAAAGTGCTGGGATTACAGGCGTGAGCCACCGCGCCCTGCCGTGTTTGCTGATTTCTGTGGCATAAACACTCCCCTTGTGATTTTGTACTATCAGTGTGAAATCACAGCCCATGGACGTTGGTATAGGTACATATAGGAAGCCCCCATTAGGCAGCACGGGCTGGCCCTAGCATACCACTGACCCTTCATTCTTTGTATTCTTTTTTTTTTTTTTTTTTTTTTTTTTGAGACGGAGTCTCGCTCTGTCGCCCAGGCTGGAGTGCAATGGTGAGATCTCTGCTCACTGCAAGCTCCACTTCCCGGGTTCACACCATTCTCCTGCCTCAGCCTCCCGAGTAGCTGGGACTACAGGTGCCCGCCACCACGCCCTGCTAATTTTTTGTATTTTTTTAGTAGAGGCAGGGGTTTCACTGTGTTAGCCAGGATGGTCTCGATCTCCTGATATCGTGATCCATCCGCCTCGGCCTCCCAAAGTGCTGGGATTACAGGCGTGAGCCACCGTGCCCAGCCTTTTGTTCGTTCTTTTTACCAAGTTAGCCAGGCTGGTCTCGAACTCCTGGCCGCAGGCGTGAGCCACCGTGCTGGGCCAGATTTTCAGTCTCTTAATTCAGTCTTTGGAATATTTTACCACTCACTGTACAGCAGGAACAGTCTTGTTCTTGGCACACAGGAAACTGTGGTTTCATTTAATGATGGTAACTCGTGAACTGTTTTTCCTTTTTTCCCCCCAGTTCTTCAGCCTTAACCTAAGGTCTCATACTCGGAGCACTATGACATCGCCCCAGCTAGAGTGGACTCTGCAGACCCTTCTGGAGCAGCTGAACGAGGATGAATTAAAGAGTTTCAAATCCCTTTTATGGGCTTTTCCCCTCGAAGACGTGCTACAGAAGACCCCATGGTCTGAGGTGGAAGAGGCTGATGGCAAGAAACTGGCAGAAATTCTGGTCAACACCTCCTCAGAAAATTGGATAAGGAATGCGACTGTGAACATCTTGGAAGAGATGAATCTCACGGAATTGTGTAAGATGGCAAAGGCTGAGATGATGGGTAAGTAGAACCTGGGGTGTCCTGGTCATTTTTTTTTTTTTTTTTTTTTTTTTGAGATGGAGTCTCGTTCTGTCGCCCAGGCTGGAGTGTAAGGCTGGAGTGCAGTGGCGAGATCTGGGCTCACTGCAACCTCCGCCTCTGGGTTCAAGTGATTCTCCTATCTCAGCCTCCGGAGTAGCTGGGATTACAGGCGTGTTTCACCACACCTGGCTAATTTTTTTTTTTTTGTATTTTTAGTAGAGATGGGGTTTTGCCATGTTGGCCAGGCTGGTCTTGATCTCCTGACCTTGTGATCCGCCCACCTCAGCCTTCCAAAGTGCTGTGATTACAGGCATGAGCCACCATGCCTGGCTGACACTTTATGTACAATAATGTCTGATTTACGAAGTGTAAATTACTGTGTCAGGCTTACATCTAAGTATTTTACAGAGGACGGACAGGTGCAAGAAATAGATAATCCTGAGCTGGGAGATGCAGAAGAAGACTCGGAGTTAGCAAAGCCAGGTGGGTAAATACGGTCCTATGGTCATGAGTTTGGTGTTTGAGAGCATGCAAGGTGCATCACTTCTTCCTGGTTTTATTCATTTCTGGTAGTTTTTTTTTTTTTTGAGACGGAATCTTGCTCTGTAGCCCAGGCTGGAGTGTAGTGGCTCCGTCTCTGCTCATTGCAACCTCTGCCTCCCGGGTTCAAGCAATTCTCTGCCTCAGCCTCCTGAGTAGCCGGGATTACAGGCGGCCGCCACTACCCCCAGCTAATGTTTTGTATTTTTAGTAGAGATGGGGTTTCACTATCTTGGCCAGGCTGGTCTTGAACTCCTGACCTCAAGTGATCCACCCACCTTGGCCTCCCAAAGTGCCGGGATTACAAGCATGAGACACCGTGCCTGGCCCTCATTTCTGGTACTTGACAAAATAATTCAGAAAATCATCATCATCAACCTCAACTGTCCTATGGGCTGTCACTGCAGGTGAAAAGGAAGGATGGAGAAATTCAATGGAGAAACAGTCTTTGGTCTGGAAGAACACCTTTTGGCAAGGAGACATTGACAATTTCCATGACGACGTCACTCTGAGAAACCAACGGTTCATTCCATTCTTGAATCCCAGAACACCCAGGAAGCTAACACCTTACACGGTGGTGCTGCACGGCCCCGCAGGCGTGGGGAAAACCACGCTGGCCAAAAAGTGTATGCTGGACTGGACAGACTGCAACCTCAGCCCGACGCTCAGATACGCGTTCTACCTCAGCTGCAAGGAGCTCAGCCGCATGGGCCCCTGCAGTTTTGCAGAGCTGATCTCCAAAGACTGGCCTGAATTGCAGGATGACATTCCAAGCATCCTAGCCCAAGCACAGAGAATCCTGTTCGTGGTCGATGGCCTTGATGAGCTGAAAGTCCCACCTGGGGCGCTGATCCAGGACATCTGCGGGGACTGGGAGAAGAAGAAGCCGGTGCCCGTCCTCCTGGGGAGTTTGCTGAAGAGGAAGATGTTACCCAGGGCAGCCTTGCTGGTCACCACGCGGCCCAGGGCACTGAGGGACCTCCAGCTCCTGGCGCAGCAGCCGATCTACGTAAGGGTGGAGGGCTTCCTGGAGGAGGACAGGAGGGCCTATTTCCTGAGACACTTTGGAGACGAGGACCAAGCCATGCGTGCCTTTGAGCTAATGAGGAGCAACGCGGCCCTGTTCCAGCTGGGCTCGGCCCCCGCGGTGTGCTGGATTGTGTGCACGACTCTGAAGCTGCAGATGGAGAAGGGGGAGGACCCGGTCCCCACCTGCCTCACCCGCACGGGGCTGTTCCTGCGTTTCCTCTGCAGCCGGTTCCCGCAGGGCGCACAGCTGCGGGGCGCGCTGCGGACGCTGAGCCTCCTGGCCGCGCAGGGCCTGTGGGCGCAGATGTCCGTGTTCCACCGAGAGGACCTGGAAAGGCTCGGGGTGCAGGAGTCCGACCTCCGTCTGTTCCTGGACGGAGACATCCTCCGCCAGGACAGAGTCTCCAAAGGCTGCTACTCCTTCATCCACCTCAGCTTCCAGCAGTTTCTCACTGCCCTGTTCTACGCCCTGGAGAAGGAGGAGGGGGAGGACAGGGACGGCCACGCCTGGGACATCGGGGACGTACAGAAGCTGCTTTCCGGAGAAGAAAGACTCAAGAACCCCGACCTGATTCAAGTAGGACACTTCTTATTCGGCCTCGCTAACGAGAAGAGAGCCAAGGAGTTGGAGGCCACTTTTGGCTGCCGGATGTCACCGGACATCAAACAGGAATTGCTGCAATGCAAAGCACATCTTCATGCAAATAAGCCCTTATCCGTGACCGACCTGAAGGAGGTCTTGGGCTGCCTGTATGAGTCTCAGGAGGAGGAGCTGGCGAAGGTGGTGGTGGCCCCGTTCAAGGAAATTTCTATTCACCTGACAAATACTTCTGAAGTGATGCATTGTTCCTTCAGCCTGAAGCATTGTCAAGACTTGCAGAAACTCTCACTGCAGGTAGCAAAGGGGGTGTTCCTGGAGAATTACATGGATTTTGAACTGGACATTGAATTTGAAAGGTAAGAACTGTTTTCCCATCCCACGCTCCACTAGGAAGAGGCCAGCGTCTCCTTTGCCCTGTCGCTTACTGTCAGAATTTCCCTCTGGCTGGACTTCTTTCCAGCTTCATGTTCAACGTGGAGACACGACTTGGCAATTAGGAATTGGGGCTTTTTATTTTTGAGACGGAGTCTCGCTCTGTCCCCCAGGCTGGAGTGCAGTGGCGCGATCTTGGCTCACTGCAACCTCCGCCTCCCGGGTTCAAGTGATTCTCCTGCCTCAGCCTCCCGAGTAGCTGGGACTATGGGCGTGCACCACCTTGCCCGGTTAATTATTTTATTTTTTTGTAGAGATGGGGGTCTCAGTTTCTAGCCCAAGTTGGTCTTAAACTCCTGGGCTCAAGTGATCTTCCCACTTTGGCCTAGCAAAGTGTTGGGATTACAGGCATGAGCCACCTCACTCAGCCTTATCTATTATTTTATTTTTTTTGTAAAACTTAAGATCTATACTGGTAGCAAAGCATGTGATGCAATATTGTTTACTATAGACACTGTTTTAGGTTGGTGCAAAAGTAATTGTGGTTTTTGCCATTGAAATGTGGTTTGCAGATGCCCATCTCACCATGCAGGTACTAGTCCTAAGAGATGAACGTGTGTTCTCCTGCAGGTGCACTTACCTAACCATTCCGAACTGGGCTCGGCAGGATCTTCGCTCTCTTCGCCTCTGGACAGATTTCTGCTCTCTCTTCAGCTCAAACAGCAACCTCAAGTTTCTGGAAGTGAAACAAAGCTTCCTGAGTGACTCTTCTGTGCGGATTCTTTGTGACCACGTAACCCGTAGCACCTGTCATCTGCAGAAAGTGGAGTAAGTAGAAGCTCATCTTGCAAGGAAGACCCTGAACGATGACTAAGCTTCTTGTACTTTTGTTTTTTAAATTTGGAAATGTGCTGTTTCATCTCCATGTATTTGGGGATTTTCCAGCTGTCTTTTTTTTTTTTTTTTTTTTTGGTGAGACGGAGATTTACTCTTGTTGCCCAGGCTGGAGTGCAATGGCGCGATCTCAGCTCACTGCATCCTCCACCTCCCAGGTTCAAGCAATTCTCCTGCCTCAGCCTCCCGAGTAGCTGGGATTACAGGCATGTGCCACCTTGCCCGGCTAATTTTGTACTTTTAGCACAGACAGGTTTTCACCGTGTTGCCCAGGCTGATCTCGAGCTCCTGACCTCAGGTGATTTGCCTGCCTCGGCCTTCCAAAGTGCTGGGATTATAGGCATGAGCCGCTGCACCTGGCCCCTTTTTTATTTTTTATTTTTTCTGAGACAGAGTTTCACTCTGTCACCTAGGCGCTGGAGTGCAATGACTTAATCTTGTGTTTTTAGTAGAGGTGGAATTTTCTCCATCTTGGCCAGGCTTGTCTCGAACTCCTGACCTAAGGTGATGCGCCTGCCTCGGTCTTCGAAAGTGCTGGGATTACAGGCATGAGCCACCATGCCTGGCCCCAGCTATCTTTTTTTTGGTTTGTTTTGTTACCAAAACAAACCAAAAAGTAGGTACAAGTACAGGTTAGTTACACAGGTAACCGTGTGTCATAGGAGTTTGTTGTACAGATTATTTTGTCACCCAAGTATTAAGCCTAGTACCCCTTAGTTGTTTTTCCTGATCCTCTGCTTCTTGACTTTTTTTTTTTTTTTTGAGACAGTCTCGCTATGTTCCCCAGGCTGGAGTGCAGTGCAGCAATCTCGGCTCACTGCAAGCCCTGCCTCCCGGGTTCATGCCATTCTCCTGCCTCAGCCTCCCGAGTAGCTGGGACTACAGGCGCCCGCCACCACGCCCGGCTAGTTTTTTGTAATTTTAGTAAAGACGGGGTTTCACCGTGTTAGCCAGGATGGTCTTGATCTCCTGACCTCGTGATCCACCCGCCTCGGCCTCGGCCTCCCAAAGTGCTGGGATTACAGGCGTGAGCCACCACACCCGGCGAATTTTTTTTTCTTTTGAGATGGAGTCTTGCTCTGTTGCCCAGGCTGGAGTGCAGTGGTGCGGTCTCGGCTCACTGCAACCTCTGCCTCCTGGATTCAAGTGATTCTCCTACCTCAGCCTCCCGAATACCTGGGACTACAAGCATGCCCCTCCATGTGCAGCTAATTTTTGTATTTTTAGTAGAGACGGGGCTTCCCCATGTTGGCCAGGCTGGTCTCGAACTCCTGACCTCAGGCGATCTGCCTGCCTCGGCCCCAGCTAATTTATTTTTTGTAGAGATGGAGTTTCACCATGTTGCCCAGGTTGGTCTCAGACTCCTGACCTCAGGTTATCCTCCTGCCTCAGCCTCCCAAAGTGCTGGGGTTACAGACACGAGCCACTGCACCCGGCCAAGAACTTCTAATAATTTCTAAATGTGAAACAGCTTTTTGTTTATACATGCCTCCACACAATGTGAGTATTAATCACTCCAAGTGGAATCTCTTCTGCTTTTCCCTAGGATTAAAAACGTCACCCCTGACACCGCGTACCGGGACTTCTGTCTTGCTTTCATTGGGAAGAAGACCCTCACGCACCTGACCCTGGCAGGGCACATCGAGTGGGAACGCACGATGATGCTGATGCTGTGTGACCTGCTCAGAAATCATAAATGCAACCTGCAGTACCTGAGGTGGGTCTCACGGTCACGGCTCTCCCCAGCACCTGGAGTCCACTGCACCGTGTTGCTGGGGGATCTAGGAAAAAGGGTAACCACTCCAGATGCCGTCCCAGACAGGGAATGTATTCCTCAAACAGGCCTGTGTGGGGGAGTCGGCCTCTCCTCTTTCCCCCACCAGCTTGTCTTCTGTGTTGCATAACCAGCTATCCATGCAAAGAAACACCCCGAATTCTGTGCTGGGTTCCAGCTTTAGGGACATGCTATTCCTGACTGCACCTTGCCTAATTGTTGGGATTGAGAGCAGTGGCCCCCAGCCTTTTCTGCACCGCGGGCCGGTTTTGCACAAGACAGTTTTTTCCACAGACGGGTTTGGGGGTAGTTTTGGGATGAAACTGTTCGATCTCAGATCAGGCACAGGAGCTAATCGTTGGTGCCTGATCCTATGGAGTGCATGATCCTCGCACTTTGGGAGCCTGAGGAGAATGGATCATCAATCTCAGATCATCAGGAGTTAGGTATTCATAAGGAGCATGCAACCTTCTCTGCACTCAATGAGAATCTTTTTTTTTTTTTTTTTTCTTTGAGACAGTTTTATTCTTGTCACCCAGGCTGGAGCGCAGTGGCGCGATCTCGTTCACTGCAACCTCCGCCTCCTGGGTTCAAGCAGTTCTGCCTCAGCTTCCCGAGTAGCTGGGGTTACAGGCGTGCACCACCACGCCTGGCAAATGTTTGTATTTTTAATAGAGACAGGGTTTCACCATGTTGGCCAGGCTGGTCTCGAACTCCTGACCTCAAGTGATCCGCCTGTCTCGGCCTCCCAAAGTGCTAGGATTACAGGCATGAACCACTGCGCCTGGCCAGGATAAAATTTTTATTTTGAGTATTAAGCATCAATTTGCCCCTTCTAGTCCCAGCTACAGTGGATGCTGAGGTGGGAGGATCATTTGAGCCCAGGAGACAGGTTGTGGTGACCTGTGATCATGCCACTGCACTCCAGCCTGGGCAACAGAGCGAGATCCTGTCTCAAAAAAAAAATTTTTTTTTCCCCCCTGCAAAATCATCCACACAGGCCGTTTTGGTGAAACATTGCACAGAATTGTATTACAATCTCTTGGAGAAGTGGCTGGATGTTACCCTAATGGCCATGGGGATACTTGAAGAAGCAGAGGCAACATTAGATCTCTCCAGTAATTCAGGCCAGGGTTGGAGGCATGAGTAGAATGAGATAAACCAAAGACATAATGTCTTGGGAAGTGAAGCAGAAGAAGCTGATCTGGGCCAGGCGCGGTGGCTCACACCTGTAATCCCAGTACTTCGGTAGGCCAAGGTGGGTGGATCACCTGAGGTCAGGAGTTCAAGACCAGTGTGGCCAACATGGTGAAATCCCGTCTCTACTAAAAATACAAAAATTGGCGAATGCCTGTAATCCCAGCTACTTCGGAGGCTGAGGCAGGAGAATAGCTTGAACCCGGGAGGCGGAGGCTGCAGTGAGGTGAGATCACGCCTTTGCATTCCAGACTGGGCAACAGAGTGAAACTCTGTCTCAAAAAAAAAAAGCTGATAGGGTATACTCTGTCCTCCCAGAAGAATGACTTTTCCCACTCTTTTCACAGGTTGGGAGGTCACTGTGCCACCCCGGAGCAGTGGGCTGAATTCTTCTATGTCCTCAAAGCCAACCAGTCCCTGAAGCACCTGCGTCTCTCAGCCAATGTGCTCCTGGATGAGGGTGCCATGTTGCTGTACAAGACCATGACACGCCCAAAACACTTCCTGCAGATGTTGTCGTAAGTCTCCTCTTCCCATGGGCAGCTCTGGTTTAGTTCTGGGGCTATAGAAGAGAAAGGGTAACACCTGACTTACTGCGCCACCCACGTGGCGCCTCTTGCTGAAATAAACACCTGCTTCAGGCCCGGCACGGTGGCTCCTGCCTGTAATCTCAGCAGAGAGGTGGGCGGATCATCTGAGTTCAGGAGTTCGAGACCAACCTGGCCAACATGGTGAAACCCTGTTTCTATTAAAAATACCAAAAACAGGCCGGGTGCGGTGGCTCATGCCTGTAATCCCAGCACGTTGGGAGGCCAAGGCGGGGAGATCACGAGGTCAAGAGATCGAGACCATCCTGGCTAACATGGTGAAACCCCGTCTCTACTAAAAAATACAAAAAATTATCCAGGTGTGGTGGGCGCCTGTAGTCCCAGCTACTCAGGAGGCTGAGTCAGCAGAATGGTGTAAACCTGGGAGGCGGCGATTGGCAGTGAACCGAGATCGCGCCACTGCACTCCAGCCTGGGCGACAGAGCGAGACTCCGTCTCAAAAACAACACCTGTGTCCTGTGATGGCTCCAGGTGGACCGCTGCATCTTGGCCTTCTCGCCTTCCTGCTCTTTTGTGGCCATGATGACTCCCACAGGACAGAGGGCAGGGGATGAACAGGAAGGGCTGAAGCTGAGTACCCTAGCATGTGGACATCACTGAGCAGGTTGGAGTTGTGGAAATGTTCTCATCCTTCTACCATTTGTTTCATATTTTTGCAGGTTGGAAAACTGTCGTCTTACAGAAGCCAGTTGCAAGGACCTTGCTGCTGTCTTGGTTGTCAGCAAGAAGCTGACACACCTGTGCTTGGCCAAGAACCCCATTGGGGATACAGGGGTGAAGTTTCTGTGTGAGGGCTTGAGTTACCCTGATTGTAAACTGCAGACCTTGGTGTAAGTCCCTGCTGGGTGTGTGTGTGTGTGCACATGAATTCAAGCAGGAGAGACATGAAAGTACTTGTTAATTCATTTCAAATGTAACTTTTAAAAACCTGGTAAGAATTAAAGAACAGGCAGAGGCCAGGCGTGGTGGCTCATGCCTGTAATCCCAGCACTTTGGGAGGCCGAGGCGGGTGGATCATGAGGTCAGGAGATGGAGACCATCCTGGTTAACATGGTGAAACCCTGTCTGTACTAAAAATACCAAAAATTAGCCAGGTGTGGTGGCGGATGCCTGTAGTCCCAGCTACTTGGGAGGATGAGACAGGAGAATGGCGTGAACCTGGAAGGCGGAGGTTGCAGTGAGCCGAGATCGCACCACTGCACTCCAGCCTGGGCGACAGAACAAGACTCCTTCTCAAAAAAACAAAGAAACAAAAAAAACCAGGCAGATACAGGTAGAAACATGTTAATATTTGCATGTCAGCAGAGCCTCTTCCTGCTATGAAGGAAGATTTGAGATGAGTAGTTGGTTCTCGGATCTGATGCTTTGTGTGTGTTCTTTCAAATTCCTATGACATAGTACTGCCTGCTATTGGAGGTAGATTGAGTTATGTGGTAGGGCCAGTGGCACCTTTTTTTAAACTTTTATTTCCATAGGTTATTGGGGAACAGGTGGTGAATGGTGGGCAGATCACCTAAGGTTCGAGACCAGCCTGGCCAACATGGTGAAAACCCATCGCTACTAAAAAATACAAAAATTAACCAGGCTTGGTGGTGCGTGCCTATAGTACCAGCTACTCAGAAGGCTGAGGTAGGAGAATCGCTTGAATCTGGGAGGCAGAGGCTGCAGTGAGCTGAGATGGCGCCACTGCACTCCAGCCCGGGCGACAGAGTGAGACTCCGTCTCAAGAAAAAAACAAAAAAAAACTCAACAAAAATCCTTATTTGTAAAAGACATAGGTGGCAGGTTGGAATTGACCCACGAACTATAGTTGGCTGAATCTTGTTATATGGAAAGAAGCCCAGCGTGAGCTACCTGTTCACATTAAAATTATGGTTAGAAAAATATTCAAGAGATTGCATAGGGTTGAAGACCTGTTCCTGTTCAGAAATTCTAGCTAGTGGTCATTTCTGAGATTCATTTTTTTTTTTTTGGATGAAGTCTCACTCTGTCGCCCAGACTGGAATGCAGTGGTGTAATCTTGGCTGACTGCAACTTCTGCCTCCCAGGTTCAAGCGATTCTCCTGCCTCAGCCTCCCAAGTAGCTGGGATTACAGGTGCCCTCCACCATGCCTGGCTAATTTTTGCACTTTTAGTGGAGATGAGGTTTCACCATGTTGGCCAGGCTGGTCTTGAACTCCTGGCCTTAAGTGATCTGCCTGCCTCGGCCTCCCAAAGTGCTGGCGTTCCAGGCATGAGCCACTGTGCCTGGCTTAGAATAACTATTGTTAAACAAACAGTCACCTACCTGATCGTTATACGAAGTGTACCTGCACCAAAACATCACACTATACCCCTATATATGTAGAATGTGTCAGTTAAAGACAAAACTTAAACATGAAATAAAATGACAGGGAAAGTGAAATTTCCATAATCTAACCACGCAGAAAATAAGTGACCCAGGGCTCAGATCCTGTCCTGGGTCGGTCTGAACCCAGAGCCTAAGCTGTTGTCCCAGGCAGAGCTGGAAATGGATGGAATCAGAAGGCCATTTGGATGTTTTTTTTTTTTTTTTAACAGTCTCTCTCTGTCACCAGGCTGGAGTGCAGTGGTGCGATCTTGGCTCACTGCAACCTCCGCTTCCTGGGTTCAAGTAATTCTCCTACCTCAGCCTCCTGAGTAGCTAGGATTACAGGCATGGGCCGCCACACCTGGCTAATTTTTTTTTTTTTTTGAGATGGAGTTTCGCTCTTGCCCAGGCTGGAGTGCAATGGTGCAATCTCTGCTCACCACAACCTCCGTCTCCCCAGTTCAAGAGATTCTCCTGCCTCAGCCTCCTGAGTAGCTGGGATTACAGGCATGTGCCACCACACCTGGCTAATTTTGTATTTTTAGTAGAGACGGGTTTCTCCATATTGCTTAGGCTGGTCTTGAACTCCCGACCTCAGGTGATCTGTCTGCCTCAGCCTCCCAAAGTGCTGAGATTACAGGTGTGAGCCATCGTGCCCAGCTAATTTTTGTATTTAGTAAAGATGGGGTTTCACCACTTTGGCCAGGCTGGTCTTGAACTCCTGATCTTGTGATTCACCCACCTTGGTCTCCCAAAGTGCTGAGATTACAGGTTTGAGCCACCGCGCCCGGCCCGATTTTTGTATTTTTTAGTAGAGATGGGGTTTCACCATGTTGGCCAGGCTGGTCTTGAACTCCTGACCTCAAATGATCTGCCCGTCTTGGCCTCCCACTGCTGTGATTATAGGCGTGAGCCACTGTGCCCGGCCCATTTGCATGCTTTTATGTGCAAGCCCACCTGGAAGTATATAGCTCCAGTTCATGGGTCAATTCCTACCTGCCACCTATGTTTTATATAAATACTTTTTGTTGTTGTTGTTGTTTTCTTGAGACGGAGTCTCGCTCTGTCGCCCGGGCTGGAGTGCAGTGGCGCGATCTCAGCTCACTGCAGCCTCTGCCTCCCGGATTCAAGCGATTCTCCTGCCTCAGTCTTCTGAGTAGCTGGCACTACAGGCGTGCACCACCAAGTCTGGTTATATAGGTGGCGGGCACCTATAATCCCAGCTACTTGGGAGGCTGAGGCAGAAGAATCGCTTGAACCTGGGAGGCAGAGGTTGCAGTGAGCCAAGAGTGCAGCACTGCATTCCAGTATATAAGTGGAAGGTATATAGTGTTGGAAATAACTGCTTCACAGGGCGTTAGCCAGAGGGATAACAGGCTTCTCTTCCTTTGATTATCCTGTAGGTTACAGCAATGCAGCATAACCAAGCTTGGCTGTAGATATCTCTCAGAGGCGCTCCAAGAAGCCTGCAGCCTCACAAACCTGGACTTGAGTATCAACCAGATAGCTCGTGGATTGTGGATTCTCTGTCAGGCATTAGAGAATCCAAACTGTAACCTAAAACACCTACGGTAGGCGATTTTCTTTTTCTTCTTTCTTTCTTTTTTTGAGACAGGGTCTTGCTCTGTCCCCCAGCCTGGAGTGCAGTGGGGTGATTACGGCTCACTGCGGCTTCGGTCTTCCAGGCTTGATCGGTTCTCCCACCTCAGCCTCCTGAGTAGCTGGCTCTACAGGCATGTATTACCATGGCCAGGTAACTGTTTTCTGTAGAGATGAGGTCTTGTCATCTTTCCCGGGCTGGTTTTGAATTCTGGTGCTCAAGGAATCCTCCCACCTCGGCCTCCCAATGTGCTAGGATTACAGGCATGAGCCATCATGCCTGGCCTCATTTTTAAAGTGTTTGGAAATCTGGAAATCCTTAATTTCTATGTTTTCTTTTTTTTTTTTTTTTTTTGAGACGGAGCCTCGTTCTAGTTGCCCAGGCTGGAGTGCAGTGGCGCGATCTCGGCTTACTGCAACCTCTTCCTCCCGGGTTCTCGCTATTCTCCTGCCTCAGCCTCCTGAGTAGCTGGGACTACAGATGCCCGCCACCGTGCCTGGCTAATTTTTTTTGTATTTTTAGTAGAGATGGGTTTCACAGTGTTAGCCAGGATGGTCTCGATCTCCTGACCTCATGATCTGCCCGCCTTGGCCTTCCAAAGTGCTGGGATTACAGGCGTGAGCCACCACGCCCGGCCAATTTCTATGTTTTCAATATCTCAGACTGTATCACTTCGGATCCAGTTTTAAGATCAAACCCCTCCAGAAACTGAATATATGTGGGTGGGCACTTCTAAAGTCAGGTAGAGGGCCTGGAGAAGTGAAATATATATAACAATGGCCCCCAGTGACCTGGACTTCAGCAGCATGCTGCTTCTGCTGGGATCCAGTAATCAGGAAGCAGTGAGCCTGCCCCACCTCATAAACCCAGGGAACCATAGGTGGGATACCACCCCCAGAAAATGCAAAGTCTCCACAAATGGAATGGCGAGCTCTTCATCACTTCTCTCCCCAAAGTTTGTCAGTTGCATCTCTTGGATGCAACCTATTTTCCAACTAGAATCTGCAATCCTAATGCAAAGAGAATCTGCACGTCATTACTACTTAGCTTTGCTGTAGAGTAAAGAAAAAAAACACTAGAACACAGGGTACTTTTTTTCTTTTTTCAGACAGAGTCTCGCTTTGTCACCCAGGCTGGAGTGCAGTGGTGCGATCTTGGCTCACTGCAACCTCAGCCTCCAAGGTTCAAGCGATTCTCCTGATTGAGCTGAGTAGTTGGGATTACAGGCGTGCACCACCATACCCAGCTAATTTTTGTATTTTTAGTAGAGACCAGGTTTCACCATGTTAGCCAGACTGGTCTCAAACTCCTGACCTCAAGTGATCCACCTGCCTCAACCTCCCAAAGTGCTGGGATTACAGGCATGAGCCACCATTCCTGGCCTCCTGAAGTTTCTTAACCCATCCCCCTGAGGAATATTTCAAGCCTCAAGCCAGACCGTGATACCTTTATTTCCAAAGACTCAAAAGCTCAATGCAAACGGGTGGATTACCTGGTGTCTTGTTCCTGTAATCTCAGCTATGACTGTAATCCTAGATTCTCGGGAGGCTGGGGCAGGAGAATCGCTTGAACCCAGGAGGCGGAGGTTGCAGTGAGCCGAGATCACGCCATTGCACTCCAGCCTTGGCAACAAGAGTGAAACTCTGCCTTAAAAAAAACAAAACCAAAGGCTTCTACAGTGGCCTACAGGGCCTTATGGGGGATCCTCGTGTAAGTTATGAGCCATAAATCATTCTACTTTCTCACTAGCTCAGTATTTTATTTACAAGATTCCCTCCCCCAGTTAGCATGCTGGTTCATGATCTACCATCCTTCAGTTTCTTTCCTCATATCACTTTCCAAAAGAGGACTTAAATGACCAGCATAAGTCTAGCCAATCAATGCCTCTCTGTTTGACTTACCTCTACCCTGTTTATTTTAATACCATCATCCATTGTCTTCAATAGAACATATCGAGATGTCTGCTGTCACTAAAAACTCTGAGGACAAGGATTTCTTCTGCTCACTCCCCTCTGCCTTTCCTCACTACTGGAGCCCCAGCAAATATGCTGCTTGTTTTTTTGTTTTGTTTTGTTTGAGACCAAGTCTCACTCTTTCACCCAAGCTGGAATGCAGTGGTGATATGTTGGCTAACTACAACCTCTGCCTCCTGGTTCAGGCGATTCTCCTGCCTCTCGAGTAGCTGGAATTATAGGTGGTTCCACCATACCTGGCTAATTTTTGTATTTTCATTTTATGTTATATATTTGTGAGATGGAGTCTCATTCTATTGCCCAGGCTGGAGTGCAGTGGCGCAATCTGGGCTCACTGTAACCTCCGCCTCCCAGGCTGAAGCGATTCTTGTGCCTCAGCCTCCCAAGTAGCTAGCATTAAAGGCACACACCACCATGCATGGCTAATTTTTTGTAGAGATGGGGTTTTGCCATGTTGGCCTGGCTGGTCTCGAACTCCTGACCTCAGGTGATCTACCCTCCTCGGCCTCCCAAGGTGCTGGGGCTACAGGTGTCTGTCCCCACGCCCTGCCTAATCTTTGTATTTTTAGTAGAGATGGGGTTTGACCGTGTTGGCAAGGCTGGTCTCGAACACCTGGCCTCAAGTGATCCACCCGCCTTGGCCTCCCGAAGTGTTGGGATTACACGCTTGAGCCACTACCTGCTCAGTGAATGCGTGGATTTCCATGTTCTTCCTCAACAGCCTCTGGAGCTGCTCCCTCATGCCTTTCTATTGTCAGCATCTTGGATCTGCTCTCCTCAGCAATCAGAAGCTTGAAACTCTGGACCTGGGCCAGAATCATTTGTGGAAGAGTGGCATAATTAAGCTCTTTGGGGTTCTAAGACAAAGAACTGGATCCTTGAAGATACTCAGGTATGGGTTTTTTGTTTTGTTTTGTTTTGTTTTTTGTTTTTGTTTTTTTGAGATGGAGTCGTGCTCTGTCATTCAGGCTGGAGTGCAGTGGCGCAATCTTGGCTCACCGCAACCTCTGCCTCTCAGGTTCAAGCAATTCTCCTGCCTCAGCCTCATGAGTAGCTGGGCCTAGAGGCATGCCAACATGTCCAGCTAATTTTTTTCTTTTTCTTTTTTTTTTTTTGAGACGGAGTTTTGTTCTTGTAGCCCAGGCTGGAGTGCAGTGGTGCGATCTTGGCTCACTGCAACCCCCACCTCCTGGGTTCAAGCGATTCTCCCACCTTGGCCTCCCAAGTAGCTGGAATTACAGATGCCTGCCACCATGCCTGGCTAATTTTTTAGTAGAGAGGGGTTTCACCATGTTGGCCAGGCTAGTCTTGAACTCCTGACCTCAGGTGAGCCACCTGCCTCGGCCTCCCAAAGTGGTGGGATTACAGAGGTGAGCCATTGCACCCGGCCTTTTTGGTTTTTGCTTTTTGGGATGGAGTCTCACTGTTGCCCAGGCTGGAGTGCAGTGGCGCGATCTTGACTCACTGCAGCCTCCTTCTCACAGGTTGAAGCGATTTTCCTGCCTCAACCTCCTGAGTAGCTGGGATTACAGGTACACACCACCACAGCTGGCTAATTTTTTTTTTTTTTTTTTTTTTTTAAAGACAGAGTCTCTCTCTGTCCCCCAGGCTGGAGTGCAGTGGCGCTATCTCGGCTCAGTGCAACCTCTGCCTCCTGGGTTCAAGTGATTCTCCTGCCTCAGCCTCCTGAGTAGCTAGGATTACAGTCGCTCGCCACCACACCCAGCTAATTTTTGTATTTTTAGTAGAGATGGGGTTTTGCCATGTTGGCCAGGCTGGTCTCGAGCTCCTGACCTCAGGTGATCTTCTCGCCTTGGCCTCCCAAAGTGCTGGGATTACAGGCATGAGCCACTGCACCTGGCCAATTTTTGTAGTTTTTAGTAGAGATGGGGTTTCACCATGTTGGTCAGGTTGGTCTCAAACTCCCAACCTCAGGTGATCCACCTGCCTCAGCCTCTCAAAGTGCCGGGATTACAGGCGTGAGCCACTGTGCTCGGCCCTGGGATGGCTGTTTCACATGGTGAATTTCCCATGCAGAGAAGAGTTTTTTTGGGAGTGTGTGTACTCTTTGTAGGGATCAACTTAAGGCATCTTTCTATAGCACACTCCTAGCTTAGGAGATAATTTAAAAATTAGATACTTTTCTAAAATGCTCTGTGAATTGAATATTGTCCAACTTTCCCCCAAAACACTTAGTCCTAGGCATACTGAGAGTTTAAATCATCCTGGAGTACAGACTGGAAGCTTGTGTGTATGTGTGTGCATGAGCACACACACACACACACACACACCCCTAATCATTATATCCAAAAATAGGTAGTTCCCAGAGCTGTCCTGGGTCTTAGCTTTTCAGAAGATCGTCCTACAGATGCTCCCTTAGTTGTGACCCGTGTATATCTTTTCAATGACTTATTTGTATTTTTTATTTTTTTTTGAGACGGAGTCTTTTTTTTGAGACGGAGTCTGTCTTTTTTTTTGAATCTGTCTTTTTTTTGAGACAGAGACTCCAGTCTCTGTCGCCCAGGCTGGAGTGAAGCGGTGCGATCTCGGCTCACTGCAAGCTCCACCTCCCGGGTTCACGCCATTCTCCTGCCTCAGCCTCCCGAGCAGCTGGGACTACAGGCGCCCGCCACCACGCCCGGCTAATTTTTTGTATTTTTAGTAGAGATGGGGTTTCACTATGTTGGCCAGGCTGGTCTCGAATTCCTGACCTCAGGTGATCTGCCCACCTCGGCCTCCCAAAGTGCTGGGATTACAGGCGTGAGCCACCGCGCCCGGCCTCAGTGACTTATTTTAACGTAATCTACCTTTAGTTTCTTCTTGCCTTTGTCTTTTCTTTTCTGAGACAACGTTTTGCTCTGCTGCACTGTGTGGCCGTGTTGCCGAGGTTCTCAAACTCCTGGCTTCAAACGATCCTCCTGTCTTGGCCTCACAAAGTACCCGGATTGCAGGCGTGAGCCACTGTGCACAGCCCACTTGTCTTATTCAAGAGTTATTTTAGTTGTAGAGATGATACGCATGTAAACTGCTTCATGATGCCCAGTGTTGCATTATTGGAACGCTAAGCATGTGGGAGTTATTTATATCCTGCTCAAGGTACGATTTTTCACACGTCTGCAGTTCAAATAATTGTAACCTCTGGCATAAATGGGTTAAGGTTTTAGGGGTATATCATGAAACTTGAGCTAAATAGTGTCATGCTTCTCTTGTTGGTGGGACCGAGGTCTGTAATGCCACCAAGGACTATTGGTGACAAATCTCTAGCCCCCTGTGGTCTCTTATGTCATATGTTTGGGGCGTATTTCTTTTCTCATTCCTCAGTTCCTCCTTTGGGAGGCCAAGGTGGGAGGATTGTTTGAGGCCAGGAGTTTGAGACCAGCCTGGGCAACATAGCAAGCCAGTGTCTCCACAATCACCACCCCTCATGTTCACATACACAGGCTTGCATGCTGCAGCCACGTTAGAGCCAAGTTTGCTATCATTAACCCTGGGGTTCACTCTGGCATTCTCTTAGTTCTACTGAAGGTTTGATTTGCCACTATTTTTTATTTATTTATTTGGAGGCAGAGTCTCGCTCTGTCACCCGGGCTGCAGTACAGTGGTGCGGTATTGGCTCACTGCAACATCTGCCTCCCAGGTTCAAAGCGATTCTCCTGTCTCAGCCTCCTGAGTAGCTGGTATTACAGTTGTCTGCCACCATGCCCAGCTAATTTTTGTATTTTTAGTAGAGACGGGGTTTCACTATGTTGGCCAGGCTGGTCTCGAATTCCTGACCTCAGGTGATCTGCCCGCCTCGGCCTCCCAAAGTGCTGGAATTATAGGCGTGAGTCACCGTGCACCAGCCTGATTATCTATTTTTTAAATTTATTTTTTAAAGGCATGTTTTACTCTGTTACCAGGCTGGAGTGCAGTAGGGCAATCTCTAGCTCGTTGCAACCTCCGCCTCCTGGGCTCAAGTGATCCTCTTGCCTCCGCCTCCCGAGTAGCTGGGACTATAGGCGTGCACCACCATTCCTGGCTAACTTTTTCTATTTTTGGTAGAGACAGGGTTTCACCGTGTTGCCCAGGCTGGCCTTGAACTGCGGAGCTCAAGCAATCTGCCTGCCTTGGCCTCCCAAAGTGCTGGGACTACAGGTGCGAGACACCGTGCCTGGCCATAATCTTTTTTTTCTTAGACTTATAAGGATCCCCATTGTGTGGGTCTAAATTTCTTTTTAGAAAACTTTTCTGACTGGGTGCTGTGGCTCACATCTGTAATCCCATGGCTTTGGGAGGCCGAGGTGGATGGATCACTTGAGGCCAGAAGTTCGAGACCAGCCTGGCTAACATGTCGAAACCCCATCTCTACTGTAAATACAAAACTTAGCCAAGCGTGGTGGTGCACACCTGTAATCACAGTTACTCAGGAGCCTGAGGCATGAGAATTGCTTGAACTTGGGAGCTGGAGGTTGCAGAGAGCCAAGATGGCACCACTGTACCCCAGCCTGGGCAACAGAGCAAGACCCTGTCCCCCAGAAAATCCCAAAAACGTTTCCTGCTTTGAGTGTTTGAAAACAGATATTCAGGCATCCTGGGTAGTTGAGAATGAATTTCTGGGAACATTTGTGTTCTCTGATCCCTCCAGGTTGAAGACCTATGAAACTAATTTGGAAATCAAGAAGCTGTTGGAGGAAGTGAAAGAAAAGAATCCCAAGCTGACTATTGATTGCAATGCTTCCGGGGCAACGGCACCTCCGTGCTGTGACTTTTTTTGCTGAGCAGCCTGGGATCGCTCTACGAATTACACAGGAAGCGGGATTCGGGTCTCTAAGATGTCTTATGAATGCAGGTCAGAGGGTCACATGTTAACACTAGAGTCTGTCGAGAGGTAGGATTTGACACTGGTTTTCTCACTATTTTTGGGAGATTCTGCACGAGTCACGCACCCCCTTCACATGACGCTATGTACTTTCTCACAGGGATAATAAAGTTAGAGCACTCTCGTTGCAGCTGCGTTTATTGACATGCTCAGGAGCAAACCTGCAATAAACATGGTACTCTGTGCTTTGTCTAGGAGGAAGTATTGCTAAGAAGTTCAGGGATGATTCGGTTGATTCTTCTATTTCTTTTCTTCCCTAACTCAGGCGCCATGTGGTCTACTATCTGCCAGGTGCATCTATGTGATCAGTGTGTCTTTGTGACTTATGTGATCATAACTTATGTGATCAACCCACGCATTGACAAACGGGCCAGATAGTTCATATGCTTGGCACTGTGGGCCCCGCGGTCTCTCATCAGCTCTCAGCTGTGCCTTTGGACATGGAAGCAGCGCAGGGCCTGGCTGGCACCTGCGGAGGCTTCCCAGAAACAGCTCGTGGGCCATGGGCAGCCAGCCCTGTTCTAATCTATCCTGTTACTCACAAAGCACAAGCTTACAGTCACTGTTGCCTTTAATTCAGAAGATGGCCCTGCCTCACGCTGGTTCTGCTCGGCTCCCACGGGCCGCCTCCTACTCTCTGTGTGTGTGTGTATGTGTCTCTCTCTCTCTCTGTCTCTGTGTGTCTCTCTTTGTTTCTCTGTGTCTGTCTTTTTGTCTCTCTGTCTCTGTGTCTGTTTCTGTGTGTGTGTCTCTGTGTCTGTCTGTGTTTCTCTGTGTGTGTCTCTGTCGCTGGGCGTTTCTATCTCTGTCTTTGTATGTGTCTCTCTGTTCTTTCGTTTTTTTTTTTTGTTTTTTTTTTTGAGACGGAGTTTCACTCTTGTCGCCCATGCTGGAGTGCAATGGCGTGATCTCAGCTCACTGCAACCGCGCCTCCCAGGTTCAAGTGATTCTCCTGCCTCAGCCTTCCGAGTAGCCGGAATTACAGCCCTGTGCCACCATGCCTGGCTAATTTTTTGTATTCTTACTAGAGACGGGGTTTCACAATGTTGGCCAGGCTGTTCTCGGACTCCTGACCTCAGGTGATCTACCCGCCTCAGCCTCCCAGAGTGGTGGGATTACAGGCGTGAGCCACCGAGCCCAGCCTGTCTGTCTGTTTCTGTGTGAGTCTGTGTGGCTGTCTCTGGGAGTCTCTGTGTATGTCTCTGTCTCTCTCGCCTCCCCGTTTCTCTCGGCTTCCCATTGCCATGGCAAACACAGCTTTTCCACACCCTGTATTTGGTCATTCATAGAAAATGCATAGAAGTCACTCCGCAATTTTCCTTAAGAATGAAAAGTTGTCACCATGATGTTAGCACTGGCTTCCAGGCGCTGCCAAAAGGGACTGACCCCTCTCCTCACTTGGCTCTCCACGCTTGCGGTAGGTGATGAGACTATTTTAATAAGAGCAGCCAGGCGCTGTGGCTCACACCTGTAATCCCAGCACTTTGGGAGGCCGAGGCGGGCGGATCACCTGAGGTCAGGAGTTCGAGACCAGCCTCAACATGGAGAAACCCCGTCTCTACTAAAAATACAAAATTAGCCGGGTGGGGTGGTGTATGCCTGTAATCCCAGCTACTCGGGAGGCTGAGGCAGGAGAATCGCTTGAACCCGGGAGGCGGAGTTTGCGGTGAGCTGAGATTGTGCCACTGCACTCCAGCCTGGGCAATAAGAGCAAAACTCTTGTCTCGAAAAAAAAAAAATAAGAGCATTGATATGGGGAAAGTTGTCATGGTCCCAGGCACAAAAACACGGGCATATGGCTAATGCTTTAGGTTGAAAGCTTGTATGACAAAGTTTTCTTTTCTTTTTTTTTTTTTTTTTTTTTTTGAGATGGAGTCTTGCCTCTGTCGCCCAGGCTGGAGTGCAGTGGTGCGATCTTGGCTCACTACAACCTCTGCCTCCTGGGTTCAAGTGAGTCTTCTGTCCCAGCCTCCGGAGTAGCTGAGACTAGAGGTGTGCGTCACCATGCCTGGCTAATTTTTGTATTTTTAGTAAAGACGAGGTTTCACCATGTTAGCCAGGCTGGTCTTGAACTCCTGACCTCAGGTGATCTGCCCGCCTTGGCCTCCCAAAGTGCTGGGATGACAGGCGTGAGCCACTGTGCCTGGCCTGACAAAGTTCTTTTTACTAACCCAAACCTGGAGGTTGAGTGGCTTCAGCACTGAATGATCCCATGAAGGCCCTCATTTATCTTGCTGTTGAGCATTGCTGTCTTTCGTGAGCCCTTGTCAAGATAAGTCTTCTCAAATGCTCGAGATCACTGTGGTGTTTAAGGCTACAGTCAGCTGGTAGTAATGCAGGCTGTGGGTGGTAACAGTGTTTAGCGGGATACAGCTCACACCGATGGGAAGGGTGGTAGAGACAGCGTGAATAAAGGAAGTGGTCAGGTGATGAGAGGTAGGGCTGAGTCAACATTTAGGGTTCTACATGCACATGAAGTTCCCGTGTAGAATTTGCTAAAAATAAAGACACAAAGATAGTAGGTAGAGGCTGGGAGTGAAAACATCTGGGTCGGACTCTGCTGCATATTTAATTGAAGTTTTTTTCCCCTAAATATTTTATCTACTTAAAAATTTTGATTTTGTTTAAGATAGTAGTCTTTTTTTTGGTGGGGTGGTGGGGCGGACAGAGTCTCACTTGGTTGCCTAGGCTGGAGTGCAGTGGCGTGATTTCACCATGTTGGCCAGGCTAGTCTCAAACTCCTGACCTCAGGTGAGCCACCCGCCTCGGCCTCCCAAAGTGCTGGCATGACAGGCGTGAGCCACCGTGCCCAGCCAAGATGGTGGTGGTGCTGTGTTGCCCACAGCCGGGTTGGAGTGCAATGGTGCGATCTTAGCTCACTGCAGCCTTAAACTCAAGGAATCCTCCCACCTGAGCCTCCTGAGCTGGGATTACAGGTGCATGCCAAACATGCTTGGCTAATTTTAAAATATTTTATAGAGATGGAGTCTTGCTGTATTGACCAGGCTTGTCTTGAACTGCTGGCCTCCAGTTATCCCCTTGCCTTCGCTTCCCAAAGTGCTGGGATTACACGCGTGAGCTGCCACACTGGGCTCTTACCCACTTACCAGTAATAAACACAGAACTCCTAAAGTGCTGTGATTACGGCGCCTGACCAGCCTTAATTACCTCTGAAAAGCCCTGTGTCCAAATAGAGTCACATCTGGGGTAGGGCTTGTACATGACGTTTGGTGGGACCAATTCAGTCCGTAGCAAGGACTGTCCTGTGTATCACGTGATGTATAGCAGCACCCCTGGACTTGGATGAGCCTGAGCCTGCCCCCACTGCAACTCGTGACAACCAAAAAACCTCTCGGGATGTGGCCAGATACCCCCATGGGGACAAAATCACCCCCAGTTAAGAATGGCTGGCTCAGCCATTCACAATTGCAAAGATGTGGAACCAACCGAAGTGCCCATTGAATAATGAGTGGATTGTGGGCGGCAAGGCACCCAGGCACCGAGGCAAGAGACAGAGGACACGAGCTGTTCCAGTATAATAAAATATAAAACAAGAATTGTTATACCAGATATAGATCTTAGATATGATTATATATGAGTATCATTAATCATTAGCCGGTAGCAATTACTTTTTATTCCAATATTATAATAATCCTCACTCTATAATCATAGCCTAGGAAAAACCAGGCCATACAGAGATAGGAGCTGAGGGGACATAGTGAGGTGTGACCAGAAGACAAGAGTGCGAGCCTTCTGTTATGCCCGGACAGGGCCACCAGAGGGCTCCTTGGTCTAGCGGTGACGCCAGCGTCTGGGAAGACACCCGTCACCAAGCGGATCATGGTCCAGCGGTAGCAAAAGGTGTCAATTAACAACACCCGCTACTTAGCAGACCGGGAAAGGGGCAGCGGGTGGGGGGGGGGGTCTCCCTTTCCCCGGGGGAGTTTAGAGAAGACTCTGCTCCTCCACCTCTTGTGGAGGGCCTGACATCAGTCAGGCTCGCCCGCAGTTATCCGGAGGCCTAACCGTCTCCCTGTGATGCTGTGCTTCGGTGGTCACGCTCCTAGTCCGCCTTCATGTTCCATCCTGTACACCTGGCTCTGCCTTCTAGATAGCAGTAGTAAATTAGGGAAAGTACTAATAGTCCCTGATATGCAGAAATAATGGCGTAAGCTGTCTTTCTCTCTGTCTCCTCTCCCTCTCTGCCTCGGCTGCCAGGCAGGGAAGGGCCCCCTGTCCAGTGGACACGTGACCCACGTGACCTTACCTATCATTGGAGGTGACTCACACTCTTTACCCTGCCCCTTCTGCCTTGTATCCAATAAATAACAGCGCAGCCAGACATTCGGGGCCACTACCGGTCTCCGCGCATTGGTGGTAGTGGTCCCCCGGGCCCAGCTGCCTTTTCTCTTGTCTCTTTGTCTTGTGTCTTTATTTCTACACTCTCTCGTCGCCGCACACAGGGAGAGACCCACCGACCCTGTGGGGCTGGTCCCTACAGTGGATAAAGAAAACGTGGTGTCTATGTACCATGGAATACTATTCAGCCATTAGAAGGAATGAAATAATGTCATTTCCAGCAATTTGGATGGAGCTGGAGGCCATTATTCTAACAGGAGTAGAATCCATATGTTCTCACTTTTTTTTTTTTTTTTTAAGACAGTTTTGCTCTTGTTGCCCAGGCTAGAGTGCAATGGTGTGATCTTGGCTCACCGCAACCTCCGCCTCCTGGGTTCAAGCGATTCTCCAACCTCAGCCTCCCTAGTAGCTGGGATTATAGGCACGTGCCACCACACCCAGCTATGTATTTTTCTATTTTTAGTAGAGATGGGGTTTCACCATGTTGGCCAGACTGGTCTTGAACTCCTGGCCTCAGGCGATACACCTGCCTCAGCACCCCCAAAGTGATGGGATTACAGGCGTGAGCCACCGCCACCGTGCCTGGCTCTGTATGTTCTCAGTGGGAGCTAAGCTGTTGGTACACAAAGGCAGAGTGATGTAATGGGCTTCAGAGTCTCAGAAGGGGGAGGGCAGAAGGGAGGCCACAGATAAAAAACTACACATTAGGCCAGTGTGGTCGCTCACGCCTGTAATCTCATCACTTTGGGAGACCCAGGCGGGCCGATCACTTGAGGCCAGGAGTTCGAGACCATCCTGACCAAGATGGTGAAACCCTGTCTTTACTTACTAAAAGTACAAAAAATTAGCCAGGCATGGTAGTGGGTGTCTGTAATGCCAGCACTTTGGGAGGCCAAGGTGGGAGAATCGCTTGAACCCGGGAGGCGGAGGTTGTTGCAGTGAGCTGAGGCCACGACACTGCACTCCAGCCTGGGTAACAGAGCGAGACTTGGTCTCTAAATAAATAAAATAAAGGGCTCAGACTCTATCTCAAAAAATAAATGAATAAGGCCGGGTGCGGTGGCTTACACCTGTAATCCCAGCACTTTGAGAGGCCGAGGCGGGAGGATCACGAGGTCAGATCGAGACCATCCTGGCTAACATGGTGAAACCCCGTCTCTACTAAAAATACAAAAAATTAGCCGGGCTAGGTGGCGGGCGCCTGTAGTCCCAGGAGAATGGTGTGATCCCGGGAGGCGGAGCTTGCAGTGAGCAGAGATCGCGCCACTGCAGTCCAGCCTGGGCGACAGAGCAAGACTCTGTCTCAAGAAAAATAAATGAATAAAAACAATAAGAAAGAAAAATAGCCACGTCTTACGTAGGCTGAGACTGGAGAGTTTCCGTGGACTCGTAACCCTGCCTTTGTCCCTGCACTGAAGGGTGTAAGGTGGTTGCTTTCTGCATGAGCCAGTGTTTCTCAGCCTTGGTGCTGCTGCCATCTGGGGCTGCCCTGGGCATTGTAGGAAGCTGAGCAGCACCCCTGGACCCTACCTACCAGATGCCAGTAGAACCCCTCCCCAAGTCATGACAATTAAAAATTACCATGGGCATTGCCAAATGTCCCCTGGAGTGGAGAGCAAAATCACCCAGCAGAGAACTGCTAGGCTAGAGAGGTGCAGGATCCTAGGCTGGGTGCGGGGGCCTGTAATCCTCGCACTTTGGGAGGCCAAGGTGGGCGGATCACATGAGGTCGGGAGTTCAAGACCAACCTGGCTAACATGGTAAAACCCCCATCTCCACTAAAAATACAAAAATTAGCCAGGCGTGGCGGCACATGCCTGTAGTCCCAGCTCCTTGGGGGGCTGAGGCAGGAGAATCGCTAGACCCCAGCAGGCAGAGGTTGCAGTGAGCCAAGATGGCACCACTGCATTCCATCCTGGGCGACAGAGCAAGACTGTAGTTTTTTTGTTTTTGTTTTTGTTTTTTTTTGAGGAGTCACAGTCTGTCACTCAGGCTGGAGTGCAGTGGCGCAATCTCGACTCACTGCAACCTCTGCCTCCCGGGTTTGAACGATTCTCCTGCCTCAGCCTCCCGAGTAGCTGGGATTGGCTCTGGTGGTGGAGGTGCCTGCAAACCTGTTGGTACTGTAACCGTCAGAAAACGAGTAGCAAGAAGTGTCCGAGAAAGCCAGAGAAGTGAGTCCTTCGAGGAGGAAGTGGTCAACGTGTCAAATACAACTGTGGGGGAGCAATAATGAGAAGGGCTGAAAAGGGTCACTGCATGTTCCAGGAAGGAAGCTCATTAGTGTTGGTCACACAGACAGCTTCAGAGGAAGTGTGGGGAGAGAAGCCAGTTTCTAGCGGGTGGGGAGCACAGGTGAGAAGTCAGAACAAAGGCCACCAGTGTGGGTTATGTCTTAGGGAGCGTGGGTCTTCTGGCTGGGCGCGGTGGCTCAGTAATCCCAGCGACTCTGGAGGCTGAGGCAGGAGAATCGCTTGAACCCGGAAAGCGGAGGTTGCAGTGATCCGAGATTGCAGCACTGCACTCCAGCCTGGGTGTGCAGAGCGAGACTCAAAAAAAAAAAAAAAAAAAAAAAAATAGAACAGTTGATCTCCTAGAAGTGAGAGTAGGTGGAGGTTATCAGGGGCTGGGGGTGGTAGGAGAGGAAGATGTTGGTCAAAAAGCACAAGTAGCTGGGTGTGGTGGCTCACGTCTGTAATCCCAGCACTTTGGGAGGCCAAGGCGGGTGGATCACCTGAGACCAGGAGTTTGAGACCAACATGGAGAAACCCCGTCTCTACTAAAAATACAAAAATTAGCCGGGCGTGGTGGCACGCACTTGTAGTCCCAGCTACTCGGGAGGCTGAGGCAGGAGAATCGCTTGAACCCGGGAGGCGGAGGTTGCAGAGTCAAGATCGCGCCACTGCACTCCAGCCTGGGTGACAGAGCAGGACTTCGTCTCAAAAAAAAAAAAAAAAAAAAAGCACAATATTCAGTTATAAGATGAGTTAGTTCTGGGGGTCTGATATATGGGATGGCGATTATGGTTAACACAAGCAGCTTTTAAATGTCTTTACCCCTGCTCCCCGTTACCAGCCAAAGCTGTGAAGTTCCAGGCCCTTGGTGTTTCGAACAAAGAATTGGGTGTGATACACACACATAGCAAAGCGGCATAAGTTTATTAAGCATAGGATTACACTCTTGGAGAGGGGAGAGCAGGCGGACCTCTGCGAAATGAGATCGGCATCAGCTCGCTGTACTTTGGGTCTTTTTTTTTTTTTTTCTTATTAGGAATATACAACCATTTATTCACTGTTCACTAGTATTTACAATAAAGTGAACAAAATACAGTTCAATAACATTCAGATTACCACAAAGTTGTGTTTCCTGGCTTTTACTGAACCAGTAAAGCAGATACTGAAAAGACTGAGCCTATGTGGTTTTTTTTTTTTTTTTTTTGAGATGGAGTCTCGCTCTGTCGCCCAGGCTGGAGTGCAGTGGCACGATTTTGGCTCACCGCAACCTCCGCCTCCCAGGTTCAAGCGATTCTCCTGCCTCAGCCTTCTGAGTAGCTAGGATTACAGGTGCCTACATGTAAGGAATGAGTTGGGGTAAAGAAAAAATACGCGAGTCAGCAGTTTATTTATTTTGAGAGGGAGTCTCGCTCTGTTACCAGGCTGGAGTGCAGTGGTGCAATCTCGGCTTACCACAACCTCTGCCTCCCGGGTTCAAGTGATTCTGCTGCCTCAGCCTCCCGAGTAGCTGAGATTACGGGTGCAAGCCACTGCGCCTGGCTAATATTTTGTATTTTTTAGTAGAGATGGGGTTTTACCGTGTTGGCCAGGCTGCTATTTAATGGAAAAATCAGATTTAGAGAATAAATTTGACCGGCATGAGGCACCAGAATAATGGGAGGGCGTGAGGACCCATGCGATGAGTATATAAATGGGTTGATAAGTAGAAGTTCTCAGGGAGGAAAGCGATGGTGGTGTCCAGACAGCATTTCAAGACCCCTAGTGAGAAGTCTCAAGTTGCAGGCTGTGCCACAGCCCCGTATATACATTCACTCATTTGATATATATTTCCCGAGAACCCCGTTATAGTTGCGGGAGCTGTGAATGCAGCCACTAAATCTGACATAGATCAATTCACACGAGTTCACGGTAGAGGCAGGAAAATGGACATGCATGCCGAATCAGGGTTCAAGTGCTGTTACAGGGAATTAACAGGTGCTTTGGGATGAGGAAAGTGTTGTCTTGGCTGGGCGCAGTGGCTCACGCCTGTAATCCTAGCACTTTGAGAGGCCAAGGCGGGGGGATCACCTGAACTCAGGAGTTTGAGACCACCCAGGGCAACATGATGAAACCCTACCTCTACTAAAGATGCAAAAAAAATTAACCGGGTGTGGTGGCGCGCGCCTCTAGTCCCAGCTACTTGGGAGGCTGAGGAAGGAGAATCGCTTGAGCCCCAGAGGCGAAGGTTGCAGTGAGCTGAGATTGTGCCACTGCACGCCAGCTTGGGCTACAGAGTGAGACTGTCTCAAAAAAAAAAAAAAAAGTGCTATCTTTGTGAAGTCGGAGTTGTGGAAACTCTTGGAGGAAATGATATCTCTGCAGAGCCCTGAAGAACAAGGCAAGGTGTGGATAAAGAAGCAAAGATGGTGGCCGGGTACGGTGACTCACACCTGTAATTCCAGCACTTTGGGAGGCCGAGGCTGGTGGATCACCTGAGGTCAGGAGTTCAAGACCAGTCTGGCCAACATTGTGAAACCCCATTTCTACTAAAAATACAAAAATTAGCCGGGCGTGGTGGTGCATGCCTATAATCCCAGCTATTCAGGAGGCTGAGGCAGGAGAATCATTTGAACCCTGGAGGTGGAGGTGGCAGTGAGCCAAGATTGCACCACTGCATTCCAGCCTGGGTGACAAAAGTGAAACTCGGGGGAAGGGATAGCATTAGGAGATATACCTAATGTTAAATGACGAGTTAGTGGGTGCAGCACACCAACATGGCACATGTATACATATGTAACTAACCTGCACGTTGTGCACATGTACCCTAAAACTTACATTAAAAAAAAAAAAAGTGAAATTCTGTCCCAACAAAACAAACAAAAAAAAAGAAAAAAAAAAAAAAGGAAGAGAAGATGGAATAATTCTGTGGTTAGAAGGAATTGGGGTATGGTTGGGATGCAGCCAGGAGTCACTTATTTTTTTTTTTTCTTTTTTTTTTTGAGACAGAATCTTGCTCTGTCACGTAGGCTGGAGTGCAGTGGTGCGATCTTGGCTCCCTGCAGCCTCCGCCTCCCGGGTTCAAGCTATTCTCCTGCCTCAGCCTCCTGAGTAGCTGGGATTACAAGCACACGCCACCATACCTGGCTAATTTTTATATTTTTAGTAGAGATGTGGTTTCACCATGTTGGCCAGGCTGCTCTCGAACTCCTGACCTCAGGTGATCCTCCCACCTTGGCCTCCCAAAGTGCTGGGATTACAGGCATGAGCCACCGTGCCTGGCCGAGTTTTTGTATTTTTAGTAGAGATGGGGTTTCATCATGTTGGCCAGGCTGGTCTCGAACTCCTGACCTCAGGTGATCTGCCCGCCTCAGCCTCCCAAAGTGTTGGGATTACAGGTGTGAGCCACCGTGCCTGGCAGGATTCACTTATAAAGCTGCTTCTCTACAACTGGTTGTTGCCACAATGCCTCCTGAACCATTTGATACAGACCTATTCTATATTGGTTATTAACTATTTTGAATGGCTTCCTGCAGAGAAAGGAAAGAAAAAAAGACCAAAGTAGGAAAAAAATATTTCCATGGCCATCCTGTTAAAGAAGGAGAGATCTTTTCAGAAAAGACCAGAGTGGTTAAAAGTATGGTTTGCAGTAAGTGGTACAAAAATAGTTAGAGCCTAGAAGAGACCATAGGATTTGTCTACAGAAGAAATTCAGTGGCTGGGCGCAGCGGCTTATGCCTGTAATCCCAGCCCTTTGGGAGGCCAAGGCGGGGAGATCACTTGAGGTCAGGAGTTCGAGACCAGCCAACAGGGAGAAACCCCGTCTCCACTAAAAATACAAAATTAGCTGGGGTGGTGGCACATGCCTGTAATCCCAGCTACTCAGGAGGCTGAGGCAGGAGAATCACTTGAACCCGAGGGATGGAGAGCTAGAGGTTGCAGTGAGCCAAGATCGCGCCATTGCACTCCAGCCTGGGCAACAAGAGAAAACTCTGTCTCAAAAAAAAAAAAAAAGAAATTTAGCATGTAGTTCTCCCACCCTCTGCATCGTCCGGGATGCTCTGACAAATGGAATGCCAGTGTCCCTCTTTCCCTGCAGTGACTCCCTCCTCCGTGGGTCCAACACAGAGCTCACGCCGCCCAGGCTCAACACCAGCTTTCAGATCCACCCATGGCCACTGTGTCTCATGGTCATTCTTCAAAGAGTCTGTGTGTTCAGCCTTCTCCTGCCTTCCCAAGTGGAAGCTCTGCTGGCTCGCTCTCTAGTCCTCTTCCTGCTGAGCCAGTCTTCAACCAGGAACCACACTAGAGCCACCAGGACTAGAAAGGCCAGGCCCATCCGAAGGAGATTCTGGGCAGTGTGATCCCAGAGGGCATGGTCTGTAGGCAGGAGAACAGGGTGATCGCTGACAGGGATGTAAGGACACCCTCTTTTTTTTTTTTTTTTTTTTTTTTTTTTTTTTTTTTTTTGAGACAGAGCCTCAGTCTTGTCGCCCAGGCTGGAGTGCAATGGCACGATCTCGGCTCACTGCAACCTCCACTTCCTGGGTTCAAGCTATTCTCCTGTCTCAGCCTCCCAAGTAGCTGGGACTACAGGCACACGCCACCACGCCTGGCTAATTTTTTTGTATTTTTAGTAGAGATGGGATTTCGCCATGTTGGCCAGACTGGTCTTGAACTCCCGACCTCAGATGATCTGCCCGCCTCGGCCTCCCAAAGGGCTGAGATTACAGGTGTGAGCTACTGCGCCTGGCCAAGGACACCCTCTTGTTCCCATTTAGATTCCCTTCCTAGGTCTACTCTATGCCCAGCCCCTTCCTTCAGAGCCTATGGCCCCAGCTGTCTACTTACCTTTCTGGAGTCCCGTCTCTGTGGTTAAAAGGTAGGTGCCCCAAGTGTCTGCTGATGATAAGGGAAGTGAAGAAAAGAGGATGGTTTTGACCTCCTCCACCCCAGCACTCCTTCCCTTGGGTCTACCCCATGACGTTCTGCAGCTTTACAAGGTCCCACCTCACCCTGCGGGTCCCAGGAGCTTCATCCAGCAGGTAAAGTGGAAGGGTCCACAGATGGACGAACCTGACGAGGAATTCCATTCTAGCACTTGTGAGCATGTGTCTTTGCACCAGTCATGTCTTCTATTTTTTTTTTTTTTGAGATAGAGTCTCACTGTGTTCCAGCCTCTGGAGTAGCTGGGACTACAGGCACACACCACATACCCAGGTAATTTTTTTCATATTTTTAGTAGAAACGGGGTTTTGCCATGTTGGCCAGGCTGGTCTTGAACTCCCAACCTCAGATGACCTGCCTGCTTCGGCCTCCCAAAGGGCTGGGATGGCAGGCCTCTGAGGCTGGAGTACAGTGGTGTGATCTCAGCTCACTGCAACCTCCGCCTCCCGAGTTCAAGCAATCCTCTTGCTTCAGCCCCGAGTAGCTGTAATTACTGGCGTGCGCCACCACACCCAACTCATGTTTGTATTTTTAGTAGAGATGGGGTTTCACTGTGTTGGCCAGGCTGGTCTTGAACTCCTGACCTCAAGTGATCCAGCCGCCCCTGCCTTCCAAAGTGCTGGGATTACATGCAGGAGCCACCCGGCCCAGCCCGTCTTCTATTTAAGCCTCATTTTCCTCATTAAGTCATCATTACCTCTTTCTCCTCACACATAGTGAAATTCAAAGTCTCACTATTTTTTTTTCTTTTTCTTTTTCTTTTTCTTTTTTTTTGAGACGGAGTCTCACTCTGTCGCCCAGGCTGGAGTGCAGTGGCGCGATCTCAGCTCACTGCAAGCTCCGTCTCCCGGGTTCACGCCATTCTCCTGCCTCAGCCTCTTGCGTAGCTGGGACTACAGGCGCCCGCCACCACGCCCGGATAATTTTTGTATTTTTTTTTAGTAGAGACAGGGTTTCACCGTGTTAGCCAGGATGGTCTTGATCTCCTGACCTCATGATCCACCTGCCTCGGTTTCCCAAAGTGCTGGGATTACAGGCGTGAGCCACCGCGCCGGGCCTCACTCCTGTAATCCTAGCCGTGCGCCCCAGGCCCATCCCACCGTCATCTTCCAAACATCATTTTCAACCCTCCTGGCCTCATAGTTATTATTGTATTACCCCAGTTATCTTCCTGCCCCAGGGCACAGGCAGATGCCATTTCATTCTCTCCAGAGCCTCCTTTCTCCTGACAGCCACATGATTAACTCAAGTCTGAACGCATTTGCTCAGATGCCTTCTTTCTCTGTGAGGTCCATCTGGACAAACCTATTTAATATTGCTAGCTGCCATTTCAATCACTGTAAGTCTGTTCTACTTTGTCTTTTCCTTCCATAGCATCATTCCCTCCTGTGTGCTATCCTGACGTTGACCGATGGTGTGTCTCCTCCTGCTAGAATCTAAGTGCTGCACAGTCAAGATATCTGCCTGGCTGACTGTTACAGTGTAGTTCACTGTGTATACTATGCACTTGATGAATATATATATATAATAGTTTTGTTTTTGTTTTTCTGTGAGATGGAGTCTCGCTGTGTCGTGCAGTGGAGTGGAATGCAGTGGCGCGATCTCAGCTCACTGCAACCTCTGCATCCCAGGTTCAACAATTCTCCTGCCTCAGCCTCCTGAGTAGCTGGGATTACAGGCGAGCACCACCAGGCCCGGCTAATTTTTGTATTTTTAGTAGAGATGGGGTTTCACCATGTTGGTCAGGCTGGTCTCGAATTCCTGACCTTGTGATCCAACCACCTTGGCCTCCCGAAGTGTTGGGATTACAGGTGTGAGCCATGATGCCCAGCCTAAGTTTTGTATTTTTAGTAGAGACAGGGTTTCGCCATGTTGGCCAGGCTGGTCTCAAACTCCTGACCTCAAATGATGCACCATCTCGGCCTCCCAAAGTGCTGGGATTACAGGCGTGAGCCACCACGCCTGGCCTCGATGAATATTTTGAATGAATGCCACGTTTTTAGTGTCACTGGGAGGCTCTGATCGCTCGTCTGAGCTTAGAAGGACCAGTTACTCACCAGGAAAGGTGGGGTCTTCAGGTGCAAGGCTGGTGTTCTCAATGTCGCCTGGAAAAGGAGATAAAGAAAAAAAAGTAAGGGTTTTTGGTTTCCTCCGGTCTTGCCATTCTTTTTTTTTTTTTTTTTTTTTTGAGATGGAGTCTTGCTCTGTCGCCCAGGTTGCAGTGCGGTGGTATGATCTCGGTTCACTACAACCCCCGCCTCCCGGGTTCAAGCGATTCTCCTGCCTCAGCCTCCTGAGTAGCTGGGACTACAGGTGTCCGCCACTGCGTCTGGCTAATTTCTGTATTTTTAGTAGAGACGGGGTTTCACCGTCTTGGCCAGGCTGGTCTCGAACTCCTGACCTTGTGATCCACCCGCCTTACCATTCCTTTCTCTGTTCCCTCCTCCTTCCTGCTTCTGGTGTTCTTCCTCACATGACCAACCAGGCACCCAGGAAGTGGACGTCCCTTGGACACCCTCCCCATCACTCTCTGGGGATCCCTCAGGGCTCCAGGTAGCACATGGCGGCGAAGGGTGTGGGGAATTGAGCATTTCCTCACCTGTGACCAGGAGCTTCACTGGCTCACTGGGGAAAGACCAGGCATGGTTGTTATAGGAGCCAAAACATCGGTATGTCCCTCTGTGGGCTGTGGTCACAGGGCCCAGGGGGAACTCCGCCTGGACCTTCCCGTATCCGCGCTGTACGTGGCTGGATCTTCCCTCCTTGAGCAGTAAGAACATGCTTGTTGCAGTGTCTAGACGGCAGTAGAAGGTCACCTTCTCTCCCGAGATCACTTCGGGTCCAGGATGAACCGAGAGGGTGGGTGTGTCATACATTTCTATGAGAGAAGGTGGGGCCACCACACCAGAAACTCAGTGATGAGCAGCCAGCTATTTTTTTTTTTCTTTCTTTAGAGATGGAGTCTCTCTCTGTCGCCCAGGCTGGAGTGCAGTGACACGATCTTGGCTCACTGCAACCTCCGCCTCCCGGGTTCAAGCGTTTCTCCTGCCTCACCCTCCCAAGTAGCTGGGACTACAGGGGCCTGCCACCATGCCTGGCAGCCAGCTTTTTTTTTTTTTTTTAATTATTATTTTGGTCAAATACACACAATAGAAGATTTACCGTCTAAAACCATTTTTAAAAATGATACAGGGTCTTGCTCTGTTTCCCAGGCTGGAGCGCCGTGGCACTATCTTTGCTTACTGAAGCCTCGACCTCCTGGGTCAGGAGTTTGAGACCAGCCTGGTCAACATGGTGAAACCCCGTCTCTACTAAAAATGCAAAAATTAGCCGGGTGTGGTGGCACATGCCTGTAATCTCAACTACTTGGGAGGCTGAGGCAGGAGAATTGAGGCTGAGGCAGAGGTTGCAGTGAGCTGAGATTGTACCACTGCACTGCAGCGAGACTGTCTCAAAAAAAAAAAAAAAAGCCCCGGCCAGCCGCCCCGTCCGGGAGGTTGGGGGGCAGCCCCCGCCCGGCCACTGCCCCGTCTGGGAGGTGGGGGGGCGCCTCTGCCCGGCCGCCCCGTCTGGGAAGTGAGGAGCCCCTCTGCCCGGCCGCCACCCCGTCTGGGAGGTGTACCCAACAGCTCATTGAGAACGGGCCATGATGACGATGGCGGTTTTGTCGAATAGAAAAAGGGGAAATGTGGGGAAAAGAAAGAGAGATCAGATTGTTACTGTGTCTGTGTAGAAAGAAGTAGACATAGGAGACTCCATTTTGTTCTGTACTAAGACAAATTCTTCTGCTTTGGGATGCTGTTAATCTATGACCTTACCCCCAACCCCGTGCTCTCTGAAACATGTGCTGTGTCCACTCAGGGTTAAATGGATTAAGGGCGGTGCAAGATGTGCTTTGTTAAACAGATGCTTGAAGGCAGCATGCTCCTTAAGAGTCATCACCACTCCCTAATCTCAAGTACCCAGGGACACAAACACTGCGGAAGGCCGCAGGGACCTCTGCCTAGGAAAGCCAGAGACCTTTGTTCACATGTTTATCTGCTGACCTTCTCTCCACTATTGTCCTATGACCCTGCCAAATCCCCCTCTCCGAGAAACACCCAAGAATGATCAATAAATACTAAAAAAATTAAAAAAAAAAGAATAAATGAGTAGCTGTGTTCCCCTGCCAGAACCTCCAAACAAGGTCCAAAGACCCTGAGCAAATGAAAAGGCACAGACAAAAAATATATATATTTCAACACAAGTATATGACACAGAATATAGAAATAACTTTTCCTAATCAATCAAAATATAAGCAACCCAATTTAAAAATAGGCAAAAGATTTAAATAGACATTTCACAAAAGAAGATATTTGAATGGACATGAAATACTGTTGTGAGCTGCATAATGACATTTTGGCCAACAATGTACCACATATATGATGGTGGTCCCATAAGATTATAATGAAACTGAAAAATTCCTATTGCCTGATGACATCATAGCCTTCCTAGCACAAAGTATTGCTCATGTGTTTTTGGTGTTGCTGGTATAAACAAACCTAATTGTATAGCACATACAATTATGTATGTATATGTAACTATGTATAATACTTGATAATAATAATAAACAACCATATTGTTAAAAAAAAAAAAAAGCTAATTTTTTTTTTTTTTTAGAAAACCACCACCTGGCTGGGTGTGATGGCTCACACCTGTAATCCCAGCACTTTGGGAGGGTGAGGCGGGCGGATCATCTGAGGTCAGGAGTTCGACACCACCCTGGCCAACATGGTGAAACCCCATCTCTACTAAAAATACAAAATGTGGCGTAGTGGTGGGTGCCTGTGATCCCAGCTACTTGGGAAGCTGAGGCTGGAGAATCACTTGAACCCAGGAGGTGGAGGTTGCAGTGACTGGAGATTGCACCACTGCACTCCAGCCTGGGTGACAAGAGCGAAACTCCGTCTCAAAACAGATAAAAAAAAAAAAAACCCACCACCTGTGATGGGTGAGGGAAGCAAAGTGTAAGCCACTGCGCCTGGCCCACAGGCATTGTTTTTGAGGACATTCCTCAGTCATACCCCTGCATACAAATATCTATCTCAGAATCTGTGTCATGGAGAAACTGACTGAGGACACATCTGCTCCTAGGACGTAGAGACACGGTCTGCAGACAACCCCTTGTAGGCAAGGATTGTGATGGGGATCACCCCTCCTTCCAGCCTCCTACCGAGACAAGCAGTGTCTGAGTGGGGCTTGGAAGAGTTCATAGATGATGCTGCATCCCGGATGCAGACTGAGATCACTCTCCAGTTAGAGAACCGGACAGTTACCTGTTACCACCAGATCCAGCAAGTTGCTGGGCTCTGACCAGAGCTCCCCAACCCGATAGATGCAGCTGTATTGCCCTGCCATGCGGGAGTTCATGTCCGGGATGTAGAATTGGACTTTGTTAATCCGCTCAGGGGGTTTTGGTCTGTCCACGGCAAAAAGGCTTCCTTCAAAGTGCAGCTGGTATTCAACAGCCCCATAATTTCCCTGGCAACAGATGGTCACTTGCTTTTCCTTTGGAACCATGAAATGGGGCTCGGCCCAGATGAACGGTTTTGGGAGAGTCTCTGGAAGGGAATCAGAGGCTGGAGTTCCAGCGGAGCCCCCTCCCCCCAACCTTAGGCTCCACCCAGCTGCTGGCCCCAAGCTCTCCTGGGAAGCCAGCACCCTGTCCCCTCACCCCAGCCGTGCTTGGGTGGAAGGAGCTTGGCCTGAATCCGGAAGAGTGACCCTGGGCTTTGAAGGAAGGACTCACGCTGCTGGGCGCTGATCCTCTGACTCAGACACAGCCCTGGAAGACGGGAGTAATGAGACCTGTTGCCTCCCAGGCACACCGTGATCCCATTCCCCTTCCACGCCAGAACTCACCGACGCAGAGCAGGGCAGGGAGTGTGGAAGACATCGCTCAGATTCTGCCGGCCTAGTGCTGAGCAGTGGGGACTGAGCCGGGCGGGCCAGGGAGATAGATACACAGGAAGTGGTGGGTGAGCACCAGCGCCCATCACCAGAGCGCTTTCACGTTGACTGCTTTCATCAGAACGTTCACAACTCCCCTCCGCCTCTGACCATGAGCTTACAGAAAGGCCGTGGTCCCTCTGACACATCTGTGGTCTAGCCAGCAACTCTGACAATTGTCTGCTCAGCCCAAAATGCATTTCTGGGTCAACTTCTCAATTCTGCAATGTGGAGGTCGTACCCAGAGCTGACTGTGGGAAGTTGTGCCCAATCATGCCCAGAGGAAACCCCCTGAGAATCGTATAAAAACATAGGGAGTTTCACAGTGAGATACTGGAACAGGAATTAAAAGAAATTACAGAATGTGTAAACAAAAACTCAGTTGTATTTAAGAAAACCCAGTTCCCCCCGAGGAAGAGAAAGAGGTGGAGTCCTTTAAACATGAACTGCCTGTTTTTCTGTCTGTGGCTAGTGAGCCTTATCTCTCCCTTTCCCAGGCATTGTGAAGACCCTGTTTCTCTTGCCGTGCGGCTGCAAGGTCACTAGACAGGATAACCTCAAGTCGTAAAACATATTTTTCTTGAAAAGTAAGGAATAATGTGATGCATGTCTCAATTGAATAACTGCCTTTGTTTCTTGCTTCTGTAATATGCTTCCCCCTGCACAGATCTCCCCCAACCCCACAAAATGCTTAAAAGGTAACCGGACTCTCTGTTCGAGCCTCAGTCTTTTTGGATGTTAATCTGACTGGGGCCGGTGCACCTAAATAATAATAATAATAATAAATCCTCCTCAACCCCTCGGTCTCTCTGATTCCTAAATTATCCCTCAACAATACCATCTCACACCAGTCAGAATGGCCATTACTGAAAAGCCAGAAATTAACAGATGCTGGTGAGATTGTGGAGCAAAGGGGACACTTATACACTGTTGGTGGGTGTAAATTAGTTCAGCCACTGTGGAAAGCAGTTTGGTTTGGAGATATTTCAGAGAACTACAAACAGAGTTACCATTCAGCCCAGCAATCCCATCGCTGGGTATATAGCCAAAGGAAAATAAATCATTCTACCAAAAAGACACATGCACTTGTATGTTCATTGCAGCAGGATTCACAATAGTGAAGACATGGAATCCACCCAGGTCCCATCAGAGGTGGACTGGATAAAGACAATGTGATATGTATACACCACAGAACGCTATACAGCCTTGAAAAATCACAAGATTATGTCCTTTGCAGCAACATGGATGCAGCTAGAGGCCATTATCCTAAGCGAGTTAACACAGAAACAGAAAACCAAATACTGGCCAGACACGGTGGCTCAGGCCTGTCATCCCAGCACTTTGGGAGGCTGAGGCAGGTGGATCACCTTAGGTCGGGAGTTCGAGACCAGCCTGACCAACATGCAGAAACCCTGTCTCTACTAAAAATTCAAAATTAGCCGGGTGTGGTGGCACATGCCTGTAGTCCCAACTACTCGGGAGGCTGAGGCAGGAGAATTGCTTGAACCTGGAAGGTGAAGGTTGCAGTGAGCCGAGATGGTGCCATTGTACTCCAGCCTGGGCAACAAGAGTGAAACTCCATCTCAAAAAAAAAAAAAAAAAAGAAAAGAAAACCAAATACCACATGTTCTCACTTATAAGTGAGAGCGCTAAACATTGGGTAAGGAGGGGAGCAAGGCTTGAAAATCTACCTATTTGGTGACTAGATCATTAATGCAAGCCTCAGCATCATGCAATATACTCATAAAAAACCTGCACATGTATCTGCTGAATCTAAAAAGATAAAAATAGGGGTTTTGACGTTGGCTTCTCTGTGTACAGTATACATATGCTTGGATAAGTTAATTGGTTTCATCAGAATGGAATGATAACACTATCTTCTTCAAAGATAGTGTTATAATGTTTCAATAAAATAAAAGTGAAAAGAAAAGCTTTTCATTTAAAGAACTTAATAAGAAAAGAAACATTTCTTTTCTTTTTCTTTTTCTTTCTTTTTTTTTTTTTTTTTTGAGACAGAGTCTTGCTCTGTTGCCCAGGCTGTGGTGCAGTGGTGTGATCTCAGCTCACTGCAACCTCTGCCTTGTGGGTTCAAGCAATTCTCCTGCCTCAGCCACCTGAGTAGCTGGGACTACAGACACCCAACACCACGCCCAGCTCATTTTTGTACTTTTAGTAGAGACCGGTTTTTACCACGTTGGCCAGGATGGTCTCCAACTCCTCACCTCAAGTGAATCTTCCTGCCTCGGCCTCTCAAAGTGCTGGGATTACAGGTGTGAGCCACCACACCCAGCCAAGAAACATTTCTTTTAAGTAAGTAACTAACTCTCCACTTAATAAAAAAAAATTCTATGCAGAAGTTGTTAAGATCTACAGTAAGAAAAAAGAAATTCATGCATTTTATATATACACACATATATACATATATACCTTTTATATATATACACATATATACATTTATACATATATGTATACATATATACATATATGTGTATATATACTGCATAGTACCGTACATGTATATATACACATGCATATATACACATACATGTATATGCGTATATATACACATATATGTATATATACACACATGCATACATGCATATATATGTATACACACATGTATGCGTGTATACATACATATATGTATATACATACATGTATCCGTGTATACATACATATATGTATATACATACATGTATGCGTGTATACATACATGTATGCGTGTATACATACATATACATATATGTATATACATACATGTATATATACATGTATGTATATATGCATATATGTATATACATACATGTATATATACATGTATGTATACATATACGTATATGTGTATATATGTATATACATATATATATACATGTAAGGTACTATGTAGTTTTCAGCATCCACTGGGGCCTTGGAATATATCCTGGTGGATACATGTGACTACTGTACAAGACTAGTTGTATCTTCTTGAGGCAAACAAATGTGCTAATTCTTTTTTTTTTCTCTTTAAGACGGAATCTCACTCTGTCCCTCAAGCTGGGGTGCAGTGGTGCAATCTCAGCTCACTGCAACCTTCACCTCCTGGGTTCAAGCAATTCTCCTGTTCTAGCCTCCCAAGTAGCTGGGATTACAGGCGTGTGCCACCACACTCGACTAATTTTTGTATTTTTAGTAGAGACAGGGTTTCCCCATGTTGGCCAGGCTAGTCTCGAACTCTTGACCTCAAGTGATCAGCCCACTTTAGCCTCCCAAAGTGCTGGGATTACAGGCGTGAGCCACCACACCCAGCCCGCCTCCTTCTTATTTACTGAAGATTCAGTACTCGGTGCTGGCGTTTCCCCTTACACAGCTGTCATAACTCTGGGTGTTTTCTTTATCCTTCCCCCTACGGAGCGCTTGGATGCCCTCTATGGAGGAGACTTATGTAGGCTGGATCCTCAGACCTCAGCCACCCTCTCAGCCATAACATAGTTACCTTCACCAAAGAAATATAAGAATATTGTCTTTTATTATTTTGAGCTTTTAATTTTGACATAATTCCAGACTTGCAAAAATAGTTTAAAGAATTTCTGGCCAGGTGCAGTGGCTCACACCTGTAATCCCAGCACTTTGGGAGGCCGAGGTGGGTGGATTGCTTGAGACGAGCCTGGGGGAAAAAAAAATGCAAAAATTAGCCAGGTGTGGTGCTGTGCGCCTATAGTCCCAGCTACTTGGGAGGCTGAGGTGAGAGGGTCATCTGAGCCCAGGGAGGTAGAAGCTGCAGTGAGCCATGATCGTGCCACTGCACTCTAGCCTGGGTGACAGAGTGTTACCCTGTCTATAAAAAAAAAAAAAATCTGTAATTTCTTCATCCAGATTTCCCCAAAGTTAGCATTTTACCACATTTGCTTCATCATTCAGCCTCTCTCCCTCTCCCTCTCTCCCCGAAGAAAGTGTGTCTAATTTGCATATGATGCCCTAAACCTCTAATCACTTCAGGTTATATTTCCCAAAACCAAGGACATTCTGTTATTAATGTTCAAGGTCAAGAAATAGCACTGATATGACACTATTGTCTGATCTATCCACTTTATTCAAATTTCACCACTTGTTTTACCAGTGACATATATTTGGTTTAGGATTTAATCCAAGATTACACAATTTATTTAATTGTCATGTCTCTCTTATTTGGAGATGGAATCTTGCTCTGTAGCCCAGGCTGGAGTGCAATGGTGTGATCTCAGCTCACTGCAACCTCCGCCTCCTGGGTTCAAGCAATTCTCTTGCCTCAGCTTCCTGAGTAGCTGGGATTAGAGGCACCCACAACCACGCCCAGCTAATTTTTGTATTTCTAGTAGAGATGGGGTTTCGTCAAGTTGGCCAGGCTGGTTTTGAACTCCTGAACTCAACTGATCCACCTGCCTCAGCCTCCCAAAGTGCTGGGATTAGAGGCATGAGCCACCACGCCCAGCCTCCTTTAAAAAATAAAACTATAGACTTTATTCTGATTTCACCAGTTTTTCCACTAGCATCCTTTCTTCGCTCCAGGAGCTCCAGTGATCCGCCTGCCTCAGCCTCCCACCTGCCTCGGCCTCCCAAGGTATTGGGATTACAGGTGTGAGCCATCTGGATCTATTTAATTCAGCCTTAAGCCCACACCAGCATTCCTGGGACTGTCCCCCCTCTACAGACTCTAAGCCATGTTTGAGATGATGAATTTCAAGTCGTGATTCAATCACTTAAGTGGTAAGTGACACAGAGGATATTACTAATCTTTTTTTTTTTTTTTTTTTTTTTTGAGATGGACTCTCGCTCTGTCACCCATGCTGGAGTGCAGTGGCGCAATCTCGGCTCTCTGCAAGCTCTGCCTCCGGGGTTTATGCCATTCTCTTGCCTCAGCCTCCTGAGTGGCGCAATCTCGACTCACTGCAAGCTCTGCCTCCCGAGTTTATGCCATTCTCCTGCCTCAGCCTCCTGAGTAGCTAGGACTACAGGTGCCCACCACCACGTCCGGGTAATCTTTTTTTTTTTTTTTCAAAGTAGAGATGGGGTTTCACCATGTTAGCCAGGATGGTCTCCATCTCCTGACCTCGTGATCCGCCCTTCTCGGCCTCCCAAAGTGCTGGGATTACAGGCGTGAGCCACCGCACCCGGCCTTTTTTTGGTATTTAAAAATATAACTTTATTGAGATATAATTTACATGCCATACAATTACCCATTAAAAGTGCATAATTCAATGGTTTAAATTTTGTGGTATTCACGGAGTTGGTGCAACCGTCAACACAGTCTAATTTTAGAATGTTGTCATCACTGCCCTTCAGAACCCCATGCCGACCAGCTGCCCATCACCACGATCCCCTCACTCTCCCGGCCCTAGGCAACCACTCATCTTCTGTCTCTAAACACCAGAAGGTACTTTTCAAAAATTGTGGCAAAATACACATAACATACATTTTAATATTTAAGAAGTTTTCTAAGGCCAGGTGCAGTGGGTCATGCCTGTAATCCCAGCACTTTGGGAGGCCGAGGTGTGCGGATCACCAGGTCAGGTGATCCAGACTGTCAGGCCTCTGAGCCCAAGCTAAGCCATCATATCCCCCTGTGGCCTGTATGTACACATCCAGATGGCCGGTTCCTGCCTTAACTGATGACATTCCACCACGAAAGAAATGAAAATGGCCTGTTCTTGCCTTAAGTGATGACATTATCTTATGAAATTCCTTCTCCTGGCTCATCCCGGCTCAAAAGCTCCCCTACTGAGCACCTTGTGAACCCCACTCCTGCCCGCCAGAGAACAACCCCCTTTTGACTGTAATTTTCCTTTACCTACCCAAATCCTATAAAACGGCCGCACTCCTATCTCCCTTTGCTGACTCTCTTTCTGGACTCAGCCCGCCTGCACCCAGGTGAAATAAACAGCCTTGTTGCTCACACAAATCCTGTTTGGTGGTCTCTTCACACGGACGTGAGTGAAATTTGGTGCCATAACTCGAATCAGGGGATCTTCCTTAGGAGATCAATCCCCTGTCCTCCTGCTCTTTGCTCCATGAGAAAGATCCACCTACGACCTCTCGTCCTCAGACCAACCAGCCCAAGGAACATCTCACCAATTTTAAATCCAGTAAGCAGCCTCTTTTTACTCTCTTCTCCAACCTCTCTCACTATCCCTCAACCACTTTCTCCTTTCCACTCTTCAATCTCTCCCTTCTCTTAATTTCAGTTCCTTTCCTTTTCTGGTAGAGACAGGAGACGCGCTTTATTCGTGGACCCAAAACTCCAGCGCCGGTCATGGACTCGGGAAGGCAGCCTTCCCTTGGTGTTTAATCACGCGGGGACACCTCTCTGATTATTCACCCACGTTTCAGAGGTGTCTGACCACATGGGGATGCCTGCCTTGGTCCTTCACCCTTAGTGGCAAGTACTGCTTTTCTGGGGGGGCAAGAACCCCCAACTCCTTCTCTGTGTCTCTACCCCTTCTCTGCTTTTCTGGGGGGGCAAGAACCCCCCAACCCCTTCTCCTTCACCCTTAGTGGCAAGTACCGCTTTTCTAGGGGGCAAGAATCCCCCGATCCCTTATTTCTGTGCCCTGACGTCTTATCTCTGCACCCCGATCCCTTATTTCCACACCCCGACCTCTTGTCTCTGCACCCCAATCCCTTACTTCTGTGCCCTGACCCCTTTCCCGCTTTTCTGGAAGGTAAGAACCCCTGAACCCCTTCCCTCCATGTCTCTACTCTCTCTTTTCTCTGTGCTTGCCTCCTTCAGTATGGGCAACCTTCCACCCTCCATTCCTCCTTCTTCTCCCTTAGCCTGTGTTCTTAAAAACCTAAAACCTCTTCAACTCACACCTGACCTAAAACCTAAATGCCTTATTTTCTTCTGCAATGCTGCTTGACCCCAATACAAACTTGACAGTGGTTCCAAATAGCCAGAAAACGGCACTTTCAATTTTTCCATCCTACAAGATCTAAATAATTCTTGTTGTAAAATGGGCAAACGGTCTGAGGTGCCTGACATCCAGGCATTCTTTTACACATCGGTCCCTCCCTAGTCTCTATGCCCAGTGCAACTCGTCCCAAATCTTCCTTCTTTCCCTCCCGCCTGTCCCGTCAGTCCCAACCCCAAGCATCGCTGAGTCTTTCTAATCTTCCTTTTCTACAGACCCATCTGACATCTCCCCTCCTCGCCAGGCCGAGCTGGGTCCCAATTCTTCCTCAGCCTCCGCTCCTCCACCCTATAATCCTTTTATCACCTCCCCTCCTCACACCCGGTCCAGCTTACAGTTCCATTCCATGACTAGCCCTCCCCCAACTGCCCAGCAATTTCCTCTTAAAAAGGTGGCTGAAGCTAAAGGCATAGTCAAGGTTAATGCTCCTTTTTCTTTATCTGACCTCTCCCAAATCAGATAGTGTTTAGGCTCTTTTTCATCAAATTTAAAAACACAGCCCAGTTCATGGCTCATTTGGCAGCAACCCTGAGACGCTTTACAGCCCTAGACCCTAAGTCAAAAGGCCGTCTTATTCTCAATATACATTTTATTACCAAATCTGCTCCCAACATTAAATAAAGCTCCAAAAATTAAATTCTGTCCCTCAAACCCCACAACAAGACTTAATTAACCTCGCCTTCAAGGTGTACAGTAATAGAGTAGAGGCAGCCAAATAGCAACATATTTCTGAGTTGCAATTCCTTGCCTCCACTCCAGTATCCAGATGAGACAAACCCCAGCCACATCTCCAGCACACGAGAACTCCAAACGCCTGAACCGCAGCTGCCAGGGGTTCCTCCAGAACCTCTTCCCCCAGGAGCTTGCTACAAGTACTGGAAATCTGGCCACTGGGCCAAGGAATGTCCACAGCCTGGGATTCCTCCTAAGCCGCATCCCATCTGTGCGGGACCCCACTGAAAATCGGACTGTTCAACTCACCTGGCAGCCACTCCCAGAGCAGCTAGAACTCTGGCCCAAGGCTCTCTGACTCCTTCCCAGATCTTCTCGGCTTAGCAGCTGAAGACTGACACTGCCCGATCCCGATCGCCTCGGAAGCCTACAGGACCATCACAGACAGTCTAGGTAACTCTCACAGTGGAAGGTAAGCCCGTCCCCTTCTTAATCAATATGGAGGCTACCCACTCCACATTACCTTCTTTTCAAGGGCCTGTTTCTCTTGCCTCCATAACTGTTGTAGGTATTGACAGCTAGGCTTCTAAACCTCTTAAAACTCCCCAACTCTGGTGCCAACTTAGACAATACTCTTTCAAGCACTCCTTTTTAGTTATCCCCACCTGCCCAGTTCCCTTATTAGGCTGAGACACTTTAACTAAATTATCTGCTTCCCTGACTATTCCTGGACTACAGCTATATCTCATTGCTGCCCTTCTTCCCAATCCAAAGCCTCCTTTGTGTCCTCCTCTTGTATCCCCCCACCTTAACCCACAAGTATAGGATACCTCTACTCCCTCCTTGGTGACCAATCATGCACCCCTTACCATCTCATTAAAACCTAATCAACCTTACCCCGCTCAATGCCAATATCCCATCCCACAGCATGCTTTAAAAGGATTAAAGCCTGCTACAGCATGGCCTTTTAAAGCCTATAAACTCCCCTTACAATTCTCCCATTTTACCTGTCCTAAAACCAGACAAGGCTTACACATTAGTTCAGGATCTGCACCTTATCAACCAAATTGTTTTGCCTATCCACCCCGTAGTGCCAAACCCATATACTCTCCTATCCTCAATACCTGCCTCTACAACCCATTATTCTGTTCTGGATCTCAAACATGCTTTCTTTACTGTTCCTTTGCACCCTTCATCCCAGCCTCTCTTCGCTTTCACTTGGACTGACCCTGACACCGATCAAGCTCAGCAAATTACCTAGGCTGTACTGCTGCAAGGCTTCACAGACAGCCCCCATTACTTCAGTCAAGCCCAAATTTCTTCCTCCTCTGTTACCTATCTCGGCATAATTCTCATAAAAACACACGTGCTCTCCCTGCCAATCGTGTCCTAGTGATCTCTCAAACCCCAGCACCTTCTACAAAACAACAACTCCTTTCCTTCCTAGGCATGGTTAGCGTGGTCAGAACTCTTACACAAGAGCCAGGACCGCACCCTGTAGCCTTTCTGTCCAAACAACTTGATCTTACTGTTTTAGCCTAGCCCTCACGTCTGTGAGCAGCGGCTGCCGCTGCTTTAATAGTTTTAGAGGCCCTCAAAATCACAAACTATGCTCAACTCACTCTCTACAGTTCTCATAACTTCCAAAAATCTATTTTCTTCCTCACACCTGACGCATATACTTTCTGCTCCCCGGCTCCTTCAGCTGTACTCACTCTTTGTTGAGTCTCCCACAATTACCATTGTTACTGGCCCATACTTCAATCCGGCCTCCCACATTATTCCGGATACCACACCTGACCCCCATGACTGTATCTCTCTGATCCACCTGACATTCACCCCATTTCCCCACATTTCCTTCTTTCCTATTCCTCACCCTAATCACATTTAGTTTATTGATGGCAGTTCCACCAGGCCTAATCGCCACTCACCAGCAAAGGCAGGCTATGCTATAGTATCTTCCACATCTATCATTGAGGCTACCGCTCTGCCCCCTCCACTACCTCTCAGCAAGCCGAATTAGTTGCCTTAACTCAAGCCCTCACTGATGCAAAAGGACTATGCATCAATATTTATACTGACTCTAAATATGCCTTTCATATTCTGCCCCACCATGCGGTCATATGGGCTGAAAGAGGTTTCCTCACTACACAAGGGTCCTCCATCTTTAATGCCTCCTTAATAAAAACTCTGCTCAAGGCCGCTTTACTCCCAGAGGAAGCTGGAGTCATTCACTGCAAAGGCCATCAAAAGTCATCAGATCCCATTGCTCTAGACAATGCCTATGCTGACAAGGTGGCTAGACAAGCAGCTAGCTTTCCAACTTCTGTCTCTCACATCTATGCTTATGCTGATAAGGTAGCTAGACAAGCAGCTAGCATGCCAATTTCTGTCCCCCACAGCCAGTTTTTCTCCTTCTCATCAGTCACTCCCACCTACTCCCCCACTGAAACTTCCACCCATCAATCTCTTCCCACACAAGGCAAATGGTTCTTAGACCAAGGAAAATACCTCCTTCCAGCCTCACAGGCCCATTCTATTCGGTCGATATTTCATAGCCTCTTCCATGTAGGTTACAAGCTGCTAGCCCATCTCTTAGAACCTCTCATTTCCTTTCCATCCTGGAAATCTATCCTCAAGGAAACCACTTCTCAGTGTTCCATCTGCTATTCTACTACCCCTCAGGGATTGCTCAGGTCCCCTCCCTTCCCTACACATCAGGCTCGGGGATTTGCCCCCGCCTAGGACTGGCAAATTGACTTTACTCACATGCCCTGAGTCAGGAAACTAAAATACCTCTTGGTCTGGGTAGACACTTTCACTGGATGGGTAGAGGCCTTTCCCACAGGGTCTGAGAAGGCCACCGAGGTCATTTCTTCCCTTCTGTCAGACATAATTCCACAGTTTGGCCTTCCCACCTCTATACAGTCTGATAGCAGACCGGCCTTTATTAGTCAAATCAGCCAAGCAGTTTTTCAGGCTCTTGGTATTCAGTGAAACCTTTATATCCCTTACAGTCCTCAGTCTTCAGGAAAAGTAGAACAGACTAATAGTCTTTTAAAAACACACCTCACCAAGCTCAGCCACCAACTTAAAAAAGACTGGACAATACTTTTACCACTTTCTTTTCTCAGAATTCAGGCCTGTCCTCAGAATGCTAAAGGGTACAGCCCATTTGAGCTCCTGTATAGACGCTCCTTTTTATTAAGCCCCAGTCTCATTCCAGACACCAGACCAACTTGGAATGTGCCCCCAAAAACTTGTCATCCCTACTATCTTCTGTCTAGTCATACTCCTATTCACCATTCTCAACTACTCACACATGCCCTGCTCTTGTTTACACTGCTGGTTTACACTGTTTTTCCAAGCCATCACAGCTGATATCTCCTGGTGCTATCCCCAAACCACCACTCTTAACTCTTGAAGTAAATAAATAATCTTTGCTGGCAAGGCTATGCTGAACCTCCTTAGGCACTCTCTAATTAGATGTCCTAGGTCCTCCCAATTCTTAGACCTTTAATACCTGTTTTTCTCCTTTCCTTATTCCATTTAGTTTTTCAATTCATACAAAACTGCATCCAGGCCATCACCAGTAATTCTAAATGAAAAATGTTTCTTCTAACAATCCCACAATATCACCCCTTACCACAAAATCTTCCTTCAGCTTAATCTCTCCCACTCTAGGTTCCCACGCCGCCCCTAATCCCGCTCGAAGCAGCCCTGAGAAACATCGCCCATTCTCTCTCCATACCACCCCCCAAAATTTTCGCCATCCCAACACTTTACCACTATTTCGTTTTATTTTTCTTATTAATATAAGAAGACAGGAATGTCAGGCCTCTGAGCCCAAGCTAAGCCATCATATCCCCTGTGACCTGCACGTACACATCCAGATGGCCGGTTCCTGCCTTAACTGATGACATTCCACCACGAAAGAAATGAAAATGGCCTGTTCCTGCCTTAACTGATGACATTATCTTGTGAAATTCCTTCTTCTGGTTCATCCTGACTCAAAAGCTCCCCTACTGAGCACCTTGTGACCCCCCACTCCTGCCCACCAAAGAACAACCCCCCTTTGACTGTAATTTTCCTTTACCTACCCAAATCCTATAAAACGGCCCCACCCCTATCCCCCTTCGCTGACTCTCTTGTCGGACTCAGCCTGCCTGCACCCAGGTGAAATAAACAGCCTTGTTGCTCACACAGAGCCTGTTTGGTGGTCTCTTCACACGGACGCGCATGAAACAGACCAGCCTAGCCAACATGGTGAAACCCCGTCTCCACGAAAATACAAGAAATTAGCCGGGCGTGGCGGTGCGCACCTGTAGTTCCAGCTACTCGGGAGGCTGAGGCAGGGGAATCACTTGAACCTGGGAGGCGGAGATTGCAGTGAGCCCAGATCACACCAGCGTAGCGACAGAGTGAAACTCTGTCTCAAAAAAAAAAAAAAAAAAAAAAGAAAAAGAAGTTTTCTAAGGCCAGGCGCAGTGGCTCATGCCTGTAATCCAAGCACTTTTGGGAGGCTGAGGCGGGCAGATCACCTGAGGCCGGGAGTTCGAGACCGGCCTGACCAACATGGTGAAACCCTGTCTCTACTAAAAATACAAAAATGAGCTGGGCATGGCGGCGGGTGCCTGTAATCCCAGCTTCTTGGGTGCGGGGGGGATCTGTTCTGCAGATCCCAGCTGTACGACAGATGAGACACGTCCTCAGACACCAATATTCAGTGAAAGAGCAGGCCAGGGGGCTGCCGGCACTAGGAGCCAAAGAGAGTGCAGCCCCTCTAAGCTGGCAACGCTTGCATTTATTTAGCACAGATTTAATTAACAAAGGCTTTGAGTCAACACACCTGTGGGTAATTAACCTGGTCACCGCCCCCCGCCACCTCCCTGGAGAGGGCCATCTTGCCCGAGAATGATCAAAGGTTGATTTTAGGACCATATGACTAAGCAAGCTATTTAGATAAAATACTCCGCATTCCTTTGTATCTGCGCCCTAAGCTGTTTGGCTCCTGAAAAGAGAATCTGGCTGCTTTCAGCCAAACTATCTGAAGCTATGCCAACCTCCCTGGCCTTCCAAGAAGGTTTGCTGCTTCCTATTCCTATAATTTCTTCTGCTACTCTGACTGATCTCCCACACTTGGGAGGTTGAGGCAGGAGAATCCCTTGAACCAGGGAGGCAGAGGTTGCAGTGAGCCGAGATCACACTACTGCACTCCAACTTGGGTGACAAGAGCGAGACTCCATCTCAGAAAAAAAAGTTAAAAAAAAATTGTAGGCCAGGCGTGGTGGCTCACGCCTGTGATCCCAGCACTTTGGGAGGCCAAGGCGGGTGGATCACCTGAGGTCCAGAGTTCGAGACCAGCCTGACCAACATGGAGAAACCCCGTCTCTTCTAAAAATATAAAATTAGCCAGGCGTGGTGGCGCATGCCTGTAATCCCAGCTGCTCTGGAGGCTGAGGCAGGAGAATGGCTTGAGCCCAGGAGGCGGAGGTTGCGGTGAGCCGAGACCGCACCATTGCACTCCAGCCTGGGCAACAAGAGTGAGACTCTGTCTCAGAAAAAAAAAAAAAAAAATTGTAGTAAAAACATAACATACAATTTACCATCTTAGCCATTGTAAGTGTACAGTATAGCAGTGTTAAATGTATTCACGGTGTTTTGAAACAGATCTCCAGAATATTTTCATCTTGTAAAACTGAAACTCTATGCCTAAAAGAGGAATCGTTCAACACATAGAAGTTTTATTTCAACCATTTTTGTTGTTGTTGTTGAGATGGAGTCTTGCTCTGTCACCAAGGCTGGAGTGCGGTGGTACGATCTTGGCTCACTGCAACCTCCGCCTCCTGGGTTCAAGCCATTCTCCTGCCTCAGCCTCCTCAGTAGCTGGTAATGCAGGTGCGTGCCACCACACCTGGCTAATTTTTGTATTTTTAGTAGAGACGGGGTTTTGCCATGTTGGCCAGGCTGGTCTCGAACTCCTGGCCTCGTGATCTGCCTGCCTTAGCCTCCCAAAGTGCTGGGATTTCAGGTGTGAGCCACTGCGCTCAGCCTGGGAAATGTATACTTCAGAGATTGTTGGATTTTCAGGGCCTTCTGTGGCTTGACGTCATCTGGAAAAGTGTGGTCATTGGGAAGATATTACTTTGATTGGTTGTCACTCATGCTTGGGTGTTTACTGAAATGAGTCTGATTGGATGACTTTTAGAAGCAAGGAGCTGCCTGACTGATGGTAACATAACAATATAAAACGTATGGAGTGGCCGGGCTTTGTGGCTCACTCCTGTAATCCCAGCACTTTGAGAGGCTGAGGCAGGCAGATCACCCTGAGGTCAGAAGTTTGTGACCAGCTTGGCCAACATGGCGAAACCCGTCTGTACTAAAAATACAAAAATTATCTGCGTGTGGTGGCAGGTGCCTATAATCCCAGCTACTGGGGAGGCTGAGGCAGGAGAATTGCTGAACCCGGGAAAGAGAGGTTGCAGGGAGCCGAGGTCACGTCACTGCTCCCCAGCCTGGGTGACAGAGCAAGACCCCGTCTCAAAAAAAAAAAAAAAAAAAAAGAGCATCTTCACAGAGATGAGTTGTCATTGATGATGGGTTAAAAATCAGTTTTGGTGGCTACTTGTTACTGTGGTTACAGGACAATAAAATACTTTTCTGAAGAGCTCAGGAACTTTATTATTCTGAAAACGCTTTTTCCAAACAAGGTCCTTCTGTCAGCAAAACGACTTATATGAGTTTAATCTTATCCATCTCTGGGAATCTAGCCCCATTGTGTCTCTGTAATCCAAGTCCTGGACCTGACGTAAAGTCCCTCAACCCCCTTCATCCAAAATTGTGGCACTTTCCCTTTATTTATTTATTTATTATTTATTTGTTTGTTTACTTTTGAGACGGAGTCTCGCTCTGTGGCCCAGGCTGGAGTGTAGTGGCGTGATCTCAGCTCATTGCAAGCCCCGCCTCCCAGGTTCACGCCATTCTCCTGCCTCAGCCCCTGGAGTAGCTGGGACTACAGGCACCTGCCACCACACCTGGTGAAAAAAATCAGAACAAACTGAAGATATGGGCCAGAACTTGTATAAAGTGTGAAAAGCAGTCAATAAAGAAAGTTAGAAATACTTTGCATTTTTTTTTTAATCACAGGACCTGAGTTAAGCCAAGAATACAGTAGAAATTTTATCAAGTAGAGATAAGCTCTCAGTAAAGGATAAAAGTGGGCCTAAGTCCCTTCAGTTTCACTGGAAGTAGGACCCTTACATTTTATAATTATATTTTCATACATAAGCTACTGGACAATGAAGTAAATAGCAATCAGTGAAAGAGCCACATATGACCAACTTAGATTTCCTTGAGTAAAGTCTGTCAAGGGTAAAGCTGTGAAAGTTTATAAGAAAAAAGAATGGGGAATTATTTGGAAGACCATTTGAGTTTTGTACACAAGAATTTAATGTTTGCACACTTGATAATATATGTGAATATCATCAAAACTAAGTGAAAAAATAAATTAATGAGGTGAAACACATGCCTGTATTCCTTGTATGAAAATCCGGTAGAAATAGGGTTTGTGAAATAAATAGGGTAATCCTCCTGTAGGATTATGACTTTCACTCTTATCAATTTGTAGATGAACACAGCAGGAGGCTGAGGTAGGAGGATTGCTTGAGACCAGGAGTTCAAGACCAGCTTAGGCAACATAGGGAGAGCCTCACTTCAACAAAAAAAAATAAAGGAGGGGGGTTATTGAATATATTTGGCATGCTTACCAACCATTTATATTTGGGGAAGACACATTTAAAAATATAAAAAGAAGGCTGGGCGCAGTGGCTCACATCTGTAATCCCAGCACTTTGGGAGGCCGAGGCGGGCAGATCACGAGGTCAGAAGTTTGAGACCAGCTTGGCCAATGTGATGAAACCCCGTCTCTACTAAAAATACTGTAAAAGTAGCTGGGCGTGATGGTGGGAGCCTGCAATCCCAGCTACTTGGGAGGCCGAGGCAGGAGAATCACTTGAACCCAGGAGGCAGAGGTTGCAGTGAGCCGAGATCGTGCCACTGCACTCCAGCCTGGGCAACAGAGTGAGACTCTGTCTCAAATAAAAATAAAAATAAAAATAAATAAAATAAATAAAAAAAGAGAAGAACAATGAAGGAAGAAATTAAACAGGATATAAAAAATCAGAAGACAGATAAGATGGAAAACCATAACTTATGTGCAGAAAGGTGGGTGCAAATCGATCAGTCCTGCATAAGAAAACACCATTTGATTGGTTTGAACATGCATCTGGCCAGGCGTGGTGGCTCATGCCTATAATCTCAGCACTTTGGGAGGCCAAGGTGGGTGGATCACCTGAGGTCAGGAGTTCGAGACCAGCCTGGCCAACACAGTGAAACCCCATCTCTACTAAAAATACAAAAATTAGCTGGGTGCAGTGGTATGTGCCTGTAATTCCAGCTACTTGGGAGGCTGAGGCACAAGAATCACTTGAACCCAAGAGGTTCAATGAGCCGAGATTGCTCCACTGCACTCCAGCCTGGGTGACAGAGCCAGACTCTGTCTCAAAAAAAAAAAAAAGTAGATTCAAGCTTCTTAGTGAGCTTTTCTCTCTTGTGTCCTTCAAGTAGCTTTGTCGGACTCCACAGTCCTGGCTCCTCTCTGCCTTCACCTCCAGGTGTTTACTTGCAGACACTTGGTGTTCGTGCAAAGGTCAATCCTGGCTGACACATCTGTTGGCTCCAGCTCGGTTCAGCCACATCTGCCGAGGCTTCCTTGTTCAGTGCCGTATGGCTGTGCCAATTTTCAACCAGTATGGCCAAGAGAGCCACGAGGACCAGTCCTGCCACGGCCATGCGGATCAAGTTCTGCGTCGTGTAATCTTGGTGGATGGAGTCTGGAGACACAATTCAAGGAGATGAATGGTTGGTGGTTGTGTTCCATTCCATCCCAACCCCAGAGCCCTGAAACGGGAGCTCATTTTCCTTTTCGCTTGCCAAAATGGGACTCCCTCAAGCATCCCCTCAATGAGCTCATGCTTCGCCAGCACCACACTGATCAGTCAGCAAGACTGTGTTCACGGGCAAGGAACTGTGCTTCCCAGGGAAGTGCTATAAACTGGGAAGGAGGTGATTATGGGCAGGTTGTGTGTGTTTTTTTTTTTTTTTTTTTTTGAGATGGAGTCTCACTCTGTTGCCCAGGCTGGAGTGCAGTGGCGTGATCTCGGCTCACTGCAACCTCCGCCTCCCTGGTCAAGTGATTCTCCTGCCTCAGCCTCCCAAGTAGCTGGGATTACAGGCGCCCACCACCACCACGCCTGGTTAATTTTTGTATTTTTAGTGGAGATGGGGTTTCACTATGTTGGCCAGGCTGGTCTCGAACTCCCGACCTCAGGTGATCCACCTGCCTCAGCCTCCCAATGTGCTCAGATTACAGGCGTGAGCCATCGTGCCCAACCATGTTTTTTTTTTTTTTCTTGAGGTGGAGTCTCGTTCTGTCACCCAGGCTGGAGTGCAATGGCGTGATCTTGGCTCACTGCAACAGCTGCCTCCTGGGTTCAAGTGATTCTCCTGCCTCAGCCTCCTGAGTAGCTGGGACGACAGGCTCACGCCACCACGCCCGGCCAGGCAGGTTGTGTTTTCTTTTCATTCTCTCCTCACTTGGTGAATTCACTAAATACCTAATCACATCTCTACAACACCAGAACAAGGTGGAATCCTAATAAGAATGTGTGCAGCCTGGCCAGGCGCGGTGGCTCACGCCTGTAATCCCAGCACTTTGGGAGGCCGAGGCAGGTGGATCACCTGAGGTCGGGAGTTCGAGACCAGCCTGGCCAACATGGTGAAACCCTGTCTGTGTGGTCCCAGCTACTCAGGAGGCTGAGGCAGGAGAATTGCTTGAACCTGGGAGGCGAAGGTTGCAGTGAGTCGAGATCGTGCCACTGCACTCCAGCCTTGGCGAAAGAGCAAGACTCTATCCCGGAAAATAAAATGAAATAAATAAAATGAAACAAACTGAGTTAGCCCTTCTGTTCTCCACAGACTAAGTTTTCAATGAACCCTGTCTGGAGAACTCTAGCGAGGAAGTGAAAGCGGAAAGTGTGGTGGGGAAGCCTTTCTCTCTCCACTGTCCTGGAGTGAGAGCCTTTGCCTCTCTTCACTTCACTCTCAGTGCACGTCTTCATATTCCTGCCCGGTGGCAAGGCCCTGGACAGCCAACCCAGACACAGGGCTGGACTGGGCGGTACCTACCTGTGACCACAAGCTCCAAGGCATTACTGGGGAAGGACCACAGGTAGGGGCTCCTGTTGTACCAACCGTAGCACCTGTAGATCCCTGAGACATTGAGGTCCACAGGACCCAAAGAGAAGTTGGCCGGGTGTTCCCCACTTTGGTGCTGTGGCAGAGAAAGTTCTCCCTCCTTGGCCAGTGAAAATCTATCAAATGGGATGTGTGCTGAGCTGCACGTGAGGGAAATATTCTCTCCTGGCATCAACACCAGACCCCGATCTGCAGAGAGGAAGGGTTTGCCATACAAGCCTAAGAGAGAAAAGAGTGAGCTATTAGAAAGACCTTTTCTCCTTTATTCTTTTCTTCTTCTTATTATTGTTATTATTATATATTTTTTTGAGATGGAGTTTCGCTCTTATTGCCCAAGCTGGAGTGCAGTGGCGTGATCTCAGCTCACTGCAACCTCCGTCTCCCGGGTTCAAGCAATTCTCCTGCCTCAGCCTCCCGAGAAACTGGGATTACAGGTGCGTACCACCACGCCCAGCTAATTTTTGTATTTTTAGTAGAGACGGGGTCTCTCCATGTTGGTCAGGCTGGTCTCGAACTCCTGACCTCAGGTGATTTGCCCACCTTGGCCTCCCAAAGTGCTGGGATTACAGGCATGAGCAACTGTGCCCAGCCTATTATTGTTTTTTGAGATGGAGTCTCACTCTGTCACTGAGGCTGCAGTGCAGTGGCACGATCTCAGCTCACTGCAACCTCCACCTCCGAGGTTCAAGTGAGTCTCCTGCCTCAGCCTCCCGAGTAGCTGGGATTACAGGCACCCGCCACCACGCCCAGCTAATTTTTGTATTTTTAGTAAAGATGAGGTTTCTCCATGTTGGTCAGGCTGGTCTTGAATCCCTGACCTCAGGTGATCCACCTGCCTCAGCCTCCCAAAGTGCTGGGATTACAGGCGTGAACCACAGTGCCCAGCCTCTTTTTTCTTTTTTAGAATTTATTTATTTTAGAGAGGGTCTCACTCTGTCGCCCAGGCTGAGGGCAGTGGCATAATCACGGCTCACTGCAGCCTCGACCTCCCAGGCTCAGGTGATCCTACCATCTCAGCCTCTCAAGTAACTGAGACTACAGGTGGGTGCCACCATGCCCAGCTAATTTTTTGATTTTTTGTACAGATGGGGTCTTACTATGTTGCCCAGGCTGGTCTCCTGGGCTTAAGTGATCTGCCCATCTCGGCTTCTCAAAGTGCTGGGATTACAGGCGTGAGCCACGGCGCCCAGCCTCCCAAAGTGCTGGGATTACAGGCACGAGCCACGGTGTCTGGCCACAGTTACTACTTCAGCCAGGCTTTCAACAACAGCCAGCTCAACATCCACAGTCATGTTCCCATGGACAGTTTAAACCTTTGCTATGAGGAGATGAAATGGCACTTTGCTTCTGTGGTCTTGCCTGCAATGACCCATAACTCAGTCTAGTCATGAGCAAAACATCGGACAATTTCCAGTAGTGGGAGTACCCTTGAAAATAATGGACCACTACCCTCAAAACTGACAAGGTCATGGAAAACCAGCAACATCTGAGAAGCTGTGACAGCCAAGACAAACCTAAAGATACATGACACCTGCCGGGCACGGTGGCTCACGCCTGGAATCCCAGCACTTTGGGAGGCCAGGTGCGGTGGCTCATGCCTGTAATCCCAGCATTTTCGGGGGCCGGGCGTGGTGGCTCACGCCAGTAATCCCAGCACTTTGGGAGGCCAGGCGGGCGGATCACGAGGTCAGAAGATTGAGACCATCCTGGCTAACACAGTGAAACCCTATCTCTACTAAAAATACAAAAAATTAGCCAGGCGTGGTGGCGGGCGCCTGTAGTCCCAGCTACTCGGGAGGCTGAGGCAGGAGAATGGCGTGAACCCGGGAGGTTGGAGCTTGCAGTGAGCCGAGATTGTGCCACTGCACTCCAGCCTGGGCAACACAGCGGGACTCCATCTCAAAAAAAAAAAAAAAAAAAAAAATAAAGATACATGACACCTGAATGCAATGTGAAATCTTTTTGTGTGTGTGTGTGTGAGATGGAGTCTCGCCCTGTCGCCCAGCCTGGAGTGCAGTGGTGTGATCTTGGCTCACTGCAACCTCTGCCTCCTGGGTTCAAGCGATTCTCCTGCCTCAGCCTCCCAAGTAGCTGGGATTACAGGCGTGTGCCACCAGGCCTGGCCAATTTTTTCCATTTTTAGTAGAGACGAGGTTTCACTGTGTTGGCCAGGCTGGTCTCGAACTCCTGACCTCAGGTGATCCACCCACCTCAGCCACCCAAAGTGTTGGGATTACAGGCGTGAGCCACCGCGCCCAGCGATTGTTGCATTTTCAGTAGAGACGGGGAATTCACCATGTTGGCCAGGCTGGTCTCGAACTCCTGACCTTGGGTGATCCACCCGCCTCGGCTTCCCTAAGTGTTGGGATTACAGGCGTGAGCCACCACTCCCAGCCGCAATGTGAAATCTTGAATGGGATCCTGGAACAGAGAAAGACTATCAGGTAAAAACTAAGAAAATGTAAATAAACTGTAGACTGTAGCTGGGAATGTGTCGATATTTGTTCATTAATGGTAAGAAATGTGCCATACTAATGTAAGATGTTAACTCTGGGGGAAGTGGGGTGCCAGATGGCTGAGAACTCTCTGAAGCAATCATCAATTTTTTTTTGTTTGTAAATCTAAAACTTCTTGAAAAATACTCTATTAAAAATAAGAAAAAAATCACACCAGGGCTGTGGACCCTGGATGTTTCCTTACCTGTCACTACCAGCTCCAGGGTGTCACTGTACCGGAACCTGTAGTGCCCTATCCTATATTGGCACTGATAGCGCCCTGCCTTGTTTGCGTCCATGTGGTCAATGACGAACTCAGGATCAGTCTCATTCCAAAACTTCAGTCTTCTGCCTATCTCTCGGTACGTGGAGTTTTTTATGATCATCAGCTGGGTCAGGTAAGCTTCACGAATGGCCTGGCACTGGATTTTCACAGATCCATCCAAGGGAATCACAGGACTCGATTTGGCAGATATGAAAGGCATGGGAAAGTCCCCTGGAAGAAAAGAAAGCCCAGACTGAGGTGGCTTGCCATGGGGAAGCCATTCCTTTCCTTCTCTGTGGGAGAAGTAAAAATACATTAGGGTGTGAAGAACCTACCATTCTTTATTTAAAAAAAAATTTAGGCCGGGTGCGGTAGCTCACGCCTGTATTCCCAGCACTTTGGGAGGCCGAGGCGGGTGGATCACAAGGTGACGATATCAAGACCATCCTGGCTAACACGGTGAAACCCCGTGTCTACTGAAAATACAAAAAATTAGCAGGACGTGGTGGCGGGCGCGTGTAGTCCCAGCTACTCGGGAGATTGGGGCAGGAGAATGGCGTGAACCTGGGAGGCAGAGCTTGCAGTGAGCCGAGATCACACCACTGCACTCCAGCCTGGGCAACAGAGTGAGACTTCGTCTCAACAACAACAACAAAAAAATTAAAAAAAGAGAAAAATTTAAATAATTTGTGATGCTGAGGTTTGGAGTACGATTGATCCTGTCACCCAGGTACTGAGCATAGTACCCAATAGGCAGTTTTTCAACCCCCTTTCTTCCCCCCCATCTAGTAGTCTCCAGTGTCTATGGTTGCCATCTTTATTTTTTATTGTTATTATTTTTCGAGACAGAGTCTTGTTTTGTCGCCCAGGCTGCAGTGCAGTGGTGCAATCTCAGCTCCTCCGCCTCCCGGGTTCAAGCAATTCTGCTGCCTCAGCCTTCCGAGTAGCTGGGATTACAGGTGCCCACCACCATGCCTGGATAATTTTTGTATTTTTAGTAGAAACGGGGTTTCACCATGTTGGCCAGGCTGGTCTTGAACTCCTGACTTCAAGTGATCCACCTGCCTCGGCCTCCCAAAGTGCTGGGATTACAAGCGTGAGCCACCGCACCTGGCTGCAACTGGGGTTTTTGCAGAGGCAACACTGAAGCCAGGGGGACCTCCGCAGGCATTGACCCCAGAGCAGTCGGGTGCCGTTACCACAGCCCCCGCAGAGGCCACGGGCATGGTGCGTGGGAGCAGTGAGATGGCTCCACCTGCCGTTACTCCACAAGGCTCAAGGCCAGTTTCCAGCATAGTGGCCCAGCTTCTGCCTGAACTCTGCCCGGGGTCGTGGCTGCATGCTTCCCTGGAAAGCACCCAGATGGTGAAGTGGGTGACTCCACCCACCCCTGCCACTTGCAGCCAGACGGGCCAGGCTTGCTGGGTCTTCCAGCGCTGCAGACCCCCTTCTGCCTGAACTCTGTGGGGTGTGCAGCTCTGTGTTTTTCTTTTCTTTTCTTTTTTTGTTGAGATGAAGTCTCACTCTGTTGCCCAGGCTGGAGTGCAGTGGTGTGATCTTGGCTCACTGCAAGCTCCGCCTCCCGGGTTCACACCATTCTTCTGCCTCAGCCTCCCGAGTAGCTGGGACTACAGGCGCCCGCCACCACGCCTGGCTAATTTTTTTTTGTATTTTTAGTAGAGACGGGGTTTCACCATGTTATCCAGGATGGTCTCAGTCTCCTGACTTCGCAATCTGCCCATCTCGGCCTCCTAAAGTACTGGGATTACACGTGTGAGCCACCATGCCCAGTAGCTCTGTGTTCCCCTGGGAAGCACTGAGATGGCAGATCATGTGGCTCCAATCACCCTTGCTGAGAAGGACTCACCACGTTAGGTGGCGACCAAGCCGTGAGGAGCCCTCATTCTCAGAACGTTCAGAGGGGTGAAACACCTGATTTCATCAGCCTGCAGAGGTGCGGGGTGGTCCTCCCTCCATAGGGCTGGCCGGGGAAGGATACAGCCTGTCTGCCCACCATGCCCTGCCTGAGGGAGCCCCGTGGGCAGAACAATCCTAACAAAGGAAACAGTGGGTGCAGAGCCAGTGACTGTAGGAGGCTCCTCCAAGGCCCAAGAATGGACCAGGCGAGGGAGTCACCCCTCCTCACAACCACAGAGCACTACTGCCGACTTTGTCAAAATACAAGAGTTAGGGGGCCAAGGCAGGCAGATTGCTTGAGCCCAGGAGTTTGAGACCAGCCTGGTAAACATGGTGAAACCCCATCTCTACAAAAAAAAAAAAAAAATTACAAAAATTTTCTCTTTATGGTGCTGCGTGCTTGTAGTCCCAGCTACTCAGGAGGCTGAGGCAGGAGGATCACTTAGCCTGATAGGTAGAGGCTGCAGTGAGCCGAGATTGTGCCACTGTGCTCCAGCCTGGGCGACAGAACAAGACCCTGTGTCAAAAAACGAAACAAAAAACGAAACAAAACTACAAAAGAGCCTTGTGGCTAAGATCCTGTATGCTGGCCAACCCTTTTAAGTGCCACCTACTGGATCACACTTCAAAATACAACACTGAAAAATTTTGCCAGTATACAATGAAGGGAAAAATTCAGCCACAAATAAAGATCCTGTGCAGAGTCCTGGCATCTGAAAACACCCAGAAATGAAGCCAAGCGACTGTACTCAACCGACATCACAGTTAAAGGAACACCAGCCCTCACACAAGAGAAAGAATCAACACCAAGGCCGGGCGCGGTGGCTCACACCTGTAATCCCAGCACTTTGGGAGGCTGAAGTGGGCAGATCACCGGAGGTCAAGAGTTTGAGACCAGCCTGACCAACGTGACAAAACCCGGGCTCTACTAAACATACAAAAATTAGCCGGGCGTGGTGGCACACACCTGTAATCCCAGCTACTCAGGAGGCTGAGACAGGAGAATCGCTTGAACCCGGGAGGTGAAGGTTGCAGCAGTGAGCTGAGATCGTGCCACTGCACTCCAGCCTGGGCGACAGAGTAAGACTCTGCCACAAAAAAGAAAAAAAAAAGAAAAAAAAAAAAGAATCAACACAAGAACTCTGGCAACTCGATAGTTCCCCAGAAATCTGGTTCTTAGCTACATTGAGATGAATGAAACGAGGGTTATAGAATTCAGAATCTGGATGGCCAGGACGCTCTTCGAAATTGAGGAGAAATTTGAAACACAATCCAAGGGGTCCATGGTGGGGACACACTGGCTTTTTGAGTTCCCAGAATTCTTTTTCATGTGTGGGGGCCCGGTCATTATGCCACAGCCATCAGACAGAGAGGAGTCCAGTCTCTCTTCCCCGTGAGCTCCCACCCCCACTTTACCAGGCAGAGCCCCCAGCTCGGGAGTGCAGAGCAGCTGCCCCGCCCTCAGCACACTCACTGGTGGTGGCTCGTGTTTCCCTGGGGAGTGGCTCCCAGAGGCAACTGACAGCCCCTCTGCCACTGCCATGGCAAGGGTTCTGCCTCTGCTGCCCGTGATCTGGGGAAGAAGCAAGGAGCCTGGGGCCTTCATTCATGCTTCAATTTATTTATTTATTTATTTATTTATTTATTTATTTATTTATTTATTTATTTGAGACGGAGTCTCGCTCTGTCGCCCACGCTGCAGTGCAGTGGCCCGATCTCGGCTCACTGCAAGCTGCGCCTCCCGGGTTCACACCATTCTCCTGCCTCAGCCTCATCCTCCTCCCGAGTAGCTGGGACTACAGGCGCCCGCCACCACGCCCGGCTCATTTTTTGTGTTTTCAGTAGAGACGGGGTTTCACCAGATTAGCCAGGATGGTCTCGATCTCCCGACCTCGTGATCCGCCCGCCTCGGCCTCCCAAAGTGCTGGGATTCCGGGCGTGAGTCCACCGCGCCCGGCCTTCATTCATGCTTCCAGCACACCGCAGTCGCCATACGGAGAGGAGCTCAGTCTCCTCTCCCTGTGAGCCCTCAACCCCCTGCTCTTCAACAAGCCCCAGCTTGATTCCGCGGCACAACAGCCCCACCCTCTGGCGGAGCGTTCCCAGCAGCTGTGAGTCTGCGTTTCTCTGTGGCGGAGCTCCCAGAGGCAACGGAAGGTCACTCTGCCGCTGCCACTGCGGTGGTACTGGCCTTGCTGCCCTCAGACTGGGGAAGGAGCAAAGACTCTGAGTGCTTCAACCACACCTCCGGCAAACTGCCCTAAGGAGAAGAGGCCAGTCTGTCACCCCTGTGACCCACCTGTCCCCCCTGCTCATCACTAGGCAGGGCCCCTAGCTTGGACCCACAGTGCAGTCGCCTCACTCTTGGCTCATCGCACTGATAGTGGCTCCACATCTCTCTGGGGTGGAGTTCCAAGGGACAAGTGAAAGGCCGTCTGCCACAACCGCTGCTAAGGTCCCTTCCCCTGCTGCCCCCAAGCCACGGAGGGAACATAAAGTCTGAGCTCACCCCAGAGCTGTGATGTGCAGCCTGGGAGTGCCGAGCCCAGATCTGCAGCCAGCACTTGGGTGGGAGAGGAGCCCGCACTTTCAGAGCGTGAGAGGGAGCACAGCGGCAATCATGAGGAATGACCTACTGGCCGTTGTGCTGAAGCATCATTTACCGGATTGCAGCCCAAACTTCAACACCAAAAATGCTCGCTAATATACCTCCCTGTGAAACCAAGGACAAGAATTTAGCTATAAATAAAGACCCTGTGCGAAGCCCCAGCCCTCTGAAACCATCCAGAAAAGAAGTCTACTGACTGTGCTCAAATTACATCACGGTTAAAAGAAAAAAGAAAAAAATTCAAATTGCAGCACACTCAAAGGAACATTAGCCCACATGGATGAGAAAGAACTGAGCAAGAACTCCATCAACTCAAAAAGCAACAGTGTCTTCCTTCCTCCAAATTACCACACAAGCTTCCCAGCAAGGGCTCTTTACCTGGCTGAAATGACAGAAATAGAATTCAGAATATGGATAGAAATTAAGGTCATCAAGATTCAGGAGAAAGTTGAAACCCAATGCAAGGAACCTAAAGATTACAATAAAATGACAGAGGGGCTAATCTATGAGATGGTCATTTTGAAAGAACCAAACGGATCTGATGGAGCTGAAAAACACACTACGAGATTTCATAATGCGATCACAAGTATTAATGGCAAAATAAAGCAAAATAAGGAAAGAATCTCAGAGCATGAATACTGGCTCTCTGAACTAATTCAGTCAGACAAAAATGAAGAAAAAGAATAAAAATTAATGAACAAAACCTCTAAGAAATATGGGATCATGAAAAGAGACCAAATAGCCCATTGGCATCCCCGAAAGAGATGGGGAGAAAGCAAGGAACATGGAAAACATATTTCAGTGTATTGTTCATGAAAACTTCCCCAACGTCACTAGAGAGGCCAAGAATCAAATGCAGGAAACAGAGAACCCCTGCAAAATACTACACAAGAAGAGCATCCCCAAGACACAAAATCATCAGATTCTTCAAGGTAGAAATGAAAGAAAGAAATGTCGGCCGGGCGCGGTGGCTCACGCCTGTAATCCCAGCACTTTGGGAGACCAAGGCGGGCGGATCACGAGGTCAGGAGATTGAGACCATCCTGGCTAACATGGTGAAACCCCATCTCTACTAAAAAAATATAAAAAATTAGCTGGGCGTGGTGGTGGGCACCTGTAGTCCCAGCTACTGGGGAGGCTGAGGCAGGAGAATGGCGTGAATCCGGGAGGCGGAGCTTGCAGTGAGCCGAGATCACGCCATTGCACTCCAGCCTGGCAGCCTGGGCAACAGAGCAAGACTCAGTCTCAAAAAAAAAAAAAAAAATGTGAAAAGGCAGCAAAAAAGAAGGGGCAGGTCACCTACAAAGGGAATGCCATCGAGCTAACAGCAGACCTTTCAGCAGAAACTCTACAATCCAGAAGAGATTGGGGGCCTATATTTAATGTTCTTATGAAAAGAATTTCCAACCAAGAATCTCATTCCCAGCCAAACTAAGTTTCATAAGTGAAGGAGAAATAAGATCCTTTACAGACAAGCAAATGCTGAGGGAATTTATTACCATCAGGCCTGCCTTACAAGAGGTCCTAAGAGGAACGCTAAATATGGAAAGAAAAGACCATCACCAGCCAATAGAAAACACACTTACGTACATAAACCAGTGACACTATAAAACAACCACACAAACAAGTCTGCATAATAACCAAACCAGCTAACAACATGATGACAGGAAAAAATCTGCACATGTAAATGCTAACTTTGAATGTAAATGGACTAATTGTCCTAATTAAAATGCAGAGAGTGGCAAGTTGGATAAAGAAGCAAGAGGCCAGGTGCAGTGGCTCACGCCTGTAACCCTGGCACTTTGGGAGGCTGAGGTGGGTGGATCATTTGAGGTCAGGAGTTCGACATTAGCCTGGCCAATGTGATGAAATCCCATCTCTAATAAAAAAAAAAAATAGCTGGGCGTGGTGGTACACACCTGTAATCCCAGCTATTTGGGAGGCTGAGGCAGGAGAATCATTTGAACCTGGGAGGCAGAAGTTGCAGTGAGTCAAGATCATACCACTGCACTCCAGCCTGGGTGACAGAGTGAGACTCCATCTCAAAAAAAAAAAAAAAAAAAAAAGCAAGACTCAACATTATGCTGCCTATAAGAAACCCATCTCATATGCAATGACATCCATAGGCTCAAAGTAAAGAAATGGAGAAAAATCTACCAAGCAAATGGAAAGCCAAAAAAAAAAAAAAATGCAGGAGCTGCTATTAAAATTTCAGACAAAACAGACTTTATACCAACAAAGATCAAAAAAGGCAAAGAAGGGCATTAAATCATGGTAAAGGGTTCAATTCAACATGAAGACCATAGCAGGACAGTGGCCACGGAAGTCGGAATCTGCTAAGGAGTGTGTAATAGCCCAACTGCTGAATCAAAAAGAAAAAGAAAAAAAAAATTAAAAAAAGAGCATGAAGACCTAACTATCCTAAATATATATGCACCTAACATGGAAGCACCCGGATTCATAAAGCGTGTTCTGAGAGACCAACGAAGAGACTTAGACAACCACACAATAATAGGGGGAGACTTTAACATCCCGCCGACAGTATTAGATCATTGAGGCAAACAGAGATATTCAGGACCTGAACTCAGCAGTGGATCAAATGGACCTGACAGACATCTACAGAACTCTCCACCCCCAAAACAACAGAATCTACATTGTTTTCATTGCCTCATGGCACATACTCTAAAGTCAATCATACAATCAGACATACAGCAATCCTTAGCAGGCTGGGCACGGTGGCTCACACCTGTAATCCCAGCACTTTGGGAAGCCAAGGCTGGCGGATCATGAGGTCAGGAGATCGAGACCATCCTGGCTAACGCAGTGAAACCCCGTCTTTACTAAAAATACAAAAAAAATTAGCCGGGCGGGGTGGCGGGCACCTGTAGTCTCAGCTACTCAGGAGGCTGAGGCAGGAGAATGGTGTGAACCTGGGAGGCGGAGCTTGCAGTGAGCCTAGATTGCGCCACTGCACTCCAGCCTGGGCGACAGAGCAAGACTCCATTTCAAAAAAAAAAAAAACAATCCTTAGCAAATCCAGAAAAGCGAAATCAGAGCACAGTGGAATAAAAATAGGAATAAATACTAAGAAAACCACTCAAAACTGTACAATGCATGGAAATTAAGCAGTCTGTTCTGGAATTTTTGGGTAAATATAGCAGAATCTCTGGGACACAGCTAAGGCAGTGTTAAGGGGGAAGTTTATAGCACTAAACTCCCACTTCAAAAAGCTAGAAAAAGTTCAAATTAACAACCTAACATCATAACAAGAGGAACTAAGAGAACCAAGAGGAAATCAACCCCAAAGCTCATAGGAAACAAGAAATAACCAAAATCAGAGCTGAGCTGAAGGAGATTGAGACACGAAAAAGCATTCAGAAGATCAGCAAATCGAGGAGTAGAATTTTTGAAAAAATTAGTAAGACAGATGACTAGTTAGACTAATAAAGAAGAAAAGAGAGATGATCCGGATAAACACAATTAGAAACAACAAAGGGTATATTACCACTCACCCCACAGAAATACAATCATCAGAGAATATTATGAACACCTCTATGCACACAAACTAGAAAATCCAGAATAAATGGAGAAATTCCTGGACACATACACCCTCCTGAGATCAAACCAAGAATAAATTGAATACATGAACAGACCAATAATGAGCTCCAAAATTGAATCAGTAATAAAAATCCTACAGACCAGAAAAAGCCCAGTACCAGACAGACTCACAGCTGAATCCCATCTGATATATAAAGAAGAGCTGGTACTATACCTACTGAAACGTTCCAAAAATATTCAGGAGGAGGAATGCCTCCCCAGCTCATTCTATGAGACCAGCATCATCTTGATGCAAAAACATGGCAGAGACACAACAAAACCAGAAAACTTCAGGACAATATCCTTGTTGAACATAAATGCAAAAATCCTCAACAAAATACTAGCAAACTATCCAGCAGCACATCAGAAAGCTAATCCACCACCATCAGGTAGGCTTTATTTCTGGGATGCAAGGTTGATTCGATATAGGAGTCTCGCTCTGTTGCCCAGGCTGGAGTGTAGTGGCGTGAACTTGGCTCACTGCAAGCTCCGCCTCCTGGATTCACGCCATTCTCCTGCCTGAGCCTCCCGAGCAGCTGGGACTACAGGTGCCCACCACCACGCCTGGCTAATTTTTTTGTGTTTTTTAGTATAGACGAGGTTTCACCGTGTTAGCCAGGATGGTGTCGATCTCCTGACCTCATGATCCACAAGCCTTGGCTTCCCAAAGTGCTGGGATTACAGGCATGAGCCACAGTGCCCGGCCAATATACACAAATCTTAAATATGATTCATCACATAAATAGAACAACCCTCCCCACACACATAATCCTCTCAATAGAGCTTTTGATAAAATTCAACATCCCTTTATGCTAAAAAACCTCGACAAACTAGGCATTGAAGAAACATATTTCAAAATAATAAGAATGATGTATGACAAACTCACAGTCAACATCATATTGAATGGGCAAAAGCTGGAAGTATTCCCCTTGAAAACTGGCAAAAGACATGGATGCCGTCTCTCACTACTTCTGTTCAACATAGTACTGGAGGTCCTAGCTAGAGCAATCAGGCAAGAGAGAAATAAAAGGCATCCAAATAGGAAGAAAGGAAGTCAAACTATCCCTGTTTGCAGGTGATATGATTCTATACCTAGAAAACCACAGTCTCTGCCCAAACACTTCTTAATCTGATAAACAACTTTAGCAAAGTTCCAGGATACAAAATCAATATATAAAAATCAGTAGCATTCCTATACACCAAAAACATCTAAGCTGAGAGCCAAATCAAGAATAGAATCCATTCACAATTACTGCAAAAAGAATAAAATACCTGGGAATACAGCTAACCAGGGAGGTGAAAGATCTCTGCAAGGAGAACTACAAAACACTGGTCAAAGAAATCATAGATGACACAAACAAATGGAAAAACATTCCATGCTCATGGATAGGAAGAATGAGTATTGTTCAACACACAAATAATTCAGGCTTTAGAAGGAGCTGGAAGAGAGAAGACATGGATGGACGTGGGGCTCACACCCATTAGGAGGCTAAGGCAGTAGTAGTTGGGGTGGCAGAATATTCAGTAGTACACTAAGACTGCCTCATGCTTAGTACTGCAGTAGTACTACAGAATGCTAGAGTGTTCAGTAGGGTTAGACTATGGCAGCATCCTTTTAAATGAAGTGACGGGAGGAAGTGGGTTGCTAAAACAAAATAGAATCAGCATAAGGAAGGATATTGGGCAGATGACTCCTGACTTCCTCATTCTTGCAGTTTGAGCATTCAGTAAATTACAGATCCTTCATGGACAGTCTAACACAGGCAAGGACTAACTATAAATCCAGGCCTGAGCATTAATGAGTCTGAAGGGTTTGGAGATAACAAAGTGAGATAGAAATTATGCAAGAGAAGCACAGCAGAAACAACTAGAATGGGGATTAAAATAAGAATGGTGCTTCAGGCTATTCTTCAATTTCTTTATCCTAGAGCTCCCAAGAGGGTCTAAAGGGGCTGGGAGAGATTTACAGGACACTTACCTTCCTGTGCCTGAATCCTCTGGCCCAGACAGAGCACTGGAAGAGAGAGATTTATGAAAAATCAAGCTTCCATTTCCAACCTTTACGACAAATCACCCTCTGTAATGACAGACCAGAAAAAGACCAGTACCAGATGGATTCACAGCTCAATCCCACCAGATATATAAAGAAGAGCTGGCATTTTTTTTTTTTTTTGAGACAGAGTCTCGCTGTGTCGCCCAAGCTGGAGTGCAGTGGCATGATCTTGGCTCACTGCAAGCTCTGCCTCCCAGGTTCATGCCATTCTCCTGCCTCAGCCGCACGAGTAGCTGGGACTACAGGCGCCCGCCACCACGCCTGGCTAATTTTTTTGTATTTTTAGTAGAGACAGGGTTTCACCATGTTGGCCAGGATGGTTTTGATCTCCTGACCTTGTGATCCGCCTGCCTTGGCCTCCCAAAGTGCTGGGATTGCAGGTGTGAGCCACTGCGCCCGGCCAAGAAGAGCTAGTATTATTCCTACTGAAACTATTGAAAAAAATCCTGGAGGAGGGACTCCTCCCCAACTCATTCTATGAGGCCAACATTATCCTGATAACAAAATGTGGCAGAGATACAACAAAAACAGAAAACTTCTGGATAATATCTTTGTTGAACATAAATGCAAAAATCTTCAACAAAATACTAGTAACCATATTTCTATATGGGGTTCTATCATATGTTTTCCTTCCACAACAATCACAGTTTTGAGGTTCATTCTTTATTTTTACCTTTCAGATTCCAGCCTCTAAGTCTCTCCTTGATAAGAACCTTGGGACCATCATGAATCCCAGATAACACACTATAGGTTTAATACAAATATTAAACCTTGAGCCCCACAAGCTAGCTTGGGCTTGGGTAGAGACAAAGTTATAGATACATTGACAAAGACGGCCTTTCCACTAAGGAGATCAGAATCTCCTTGGCAGCCACTAAAATCTCCTAGTCACACTGTTAAGAGACACCCTGATTATTTTGGGATTTCTCTATCTTCCCCTCTAACCCACTTTTACTCTGAAACTCACCAAGACACAGGAGGGTGGTCTGTTTGGGGTCCATCGTGCTGACACGGCCTCAGCCCCGTTGCTCTCCTTTCAATGCACATTAGCAGGATGACAGATATTCTTACGACAATAAGCTCCGCAGGAAGTATGAGGACAGAGCCCCTCGTCAGGGAATTTCCACATCTATTGCCTCACAACAAAGTGGAACAGTTCGTTGCCGAATAACTTAGTTCCAGGTTGCTCTTGGGTGGAGCCCAAGAGAAGACATATATATGTATATTTTTTTAAATAGAGATGGGGTCTTTCTATGTTGGCCAGGGTAGTCTCTAACTTCTGGCATCAAGAAATCCTCCTGCCTAAGACCTATATTTCTATTTATGTTTCAGATGAGAAACGAATGAGAAGTGAATTTTCATTAAGCCAGTGTCTAATGGTGTTCAAATTCATCTTTGAACCAGATGCTACATCCAAATAGACGGGCTTGGGACAGAATATAAGGTGGTGGATACCATACAGGCAGACATTGCCTTCACTGGGCCATTAGTCAAAAGCTCTGTGGCTTTGTCTGTTCTGAACCTATGTTTCATCTCTGAGATTCATGGTCTGAGTATATTTACTTGGACTTGACCAGGCATGCAGTATACCCTTATCCTGGAGATGATCTCAATGCCAGAGTGTGGAGGCATTTTCTCTGGCACTATTTGTCATCTCTAAAGAAAGAATCTACTATTTTATTATACTTTTTTGTTTATTTGTATAAATTTAAGGAGCGCAAGTGAAATTTTATTACGTGGATATTTTGTGTAGTGGTGAAGTCTGGGCTTTTAATATAATTATCCTCAAATAATGTACATTGTTGCTCATTGAGTATTTTTTTAACTTTTATTTTAGGTTCAAGGGTACATGGGAAGGTTTGTTATACAGGTAAACTTGTGTCATGGGGGTTTGTTGTACAGATTATTTCATCACCTAGGTAATAAGCTTGGTACCTAATAGTTACTTTGCCTGCTCCTTTCCCGCCTCCCACCCTCCACCCTAAAGGAGACCCCATTGTCTGTTTTTCCCTTTTTTGTGTTCATGAGTTCTATTATTTAGCTTCCACTTATAAGTGAGAACCTGCTGTATTTGGTGTTCTGTTCTTGTATAGTTTGCTAAGGATAATGGCCTCCAGCTCCATCCATGTTTCCACAAAACATATGAACTCATTCTTTTTTTATGGCTTCAAATTAATTTTATTTTTATCTTATTATTTATGTTATTTTGATTGTAGACTCCTGGCTATCACGAATTCTTCAGGTATGGAGAGTGAAATATTCCTAATTAAACCTTCTACTATTTTATTTTATTTTATTTATTCTTTTTTTTTTTTTGAGACGGAGTCTTGCTCTGTCGCCCAGGCTGGAGTGCAGTGGCGTGATCTCAGCTCACTGCAAGCTCCACTTCCTGGGTTCATGCTATTCTCCTGCCTCAGCCTCCCGAGTAGCTGGGACTACAGGCATCCGCCACCACGCCCGGCTAATTTTTTTTGTATTTTCAGTAGAAACGGGGTTTCACCGTGTTAGCCAGGATGGTCTCGATCTCCTGACCTCGTGATCCACCCACTTCGGTCCCCCAAAGTGCTGGGATTACAGGCGTGAGCCACCGCGCCCCACTTTATTTTCATTTTAATACATCATAACTTAGCCCTTCCAACGCCGAAGTATTTTGAAGTCCTGAGCTTGTCCCATATTTCAGAAAGCCGATCAGCTTCCATGTTGACTGTTTCATTTGTGCAAATTTAAGTGACCTTTTGTTTTGCCACATTTTGTTAATTTCCACATACATATTTACGTTCGGGAAATTTGGAAATACTACGTTCTGGAAATTTGGTGTTGATGATTGCATGAAATTGACCGCATTCTAATTTTCTTTTTTTGTTGTTTTGTTACTTATGCCTTATTTATTCATTCCTTTGTTCTCACTTGAATGGGACTTTGGGTGAAAGACAAATAATGGCTGTACTCTTAGTTGAGTATTTAAAATGCAGAGATTGTAAAGGCAGGATGACCTAATTAAAAATACTATTGTTGGCTGGGTGCAGTAGCTCATGCCTGTAATCCCAGCACTTTGGGAGGCCAAGGCAGGTGAATCACTTGAGTTCAGGAATTTAAGACCAGCCTGGTCAATGTGGTGAAACCCAGTCTCTACTAAAAATATAAAAAATTACTTGGGTGTGGTGGCGGGTGCCTGTAATTCCAGCTACTCGGAAGGCTGAGGCAGGAGAGCCACTTGAACCCAGGAGGCAGAGGTTGCAGTGAGCCAAGATCACTGCACTCCAGCCTGGGCAACACAGAGCGAGACTGTGTCTCAAAAAAACAAAAGCTATTGTTATGGTTTACAAATGACGTGGCTTTCTATTGGGAGAGAGATACTTACTAATTGTTGAATTTCAGGAACTTCAGTGGCCAATATTTACTAATGGGCTGGAACAGATTTTGTCAACTTACCACAACATTTGGTGTGGTTTTGTTCTTTTGTTTCCTCCTTTTGTGGAACAGGAATGGTAACGTAGCCATGGGGTGCTGAGATATTTGGTTAAACATTATTCTGTGTGTGTCTGTGGGGGTGTTGCTGAATGAGATTATCAATGGAATTAGTGTAATTTATAAAGCAGATTGCTCTCCCTAATGTGAGTCGGCCTCATTCAATCAGGTGGGACCTGAATAGAACAAAACATTGAACTGGTAATGTAAGATGAAGTTCCTTTTGCCTGGACATCAGTCTTTTCTGGCTCTTGAACTCTCACTAAAACATTGACTCTTTAGATGTTAAGCCTGCCAGCTTTTTTTGTTTGTTTGTTTTTTTGAGATAGAGTCTCACTCTGTCACCCAGGCTGGAGTGCTGTGGCATGATCTCGGCTCACTGCAACCTTCACCTCTTGGGTTCAAGCAATTCTCGTACCTCAGCCTCTGAGTAGCTGGGATTACAAGCGAATGCCACTATGCCCGGCTAATTTTTGTATTTTTAGTAAAGATGGGGTTTCACCATGTTGGCCGGGCTGGTCTTGAACTCTGACCTCAGGTGATCTGCCTGCCTTGGTCTCCCAAAGTGTTGGGATTACAGGCGTGAGCCATCATGCCCGGCATGAGCCTGCTAGCTTTTGGACTGTTACGTATACCACTAACTCTACTGGTTCTCAGACTTTTGCACGTAGACTGGAACTACACGTGGACTCCCCTGGGTCTCCAGCTTGCAGATGGCAGATCATGGGACCTGTCAGTCTACATAGTTGCATAAGCCAATATATAAATACCCTATCTGTGTATCAATCATTATATATCTGTCATTATCCAACTATATGTCTATCATTATTTGTGATATCATTATATATCTATCATTATTTGTCTATCAATCATTATCTATATATCTATCATTATTAGTGTTGATTATTTTTTTTTCTGGAGAACCCTGACTACTATAGCTTCCATGTTCCTGTCTCAACTGTCACCAGTCCCCTTAGCACAGGGCCTATCATAGCCATTCTACGGCCCAAGGAATTACAAGCCACATAACTACAGGAGTCACAGTGACCCAAGGATTTAGACGGAGACACGGAAGAATTGAGGCATCTATTGGTCTCTGCATATTTTGGGATTTGGGATTTCCCAGCAGGGAAATTTGCCTTGAATCTGTCTAACTGGTCACTAAGAGTTGATTGGTAGGTTCCATTCTCCGTGCACAGCATAAACCCTAATAAGCCCAAACTGACTGGCAGTGGAGACTCTCAACCCTCAATGGGACCAAACTGTGACTGGCAGTGGAGACTCTCAACCCTCAATGGGACCAAACTGTGACTGGCAGTGGGGACCTTCAACCCTCAGTGGGACCGAACTGTGACTGGCAGTGGGGACCTTCAACTCTCAGTGGGACTTTACAGCACTCAGCTGCACCTGTGTGGAGAATTTGTCTCAAACACCTAAGAAGGAAGGAGGCCTTTGTTTCGAGGAAGAAGAAGGGGAGCTGCTTCTCTATCCACTGACCTCAGAGGTACCGGAGAGTGTCCAGTGAGGGCCTTAACTCTCTGCAGTATTTTTTTTTTTTTTGAGATGGAGTCTCACCCTGTCGCCCAGGCTGGAGTGCAATGGCAGGATCTCGGCTCACTGCAACCTCTGCCTCCCCAGTTCAAACGATTCTCCTGTCTCAGCCTCCTGAGTATCTCAGATTTACAGGCACCTGCCACCATGCCCAGCTATTTTTTGTATTTTTAGTAGAGACAGAGTTTCACCATGTTGGCCAGGCTGATCTCGAACTCCTGACCTCGTGATCTGCCCACCTCCGCCTCCCAAAGTGCTGGGATTATAGGCGTGAGCCACTGCACCCAGCCACTCTCTGCAGTTTTAAAGGCCATTTCCATGAATTAGAGTATACTTAGGCACTGAGGTAAGCATGGCACAGCTTTCTGAAAATAAAGTTGAAACTTAGAGGTTTCTTTTAGCTTTATTGAGATATGATTGACAAATGGAAATTGTATATATTTAAGGTGTATTACACTTGATGTTTTGATGTATGTATACATGGTGACATGATCATCATAGTCAAGCTAGTTATATCCATCATCTCGCAGGGTTATTGTTTTTTTTTTTTTTTTTTTTTTGAGAGGAAGTCTTACTCTGTCCCCCAGGCTAGAGTGCAGTGGTGCCATCTTGGCTCACTGCAACCTCCGCTCCCAGGTTCCAGCAATTCTCGTGCCTCAGCCTCCTGAGTAGCTGGGATTACAGGCTTGTGTCACCACGCCTGGCTAATGTTTGCATTTTTAGTAGAGACAGGGTTTCACCATGTTGGCCATGCTGGTCTTGAACTCCTGACCTCAAGTGATCTGCCCGTCTTGGCCTCCCAAAGTGCTGGGATTACAGGCGTGAGCCACCGCGCCCGGCCTATGGTTTCTTTTTCTTTCTTTCTTTTTTTTTTTTTTGTGGTGAGGACCCTTAAGATCTACTCTCCCAGCCGGGCGTGGTGGCTCATGCCTGTAATCCCAGTACTTTGGGAGGCCGAGGCAGGCGGATCACGAGGTCAGGAGATCGAGACCATCCTGGCTAACACAGTGAAACCCCGTCTCTACTAAAAATACAAAAAATTAGCAGGGCGTGGTGGCGGGCGCCTGTAGTCCCAGCTACTCGGGAGGCTGAGGCAGGAGAATGGCGTGAACCCAGGAGGCGGAGCTTGCGGTGAGCCGAGATCGCGCCACTGCACTCCAGCCTGGGTGACAGAGCAAGACTCCAGCTCAAAAAAAAAAAAAAAAAAAAAAAAAATCTACTCTCCCATGCTTGCCTCGGCAGCACATATACTAAAATTGGAACGATACAGAGAAAACTAGCATGGCCCCTGCGCAAGAATGACACGCAAATTCGTGAAGTGTTCCATATTTAAAAAAAAAAATCTACTTTCCTGGTAAATTTCAAGTATAGAGTACAGTATTGTCAACCATAGTGGCAAAGCTGTACAAGAGATCTTCAGACCCATTCCTCCTGAATACCTGATAGTTTGTATCCTTTGATCAACATCTCCCAATTCCCTCCCCCACACTGTCCCTGTAGTTCTAGTGAGTTTCCCAGACTCTGATGTCTCAATTTCATTCAGTCACTTTCCTCCAGATACATCTACCCATTCCTACTGCATCTTAGTATCCTGAGCCTTGGGGGCAGTTTCTGTGCCAAGTGGAAATGTGGAAATGAGATATTACGAAGAAAAATCTTTGCCCACCTAGACAGGGATCTGATGTTTTCCAAGATGACACATGATTACATGTTGAAATGATAATATTTTGAGTCTACTTGTATAATAAAATAATATTTTGGATCTATTAGGTTAATATTTTGGGTCTGTTGGGTTAATAATATTTTGGGTCCATTGGGTTAACTTAAATTAATTTTATCTGTTTCTTGTTAGCTTTTTAATTTGGATACTAGCAAGTTTGAAAGAATGCATGTGGTTTGCATTATGTTTCTATAGGACAGAACTTACCTGTAGATGTAAGGGAGTCACAACAAAATTACAAGCATTGTTTTTGGTGGAAATGAGAAAAATGATTACAAATTTACATGGAAAAGCAAATAGCCAATAATAATAATAATGGCAATCTTAAAGAGGAAGGAGAAATTAGAGGATTCAGGCTGCCAAATTTTAAGGGGTTCTATAAGGCCACATAAAGTGCAGCATCCTCATGAGAGTGGACACAGAGAGCCACTGAGCAGAAAAGAGTGTGTAAAATACATCTGTGTACACACAGTCCTTTTATAGTTGACAGAGGCTGCCATGCGGATTAAGGTGGAATAGAATGTCTTCTCAGTAAATAACATTGGACCAGAGGGTTACAAGCAGGAAAAAATAAATCTAAGCTTATTTTCACACCATAAAAACACTGCTAATTTTTTATCTTATTATCATACATTTTGATGATTTATTTATAAAATTGATGAATGAAAATTATATACAGTTGTCCTTCACTATTCATGGGTGATTGGTTCCAGGAAACCCCCCTCCCTACCAGACACCAAAATCTGCAGATGCTCAAGCCTGTTGCATGAAATGGCACAGCGTTTGCATATAACCCATGCACATCCTCCTGTATACATGAAATCATCTCTAGATTACTTATAATTCCTGATACAGCCTACACACCACCTCACTTGTGTCCACACAATATAGTATTTTTGCTTTTTGGAACTTTGTGGATTTTTTCTCTGAATATTTTTGATTTATATTTGGTTCAATAAACACCTGTAAACCCCACAGATATGGAGGAGCGACTGTATATTTATAGTATGAAAGATGATGTGTTGACATGTGTCCCTGTGGAGATGAGACTAACAAGGCCTATGACTCTACAAATGTTTCATCTTGGAATGACTCTGCCAGCTTTCCAGGTCTGCAGAGAGTAAGAATATCACTTGTTCATGTGATTCACGATCCTTGGAACCTCCTATGTGCTGCATCTTTGGATGGAAATTGGAGTCCCAGAGACAAATGAGGCTCCACCCTGCTTCCAGAAGCTCAGAGTCCAGGGCTGAGAACCCAGTAGAGAACATATCAGGTTATATGGACATAGTAATGATAACACTGGAAACTTTTGGCGAATAAAGAGTCACATTATCGAAACCATGAGGGCAGACATGTTTATTTGAAGAGGAGAGAGCTACACTGAAGTTATAAAAAAAATTTATAAATTTTACTGATGACAGAAGGCTGAAAGATAGTCTGAGGGGAGGTGGAACAGCATGAGGGAAGGTGGAACAGCAAGTGTGTAAGTGCCGTGTTAAGAGGGAGCCTCTTGTATGTTTGGAATTGTGAGTTCCTCAGTGTGATTGCAGCCTCAAGTAGGACTAGGAAGTAAGCCAGTTAGGTTGGAGAGGTGGGCAGGGGTCAAGTGAAATAGATACTTGTGGGCTAAGCAAAGGAGTGTGTTTTCTCTGCAGCAGGCAGTGGCGACCTTAGGCATTTGTAAGCAAGAGAGAGGCATGTTCAGATTCGTGGTGTGAGGAAGAGCGATCCCCTAAGATGCAGACTGATGCCTTCAGATTCCAGCTGCTGGTTCATTGGATCTGGCAACCTGGTTTTGAGACAGGGCTGTTGTCTCCCTAGAAAACCCCCTCAAGACCTGACTGTGGTGCTCGTGGGCAGGAGACAACTTTGGATCTGGGCTCAGCATTTGGAAGTTCCGTGTACACGCTGGTATCTGTTAGGGGTGTCTTGGGCCTCTGAGAAGGGCGACTGATTTTTCTCTGTATGAAAACGCAGTGATCCAACTGTGCGTACGTCACCTCCTGAGGGTCTTGTTCATCAGAGTCCTGGAGAGAGGGAAATGCTGAGTGAGGGAGGGTGCTCACATTTTTCAGGACTATTAGGGATAAGACTGTATCCGTGAGGCTGGGCCGAGGAGGACCTACCTGCCTATTCACTGTTCTGTCCCCCGCAGGCTCTTGGTCCATTACAGCAGCATCTGTAGGAGACGGAAGTCATCAAAACCGCTTGGAGGGCCCTTCTGGGTCCTCATTTCATGGGCAGACACCAACCCACAGGGGGAGGCTGTAGGTGCCTGAGGCTCTTCAGCTGCCAACATCCAGACTCAGACATTCTATCTCTCTGAGTTCAAGACCCCATCCCATGAAGTGCTCTCAATTGGCATCCCATTGATTCTGTCTCCCACTTTCTGCCTGTCATGGAAGCTTCTGGATGTCAGTAGCTGCAGGGGATGTGAGGATACAGTTCAGAACCAGGCAATGGTCTGTGAGCTGAAGGCAGGGGCAGGTTGTCTGGTGCTCTCTCTAGAAAGCCCTGCCTCTGTGGCTCCTCCCTTGGGCCAGGGACCATCCTGCCAGTGAGGAACACACACCCGCGTGCTCCCATCCTGCTTCCCCACATGGCCCTGAGCTCTCTGGCCTCTGCTTCGTGAGACTTACTCTTTTTGTTGGAGCACCAGCGATAAAGGAGAAAGAAGAGGAGGAGGATGAAGAGGAAGATGACCACTGAGGTCCCAATCAGAACATGCAGGTGTCTGCAGATACCTGGAGGAAGATGGGAATCCAATAAGAAGCTAATCATAGCAGTTCCTCTTTATGGATTGTCTCATTTCTTGATTGACAGGTAACCACATGGAACATCTCCTTAGGACAAGCAGCCTGATGGCGGGAGACCCAGCTTTCTCCTGCTTTCTCAGTTACAGCTCTCATAGAAACCATAGAACATGCTGAGGATACAGCTGCTTTAGTTTAGATGTTTGACCCTTTGAAACCTCACACTGAAATATTGAAATTTAACCCCCAGTGTGGAAGTTTGGGCCTATGGGAAGGTGTTTGAGTCATGGAGGTGGATCCATCATGAATAGATTAATGCTGCCCCACATGATGGGGTTAGCAAGTTCCCCCTCTATTAGTTCCCGGAGGGCTGGTTGTTAAAAAGAGCTTGGAAGCTCCATCGCTCGCCCTCCCCCTTGCTCCCTCTCTTGCCATGTGATCTCTGTGGTCTCTGCACAGACAGACCCTCCTTCCCTTCTGCCAGAGTGGGAGCAGCCTGAGGCCGTCACAGGAAACAGATGCTGGTGCCATGCTTCCAGTACAGCCTGCAGAACTGTGAGGCAAACAAATCTGTTTTCTCTAGAAGTTGCCCAGGCTCTGGGATGCAAGGCTGGTTCAATATATGCAAATCAATAAATGTAATCCATCATATAAACAGAACCAAAGACAAAAACCGGACGACTATCTCAATAGATGCAGAAAAGGCCTTTGACAAAATTCAACAACGCTTCATGCTAAAAACTCTCAATAAATTAGGCATTGATGGGACGTATCTCAAAATAATAAGAGCCATCTATAACAAACCCACAGCCAGTATCATACTGAATGGGCAAAAACTGGAAGCATTCCCTTTGAAAACTGGCACAAGACAGGGATGCCCTCTTTCACCACTCCTATTCAACATAGTGTTGGAAGTTCTGGCCAGGGCAATTAGGCAGGAGAAGGAAATAAAGGGTATTCAATTAGGAAAAGAGGAAGTCAAATTGTCCCTGTTTGCAGATGACATGATTGTATATATAGAAAACCCCATTGTCTCAGCCCAAAATCTCCTTAAGCTGATAAGCAGCTTCTACAAAGTCTCAGGATACAGAATCAATGTACAAAAATCACAAGCATTCTTATACACCAATAACAGACAAACAGAGAGCCAAATCATGAGTGAACTCCCATTCACAATTGCTTCAAAGAGAATAAAATACCTAGGAATCCAACTTACAAGGGATATGAAGGACCTCTTCAAGGAGAACTACAAACCACTGCTCAATGAAATAAAAGAGGATACAAACAAATGGAAGAACATTCCATGCTCATGGGTAGGAAGAATCAAGATCGTGAAAATGGCCATACTGCCCAAGGTAATTTATAGATTCAATGCCATCCCCATCAAGCTACCAATGACTTTCTTCACAGAATTGGAAAAAACTACCTTAAAGTTCATATGGAATCAAAAAAGAGCCTGCATTGCCAAGTCAATCCTAAGCCAAAAGAACAAAGCTGGAGGCATCATGCTGCCTGACTTCAAACTATACTACAAGGCTACAGTAACCAAAACAGCATGGTACTGGTACCAAAACAGAGATATAGATCAATGGAACAGAATAGAGCCCTCAGAAATAATGCCACATATCTACAACTATGTGATCTTTGACAAACCTGAGAAAAACAAGCAATGGGGAAAGGATTCCCTATTTAATAAATGGTGCTGGGAAAACTGGCTAGCCATAGGTAGAAAGCTGAAACTGGATCCCTTCCTTACACCTTATACAAAAATTAATTTGAGATGGATTAAAGACTTAAACGTTAGACCTAAAACCATAAAAACCCTAGAAGAAAACCTAGGCATTACCATTCAGGACATAGGCATGGACAAGGACTTCATGTCTAAAACACCAAAAGCAACGGCAACAAAAGCCAAAATTGACAAACGGGATCTAATTAAACTAAAGAGCTTCTGCACAGCAAAAGAAACTACCATCAGAGTGAACAGACAACCTACAAAATGGGAGAAAATTTTCGCAACCTACTCATCTGACAAAGGGCTAATATCCAGAATCTACAATGAACTCAAACAAATTTACAAGAAAAAAACAAACAATCCTATCAAAAAGTGGGCAAAGGACATGAACAGACACTTCTCAAAAGAAGACATTTATGCAGCCAAAAAACACATGAAAAAATGCTCACCATGACTGGCCATCAGAGAAATGCAAATCAAAACCACAATGAGATACCATCTCACACCAGTTAGAATGGCGATCATTAAAAAGTCGGGAAACAACAGGTGCTGGAGAGGATGTGGAGAAATAGGAACACTTTTACACTGTTGGTGGGACTGTAAACTAGTTCAACCATTGTGGAAGTCAGTGTGGCGATTCCTCAGGGATCTAGAGCTTGAAATACCATTTGACCCAGCCATCCCATTACTGGGTATAAACCCAAAGGACTATAAATCATGCTGCTATAAAGACACATGGACACGTATGTTTATTGTGGCACTATTCACAATAGCAAAGACTTGGAACCAACCCAAATGTCCAACAATGATAGACTGGATGAAGAAAATGTGGCACATATACACCATGGAATACTATGCAGCCATAAAAAATGATGAGTTCATGTCCTTTGCAGGGACATGGATGAAATTGGAAATCATCATTCTCAGTAGACTATCACAAGGACAAAAATCCAAACACCGCATGTTCTCACTTATAGGTGGGAATTGAACAATGAGAACACATGGACACAGGAAGGGGAACATCACACTCTGGGGACTGTTGTGGGGTGGGGGGAGGGGGGAGGGATAGCATTAGGAGATATACCTAATGCTAAATGACGAGTTGATGGGTGCAGCACACCAGCATGGCACATGTATACATATGTAACTAACCTGCACATTGTGCACATGTACCCTAAAACTTAAAGTATAATAATAATAAAAATTTTAAAAAAAAGCTCATCAGAAGCACTATACAAAAAAAAAAAAAAAAAAAAAAGAAGTAACCCAGGCTCAAGTGTTCTTTTATAGCAACAAAAATGGACTAAGACAGCAACGTCCTGAGATCAGGAGGAACGTCTCAGAACAGCCTGTGCTGTCTTCCTGTTCTTCCTGGAGGAGGACGTCATGCAGTGCTTTAGCTGAGTGCTTCCTGTGGCTTCAGGGTACAAAACCCAGGCTGGGCTATTTTCTGGCTTCCCCCAGATACACTGCAAATGAGGTGACTCCATATGTCCCGAGCAGCTTTTCTGAGCCTTGAGGGACTGGCTCACGTTGAAATGTAGGCTTCTGTTGTCACTCGCTGCTTATCTGTTAGTAATGAACCTGCCTATGTAACGTATTCTCTGTGTGTTCTGTCTCCCTGGAGTGACGGTGAGTGATAGAAATTGGCATAGGCCCAGGTGCAGTACAGCAGGTGTTTAGAGTCTTCTCTGGAAAGACTGGACTGGGATTGATACACAGTGAATGTGCTTTACAGTTTCTACATCCACAACCCTCTTGACTCAAATTACATTCTCCAAGAAAAGGACACAAAAGTGAAATCAAGATCAAAAAAGCAAAGTAGAATTCTCTTATGTCAAACAGCCAGGAAATAATGATGAAGCCCATGTGAAACGTGCTACTCTTTGTGATCTCGCGAGACACATGTTAGGCTGCTGTTCCACCTGAGAGGCTGGGGGAAAGACCACCCCCTCCACCATCTATTGCTTCAAAACCACCTGTCCTCCTGTGAATTAGTAGGAAAGGGGAGCAGGAGCTAGTGCTGGTGCTGATCTCTGATTCCAAGATCTGAACTCACTCCAAGGAGTATTAGCGTTTACCTCCCCATGATCTATCTGTATCTCCACAGGTGATTGGAAGTAGGGGTGAGGTGGGGGATTTGGGTGAGGGGGAAAGTTTCTTGTGATGAACAGAGCACTTTCCCTATTTCAGGGCCTGTGCTGGTGGGTTCAGGGGGCTTTCATATTTTCCATATGATCTCATGTTCACAGAAAGCCAAATATGGAAGAGGTTTTAGGCTGATTTTCTAATGGATAAGATAAAGGATCAAAGAAGTAATTATAGAGGAATAGAAAAATGATGATTGGAATTCAGGTGCCTGCATCATTTGTGTATATTATTATATTTATGTATTTTTTATTTTTATTTTTTGAGACAGAGTATCCCTGTGTAGCCCAGGCTGGTGTGCAGTGATGCGATCTCCACTCACTGCAACCTCTGCCTCCAGGGCTGAAGTCATTCTCCTGCTTCCTCCTCCAGAGTAGCTGGGATTACAGTCATGCACCACCATCATGCCTGTTTAATTTTTGTATTTTTAGTAGAGATAGGGTTTCTCCATGTTGGCCAGGCTGGTCTCGAACTCCTGACTTCATGTGATCCACCCGCGTTGGCCTCCTGAAGTGCTGGGTTACAGGCGTGAGCCACCGTTCACAGCCTTGTATATTATGCTATACTAGGTCCCTTCATTTGCACCACCCCTCATCTAGCTCTCCCTCCTCTGCCAGGTATTGATTTAGATGCAGGAGAAATAAATCTCAGAAATAAGTTAGTGAAGCGAGGATTAAACTACCAGGAAAAATTAAACCCAGCAAGCCTTTCCAGCCAATGATTCTACCTCACAAACATATCTTATATCCATCTACTTCATTCATTTAGTGTCTAAATCAGCACCACATTTCACCAGTGGGGCGGCAATTGCCTTTTCCACGGTCTCCTAGATTCCAGTTATGCAACTGAGCCTCCCTTATTTTCATGTCAGTCATATTAATCATGTAGGGATTCCTGGTTACCTCGAGGTGAATCCAATGGCTGTGAGTGTCAAACACACGCTCCTTGTTGCTCCTTAGTTTCCTGTGTACCCAGTGTGCTCTCCGTCTCTCTACAGTCATCTTGTCATTCTCCCCACCTCATTCCCAGCATTTGAGTCAGAGCCTCTTCCTTCCACATCAGATTGTTTTCACCTTTGTGCCTTCACGGCTGACAGCTGTGTGTGCAAAATCCTTCCGCCAATCTTTCAGGGGTTCAATCCGTGTTTTTCATTAATGTCACAAATATCTGATTAGTGAGAACTTCTCTGTCACCTGAAATAATACACTCAGCATTATCTATTATTGATTTGAAAATTTGGCTTGGCCCCGTGGCTCATGCCTCTTATCCCAGCGTGTTGGGAGGCAGAGGCTATTGGATCACCTGAGGTTGGGAATTTGAGACCAGCCTGGCCAACATGGTGAAACATCCTCTCTACAGAAAATATGCAAAAAGAGTTAGCCGGGCGTGGTGGTTGTGGTCTGTAATCCCAGCTACTGGAGAGGCTGAGGGAGGAGATCAGTTCAGCCCAGGAGGTGGAGGTTGCAGTGAGCCGAGATCATGCCACCGCACTCTAGCCTGGACGACAGAGCAAGGCTCCGTCTCAATAAACAAGTAGGTAAATACATAAATAAATAGATTTCATGCACAGATGCTTCTCAATAGATCATTCATTTATTGGTCCCCTTGTGCCTACATTTTCTGCCCTCCCATTTAACCATCTGCAAGATCAGTGTCCCAAGAACAGAGGCCAAATGCATCTTGTTCACTGTTTGTGGAAGGCAGGAGAATGTTGTCCCACCCCAAAAATGTCCATGTCCTAGCCTCCATAGCTTGTGAATATGTTATTTTACATGAAAGGAGGAATGAAGATTGCAGATGGAATTATGGTTGCTAGTCAGCTGAACTTAAAAGGAGGGTATCCTGGATGATTTCCGGGAGATTATGATGGATTTTCATCTTGGTGAACCCAATAGAATCCCCAAGTTTTCAAAAGAAGGGCAAGAAGGGAGAGCAGCATTCAGAGAAAGAGGTGTGGTAAGGAAGAAGGGTCTGAGTGATGCCATGTGAGATGTGACCAGTCTTTGTGGGCTTTGAGGAAGGAGGAAGGGTACCAGGAGCCAAGGAACATGGGAGCCTCTAGAAGCTGAGAAAAGTGAGAAGCAGATTCTTGCCTGGAACCCTCAGAGGGAAGGCAGCCTTGCTGTCACCTTGATTTTAGCCCAGTGACATGCACGTCATGCTTTGAGCTACAGCACTGTAAGATAATTAAATAACCGTTTTGTTTTCACACACGAATCTTGTGGAAATTTGTTATGGCAACAATAGGAAAAGCTTCCACACTGCACAGCCTGAGCATGGGGCTGTGGCTGAATGAGTCACTGAGTCGAAGTGTGCGTGCATGAGCTCTGTTCTCTGTTACGGCAAGGCTCTTGCTCTGCTGAGTCAGCCAGGGTTGCCTGATGACCAACAGTAATTCATTCCTTGGCAAGTGGAACTTCTCTAAAACACCCACCCTCATCAGATGTTCCCTTCCCTTCCCTCTCTCAAGCCCCCGGGAATTTATCCTCCAGTTAGGAATGCAGGCAGAAAAAACACTGCATTTTTCCTGAGAAGGATGTCAGATTGGCAATTATTCTTCTAGCTTGTAGGAGGTCTCACCTGCAGGAAATTAAAGGTAAAGAGACTTCGCTGAGCCCTTTGGTGGCCCTAGATCCCTTTCACTGTTGGAGTGTCTGGAGTTCAGAGATGGTGGAAGACAGGCCCTCATTCACAGAGCTGGGAGGTTTGAGCCAACACTTGCATCCAAGGCTTCCACCTCCCCAGGTTTCCAAAAGCAGAGATAAGAGGGGTCCTTTACTCACCAGATTTGGAGCTTGGTTCTGTGGGTGAAGGCCAACTACTTGAAGGGTTTCCTAGAACACGGGACAGGAGAGATGTGAGGAAATGAGGGTGCTTGTCCTCTACTCAATGGAAATCTTTGAGGTTGGTTCATGGCCAACACTCTGTTATCTAATGTTGGACCCTGGGAGTCTTGGGATCCTTTTCTCCATAATTTTTGTGTGCGATGCCCACTGTCTTGAGACTTGAAGGTATAAAGAGAAAACAGGAGCATCACACTACCTGACTTAGAAATATGTTACAGAGCTGTAGTAAGCAAAACAGCATGACATTGGCATAAAGAAAGGCACATAAAAAATGGAACAGAATGGAGAACACAGATATAATCCATGCATTTACATCCAATGGCTTTCTTTTGTGTGTGTGTGATAGAATCTTGCTCTGTCATGCAGGCTGGAGTGTAGAGGTGCAATCTCAGCTCAATGCAACCTCCACTTCCTGGATTCAAGAAATTCTCTTGCTTCAAACTCCTGAGTAGTGGTATTACAGGCACTGATCACCATGCTCAGCTAATTTTTGTATTTTTAGTAGAGACGAGGTTTCACTCTGTTGGCCAGCCTGGTCTTGAACTCCTGGCTTTAGGTGATCCACCCGCCTCGGCCTCCCAAAGTGCTGGAATTGCAGGTGTGAGCCACCATACCCAGCCCATTTAATGGACTTTGACAAAGGTGCCGAGAACTTACAATCAGGAAAGGACAGTCTTCAATAAATGGTGTGGGGAAAACTGGATATCTACATGCAGAGGAATAAAACTGCATCTATACCTGTCACCTTACACAAAAATCAAATGAAAATGGATTAAAAACATGAGTCTAAGGCCTGAACCTATGAAACATGTAGAAGAAAATAATGGGGAAGACATTTGTCTGATGAAAGACATTTTGTTTAAAACCTTCAAAACACAAGTAATCAAAGCAAAAAATAGACCATTAGGATTACATCAAACCAAGCAACTTCTGCACCACCAAAGATAAACCAACAAAGTGAAGAGACAACCCACAAAATAGGAGCAAATATTTGCAAACTATTCATCTGAGATGGGATTAATAACTGGAAATATAAGAAGCTCAAACAACTCAATAAAACAATTTAATTAAAAAACGAGCAAAAGACATGAGGAGACATTTCTCCACAAACAAAACATAGAAATGGCGATCACGTATATGAAAAAGTGCTCAGCATCACTCATCATCACAGAAATGTAAATTACAATCGCGATGAGTTTTCATCTCATCCCATTAAAATGCCTTTTAGGCCGGTGGCTCACGCCTGTAATTCCAGCACTTTGGGAGGCGGAGGTGGGCGGATCACCTGAGGTCGGGAGACCAGCCTGACCAACATGGAGAAACTCCCTCTCTACTAAACATACAAAAATTAGCTAGGCGTGGTGGCACATGCCTGTAATCCCAGCTACTTTGGAGGCTGAGGCAGGAGAATCAGTTGAACGCGGGAGGCAGAGGTTGCAGTGAGCCGAGATCACACCCTTGCACTCCAGCCTGGGCGACTATGAGTGAAACTCCATCTCAACATAAATAAATAAATAAATAAAGTAAAGTAAAATGGCTTTTATCTGCAAGACAGGCAAAACAAATGCTGGCAAGATGGTAGAGAAAGGAGAACCCTGGTACCCTGTTGGTAGGAATGTAAATTAGTACAACTATTATGGAGAAAAGTATGGAAAATCTTTAAAAAACTAAAAGGAGGCTGGGCATAGTGGCTTATGCCTGTAACTTCAGCACTTTGGGAAACCGAGGCAGGCACCTCACTTGAGGTCAGGAGTTTGAGAGCAGCCTGCCCAAAATTGGGATATCCCGTCTGTGCTAAAAAATACAAGAATTAGTCAGGCATGGTGGCGTGCACCTGTAATCACAGCTATTAGGGAGGCTGAGTCAGGAGAATCGTTTGAACCTAGGAAGCAGAGGTTGCAATGAGCCAAGATCGCACCACTTTGACTCCAGCTTGGACTAAGGAGGGAAACTCTTTCTCAAAAAAGAAAAAAAAAAAAAGAGAACTTTCATAGTGTCCAGCAATTTCACTACTGGGTTTATATCCAAAGGAAAGGACATCAGTGTATCGAAGTGATATCTGCACTCATATGACTGTTCCAGCACTGTTCACAGTAGCCAAGATGTGGAGTCAACCTACCTGCCTATCAGTGGGTGAATGGATAGAGAACTGTAGTACACACACACGGTGGAGACTACTCATCCATAGAAACAATAACATCCTGTCATTTGCAGCCACATGGATGGAACTGGAGGTCATTACAAAGATTCCCATTTCTCACCACATGCAGGAGATAAAAGGTGGATCTCATGAAGGTAGAGAATAGAATGGTGGATACCAGAGGCCAGGAAGGGAAGGGTGGAAGGTAACAAAAAAAAGAATATAGATGTATTTATTTATTTAGAAACAGAGTCTCTCTCTGTCTCCCAGGCTGCAGTGCAGTGGCATGATCTCGGCTCAGTGCAACCTCTGCCTCCTGGCTTTAAGTGCTTCTCCTGCCTCAGCCTCCCAAGTAGCTAGGACTACAGGTGCATGCCGGCATGCTTGGCTAATTTTTCTTGTCTGTTTAGTAAAGATGAATTTCCCGCATGTTGGCCAGGCTGATCTCGAGTCCCTGATCTTAAATGATCCACCTTTCTTGGCCTCTCAAAGCGCCAAGATTACAACCGTGAACCACCACACCCAGCATATAAAGGTATTTATGACCACTAGATTTTACTTTTAAAAATGGTAAAGTTGGTAAATTATATAGTTACATTTAACCTCAATAAATATTTTTGAAAATGAAAAGAAAAGAGTGTAGGGGTTGCTGGTGATGACATCTCTCTGTGTGGGTGAGAGGCCAGGATGGGCTTCTGGGAAATGGGTAAGGTTGAGGGGCTGAGGGAACCTCTGATCTCCCCAAACTGAGCCCAGTCTCCCCTTCTCTGGGTCTGTCCTGACCGCTTTCTCCATCTGCCTGGGTGCCTGGAGCCCTGACCATGGGCCTCCATGCAGGCCATGCAAGAGGGTTTGGAGGTGCCCTGTCTGCCATCCTGCACCCTGACCCCCCCCTCACACCCAGTCTTCGTGTTCTCTCTGCATCTGTCCATGCTTCTCCCCATCATCGGCAGGAAGCTCCTCAGCTATGGCTCTAGGATCATAAGACATGGGACAGACACGGGTTTTCCTCACCTGTGACAGAAACAAGCAGTGGGTCACTTGAGTTTGACCACACGCAGGGCAGGGCACGGAAAGAGCCGAAGCATCTGTAGGTCCCTCCGTGGGTGGCAGGGCCCAGAGGAAAGTCTGCCTGGAATGTTCTGTTGACCTTGGGCACTGCACGGAGCCTACGTTCATGGGCCTCCCCTTCCCTGGACAGATGGTAGATGTCATAGGAGCTCCAGGAGCTACAGGACAAGGTCACGTTCTCTCCTGCCTGAACCGTGGGGCCCGGCTGGGCTGAGAGAGAAGGTTTCTCATATAGACCTGGAAGGAGAAGAGGCAGTTTCCTCAGGGAGGTTCTTCCTTGTCACAGCTCCCCTCATACCTGAGCTGAGAACTCACTCCCCTGCTCTATGACCTAATGCTCTCTCTCTCTCTCACCCTCCACCCCAACTCTCTTCATGTCTATTTCCTCCTTCCGCCTTCTCTGTCTCTCTAGGTCTCTGACCTCACTTCCCCACCCCTGGGTATGCTTTCCCTTTTTGGATTGTTTTATTCTCTCTGACTCTCCTTGGATTGGTTGACTTGATCTTCCTTTTTCTATAATTCTGAGTCTCTCACTTTCTGTCTTGTTCATAACTTTCTGCATATTTCTATCTATTATCTATCTATCTATTTTGTGTCTATCTACAAATTATCTGTCATCTATATCTATGTATCATTTATCTATCAATTGTCTATCTGTCTATCCATCAATCATCTATGTATTATCTGTATCTATGTATCATCTCTCTCTCTCTCTATTACCTCTCTGTCTGCCTGTCAGTCTCTATGTATCATCTATGTATCTATATATTTATATATGTGTCTTCTATCTATCTTCATCATCATCATCATCATCTCTATGTATCATCTATCAATCATCATCTATGTATCTATAACCTATCCATTATCTATCATCTACCTATTTATCATCTATCTATATCTATCTATCCATCTATCATCTGTCTCTCTCCATCTCCTTGTCTTTCTCTGCCTCTCAGTCTCTCTAGTTCTATTTGGAATCTCTGCAATCCATCCCCACATCTTTATCTTTCTCTGTCTTTGTGCCCCTCCCTCAGGGTTCTGATTTTGGGGCTTTTCTCTCCTCCCTTCCAGCATTCTCTCCACTCCTCTGCCCTCTTTTCTTTCTTTTTGTGTGTCTGTGAGTCTCTCAATCCCCTTCCTCTGGCTCATTCTCTGTGTGTTTATGCCTTTGCTTTTTGAAGTCCCTGATTTATCTCTGTGTCTCTCAGTGATCCTATTATATGTAGGATTATTTGGAATATGAGCCTCAGAATCTAGTCTGGGGACACCAAGTACACACAGTATTTAGGGGTTGGTGTTCTGGGGCCATGATATCCTGGGATAATTATGGCTCCACTGCATGGAAGGCAGAGGTGTCAGAATAAACATGGCATCTGTAGATGCCACAAGGCCTGAGGCCACAGGGCCCAACTCAGGTCAGAAATATGGGTGTCCTTGGGTTCTCCTCGTAGAAGCACTTTGTGGAGACAAAACAGAAATGAAACTTCTAACCTGTGCCAGGTCTCTGAGCAAAGTCAGCATGGAAGGACACTTCTCTCTGGCACATGTCTGTCTGTCTGAGTGTCTCCTTTACCTCTTTCTCTCTTTTCTACTTCCCCGTATGGCCCCTGTGTCTGTCCTCTGTTATGACACCTGGTCTGTACTTATGTCTCCTGTTTCCCTGTCTCTGTTGGTACAGACCTCACCGAGTCAGTCTCTCTCCATAAGAATCCCACGCTTATCTTCCTCATGACCACCTGGGGGTTCCAAGTCCTGGATCATTCACTCTGTGTCCCAATGACAATGAGAAGAATGTCTGGACACTCTCACCTGTGATCACGATGTCCAGGGGGTCACTGGGAGCTGACAACTGATAGGGGGAGTGAGGAACAGAACCATAACATCTGTAGGTTCCTGCAAGGACAGGCATCAAGGGACCGATGGAGAAGTTGGCCTTGGAGACCCCATCATGGATCTGTCCAACGAGGCGTGAGGGGTCCTCAGAGATCCCCTCTCTGTGCAGAAAGAAGTGCTCAAACATGACATCTGACCAACATTGCAGGATGACTGTCTCTCCTGATTTCAGCAGGGGCCCTGGGTGGGCCAGGAGGGAAGGTTTTCTGTGGTTTCCTAGAAAGAGAAGTTGTGAGTTTAGAAGGCATCTCTCTTTATCATCCCATCCATGGCACCTGGAATGAGTGAGGGTTCCCCTCCCAGAGGTCTGTCTCTCTCCTCCCTCTCTGTGTCTCCGTGTCTTTTCTGTGCCCATATCCCCTGGTGCAGGTCCCTCCATTTGTCTTCCTCCCTCTTCTCTGTCCCTCTGTCTCCAGTAGCCCCTGACTCCCTTCCCACTGTGAAGAGAGCCTCATCTCTTGGGCTGTTGTATCTCTTTCCCACTAGTCTCTTTCCTGCTGTCTATGTGGGGGTGGAAGAGGACAGGCTGCATGTCCAGGCTCTCAGCAGCCTGAATCAATCTCTTTTGAACAAATTGGAGTCTCTGGCAGAGGTATCAACTCATCAGTAAGGCAGACATCAGTGTCCACACACCCTGTTCCTGATGGGGATTGGGAGCCTCTCCTGCCATGTCTGTGCCTTCTCCATGGCCCCAGCTTCCATAGGGTGGTCCCTGGTGCTGGTTCCAGGAGCATCAACCCCTTCCTATGTGGATGGAGCCTGGTGGTGGCATCAGCATCCCACCCTTGCTGATCCCACGGTAGCCAACCTTCTCCTTGTTTGGTTTCTTTAATTAATTGATTAATTAATTTATTTTTGAGACAGTCACTTTTTCACCCAGGCTGGAGTGCAGTGGTGTTGTCTTGGCTCACTGCAACCTCTGCCTCCCCGGTTCAAGTGATTATCTTGCCTCAGCCTCCCCAGTCGTTGGATTACTCGTGCCCACCACCACACCTGGCTATCCTTGTTTGGTTTCCTAGCTTGTCCTTGACCTGGGTTCCTGTGTCGGTTTCCTGTTGCTGCTGCAGAAAATTATCACAAACATGGCAGCAGGAGAGAACACACTGACCCCTTCCACTTCTGGGGACAGAAATTGGATCCAGTTCTCCCTGTGCTGAAATCAAGGCATCTGCAGGGCTGCGTTCCCTCTGGAGACTCAGCAAATCAGTTCTCTTGACTTCTCCAGCCCTTAGAGGCCACCTGCATTCTGTGACTAGTGGCCTTCCTCCACCTTCAAAGCCCACAGTGGCTGATAGCGTCTCCCTCCCACTACACTGCTCTAATCCCCACTCCCCTCTTCCTCCACCTCTCACGCGGACCCTTGTGATTACACTGAGCCCAGCAGGACAGTCCAGGCTGTCTCCCCATCTCAAGGTCAACTCATCAACAACCTGAGCTCCACCTTCCCCTTCAGTCCCCTGCCCTATAACATAAATAGTCACAGGCTCCAGGGTTTACAATGTAGCCATCATTGGCGACAGTTATTCTTCCCACCACAGCACCCATTTCCCCTGTATTCAATCTCCCTTGACCCCAAATACAGTTGGGGCCTGGGTGATGGGACCCTGATGGACACCCCCACCAGAAGCTCTGGGATTCAGGAGGTGGGACAGTGAGAAGCCCAGACAGAAAGCCTCTGACCTGTGACCATGATCACCAGGGGGTTGCTGGGTGCCGACCACCCAGTGAGGGAGTGTGGGCGTGAACCCCGACATCTGTAGGTCCCTGCATGTGCTGGGGTCACAGGGCCCATGATGAAGCTCTCCTGGAATATTCTGCCGTGGAAGATGGGAACGTGGCTTCTGTCTTCTTTGTACAGCATGAAATTGTTAAACCCACGACGATAGTGACACTGAAGAGCCACGTGTCCTCCTCGAGGCACCACAGTGCTGGGCCGGGCAGACAGGAAGGGTTTGTCCTGACCACCTGGGGGAGAAGGAGGCACTGCCTTAGAGAGGAGGATGTGGAGCCACCCCTCCCTCCCTGTGCTCAGAAGATTCTCCCATTTCCGCTTTCTAAGGCTCCTACCACACCTGGGTGCCCAGGGCTACAGGAAGGACCCACCCCACATAGACATGGCGTCTCCCTACAACAAGTGTCAGCTGAGAACTTTGAGCAAGTGCTGAATAAGTGACTCTTACTAGATTTTAATACTGCAAAATTACTCACATAAAACAACACAAAGTAGACACGGCATGGAGGGCATGTCCTATGTGAATGGAATATCAGCCAATTCATGAACTGAGCCCCCTCAGAGGATTTGGAATGTCAGGGCCATGGCTGTGGTTTCCCCCCTCTTCTGGTAGAAAGACCGCAGCCACACTGCAGCCCCTACCGTCACGGAAACGCTGGAGGGTGTCAGTTATACCTTTGTCCTCAGAGGACCTGCTGTTCCTAGCACTGCTTCCCTCTCTTTCTCTGCTGCTGACACCACTTCCTCCCTGCACACCCCAGCTTGGAGCACCCCAGTCTCACCCCAGTCTTCACAGAGCTTGACTCAGGAAAGGGAAAGAAAGGCCAGGGAGGGCGAGGTCAGAAATGTGGGCCGAGTATCCAAGGGTCCCCTCTTCCTAGTTTATGAGAGACTCCCCGACAGGACTTCCCTCCTGTTTCAGAAAAATCCTCTTATGTGGGGAGATGACACCCTAAGGTTTGGGGACGGACTCACCCATGAGTGGCCAGGCCCCCTGCAGCAAGAAGAACCCTGGAAAGAAAGATCATGATAGACGATCCAACTGCAGGCAAACCAGGGCACCCTGCTGCCCCCACTGCACTGTGTGTCTTGGCAGCCAGGCCCTTGCTGGGCTGAAGGTAAACTTAGCCTCCCTGCTACCTGCTGCCAAGAACAGGGCTCTCAGCTGTGGAGAGACCCAGGCTCCAGGCCCAGATCAACACTTCCTGGCCCAGATCTCCACTCCAGGCCCATATCTCCACTCCAGGCCCCTATCTCCACTCCAGGCCCATATCTCCACTCCAGGCCCATATCTCCACATCAGACCCATATCTCCACTCCAGGCCCAGATCTCCCCTCTAGGCCCATATCTCCACTCCAGGCCCATATCTCCACTCCAGGCCCATATCTCCACATCAGACCCATATCTCCACTCCAGGCCCATATCTCCACTCCAGGCCCAGATCTCCACCTGCAGGCCCATATCTCCACTCCAGGCCCATATCTCCACTCCAGGCCCGTATCTCCACTCCAGGCCCATATCTCCACACCCAGGCCCATATCTCCCCTCCAGGCCCATATCTCCACTCCAGGCCCATATTTACACCTCCAGGCCCATATCTCCACACCCAGGCCCATATCTCCACTCCAGGCCCATATCTCCACTCCAGGCCCATATCTTTACCTCTAGGCCGAGATCTCCATCCCCACTCTCCCTCCCTCTATTCCCTTCCAGGACTCACCAACGCACGCCATGCTGACGACCGTGAGCGACATGGTGCTGCCGGTGCAGACAGGAGGCCGCGCCCCAGCTCAGCTCAGCAGCGCACAGGATGTTATTTGGCGCCCTGCCCATGCAGTTTACATGTTGACCACATCATGGGAGGGTGACGTACGCAGGCTCTTTCTACCTTGCATGAGGCCCAGTGGGTGCTCGCTCAAGAGCGGAACATGGCTTCCTGGAAATTGTTGTGACTACAATTGCCACCTTGCATCCTTCACTATGACCAGACTCAAAAGACGTCTCAGATCCAACCTCTCACACATGAGGTGATTGAATTCTGTGCTTACATTAAAGACTTTTGATGTATTTTTGTTTTTATCTGAGATTCAAACTTTTCTTCATGTGTAATGTGCAAAATATCTAAGAGGTATTATTAACATTATCAGAGTAATTGTGACAAAAAGCCATTCTAATTTTCCTGATGAGTTTCTAGTACTAAACCTGAGGCACGAGAATTGCTTGAACCTGGGAGGCGGAGGCTGCAGTGAGCTGAGCTCAAGCCACTGAACTCCAGCTTGGGTGACAGAGGAAGAGTCTGTCTCAAGAAAGAAAAAAAAAAGCAAACTAAATAACCTATAATAACAAATCAGAGAACTCAGGTTACCAAATTTTAAGGGGTTCTATAAGTTTATATGAAATGCAGCATCCTCATGAGAGGGGATACAGAGAACCACTGGGCAGAAAACTGTGTCTAAAATACATCTGTGGATACACAGTCCCTTTATAGTTGACAAAGGCTGCCATGTAGTTTAAGGTGGAATAGAATATTTTCTCAACAAATAACACAGGACCATAGGGTTACACGTAGGAAAAAATAAATCTAAACTTATCCTCACACTATAAAGACACTTCTTATTTTTTATCTTGTTGTTGTAAACTTTTTATGCTTTATTTTTAAGATTGACAAATAAAAATTATATACTGTGGTCCTTCACTATTCCTGGGTGATTGGTTCCAGGATCCCCATTCAGATACCAAAATCTGCAGATGCTCAAGCCCCTTGCATGAAATGGCATAGCGAAGCTGGGCACCGTGGCTCACGCCTGTAATCCCAGCACTTTGGGAGGCTGAGTTGGGTAGATCACGAGGTCAGGAGTTCAAGACCAGCTGGTCCAACATTCTGAAACCCCGTCTCTACTAAAAATACACACACAAAAAAATTTATCTGTGCATGGTGGCACGTGCCTGTAATCCTAGGGGAGGCTACTGGGGAGGCTGAGGGAAGACAATCGCTTGAACCTGGGAGGCGGAGGTTGCAGTGAGCTGAGATCATGCCACTGCACTCCAGCCTGGGTGAGAGAGTGAGACTGTCTCAAAAAAAAAAAAAAAATAGCATAGCAATTGCATAGAACCCATGCACATCCTCCTGTATACATGAAATCATCCCTTGATTACTTATAATTCCTGACACAGCCTACACGCCACTCAATTTGTGTCGATTCAACATAGTTTTTTGCTTCTTGAAACTTCGGGGATTTTTTTCTGAAAATATTTTTGATTTATTGTTGGTTCAATAAACACCTGTAAACCCCACAGATATGGAGGACCGACTGTATATTTATATTATGAAAGATGATATGTTGATATGTGTCCCCGTGGAGATGAGACTAACAAGGCCTATGACTCTACAAATGTTTCATCGTGGAATGACTCTGCCAGCTTTCCAGGTCTGCAGAGAGTAAGAATATCACTTGTTCATGTGATTCACGATCCTTGGAGCCTCCTATGTGCTGTATCTTTGGATGGAAATTGGAGTCTCAGAGACAAATCAGGCTCCATTCTGCTTCCAGAAGCTCAGAGTCCAGGGCTGAGAACCCAATGGAGAACAGATGGGGTTATGTGGACATGGTAATGATAACACCGGAAGCCTTAGGCAAGAAAAGAGTCTCGTTACCGAAACCATGAGGGCAGACATGTTTATTTGAAGGCGGGAAAACTACATTGAAATTATTTAAAAAATTTATAAGTTTTACTGCTGGCAGAAGGCTGAAAGATAGTCTGAAGGGAGGTGGAACAGCACGTGTCTAAGTGCTGTGTTAAGAGGCAGCCTCTTGTATGTTTGGAATTGTGAGTTCCTCAGTGTGATTGCAGCCTCAGGTAGACTAGGAAGTAAGCCAGTTAGGTTGGAGAGGTGGGCAGGGGTCAAGTGAAATGGAGAATTGTGGGCTAAGCAAAGGAGTGTGTTTTCTCTCCAGCAGGCAGTGGGGACCTTAGACATTTGTAAGCAAGAGAGAGGCATGTTCAGATTCGTGGTGTGAGGAAGAGCGATGCCCTAAGATGAAGACTGATGCCTTCAGATTCCAGCTGCTGGTACATGGGAGCTGGCAACCCGGTTTTGAGACAGGGCTGTTGTCTCCCTAGAAGATCCCCTCAAGGCCTGACTGTGGTGCTCGTGGACAGAAGACAACTTTGGATCTGGGCTCAGCATTTGGAAGTTCTATGTACATGCTGGTATCTGTTGGGGGTGTCTTGGGCCTCTCAGAAGGGCGAGTGATTTTTCTCTGTGTGAAAACACAGTGATCCAATTATGCGTATGACACCTCCTGATGGTCTTGTTCATCAGAATCCTGGAGAGAGGGAAATGCTGAGTGAGGGAGGGTGCTCACATTTTTCAGGACTCTTTGGGAATAAGACTAGCCACGAGGCTGGGCGGAGGAGCACCTACCTCGCTGTTCACTGTTCTGTTCCCTGCAGGCTCTTGGTCCATTACAGCAGCATCTGTAGAAGACGGAAGTCAACAAAAGAGCTCGGAGGGCACTTCTGGGTCCTCATTTCATAAGCAGATACCAACAAACAGGGGGAGGCCATAGGTGCCTGAGGTCCCTCAGTTGCCAACAGCAGACTCAGACATTCTATCTCTCTGAGTTCAAGGACCCATCCCATGAATAGCTCTGAGGTCCCATCCCATTGATTCTATCTCCCACTTTCTGCCTGTCATGGAACCTTCTCCTGGATGTGAGTGGCTGCAGGGGACGTGAGGATACAGTTCAGAATCAGGCAATGGTCTGTGAGCTGAAGGCAGGGGAAGGGAATCTGGTGCTCTCTCTAGAAAGTCCTGCCTCTGTGGCTCCTGTCTTGGGCCAGGGACCATCCTGCTGGTGAGGAACACACATCCGCGTGCTCCCATCCTGCTTCCCCACATGGCCCTGAGCTCTCTGGCCTCTGCTTCGTGAGACTTACTTTTTTTGTCGGAGCACCAGCGATGAAGGAGAAAGAAGAGGAGGATGGTGAAAGGGATTTTGACCACTGAGGTCCCAATCAGAACATGTAGGTGTCTGGGGTTACCTGGAAGAAGAGGAGACACCAATAAGAAGCTAATCATAGCAGTTCCTCTTTATGAATTGTCTCGCATTTCTTGATTGGCAGGTAACCACATACAACGTCTCTTTAGGACAAGCACCCAAATGGCGGGAGACCTAGCTTTCCCCTGCTTTCTCAATTATAGCTCTCATAGTAACCATAGAACGTGCTGAGGATACAACTACTTTAGTTGAGATGTTTGACCCTTTCAAACCTCACATTGAAATTTCACCCCCATTGTGGGAGGTTGGGCCTCTTCAGAGGTGTTTGGGTCATGGAGGTGGATCCATCATGAACAGATCAATGCTGTCCCAAGGAGACGGGGTTAGCAAGTTCCCCCTCTGTTAGTTCCTGGAGAGCTGGTTGTTAAAAAGAGCTTGGAAGCTCCATCGCTCCCTCTCCCCCTTACTCTCTCTCTTGCCGTGTGATCTCTGCGGTCTCTGCACAGACAGACCCTCCTTCCCTTCTGCCAGAGTGGGAGCAGCCTGAGGCCGTCACGAGAAATAGATTCTGGTGCCATGCTTCCAGTACAGCCTGCAGAACTGTGAGGCAAACCAATCTCTTTTCTTTAGAAGTTACCCAGGCTCAAGTGTTCCTTTAGAGCAACAAAAATGGACTAAGATAGCAACATCCTGAGATCAGGAGGAATGTCTCAGAACAGCCTGGGCTGTCTTCCTGTTCTTCCTGGAGGAGGACGTCATGCAGTGCTTTAGCTGAGTGCTTCCTGTGGCTCCAGGGTACAAAACCCAGGCTGGGCTGCTTTCTGGCTTCCCGCAGCTACACTGCAAATGGGGTGACTCCATATGTCCCGAGCAGCTTTTCTGAGCCTTGAGGGACTGGCTCACATTGAAATGCAGGCTTCTGTTGTCACTCGCTGCTTATCTGTTAGTAATGAACCTGCCTATGTAACGTATTCTCTGTGTGTTCTGTCTCCCTGGAGTGACGGTGAGTGATAGGAATTGGCATAGGCCCAGGTGCAGTCCAGGATTTGTTTAGAGTCTTCTCTGGGAAGACTGCACTGGGATTGATACACAGCGAATGTGCTTTAGGATTTCTACATCCACAGCATTCTTGAGTCAAACAAATTGCATTCACCAAGGAAAGGAAACAAAGGTGAAATCACGATTAAAAATAGCGAAGCAAGATTCTCTTATGTCAAACAGCCAGGAAATAGTGTTGAAGCCCGTGTGAAATGTGCTACTCTTTGTGATCTCGGGAGACACATGTTAGGCTGCTGTTCTACCCGAGAGGCTGGGGGAAGGACCACCCCCTCGACCATCTATTGCTTCAATACCACCTGTCCTCCTGTGAATTAGTAGGAAAGGGGAACAGGAGCTAGTGCTGTCGCTGATCTCTGATTCCAAGATCTGGACTCACTCCAAGGAGTATTAATGTTTCCTCCCCATGGTCTATCTGAATCTCCACAGGTGATTGGAAGTAGGGGTGAGGTGGGGGATTTGGGTGAGTGGGCAAGTTTTTTTTTGCGATGACCAGAGCACTTTCTCTATTCCAGGATCCGTGCTGGAGGATTCAGCGGGCTTTCACATTTTCTATGTGATCTCATGCTCACAGAAAGCCAAATAGGGAAGAGGTTTTAGGCTCATTGCCTAATGGATAAGATAAAGGATCAAAGAAGTAATTATAGAGAAATAGAAAAATGATGATTGGAATTCAGGTGCCTTTGTCATTCGTGTGTGTTTTATTATATTTATGCATTTCTTATTTTTATTTTTTGAGACGGAGTCTCCTTGTGTCACCCAGGCTGGAGTGCAGTGATGCAATCTCCACTCACTGCAACCTCCACCTCCTGGGTTGAAGTCATTCTCCTGCTTCATCCTCCAGAGTAGGAGCTGGGATTACAGGGATGCACCACCATGCTCGGCTAATTTTTGTATTTTTAGTACAGATAGGGTTTCACCATGTTGGCCAGGCTGGTCTGGAACTCCTGACTTCATGGAATCCACCCGCCTTGGCCTCCTGCAGGGCTGGGTTACAAGCATGAGCCACCGTTCACAGACTTGTATATTATGCTATAATAGGTCCCTTCATTTCCACCACCCCTCATATATCTGTCACTCCTTTGCCAGGTATTGATTTATGTGTAGGATGAATAAATCTCAGAAAGAAATTAATTAAGCGAGGATTAAACAAGTAGGAAAATCAAACCCAGCAAGCCTTTCCAGCCAATGATTCTACCTCACAAGCATATCTTATATCCATCTACTTCATTCATTTAGTGTCTAAATCAGCACCACATTTCACCAGTGGGGCGGCAATTGCCTTTTCCACAGTCTCCTAGATTCCAGTTACGCACCTGGGCCTCCCTTATTTTCTTGTCAGTCACTATTAATCATGTAGGGATTCCTGGTTACCCCGAGGTGAATCCAATGGCTGTGAGTGTCAAACACACACTCCTTGTTCCTCCTTAGTTTCCTGTGTACCCAGAGTGCTCTCCATCTCTCTACAGTCATCTTGTCATTCTCCCCACCTCATTCCCAGCATTTCAGGCAGAGCCTCTTCCTTCAACATCAGATTGTTTTCACCTTTGTGCCTTCACAGCTGACAGCTGTGTGTGGAAAATCCTTCCGCCAATCTTTCAGGGGTTCAATCCGTGTTTTTCATTAATGTCACAAATATCTGATTAGTGAGACCTTCTCTGTCACCCAAAATTATACACTCAGCATTATCTATTATTTATTTTGAATTCTGGCTGGGCAAAGTGGCTCACGCCTGTAATCCCAGTACTTTGGGTTGCTGAGATGGTCGGATCACTTGAGGTTGGGAGTTTCAGACAAGCTTGGCCAACATGGTGAAACATCCTCTCTACAAAAAATATACAAAAAGAATTAGCCGGGCATGGTGGCAGTTGCCTGTAATCCCAGCTACTCGAGAGGGTGAGGCAGGAGAATCACTTGGATCCAGGAGACGCAGGTTGCAGTGAGCCAAGATCGTGACACTGCACTGTAGCCTGGAAGACAGAGGGAGACTCTGTCTCAATAAACAAACGAACGAACAAACAAATAGATTTCATGCACAGATGCTTCCCAATGGATCATTCATTTATTGGTCCACTTGTGCATTCATTTTCTGTCCTCCCATTTAACCATCTGCAATATCAGTGTCCCAAGAGCAGAGGCCAAATGCATCTTGTTCACCATTTGTGGAAGGCAGGAGAATGCTGTCCCACCCCAAAATGTCCCTGTCCTAGCCTCCATAGCTTGTGAATATGTTATTTTACATGGAAAGGAGGAATGAAGATTGCAGATGGAATTATGGTTGCTAATCAGCTGAACTTAAAACAAGGGTATCCTGAATGATTTCCGGGAGATTATGACGGATTTTCATCTTGGTGAACCCAATAGAATCCCCAAGTTTTCAAAAGATGAGGAAGAAGGGAGAGCAGCATTCAGAGAAAGAGGTGTGGTAAGGAAGAAGGGTCTGAGTGATGCCATGTGAGATGTGACCAGTCTTTGTGGGTTTTGAGGAAGGAGGAAAGGGACCAGCAGCCAAGGAACTGGGAGCCTTTATAAGATGGGACAAGTGAGAAGCAGATTCTTGCCTGGAATCCTCAGAGGGAAGGCAGGCTTGCTGTCATCTTGATTTTAGCCCAGTGAGATGCACTTCATGCTTTGAGCTAGAGCACTGTAAGATAATTAAATAACCGTTTTGTTTTCACCCACGAATCTTGTGGAAATTTGTTATGGCAACAATAGGAAAAGCTTCCACACTGCACAACCTGAGCATGGGGCCGTGGCTGAATAAGTCAGTGAGTCAAAGTGTGCGTGCATGAGCTCTGTTCTCTGTTACGGCAAGGCTCTTGCTCTGCTGAGTCAGCCAGGGTTGTTTCATGACCAACAGGAGCTCATTCCTTGGCAAGTGGAACTTCTCTAAAACACCTCGCCCTCATCAGATGTTCGCTTCCCTTCCCTCTCTCAAGCCCCCAGGAATTTATCCTCCAGTTAGGAATGCAAGCAGAACAAACATTGCGTTTTTCCTGAGAAGGATGTCAGATTGGCAATCATTCTTCTAGCTTGTAGGAGGTCTCAGCTCCATAAAATGAGAGATGAAGAGATTTCACTGAGCCCTGTGTTGGGCCCAGATCCCTTTCGCTGTTGGAGTATCTGGAGTTCGGAGATGGTAGAAGACAGGCGTACAATGTCAGAGCTGTGAGATGCTGAGTCAACGCCTGAATCCAAGGTTTCCACCTCCCCAGGGTTCCAAAAGCGGATATAAGAGGGTCCTGTACTCACCGGTTTTGGAGCTTGGTTCAGTGGGTGAAGGCCAACTATTTGAAGGGTTTCCTAGAACATGAGACAGGAGAGAGGTGAGGAAATGAGGGTGTCTGTCCTCTACTCAGTGGAAATCTTTGAGTTTGGTTCATGGCCAACACTCTGTTATCTAACATTGGGCCCTGGGAGTCCAGGGATCCTTTCTTCCATAATTTTTGTATGTGACGCCCACTGTCTTGAGACTTCAAGGTATAAAGAGAAAACAGGAGCATCACACTACCTGATCTCAAAATATGTTACAGAGCTGTAGTAAGCAAAACAGCATGATGTTGGCATGAAGAAAGGCACATAGAACAACGGAGCAGAATGAAGAACACAGATATAATCCATGCATTTACATCCAATTTTTTTTATTTTTTCTTTTGAGATGGAGTCTCGCTCTGTCACCCAGGCTGGAGTGCAGAGGTGCAATCTCGGTTCACTGCAACCTCAGCCTCCTGGGTTCAATCAATTCTCTTGCCTCAAACTCCTGAGTAGTAGTATTACAGGTGCTGACCACCATGCTCAGCTAATTTTTATATTTTTAGTGGAGACGAGGTTTCATCACGTCGGCCAGAGTAATCTTGTACTCCTGTCCTCAGGTGATCCACCAGCCTTGGCCTCCCAAAGTGCTGAAGTTGCTGGTGTTAGCCACCATGCCCAGCCCATCCAATGGACTTTGACAAAGGTGCCAAGAACTCACAATCAGGAAAGGACAGTTTTTTCAATAAACAGTGCAGGGAAACCTGGACATCTACATGCAGAGGAATGAAACTGCACCTCTACCTGTCACCATACACAAAAATCAAATGAAAGTGGATTAAAGATGTGAGTCTAAGGCCTGAACCTGTGAAACACGTAGAAGAAAATATTGGGGAAATGCTCCAGTACATTTGTCTGAAGGAAGACATTTTGTTTTAAACCTTCAAAACACAAGTAATCGAAGCAAAAATAGACCATTGGGATTACCTCAAACTAAGCAACTTCTGCACCGCTAAAAATAAACCAACAAAGTGAAGAGACAACCCACAGATTGGGAGCAAATATGTGCAAACTATGCATCTGAGACGGGATTAATAACTAGAAGTATAAGAAGCTCAAACAACTCAATAAAACAAATGATTTAATTGAAAAAGGAGCAAAAGACATGAAATTTCCCCACATACGAAAAAGTGCTCAGTATCACTCATCATCAGAGAAACGCGAATTAAAATCAAAGTGAGTTTTCATCTCACCCCATTAAAATGGCTTTTAGGCCGGGCGAGGTGGCTCACGTCTGTCATCCTAGAACTCTGAGAGCCCGAGGTGGGCGAATCTCATAAGGTCGGGAGTTTGAGACCAGTCTGACCCACATGGAGAAACGCTGTCTCTACTAAAAATACAAAAATTAGTCGGGCGTGGTGGCGTGTGCCTGTAATTCCAGCTACTCGGGAGGCTGAGGCAGGAGAATCGCTTGAACCTGGGAGGTGGAGGTTGCGGTGAGCCGAGATCGCACCACTGCACTCCAGCCTGGGTGACAAGAGCGAAACTCCATCTCAAAATAAAATGAAATAAAATAAAATGGCTTTTAGCTGCAAGACAGGCAAAACAAATGCTGGCAAGGTGGTAGAGAAAGGAGAACCCTGGTACCCTGTTGGTAGGAGTGTAAATTAGTACAGCCATTACGGAGAAAAGTATGGAAGTCCTTTAAAGAACTAAAAAGAGGTTGGATGAAGTGGATCATGCCTGTAATCCCGGCACTTTGGGAGACCGAGGCGGGCACCTCAGTTGAGGTCATGAGTTTGAGAGCAGCCTAGCCAACCTGGGGAAACCCCATGTACACTAAAAAAAACCAAAAAGTATCCCGGCATGGTGGCGTGCACCTGTAATCCCAGCTACTAGGGAGGCTGAGGCAGGAAAATCATTTGAACCCAGGAGGCGGAGGTTGCAATGAGCCAAGATCACATCACTTGTACTCCAGCCTGGGCACAGAGGGAAACTGTCTCAAAAACAAAAACAAAACAACAAACGAAAAACTAAAAAGAGAACTTTCATAGTATCCAGCAATTTCACTACTGGGTTTATATCCAAAGGAAAGTAAATCAATGTATCGAAGTGATATCTGCACTCGTATGATTGGTGCAGCACTCTTCACAGTAGCCAAGATGTGGAGTCAACCTACCTGCCCATCAGTGGATGAATGGATAGAGAGAATGTAGTACATACGCACAGCGGAGACTACTCATCCATAGAAAGAATAACATCCTGATATTTGCAGCCACATGGATGGAACTGGAAGTCATTACAAATATTCTCATTTCTCACCCATATACAGGAGCTAAAAGGTGGATCTCATGAAGATAGAGAGTAGAATGGTGGCTACCAGAGGCCAGGAAGAAAAGGGTGGAGGATAAAACAAACAAACAAAAAATTTATATGTATGTATTTATGACCACTAGACCTTACACTTAAAATTGGTAAACGTGGCCGGGCGCGGTGGCTCATGCCTGTAATCCCAGCACTTTGGGAGCCTGAGGCGGGTGGATCACGTGGTCAGGAGTTCCAGAGCAGCTCGACCAACATGGTGAAACCCCCTCTCTACTAAAAATACAAAAAGTAGCCCGGCGTGGTGATGGGCGCCTGTAGTACCAGCTACTCAGGTGGCTGAGGCAGGAGAATCGCTTGAACCCAGGAGGCGGAGGTTACAGTGAGCTGAGATTGTGCCACTGCATTCCAGCATAGGAGACAGAGCTAGACTCCACCTCAAAAAAAAAAAAATGTTAAAAGTGGTAAGCTATATAGGTATATTTAACCTCAATGAATATTTTTTCAAACAAAAAGAAAAGGATGTAGGGGTTGCTGGTGATGACATCTCTGTGTGGGTGAGAGGCCAGGAAGGGCTTCTGGGAAATGGGTAAGGTTGAGGGGCTGAGGGAACCTCTGATCTCCCCAAACTGAGCCCAGTCTCCCCTTCTCTGGGTCTCTCCTGACCGCTTTCTACATCTGCCTGGGTTTCTGGAGCCCTAATCGGAGGCCTCCATGCAGGCCATGCAGGAGGGTTTGGAGGTGCTGTGTGTGCCATCCTGCGCCCTGATCCCTCCCTCACAGGCATGCTGCGTCTTCTCTCTGCATCTGTCCATGCTTCTCTCCATCATCAGCAGGAAGCTCCTCAGCTAAGGCTCTAGGATCATAGGACATGGGACAGATATGGGGTTTCCTCACCTGTGACGGAAACAAGCAGTGGATCACTCGAGTTTGACCACTCGTAGGGAGCGTCACGGAAAGAGCCGAAGCATCTGTAGGTCCCTCCGTGGGTGGCAGGGCCCAGAGGAAAGTCGGCCTGGAATGTTCCGTTGATGCTGCGCACTGCAGGGAGCCTACGTTCATGGGCCTCCCCTTCCCTGGATAGATGGAGCTGCAGGACAAGGTCACATTCTCTCCTGCCTGAACCGTGGGGCCCGGCTGGGCTGAGAGAGAAGGTTTCTCATATAGACCTGGAAGGAGAAGGGGCAGTTTCCTCAGGGGGGATCTTCCTTGTCACAGCTCCCCTCACACCTGACCTGAGAACTCACTCCCCTGCTCTATGGCCTAATGCTCTCTTTCTCTGTCTCACCCTCCACCCTATCTCTCTTCATGTCTATTTCCTCCTTCCACCTTCTCTGTCTCTGTAGGTCTCTGACCTCACTTCCCTACCTCTAGTTATGTTTTCCGTTTTTGGATTGTTTTATTCTCTCTGGCTCTCCTTGGATTGGTTGACTTGATGTTACTTTTTTTAACTCTGAGTTTCTCAGTTTGTGTCCCGTTCATAACTTTCTGCATATTTCTATCTATTATCTATCAATCCATCTATTTATCTATTCGGTGCCTATCTACAAATTCTCTACCTGTCATCTATATCTATATATCATCTATTTATCTATCAATTGTCTATCCGTCAATCATCTATTATCTATATATATGTATCATCTCTCTCTCTCTATTATTTCTCTCTTTGTCTTCCTCTCTATCTCTATGTATTATCTATCCATCTATCTTCATCATCATCATCTCTATGTATCATCTATTAATGAATCAATCAATCATCATCTATGTATCTATAACCTATTATCTATCATCTACCTATATATCATCTATCTATATCTATCCATCATCTATCTGTATCTATCCATCTATCATCTGTCTTGCTCTGCCTCTCGGTCTCTCTAGTTCTCTTTGGAATCTCTGCAATTCATCCCCACATCTCCATCTTTCTATGCCCTTGTGCCTCGCCCTCAGGACTCTAATTTTAGTGGTTTTCTCTGCTCTCTTCCATCATTCTCTCCACTTCTCTGCCCTCTTCTCTCTCTTTATGTGTCTGTGAGTCTCTCAATCTCCTTCCTCTGGCTCTTTCTCTGTGTGTTTATGTCTTTGCTTTTTGGTGTCCCTGATTTCTCTCTGTGCTTCTCAGTGATCCTCTCATATGTGATATGTGGGGTTATTTGGAATGTGAGCCTCAGAATCCAGTCTGGAGACCACAAGTTCACACAGCATACAGGGGTTGGTGTTCTGGGGCCATGATATTTTGGGACGATTATTCTCCATTGCATGGAAGTCAGAGGTGTCAGAATAAGCATGGCATCTGTAGGTGCCACAAGGCCTGAGGCCACAGGGCCCAACTCAGGTCAGAAATATGGGTGTCCTTGGGTTCTCCTGGTAGAGAACACTTTGTGGAGGTAAAACAGAAATGAAACTTCTAACCTGTGCCAGGTCTCTGAGCAAAGTCAGCATGGAAGGACACCTCTGTCTGGGACATGTCTGTCTGTCTCCTTTAACTCTTTCTGTCTTTTCTAACTCCCTGTATGGCCCCTGTGTTTGTCCTCTGTTATGACACCTGGTCTGTACTTGTGTCTCTTGTTTCTCTGTCTCTGTTGGCACAGACCTCACCAAGTCAGTCTCTCTCCATAAGAATACCAAGCTCATCTTCCTTACAACCACCTGGGTCTCCAAGTCCTGGATCATTCACTCTGCATCCCAATGACAATGAGAAGAATGTCTGGACACTCTCACCTATGATCACCATGTCCAGAGGGTCACTGGGAGCTGACAACTGATAGGGGGAGTGAGGAACAGAACCGTAGCATCTGTAGGTTCCTGCAAGGACAGGCATCATGGGACCAATGGAGAAGTTGGCCTTGGAAACCCCATCATGGTGCTCTCCAATGAGGTGCAAAGTGTTGTTAAACTTCCCCTCTCTGTGCAGAAGGAAGTGCTCAAACATGACATCCGACCAACATTGCAGGATGACTGTCTCTTCTGATTTCACCAGGTGACCTGGGAGGGCCAGGAAGGAAGGTTTTCTGTGGACTCCTAGGAAGAGAGGTTGTGAGTTTAGAAGGTGTCTCTCTTTATCATCCCATCCATGGCACCTGGAATGAGTGAGCCTTCCCTTCGCTGGTGTCTGTCTCTCTGCTTCCTCTCTGTGTCTTCATGTTCTTTTCTGTGCCCATAACTCCTGGTGCAGGTCCTTCCATCTGTCTCCCTCCCTCTTCTCTGTCCCTCTGTCTCTAGTAGCTGTGATTCCCTTCCCACTGGGCTCAGCCTCATCTCTTGGGCTGTTGTATCTATTTCACACTAATGTCTTTCTTACTGTCTATGTGGGAGTGGAAGAGGAAGCAGGATAGGCTGCACGTCCCGGCTCTTAGCAGCTTGGTTCAATCTCTTTTGGACGAATTGGAATCCTTGGCAGGAGGTATGAACTGATCAGTAAGGCAGGCACCAGTGTCCACACACCCTGTTCCTGGTGGGGACTGGGAGCCACTCTTGCCATGTCTGTGCCTTCTCCATGGTGCCAGTTTCCATAGGCTGGCTCCTCGTGCTGATTTGAGGAGTATCAACCCCTCCCTATGTGGATGGAGCCTGGTGGTGGCATCATCATCCCACCCTTGCTGATCTCGGTGTAGCCAACCTTCTCTTTGTTTGGTTTCTTTAATTAATTAATTAATTTTGGAGACAGAGTCTCACTCCTTCACCCAGGCTGGAGTGAAGTGGTGTGGTCTACGCTCACTGCAACCTCTGTCTCCTGGGTTCAAGCGATTCTCCTGCTCTCAGCCTCCCGAGTCGCTAGGATTACATGCACCTGCCACCATGCCTGGCTATCCTTGTGTCTTTTCTTAACTTGTCCTTGACCTGGGTTCCAGTGTTGGTTTCCTGTTGCTGCTGTAGAAAATTATCAGAAGCATGGCAGCAGGAGAGAGCACACTGACCCCCTCCGATTCTGGAGACAGAAAGCGGACCCTGTTTTTCGAGGGCTAAAATCAAGGCATCTGCAGGGCTGTGTTCCCTCTGGAGACTCAGGAGAATCAGTTACTTGACTTTCCCAGCCTCTATAGGCCACCTGCATTCATGGCTTATGGCCTTCATCCACCTTCAAAGCTGATGGAGTCTCCCACTACGCTGCTCTAATCCCCACTCTCCTCTTCCTCCTCCTTTCATGTGGACACTTGTGATTATACTGAGCCCACCGGGACAGTCCAGGCTGTCTCCCCATCTCAAGGTCAACTCATCAACAACCTGAGCTCCATCTTCCCCTTCAGTCCCTTCCCCTATAACATAAATAGTCACAGACTCCAGGGATTAGAATGCAGTCATCACTGGGGACACTTATTCTTCCCACCACAGCACCCATTTCCCTGTATTCAATCCCCCTTTACCCCAAATACAGTTAGGGCCTGCGTGATGGGACCCTCAAGGACATGCCTACCAGAAGCTCTGGGATTCAGGAGGTGGGACAAGGAGAATCCCAGACAGGAGCCCTCTGACCTGTGACCACGATCACCAGGGGGTTGCTGGGTGCCGACCACCCACTGGGGGAGTGTGTGTGTGAACCCCGGCATGTATAGGTCCCTGCATGTGACGTGGTCACAGGGCCCATGAAAAGGCTTTTCCAGAATATTCTGTTGTACAGCTCAGGGACAGGCACCCCATCATCCTTGTACAGACTGAAGTTGTTAAACCCAAGATTAGAGTGACACTGAAGAGTCACATGTTCTGGAGGCACCACAAGGCTGGGCCAGGTAGAAAGCAAGGGCTTGTCCTGACCACCTTGGGGTGAAGGAGGCGCCGCCTTAGAGAGGAGGATGTGGAGCTGTGCCTCCCTCCCTGTGCTCAGAAGATTCTCCCCACTTTCCACATTTCTATGGCTGCTATCACACCTTGGTGCCTAGGGCTAAAGGAAGGACCCATCCCACAAAGACAAGGTGTCTCCGTACAACAAAAGTGTCAGCTGAGAACTTTGAGCAAGTGCTGAGTAAGAGACTCCTACTAGATTTTAATACTGTAAGATTACTGACATAAAACAACACAGGGTAGACATGAAGTGGAGGGCATGTCCTTTGAGAATGGAATATCAGCAGTTGCCTGAATGAAAATAAAAAACTTAGCCCCCATCAGAGGATTTGGAATGTCAGGGCCATGGCTGTGGTTTCCCACCTCTTCTGGTAGAATGACAGCAGCCACACTGCAGCCCCTACCGTCATGGAAACGCTGAAGTGTGTGAGTAACACCTTTGTCCTCAGAGGATCTGCTGTTCCTACCACTTCCCCACCACACAACCCAGCTTTGAACACCCTAGTCCAACCCTGGTCCCCACACAACTTGACTCTGCCAAGGGGTTGAGAGGCCAGGGAGGCAAGGTCGGAACTGTGGGCCGAGCACCCCAGGGTCCCCTCTTCCTAGTTTATGAGAGACTCCCTGACAGGACTTCCCTCCCGTTTCAGGAAAATCCTCTTATGTGGGGAGATGACACCCTAAGGTTTGGAGAAGGACTTACCCTCCTGTGGCCAGGCCCCCTGCAGCAAGAAGAACCCTGGAAAGAAAGATCATGATGGAAGATCCATTTGCAGGCAAACAAGGCCTTCCTTGCTGCCCCCACTGGGCTGTGAGTCTTGATAGCCAGCCCCTTCCTGGGCCGAAGGGAAACTCACCATCAGAGCCTACCTGCACCCAAGAACAGTGCTCTCGGCTGTGCAGAGACCCAGCCTCCAGGCCCATATCCCCACCCCAAGCCCATATCTCCACTCCAGGCCCATATCTCCACTCCAGGCCGATATTTCCACCCTAGACCCATATAGCCAATCCGGGCCCACATCTCCAATCCAGGCTCAGATCTCCACCCTCGGCCCATATCTCCAATCCAGGCCCATATCTCCACTCCAGGCCCATATCTCCACTCCAGTCCCATATCTCCTCTCCAGTCCCATATCTCCACTCCAGGCCCATATCTCCACCCCAGGCCCAGATCTCCACCTCCAGGCCCATAACTACACTCCAGGATCATATCTCCACTCCAAGCCCATATCTCCACATCAGGCCCATATCTCCACTCCAGTCCCATATCTCCACACCCAGGCCCATATCTCCATTCCAGGCCCATATCCCCATCCTAGGCCCATATCTCCACCGTAGGCCCAGATCTCCACTCCAGGCCCATATCTCCACTCCAGGGCCATATCTCCACTCCAGGCCCATATCTACACACCAGGCCCATATCTCCACCCCATGCCCATGTCTCCACTCCAGATCCATATCTCCACCCCACGCCCATATCTCCACTCCAGGCCCATATCTCCAACCCACGCCCATATCTCCACCTCCAGGCACATATCTCCACCCCACGCCCGTATCTCCACTCCAGTCCCATATCTCCACTCCCGGCCCATGTCTCCACCCCATGCCTATATCTCCACTCCAGTCCCATATCTCCACTCCAGGCCCATATCTCCACTCCAGACCCATATCTCCACTCGGCCCATGTCTACACTCCAGGCCCATATCACCACCTCCAGGCCCATATCTCCACTCCAGGCCCATATCTCCACCTCCAGGCCCGTATCTCCACTCCAGACCCATATGTCCACTCCAGGCCCATATCTCCACTCCAGGCCCATATCTCCACTCCAGGGCCATATCTCCACTCCAGGCTCATATCTCCACTCCAGGCCCATATCTCCACTCCAGGGCCATATCTCCACTCCAGGCTCATATCTCCACTCCAGGCCCATATCTCCACTCCAGGGCCATATCTCCACTCCAGGCCCAGATCTCCACCTCCAGGCCCGTATCTCCACTCTAGTCCCATATCTCCACTCCAGGCCCATATCTCCACCTCCAGGCCCATAACTTCACTCCAGGCCCATAACTCCACTCCAGGCCCATATCTCCACCTCCAGGCCCATATCTCCACTCCAGGGCCATATCTCCACTCCAGGCTCATATCTCCACTCCAGGCCCATATCTCCACTCCAGGGCCATATCTCCACTCCAGGCCCAGATCTCCACCTCCAGGCCCCTATCTCCACTCTAGTCCCATATCTCCACTCCAGGCCCATATCTCCACCTCCAGGCCCATAACTTCACTCCAGGCCCATAACTCCACTCCAGGCCCATATCTCCACCTCCAGGCCCATATCTCCACTGCAGACCCATATCTCCACTCCAGGCCCATATCTCCACTCCAGGCCCAGATCTCCACTCCAGGCCCAGATCTCCACTCCAGGCCCAGATCTCCACCTCCAGGCCCCTATCTCCACTCTAGTCCCATATCTCCACTCCAGGCCCATATCTCCACCTCCAGGCCCATAACTTCACTCCAGGCCCATAACTCCACTGCAGACCCATATCTCCACTCCAGGCCCATATCTCCACTCCAGGACCATATCTCCACTCCAGGCTCATATCTCCACTCCAGGCCCGTATCTCCACCTCCAGGCCCATAACTTCACTCCAGGCCCATAACTCCACTCCAGGCCCATATCTCCACTCCAGTCCCATATCTCCACTCCAGTCCCATATCTCCACCCTAGGCTCCTACCTCCCCTCCAGGTTCCTATCTCTCCTCCAGGTTCCTCTCTCCACTCCAGGTTCCTATCCCCACTCCAGGCCCATATCTCCACTCCAGGCCCAGATCTTCACTCCAGGCCCAGATCTCCACTCCAGGCGCAGATCTCCACTTCTAGGCTCATCACTCCATCTCTAGGCCCAGATCTCCACTCCAGGCCCATAACTCCACCTCCAGGCCCATATCTCCACCTCTGGGCCCAGATCTCCATCCCCACGCTCCCTCCCTCTATTCCCTTCCAGGACTCACCAACACACGCCATGATGATGACCATGAGCGACATGGTGCTGCCGGTGCAGACAGGCGGCCGCGCCCCAGCTCAGCTCAGCAGCGCACAGGATGTTATTTGGCGCCCTGCCCATGCAGTTTACATGTTGACCACATCATGGGAGGGTGACGTACGCAGGCTTTTTCTACCTTGCATGAGGCCCAGTGGGTGCTCGCTCAAGAGCAGAACATGGCTTCCTGGAAATTGCTCTCACTAGAATTGACACCTCGCGTCCTTCACTATGACCAACTCAAAACATGTCTTAGATCCAACCTCCCAAACATGAGATGCCTAAAATCTGTGCTAACATGAAAGACTTTTCATGAATTTTTATTGTTTTTATCTGAGATTCGAACTCTTCTTCCTGTGTAATATGCAAAATATCTAATAGGTATTATTAGTGTTTTCAGAGTCATTGTGACTAATAAACCATTAGAATTGTTCATGCTTGTATTTCTAGTATTACAGCAGAACCAGTTCAAATGATTTAAATTCCCAGGGAAGGATTATGCAATTATTTACAATCTTAGAATTGTACTTTATCAGCAAAAACCACACATGTAAATTCTGGATTTTTGTAGTTTTATCTATAATTTGTCTCATGACTCAAGATTCCAGAGTCCCAACTCTGGAGTTTGCTCTCTCTCTGTCTCTCTGCCTCCCTCATTTTAAATTTTACAGAAATATCCAGTAACATAATGCTATAGAAAATCAAGTTTCCCCCAGCAGGTCGGGAAGCCGAGGTGGGCGGATCAACTGAGATGAGGAGATTGAGAGCAGCCTGGCCAACACAGTGAAACCGCGTCTCTGCTAAAAATTCAAAAATTAGCCATGCCTGGTGGCAGGCACCTGAAACGCCAGCTACTCAAGAGACTGAGGCACGAGAATCGCCTGAACCTGGGAGGCGGAAGTTGCAGTGAGCTGAGATTGCTCCACTACAGTCCCGCCTGGGCGACAGAGCAAGACTCCGCCTCAAGAAAAAAAAATAGCAAGTAGCCTATAATAACAAATTAGAGGGCTCTGGCTACTAAATTTAAAGGGTTTTATAAGGCTACATGAAGTGCAGCATCCTCAAGAGTGTGGACACAGAGAGCCCCTTAGCAGAAACAGTGTCTAAAATACATCCGTGTACACACAGTCCCTTTAGAGTTGACAAAGGCTGCCGTGTGGTTTAAGGTGGCATAGAATGTCTTCTTAATAAATAATATTAAACCAAAGGGTTACACGTAGGAAAAAATAAATCTAAACTTATTCTCACACTATAAAAACACTTCTTACTTTTTATCTAGTTATTGTACATTTTTTATGATTTATATTTAAAATTGAGAAATAAAAGTCATATACGGTCATCCTTTACTATTCGTGGGTGATTGGTTTCAGGATCTCCACTCAGGTACCAAAATCTGCAGATGCTCAAGCCTCTTACATAAAATGACACAGCATTTGGATATAACCCATGCACATCCTCCTGTATACATGAAATCATCTCTTGATTACTTATAATTCCTGATACAGCCTACACACTGCCTCATTTGTGTCCATTCAACATAGTTTTGCATTTTGAAACTTTGTGGACATTTTCTCTGAATATTTTTGATTTACACTTGGTTCAATAAACACCTGTAAACCCCACAGATATGGAGGAGCGACTGTATATTTATAGTATGAAATATGATGTGTTGATATGTGTCCCCGTGGAGATGAGACTAGCAAGGCTTATGACTCTACAAATGTTTCATCGTGGAATGACTCTGCCAGCTTTCCAGGTTGCAGAGAGTAAGAATATCACTTGTTCATGTGATTCACGATCCTTGGAACCTCCTATGTGCTGCATCTTTGGATGGAAATTGGAGTCCCAGAGACAAATGAGGCTCCACCCTGCTTCCAGAAGCTCAGAGTCCAGGGGTGAGAACCCAGCGGAGAACAGATGGGGTTATGTGGACATGGTAATGATAACAGCGGTTTCTTTCAGCGAATACAGTGTCACATTACCTGAAGCAATGAGGGCAGACATGTTTATTTGAAGAGGAGACAGCTACATTGAAATCACAAAAAATTTTATAAGTTTCACTGCTGACAGAAGGCTGGAAAATAGTCCGAAGAAAGGTGAAACAGCATGAGGGAAGGTGGAACAGCACGTGGGTAAGTGCCACGTCAAGAGGGAGCCTCTTGTATGTTTGGAATTGTGAGTTCCTCAGTGTGATTGCAGCCTCAAGTAGACTAGGAAGTAAGCCAGTTAGGTTGGAGAGGTGGGCAGGGGTCAAGTGAAATGGAGAACTGTGGGCTAAGCAAAGGAGTGTGTTTTCTTTCCAGCAGGCAGTGGGGACCTAGACATTTGTAAGCAAGAGAGAGGCACCAGATTTGTGGCGTGAGGAGGAGCGATGCCCTAAGATGAAGACTCACGCCTTCAGATTCCAGCTGCTGGTACATGGGAGCTGGCAACTCGGTTTTGAGACAGGGCTGTTGTCTCCCTAGAAGACGTCCTCAAGGCCTGACTGTGGTGCTCATGGGCAGGAGACAACTTTGGATCTGGGCTTAGCATTTGGAAGTTCCGTGTACAAGATGGTATCTGTAGGGGGTGTCTTGGGCCTCTGAGAAGGGCGAGTGATTTTTCTCTGTGTGAAAACGCAGTGATCCAACTGTGCGTATGTCACCTCCTCAGGGTCTTGTTCATCAGAGTCCTGGAGAGAGGGAAATGCTGAGTGAGGGAGGGAAATGCTGAGTGAGGGAGGGTGCTCACGTTTTCCAGGACTGTTTGGGAATAACACTAGCCACGAGGCTGGGCCGAGGAGCACCTACCTCGCTGTTGGCTGTTCTGTTCCCTGCAGGCTCTTGGTCCATTACAGCAGCATCTGTAGGAGACGGAAGTCAACAAAAGAGCTCGGAGGGCACTTCTGGGTCCTCATTTCATAAGCAGATACCAACAAACAGGGGGAGGCCATAGGTGCCTGAGGTCCCTCAGTTGCCAACAGCAGACTCAGACATTCTATCTCTCTGAGCTCAAGGACCCATCCCATGAATAGCTCTGAGTTCCCATCCCATTGATTCTGTCTCCCACTTTCTGCCTGTCATGGAACCTTCTCCTGGATGTGAGTGGCTGCAGGGGACATGAGGATACAGTTCAGAATCAGGCAACGGTCTGTGAGCTGAAGGCAGGGGCAGGGAGTCTGGTGCTCTCTCTAGAAAGTCCTGCCTCTGTGGCTCCTGTCTTGGGCCAGGGACCATCCTGCCAGTGAGGAACACACAGCTGTGTGCTCCCATCCTGCTTCCCCACATGGCCCTGAGCTCTCTGGCCTGTGCCCCGTGAGACTTACTTTTTTTGTTGGAGCACCAGAGATGAAGGAGAAAGAAGAGGAGGAGGATGAAGAGGATGATGACCACTGAGGTCCCAATCAGAATGTGCAGGTGTCTGGGGTTACCTGGAAGAAGAGGAGACACCAGTAAGAAGCTAATCATAGCAGTTTCTCTATATGAATTGTCTTGCATTTCTTGATTGACAGGTAACCACTTACAGCATCTCTTTCGGACAAGCACCCAGATGGCGGGAGATCTAGCTTCCTCCTGCTTTCTCAGTTATAGCTCTCATAGTAACCATGGAACGTGCTGAGGATACAACTACTTTAGTTGAGATGTTTGACCCCTTCAAACCTCACATTGAAATTTAACCCCCAGTGTGGGAGGTTGGGCCTCTTGGGAGGTGTTTGGGTCATGGAGGTGGATCCATCATGAACAGATCAATGCTGTCCCAAGGAGACGGGGTTAGCAAGTTCCCTCTCTATTAGTTCCTGGAGAGCTGGTTGTTAAAAAGAGCTTGGAAGCTCCATTGCTCCCCCTCCCCCTTGCTCCCTCTCTTGCCGTGTGATCTCTGTGGTCTCTGCACAGACAGACCCTCCTTCCCTTCTGCCAGAGTGGGAGCGGCCTGAGGCCATCATAAGAAATAGATGCTGGTGCCATGCTTCCAGTACAGCCTGCAGAACGGTGAGGCAAACCAATCTCTTCTTTAGAAGTTACCCAGGCTCAAGTGTTCCTTTAGAGCAACAAAAATGGACTAAGACAGCAAAGTCCTGAGATCAGGAGGATTGTCCCAGAACAGCCTGGGCTGTCTTCCTGTTCTTCCTGGAGGAGGACGTCATGCAGTGCTTTAGCTGAGTGCTTCCTGTGGCTCCAGGGTACAAAACCCAGGCTGGGCTGCTTTCTGGCTTCCCCCAGCTACACTGCAAATGGGGTGACTCCACATGTCTCGAGCAGCTTTTCTGAGCCTTGGGGAACTGGCTCACATTGAAATGTAGGCTTCTGTTGTCACTCGCTGCTTATCTGTTAGTAATGAACCTGCCTATGTAACGTATTCTCTGTGTGTTCTGTCTCCCTGGAGTGACGGTGAGTGATAGGAATTGGCATAGGCCCAGGTGCAGTCCAGGAGGTGTTTAGAGTCTTCTCTGGGAAGACTGGACTGGGATTGATACACAGCGAATGTGCTTTAGGATTTCTACATCCACGGCATTCTTGAGTTAAACAACTTGCATTCTCCAAGAAAAGGAAACAAAAGTGAAATCAATATAAAAAAAGCGAAGTAGAATTCTCTTATGTCAAACAGCCAGAAAATAGTGTTGAAGCCCGTGTGAAATGTGCTACTCTTTGTGATCTCGGGAGACACATGTTAGGCTGCTGTTCTACCTCAGAGGCTGGGGGAAGGACCACCCCCTCGACTATCTATTGCTTCAATACCACCTGTCCTCCTGTGAATTAGTAGGAAAGGGGAGCAGGAGCTAGTGCTGGCACTGATCTCTGATTCCAAGATCTGGACTCACTCCAAGGAGTATTAGCATTTACCTCCCCATGATCTATCTGTATTTCCACAGGTGATTGGAAGTAGGGGTGAGATGGGGGATTTGGGTGAGGGGGCAAGTTTTTTTTGTGATGACCAGAGCACTTTCTCTATTCCAGGATTTGTGCTGGAGGATTCAGCGGGCTTTCACATTTTCTATATGATCTCATGCTCACAGAAAGCCAAATACGGAAGAGGTTTTAGGCTGATTGCCTAATGGATAAGATAAAGGATCAAAGAAGTAATTATAGAGAAATAGAAAAATGATGATGGGAATTCAGGTGCCTTTGTCATTCGTGTGTGTTTTATTATATTTATGCATTTCTTATTTTTATTTTTTGAGATGGAGTCTCCTTGTGTCACCCAGGCTGGAGTGCAGTGATGCGATCTCCACTCACTGCAACCTCCACCTCCTGGGTTGAAGTCATTCTCCTGCTTCATCCTCCAGAGCAGGAGCTGGGATTACAGGGATGCACCACCATGCTCGGCTAATTTTTGTATTTTTAGGAGAGATAGGGTTTCACCATGTAGAGATAGGGTTTCTCCATGTTGGCCAGGCTGGTCTCGAACTCCTGACTTCTTGGAATCCACTGGCCTTAGCCTCCTGCAGTGCTGGGTTACAGGAGTGAGCCACCGTTCACAGACTTGTATACTATGCTATAATAGGTCCCTTCATTTCCACCACCCCTCATATATCTGTCACTCCTTTGCCAGGTATTGATTTATGTGTAGGAGGAATAAATCTCAGAAAGAAATTAATTTAGCAAGGATTAAACAACTAGGAAACTCAAACCCAGCAAGCCCTCCCTGCAAATGATTCTACCTCCCAAACATAGCTTATATCCATCTGCTTCATCCACTTAGGGTCTAAATCAGCACCACATTTCACCAGTGGGGCGGCAATTGCCTTTTCCACTGTCTCCTAGATTCCAGTTACGCACCTGGGCCTCCCTTATTTTCATGTCAGTCACTATTAATCATGTAGGGATTCCTGGCTACCCCGAGGTGAATCCAATGGCTGTGAGTGTCAAACACACACTCCTTGTTGCTCCTTAGTTTCCTGTGTACCCAGTGTGCTCTCCGTCTCTCCACAGTCGTCTTGTCATTCTCCCCACCTCATTCCCAGCATTTCAGGCAGAGCCTCTTCCTTCCACATCAGATTGTTTTCAGCTTTCTGCCTTCACGGCTGACAGCTGTGTGTGGAAAATCCTTCCGCCAATCTTTCAGGGGTTCAATCCGTGTTTTTCATTAATGTCACAAATATCTGATTAGTGAGACCTTCTCTGTCACCCAAAATTATACACTCAGCATTATCTATTATTTATTTTGAATTCTGGCTGGGCAAAGTGGCTCACGCCTGTAATCCCAGTACTTTGGGTTGCTGAGATGGTCGGATCACTTGAGGTTGGGAGTTTCAGACAAGCTTGGCCAACATGGTGAAACATCCTCTCTACAAAAAATATACAAAAAGAATTAGCCGGGCATGGTGGCAGTTGCCTGTAATCCCAGCTACTCGAGAGGGTGAGGCAGGAGAATCACTTGGATCCAGGAGACGCAGGTTGCAGTGAGCCAAGATCGTGACACTGCACTGTAGCCTGGAAGACAGAGGGAGACTCTGTCTCAATAAATAAATGAACGAACAAACAAATAGATTTCATGCACAGATGCTTCCCAATGGATCATTCATTTATTGGTCCACTTGTGCACTCATTTTCTGTCCTCCCATTTAACCATCTGCAATATCAGTGTCCCAAGAGCAGAGGCCAAATGCATCTTGTTCACCGTTCGTGGAAGGCAGGAGAATGCTGTCCCACCCCAAAATGTCCCTGTCCTGGCCTCCATAGCTTGTGAATATCTTATTTTACATGGAAAGAAGGAATGAAGATTGCAGATGGAATTACGGTTGCTAGTCAGCTGAACTTAAAACAAGGGTATCCTGAATGATTTCCGGGAGATTATGATGGATTTTCATCTTGGTGAACCCAATAGAATCCCCAAGTTTTCAAAAGATAAGGAAGAAGGGAGAGCAGCATTCAGAGAAAGAGGTGTGGTAAGGAAGAAGGGTCTGAGTGATGCCATGTGAGATGTGACCAGTCTTTGTGGGCTTTGAGGAAGGAGGAAGGGGACCAGGAGCCAAGGAACTGGGAGCCTTTAGAAGCTGGGACAAGTGAGAAGCAGATTCTTGCCTGGAATCCTCAGAGGGAAGGCAGCCTTGCTGTCACCTTGATTTTAGCCCAGTAAGATGCACTTCCTACTTTGAGCTACAGCACTGTAAGATAATTAAAAAACCGTTTTGTTTTCACCCACGAATCTTGTGGAAATTTGTTATGGCAACAATAGGAAAGGATTCCAACTGCACAGCCTGAGCATGGGGCCGTGGCTGAATGAGTCAGTGAGTCGAAGTGTGCGTGCATGAGCTCTGTTCTCTGTTACGGCAAGGCTCTTGCTCTGCTGAGTCAGCCAGGGTTGCTTCATGACCAACAGTAATTCATTCCTTGGCAAGTGGAACTTCTCTAAAACACCTCGCCCTCATCAGATGTTCCCTTCCCTTCCCTCTCTCAAGTCCCCAGGAATTTATCCTCCAGTTAGGAATGCAGGAAGAAAAAACACTGCATGTTTCCTGAGAAGGATGTCAGATTGGCAATCATTCTTCTAGCTTGTAGGAGGTCTCACCTGCAGGACATTAAAGGTTAAGAGACTTCGCTGAGCCCTTTGGTGGCCCTAGATCCCTTTCACTGTTGGAGTGTCTGGAGTTCAGAGATGGTGGAAGACAGGCCCTCATTCACAGAGCTGGGAGGTTTGAGCCAACACTTGCATCCAAGGCTTCCACCTCCCCAGGTTTCCAAAAGCAGAGATAAGAGGGGTCCTTTACTCACCAGATTTGGAGCTTGGTTCTGTGGGTGAAGGCCAACTACTTGAAGGGTTTCCTAGAACATGGGACAGGAGAGATGTGAGGAAATGAGGGTGCTTGTCCTCTACTCAATGGAAATCTTTGAGGTTGGTTCATGGCCAACACTCTGTTATCTAATGTTGGACCCTGGGAGTCTTGGGATCCTCTTCTCCATAATTTTTGTGTGCGATGCCCACTGTCTTGAGACTTGAAGGTATAAAGAGAAAACAGGAGCATCACACTACCTGACTTAGAAATATGTTACAGAGCTGTAGTAAGCAAAACAGCATGACATTGGCATAAAGAAAGGCACATAAAAAATGAAACAGAATGGAGAACACAGATATAATCCATGCATTTACATCCAATGGCTTTTTTTGTGTGTGTGTGTGATAGAATCTTGCTCTGTCATGCAGGCTGGAGTGCAGAGGTGCAATCTCAGCTCAATGCAACCTCCACTTCCTGGATTCAAGCAATTCTCTTGCCTCAAACACCCGAGTAGTGGTATTACAGGCACTGGTCACCATGCTCAGCTAATTTTTGTATTTTTAGTAGAGACGAGGTTTCACTCTGTTGGCCAGCCTGGTCTTGAACTCCTGGCTTCAGGTGATCCACCCGCCTCGGCCTCCCAAAGTGCTGGAATTGCAGGTGTGAGCCACCATACCCAGCCCATTTAATGGACTTTGACAAAGGTGCCGAGAACTTACAATCAGGAAAGGACAGTCTTTTCAATAAATGGTGTGGGGAAAACTGGATATCTACATGCAGAGGAATAAAACTGCATCTATACCTGTCACCATACACAAAAATCAAATGAAAATGGATTAAAAACATGAGTCTAAGGCCTGAACCTATGAAACATGTAGAAGAAAATAATGGGGAAGACATTTGTCTGACGAAAGACATTTTGTTTAAAACCTTCAAAACACAAGTAATCAAAGCAAAAAATAGACCATTAGGATTACATCAAACCAAGCAACTTCTGCACCACAAAAGATAAACCAAGAAAGTGAAGAGACAACCGACAAAATAGGAGCAAATATTTGCAAACTATTCATCTGAGACGGGATTAATAACTGGAAATATAAGAAGCTCAAACAACTCAATAAAACAATTTAATTAAAAAACGAGCAAAAGACATGAGGAGACATTTCTCCACAAACAAAACATAGAAATGGCGATCACGTATATGAAAAAGTACTCGGCATCACTCATCATCAGAGAAATGTAAATTACAATCGCGATGAGTTTTCATCTCATCCCATTAAAATGCCTTTTAGGCCGGTGGCTCACGCCTGTAATTCCGGCACTTCAGGAGGCGGAGGTGGGCGGATCACCTGAGGTCGGGAGACCAGCCTGACCATCATGGAGAAACTCCCTCTCTACTAAACATACAAAAATTAGCTAGGCGTGGTGGCACATGCCTGTAATCCCAGCTACTTTGGAGGCTGAGGCAGGAGAATCAGTTGAACGCGGGAGGCGGAGGTTGCAGTGAGCTGAGATCACACCCTTGCACTCCAGCCTGGGAGACTATGAGTGAAACTCCATCTCAACATAAATAAATAAATAAAATAAAGTAAAGTAAAATGGCTTTTACTGCAAGACAGGCAAAACAAATGCTGGCAAGATGGTAGAGAAAGGAGAACCCTGGTACCCTGTTGGTAGGAATGTAAATTAGTACAACTATTATGGAGAAAAGTATGGAAATTCTTTAAAAAACTAAAAGGAGGCTGGGCATAGTGGCTTATGCCTGTAACTTCAGCACTTTGGGAAACCGAGGCAGGCACCTCACTTGAGGTCAGGAGTTTGAGAGCAGCCTGCCCAAAATTGGGATATCCCGTCTGTGCTAAAAAAATACAAAAATTAGCCAGGCATGGTGGCGTGCACCTGTAATCACAGCTACTAGGGAGGCTGAGTCAGGACAATCATTTGAACCTAGGAGGCACAGGTTGCAATGAGCCAAGATCTCACCACTTAGACTCCAGCTTGGACTAAGGAGGGAAACTCTTTCTCAAAAAAGAAAAAAAAAAAAAGAGAACTTTCATAGTGTCCAGCAATTTCACTACTGGGTTTATATCCAAAGGAAAGGACATCAGTGTATCGAAGTGATATCTGCACTCATATGACTGTTCCAGCACTGTTCACAGTAGCCAAGATGTGGAGTCAACCTACCTGCCCATCAGTGGGTGAATGGATAGAGAACTGTGGTACACACACACAGTGGAGACTACTCATCCATAGAAACAATAACATCCTGTCATTTGCAGCCACATGGATGGAACTGGAGGTCATTACAAAGATTCCCATTTCTCACCCACATGCAGGAGATAAAAGGTGGATCTCATGAAGGTGGAGAATACAATGGTGGACACCAGAGGCCAGGAAGGGAAGGGTGGAGGGTAACAAAAAAAAGAATATAGATGTATTTATTTATTTAGAAACAGAGTCTCTCTCTGTCTCCCAGGCTGCAGTGCAGTGGCATGATCTCGGCTCAGTGCAACCTCTGCCTCCTGGGTTTAAGTGCTTCTCCTGCCTCAGCCTCCCAAGTAGCTAGGACTACAGGTGCATGCCAGCATGCTCGGCTAATTTTTCTTGTCTGTTTAGTAAAGATGAATTTCCCACATGTTGGCCAGGGTGATCTCGAGTTCCTGATCTTAAATGATCCACCTTCCTTGGCCTCTCAAAGCGCCGAGATTACAACCGTGAACCACCACACCCAGCATATAAAGGTATTTATGACCACTAGATTTTACTTTTAAAAATGGTAAAGGTGGTAAATTATATAGTTACATTTAACCTCAATAAATATTTTTGAAAATGAAAAGAAAAGGGTGTAGGGGTTGCTGGTGATGATATCTCTCTGTGTGGGTGAGAGGCCATGATGGGCTTCTGGGAAATGGATAAGATTGAGGGGCTGAGGGAACCTCTGATCTCCCCAAACTAAGCCCAGTCTCCCCTTCTCTGGGTCTGTCCTGACCGCTTTCTCCATCTGCCTGGGTGCCTGGAGCCCTGATCGGAGGCCTCCATGCAGGCCATGAAGGAGGGTTTGGAGGTGCCCTGTCTGCCATCCTGCGCCCTGACTCCGCCCTCACACCTGCTGTGTCTTCTCTCTGCATCTGTCCATGCTTTTCTCCATCATCAGCAGGAAGCTCCTTAGCTAAGGATTTAGGATCATAGGACATGAGAGAGATATGGGCTTTTCTCACCTGTGACAGAAACAAGCAGTGGGTCACTCGGGTCTGACCACTCGTAGGGAGAGTGACGGAAAGAGCCGAAGCATCTGTAGGTCCCTCCGTGGGTGGCAGGGCCCAGAGGGAAATCTGCCTGGAATGTTCTGTTGACCTTGCGCACTGCAGGGAGCCTACGTTCATGGGCTCCCCCCTCCCTGGATAGATGGTACATGTCATAGGAGCTCCGGGAGCTACAGGACAAGGTCACGCTCTCTCCTGCCTGAACCTTGGGGCCCGGCTGGGCTGAGAGAGAAGGTTTCTCATATGGACCTGGAAGGAGAAGAGGCAGTTTCCTCAGGGAGGTTCTTCCTTGTCATAGCTCCCCTCATACCTGAGCTGAGAACTCACTCCCCTGCTCTATGACCTAATGCTCTCTCTCTCTCTCTCACCCTCCACCCCATCTCTCTTCATATCTGTTTCCTCCTTCTACCTTTTCTGTCTCTCTAGGTCTATGACCTCACTTCCCCACCCTGAGGTATGTTTTCCCTTTTTGGATTGTTTTATTCTCTCTGACCCTCCTTGGATTGGTTGACTTGATCTTCCTTTTTCTTTAATTTTGAGTCTCTCACTTTCTGTCTTGTTCATAACTTTCTGCACATTTCTATCTATTTATCTATTTTGTGTCTATCTACAAATTATCTATCATCTATATTTATGTATCACTTATCTATCTCTCTATCAATTGTCTGTCTGTCTATCTATCCATCAATCATCTATTATCTATATATGTATCATCTATCTCTCTCTCTATTACCTCTCTGTCTGCCTCTCTGTCTCTATTTATGTATCATCTATGTATATATCTATGTGTCTATCATCATCATCGTCATCTCTATGTATCATCTATCAGTCATCATCTATGTATCTATAACCAATCCATTATCTATCATCTACCTATTTATCATCTATCTACGTCTATCTATCCATCTATCATCTCTCTCTCTCCGTCTCCTTGTCTTTCTCTGCCTCTCAGTCTCTCTAGTTCTATTTGGAATCTCTGCAATCCATCCCCACATATTTATCTTTCTCTGTCTTTGTGTCCCTCCCTCAGGGTTCTGATTTTGGGGCTTTTCTCTCCTCCTTTCCATCATTCTCTCCATTCTGCCCTCTTTTCTTTCTTTTTATGTGTCTGTGAATCTCTTAATCTCCTTCTTCTGGCTCATTTTGTGTGTGTTTATGTCTTTGCTTTTTGGTGTCCCTGATTTTTCTCTGTGTCTCTCAGCGATCCTATCATATGTGGGATTATTTGGAATATGAGCCTCAGAATCCAGTCTGGGGACCCCAAGTTCACACAGCATACAGGGGTTGGTGTTCAGGGGCCATGATATCCTGGGATGATTACTCTCCATTGCATGGAAGGCAGAGGTGTCAGAATAAACACGGCATCTGTAGGTGGCACAAGGCCTGAGGCCACAGGGCCCAACTCAGGTCAGAAATATGGGTGTCCTTGGGTTCTTCTGGTAGGAACACTTTGTGGAGGTAAAACAGAAATGAAACTTCTAACCTGTGCCAGGTCTCTGAGCAAAGTCAGCATGGAAGGACACCTCTCTCTGGGACATGTCTGTCTGTCTGAGTGTCTCCTTTACCTCTTTCTCTCTTTTCTACCTCCCTGTATGGCCCCTGTGTCTGTCCTCTGTTATGACACCTGTTCTGTACTTATGTCTCCTGTTTCTCTGTCTCTGTTGGTACAGACCTCACCAAGTCACTCTCTTTCCATAAGAATCCCACACTTATCTTCCTCATGACCACCTGGGGGTTCCAAGTCCTGGATCATTCACTCTGTGTCCCAGTGACAATGAGAACAATGTCTAGACACTCTCACCTGTGACCACGATGTCCAGGGGATCACTGGGAGCTGACAACTGATAGGGGGTGTGAGTAACAGAACCGTAGCATCTGTAGGTCCCTGCAAGGGCAAGCATCATGGGACCGATGGAGAAATTGGCCTTGGAGACCCCATCATGGATCTGTCCAACGAGGCGTGAGGGGTCCTTAGAGATCCCCTCTTTGTGCAGAAAGAAGTGCTCAAACATGATATCTGACCAACATTGCAGGATGACTCTCTCTCCTGATTTCACCAGGGGACCTGGGTGGGCCAGGAGGGAAGGTTTTCTGTGGTTTCCTAGAAAGAGAAGTTGTGAGTTTAGAAGGCATCTCTCTTTATCATCCCATCCATGGCACCTGGAATGAGTGAGGGTTCCCCTCCCCGTGTCTGTCTCTCTCCTCCCTCTCTGCATCTCCGTGTCTTTTCTGTGCCCATATCCCCTGGTGCAGGTGCCTCCATCTGTCTTCCTCCCTCTTCTCTGTCCCTCTGTCTCCAGTAGCCCCTGACTCCCTTGCCACTGTGAAGACAGCCTCATCTCTTGGGCTGTTGTATCTGTTTCCCACTAATCTCTTTCCTGCTGTCTATGTGGGGGTGGAAGAGGACAGGCTGCATGTCCAGGCTCTTAGCAGCCTGAATCAATCTCTTTTGAACAAATCCCCAGTTCAAGTGATTCTCTTGCCTCAGCCTCCCCAGTCGTTGGATTACTCGTGCCCACCACCACATCTGGCTATCCTTGTTTGGTTTCCTAACTTGTCCTTGACCTGGGTTCCTGTGTTGGTTTCCTGTTGCTGCTGCAGAAAATTACCACAAACATGGCAGCGGGAGAGAACACACTGACCCCTTCCACTTCTGGAGACAGAAATTGGATCCAGTTCTCCCTGTGCTGAAATCAAGGTGTCTACAGGGCTGCGTTCCCTCTGGAGAATCAGCGAATCAGTTCTCTTGACTTCTCCAGCCCTTAGAGGCCACCTGCATTCTGTGACTAGTGGTCTTCCTCCACCTTCAAAGCCCGCAGTGGCTGATAGCGTCTCCCTCCCACTACACTGCTCTAATCCCCACTCCCCTCTTCCTCCACCTCTCATGTGGACCCTTGTGATTACACTGAGCCCAGTGGGACAGTCCAGGCTGTCTCCCCATCTCAAGGTCAACTCATCAACAACCTGAGCTCCACCTTCCCCTTCAGTCCCCTGCCCTGTAACATAAATAGTCACAGGCTCCAGGGATTACAATGTAGCCATCATTGGGGACAGTGATTCTTCCCACCACAGCACCCATTTCCCCTGTATTCAATCTCCCTTGACCCCAAATACAGTCAGGGCCTGGGTGATGGGACCCTGACGGACACCCCCACCAGAAGCTCTGGGATTCAGGAGGTGGGACAGTGAGAAGCCCAGACGGAAAGCCTCTGACCTGTGACCATGATCACCACGGGGTTGCTGGGTGCCGACCACCCAGTGGGGGAGTGTGGGTGTGAACCCCGACATGTGTAGTTCCCTGCATGTGCTGTGGTCACAGGGCTCATGTTGAAGCTCTCCTGGAATATTCTGCCATGGAAGATGGGAATGTGGATTCTGTCTTCTTTGTATAGCATGAAATTGTTAAACCTATGACGATAGTGACACCGAAGAGTCACGTGTCCTCCTCGAGGCACCACAGCGCTGGGCCAGGCAGACAGGAAGGGTTTGTCCTGACCACCTGGGGGAGAAGGAGGCACTGCCTTAGAGAGGAGGATGTGGAGCCGCCCCTCACTCCCAGTGCCCAGAAGATTCTCCCCATTTCCACTTTCTAAGGCTCCTACCACACCTGGGTGCCCAGGGCTACAGGAAGGACCCATCCTGCATAGACTTGGCGTCTCCCTACAACAAGTGTCAGCTGAGAACTTTGAGCAAGTTGCTGGAGAAGCAACTCTTACTAGATTTTAATACTGCAAAATTACTCATATAAAACAACACAAAGTAGACACGGCATGGAGGGCAAGTCCTATGTGAATGGAATATCAGCCAATTGATGAACTGAGCCCCCATCAGAGGATTTGGAATGTCAGGGCCATGGCTGTGGTTTCCTCACCTTTTCTGGTAGAAAGACCGCAGCCACACTGCAGCCCCTACCATCACGGAAACGCTGGAGGGTGTGAGTTACACCTTTGTCCTCAGAGGACCTGCTGTTCCTAGCACTGCTTCCCTCTCTTTCTCTGCTGCTGACACCACTTCCTCCCTGCACACCCATCTTGGAGCACCCTAGTCTCACCCCAGTCTTCACAGAGCTTGACTCAGGAAAGGGAATGAAAGGCCGGGGAAGGCAAGGTCAGAAATGTGGGCCGAGCATCCGAGGGTCCCCTCTTCCTAGTGTATGAGAGACTCCCCGACAGGACTTCCCTCCCATTTCAGGAAAATCCTCTTATGTGGGGAGATGACACCCTAAGGTTTGGGGAAGGACTCACCCATGTGTGGACCGGCCCTCTGGACCAAGAACAACCCTAGAAAGAAAGATCATGATGGACCATCCCTCTGCAGGCAAACCAGGGCACCCTGCTGCCCCCACTGGGCTGTGCGTCTTGGCAGCCAGGCCCTTGCTGGGCTGAAGGTAAACTCACCCTCGCTGCCTACCTGCCCCCAGGAACAAGGATCTCGGCTGTGCAGAGACTGAGCCTCCAGGCCCAGATCTCTACCTCCAGGCCTAGATCTACACAACAGGCCCAGATCTCCACTCCAGGTCCGTATCTCCACTCCAGGCCCATATCTCCTCTCCAGGCTGGTAAGTCCACTCCAGGCCCATATCTCCACTCCAGGCTCCTATCTCAACTCCAGGCTCATATATCCACTCCAGGCTCATATCTCCACTCCAGGCCCATATTTCCACTCCAGGCTTCTATCTCCTCTCCAGGCCCATATCTCCTTTCCAGGCTTGTATGTCTGCTCCAGGCCCGTATCTCCACCCCAGGCCCATATCTCCACTCCAGGATCATATCTCCACTCCAGGCCCAGATCTCCACTTCATGCCCTTAACTCCACCTCCGGGCCCATAACTCCACCTCTAGGCCCATATCTCCACTCCAGGCCCATATCTCCACTTCAGGCCCATATCTCTACTGCAGGCCCATAACTCCACCTCCAGGCCCATATCTCCACTCCAGGCCCATCGCTCCACTTCTAGGCCCATCACTCCACCTCTAGGCCCACATCTCCCCTCCAGGCCCATATCTCCCCTCCAGGCCCATCTCTCCACCCCAGGCACATATCTCCACCCCAGGCCCATATCTCCACTCCAGGCCCAGATCTCCACTCCAGGCACATATCTCCACCCCAGGCCCCTATCTCCACTCCAGGCCCAGATCTCCACTCCAGGCCCAGATCTCCACTTCAGGCCCATAACTCCACCTCTAGGCCCATAACTCCACCTCTAGGCCCATATCTTTACCTCCAGGTCCAGATCTCCATCCCCGCACTCCCTCCCTCGATTCCCTTCCAGGACTCACCAACACACGCCATGCTGACGACCATGAGCGACATGGTGCTGCCGGTGCAGACAGGCGGCTGCGCCCCAGCTCAGCTCAGCAGCGCACAGGATGTTATTTGGCGCCCTGCCCATGCAGTTTACATGTTGACCACATCATGGGAGGGTGACGTACGCAGGCTCTTTCTACCTTGCATGAGGCCCAGTGGGTGCTCGCTCAAGAGCGGAACATGGCTTCCTGGAAATTGCTCTCACTAGAATTGACACCTCGCGTCCTTCACTATGACCAACTCAAAACACGTCTCAGATCCAACCTCCCGAACACGAGATGCCTAAAATCTGTGCTAACATGAAAGACTTTTCATGTATTTTTATTGTTTTTATCTGAGATTCAAACTCTTCTTCCTGTGTAATATGCAAAATATCTAATAGGTATTATTAAGGTTTTCAGAGCAATTGTGACAATAAACCATTAGAATTTTTCATGATTGTATTTCTAGTATTACAGCAGAACCAGTTCAAATGATTTAAACTCCCAGGGAAGGATTATGCAATTATTTACAATCTTAGAATTGTACTTTATCAGCAAAAATCACAACATGTAAATTCTGGATTTTTGTAGATTTATCTAGAATTTGTCTCATGTCCCAAGATTCCAGAGTTCCAACTCATGGTTTGCTCTCTCTCTGTCTCTCTGCCTCCCTCATTTTAAATTTTACAGAAATATCCAGTAACATAATGCTATAGAAAATCAATTTCCCCAGCACTTTGGAAGCCGAGGTGAGTGATCAACCGAGGTCAGGAGTTTGAGACCAGCCTGGCCAATATAGTGAAACCATGTCTCTGCTAAAAATACAAAAATTAGCCATGCCTGGTAGCAGGCACTTGTAATGCCAGCTATTCAAGAGGCTGAGGCACGGAATCCCTTGAACCTGGGAGGCGGAAGTTGCAGTGAGCCGAGATCGTGCCACTGCACTCCAGCCTGGGCAACAGAGCGAGACTCTGCCTCAAGAAAAATAAAAAAAGCATAGCAAATAGCCTATAATAAATAACTAGAGGACTCCAGCTACCAAATTTTAGGGGTTGTATAAGGCTGCATAAAATGCAGCATTCTCAAGAGAGTGGACAGAGAGAGAGCCACTGAGCAGAAAACAGTGTCTAAAATACATCCGTGTACACACAGTCCCTTTATAGTTGACAAAGGCTGCCATGTGGTTTAAGGTGGAATAGAATGTCTTCTCAATAAATAACATGGGCCCAAGGGTTACACATAGAGAAAAATATATCTAAACGTATTCTCACACTATAAAACACTTGTTTATTTTATCTTGTTATTGTAATTTTTTTATGTTTTATATTTAAAATTGAGAAATAAAAATTATATACAGTCATCCCTCACTATTCGTGGGTGATTGGTTTCAGGATCTCCACTCAGATAGCACAATCTGCAGACGCTCAAGCCTCTTACATGAAATGGCACAGCATTTGCAAATAACCCATGCACATCCTCCTGTGTACATGAAATCATCCCTTGATTATTTATAATTCCTGATACAGCCTACACACAGCTTCATTTGTGTCCATTCAACATAGTTTTGCTTTTTGAAACTTTGTGGATTTTTTCTCTGAATATTTTTGATTTATATTTGGTTCAATAAACACCTGTAAATCCCACAGATACAGAGGACCGACTGTATATTTATAGTATGAAAGATGATGTGTTGATATGTGTCCCCGTGGAGATGAGACTAACAAGGCCTATGACTCTACAAATGTTTCATCATGGAATGACTCTGCCAGCTTTCCAGGTCTGCAGAGAGTAAGAATATCACTTGTTCATGTGATTCACGATCCTTGGAACCTCTTATGTGCTGCATCTTTGGATGGAAATTGGAGTCTCAGAGACAAATCAGGCTCCACCCTGCTTCCAGAAGCTCCAAGTCCAGGGGTGAGAACCCAGTGGAGAACAGTTGGAGTTATTTGGACATGGTAATGATAACACTGGAAACTTTCAGCCAAAAAAAGAGTCACCTAAAGAATGAAGGCAGACATGTTTATTTGAAGAGGAGAGAACTACACTGAAATCAAAAAAATTTTATAAGGTTTGCTGATGCCAGAAGGCTGAAAAATAGTCTGAGGAAAGGTGGAACAGCACGAGGGAAGGTGGAACAGCACGTGTCTAAGTGCCGTGTTAAGAGAGAGCCTCTTGTATGTTTGGAATTGTGAGTTCCTCAGTGTGATTGCAGCCTCAAGTAGACTAGGAAGTAAGCCAGTTAGGTTGGAGAGGTGGGCAGGGGTCAAGTGAAATAGAGAATTGTGGGCTAAGCAAAGGAGTGTGTTTTCTCTGCAGCAGGCAGTGGGGACCTTAGACATTGGTAAGCAAGAGACAGGCACCAGATTTGTGGTGTGAGGAAGAGTGATGCTCTAAGATGGAGACTCACGCCTTCAGATTCCAGCTGCTGGTACATTAGAGCTGGCAAGCTGGGTTTGAGACAGGGCTGTTGTCTCCCTAGAAGATCCCATCAAGGCCTGACTGTGGTGCTCATGGGCAGGAGACAACGCTCTGGGCTCAGCATTTGGAAGTTCTATACACACGCTGGTATCTGTTGAGGGTCTCTTGCTCCTCTGAGAAGGGCCAGTGATTTTTCTCTGTGTGAAAATGCAGTGATCCAACTGTGCGTATGTCACCTCCTGAGGGTCTTGTTCATCAGAGTCCTGGAGAGAGGGAAATCCTGAGTGAGGGAGGGTGTTCACATTTTTCAGGACTATTTCGGAATAAGACTGTATCCATGAGGCTGGGCTAGGAGGACCTACCTCCCTGTTCACTGTTCTGTGTCCCGCAGGCTCTTGGTTCATTACAGCAGCATCTGTAGGAGACGGAAGCAATCAAAACAGCTGGGAGGGCACTTCTGGGTCCTCATTTCATGAACAGATACCAACACACAGGGGGAGGCCATAGGTGCCTGAGGTCCCTCAGCTGCCAACAGCCAGACTCAGACATTCCATCTCTCTGAGTGCAAGACCCCATTCCATGAATAGCTGTCAGTTCCCATCCCATTGATTCTATCTCCCACTTTCTGCCTGTCATGGAATCTTCTCCTGGATGTGAGTGGCTGCAGGGGACGTGAGGATACAGTTCACAATCAGGCAACGGTCTGTGAGCTGAAGGCAGGGGCAGGGTGTCTGGTGCTCTCTCTAGAAAGCTCTGCCTCTGGCTCCTGCCTTGGGCCAGAGACTTTCCTGCCAGTGAGGAACACACACCTGCGTGCTCCCATCCTGCTTCCGCACAGGGCCCTGAGTTCTCTGGCCTCTGCTTCGTGAGGCTTACTTTTTTTTTGGAGCACCAGCGATGAAGGAGAAAGAAGGGAAGGATGGTAAAGAGGATGATGGCCACTGAGTACCTAATCACAGCATGCAGGTGTCTGGCGATACCTGGAGGAAGATGGGAATCCAATAAGAAGCTAACCATAGCAGTTCCTCTTTGTGGATTGTCTCTCATTTCTTGGTTGCCAGGCAACCACATAAAACACCTCTTTAAGACAAGCACCCACGAGGCGGGAGACCCAGCTTTCTCCTGCTTTCTCCGTTATAGTTTTCATAATAACAATAGAATGTGCTGATGATACAACTGCTATTGTTTCAATGTTTGACCCCTCCAAACCCCACTTTGAAATTTAATCCCCAGTGTGGGAGTTGTGCCTATTGGGAGGGGTGTTTTGGTCATGGGGGTGGATCCATCATGAATAGATTAATGCTGTCCCCAGAGGACGGGGTTAGCAAGTTCTCCCTCTATTAGTACCCTGGAGAGTTGATTCTTAAAAAGAGCTTGGAAGCTCCATCACACCCCCTTTCTCCCTCTCTTGCCATGTGATCTCTGTGGTCTCTGCACACGCAGGACCCCCTTCTCTTCTGTCAGTGTGGGAGCAGCCTGAGGCCGCAGCCAGAAATAGATGGTAGTGTCCTGCTTCTAGTACAGCGTGCAGATCAGTGAGCCAAACACATCTCTTTTCTTTAGAAGATACCCAGGCTCAAGTGTTCTTTTATAGCAACAAAAATAGGCTAAGACAGCAACATCCTGAGATCAGGAGGAACGTCTCAGAACAGCCTGGGCTGTCTTCCTGTTCTTCCTGGAGGAGAACATCATGCAGTGCTTTAGCTGAGTGTTCCCTGTGGCTCCAGGGTACAAAACCCAGGCTGGGCTGCTTTCTGGCTTCCCCCAGCTACAGTGCACATGAAGTGACTCCATGTGTCCTGAGCAGTTTTTCTGAGCCTTGAGGGACTGGCTCACCCTGAAAGGAAGGTTTCTGTTGTCACTCGCTGCTTATCTATAAGTAATGAACCTGCCTATGTAATGTATTCCCTGTGTGTTCTGTCTCCCTGGAGTGATGGTGAGTGATAGAAATTGGCACAGCCCCAGGTGCAGTATGGGAGGTGTTTAGAGTCTTCTCTGGGAAGACTGGACTGGGATTGATACACAGTGAATGTGCTTTACAGTTTCTACATCCACAACCCTCTTGACTCAAACAAATTACATTCTCCAAGAAAAGGAAAAAACAGTGACATTGAAATCAACATAAGTGAGGTTGAGCTGTCTTATATCAAACAGCCAGGAAATAATGATGAAGCTCGTGGGCAACATGCTACTTTTGTCATCTTGGGAGTCAGATATTAGGCTGCTGTTCCACCCGAGAGTCTGGGGGAAAGACCACCCCCTCCATCATCTGTTGCTTCAATACAGCCTGTCTTTCTGTGAATTACTCCAAAAGGTGACCAGGAGATAGTGCTGGCACTGGTCTCTGAGTCTACGATCTGAACTCCAAAGAATATTAGTTTTTACCTCCCCATGATCTATCTGTATCATTAATGTGATTGGAAGTAGGGGTGAGGTGGGGGATTTGGGTGAAGGGGCAAGTTTTGTGCCATGAACAGATCACGTTCTCTATTCCAGGACCTGTGCTGGTGGGTTTCACATTTTCCATATGATCTCATGCTCACAGAAAGCCAAATAAGGAAGATGTTTTCGCCTGATTTTCTTACGGATAGGATAAAGGATCAAAGAAGTCATTATAGAGAAATAGAAAAATGATGATTGGAATTGGTGTGCCTTTGTCATTCGTGTATGTTATATTATATTTATGTATTCTTTATTTTTATTTTTTGCCATGGAGTCTCACTCTGTCACCTAGGGTGCAGTGCAATGACGCGATCTTGGCTCACTGTAACCTCTCCCTCCCTGGTTGAAGCCATTCTCCTTCTTCAACTTCCCGAATAGCTGGTATTACAGGCACGCGCCACCACCCCCAGCTAGTTTTTGTATATTTAGTAGAGATGGGGTTTCACCATGTTGTCCAGGCTGATCTCGAACTCCTGATCTCACTTGATCCAGCCTCCTCAGCCTCCCAAAATGTTGGGTTACAGGTGTGAGCCACCGTTCAGAACCTTGTGTGTTATATTATAATAGGTCTCTTCCTTTGCACCACCCCTCATGTATCTCTCACTCCTCTGCCAAGTATTGATTTACATGTAGGAAAAATAAATCTCAGAAAGAAATCAATGAAGTGAAGATTAAACAATTAGGAAAAATCAAACCAGGCAAGCCCTCCCTGCAAATTACTCTACCTCACAAACACATCTTGTGTCCATCTTTCATTCATTTAGTGTCTAAATCAGCACCACATTTCACCAGGGGGGCGGGAATTGCCTTTTCCACAGTCTCCTAGATTCCAGTTATGCACCTGGGCCTCCCTTATTTTCATGTCAGTCACTATTCATCATGTAGGGATTCCCAGTTAGCCCCGAGGTAAGTCCAATGGCTGTGAGTATCAAACACACGCTCCTTGTTGCTCCTTAGTTTCCTGTGTACCCAGTGTGCTCTCTGTCTCTCCACAGTCGTCTTGTCATTCTCCCCATGTCATTCCCAGCATTTCAGGCAGAGCCTCTTCCTTCCACATAACATTGTTTTCACCTTTGTGCCTTCACGGCTGACAGCTGTGTGGAAAATCCTTCCGCCAATCTTCCAGGGGTTGATCTATTTTTTTCATTAAGGTCACAAGTATTATTTGATCAGTGAGAACTTCTCTGTCACCCGAAATTATACACTCAGCATTATCTATTATTTCTTTTAAAATACGGCTCGGCGCCTTGGCTCACGCCTCTAATCTCAGCACTTTGGGAGGCTGAGACGGGCGGATCCCTTAAGGTTGGGAGTTTGAGATAGCCTGGGCAACATGGTAAAACCTTGTCTGTACTAAAAAAAAATACCAAAAAAAAATTAGCCAGGCGTGGTGGGACATGGGTGTAATCCCAGCCTCTCGGGAAGCTGAGTGTAGAGAATCGCTTTAACCTGGGAGGTGGAGGTTGCGGTGAGCCGAGATCCCGCCACTGCACTCCAGCCTGGGGCACAGAGGGAGACACTGTCTCATAAAAACAACCAATCAATCAATCATTCTCATGCACAGATGCTTCCCAATGGATCATTCATTTATTGGTCCACTGGTGCATTCATTTTCTGCCCTCCCATTTAATCCTTTGCAATATCAGTGTCCAAGAGCAGAGGCCAAATGCACCTTGTTTACCATTTGTGGAAAGGATAAGAATGCCGCCCCACCCCAAAATATTCCTGTCCTAGTCGCCATATCTTGTGAATATGTTATTTTACATGGAAAAAAGGAATGCAGATTGCAGATGGAATTACGGTTGCTAATCAGCTAACCTTAAAAGGAGGGTATCCTAGATGATTTTAGGGAAATTATGATGGATTATCTTGGTGTTTCCAATAGAATGCCAAAGTCCTTAAAAGATGAGGAAGAAGGCAGAGCAGCATTCAGAGAAAGAGGTGTGGACAAGGAAGAAGGGTCTGAGTGATGCCGTGTGAGAGGCGTGACCAGCCTTTGTGGACTTTGAGGGAGGAAGACGGGGACCAGGAGCCAAGGAATGTGGGAGCCTCTAGGAGCTGGGAAAAGTGAGGAAGCAGATTCTTGCCTGGAACATTCAGAGGGAAGGCAGCCTTGCTGTCACCTTGATTTTAGCCCAGTGAGATGATGCATTTCATACTTCTGAGCTACAGCACCATGAGATATTTTTTAAAAATGTGGTTTCCATCCACGAAGCTTGTGGAAATTTGTTATGGCAACATAGGAAAAGGTTCCACACTGCACAGTCTGAGCATGGGGCAGTGGCTGAACGAGTAAGTGGAAGTGTCATGTGCACGGATGAACTACGTTCTCTCTTACCGCAAAGCTCTTGTTCCACTAAGTCAACCAGGGTTGGATCATGACAGACAGGAGCTCATTCCTTGGCAAGTAGAACTTCTCTACAAATACACCACCCTCAAAAATGTTCCCCTTCCTTCCCCTTCTCAAGCCCCCAGGCATTTGTCCTCCCAGTTAGGAATGCAGGCAGAACAAACACAGCATTTTTCCTGAGAAGAATGTCTGATTTGCACTCATCCTTCTACCCTGAGGTCTCAGCAGCAGAAAATTAGAGATTAAGAGATTTCACTGAGCCCTGTGCTGGGCCCAGATCCCTTTCGCTGTTGGAGTGTCTGGGGTTCAGAGACAATGGAAGACAGGCCCACAATCACAGAGCTGGCAGGTGCTGAGCCAACGCTTGAATCCAAGGCTTCTACCTCCCCAGGTTTCCAAAAGCAGAGATAAGAGGGGTCCTTCACTTACCAGTTTTGAAGCTTGGTTCAGTGGGTGAAGGCCAACTACTAGAAGGGTTTCCTAGAACACGGGACAGGAGAGAGGTGTGGCAATGAGGATGCCTGTCTTCTACTCAATGGAAATCTTTGAGGTTGGTTCATGGCCAACATTCTATTATCTAATGTTGGGCCCTGGGAGTCCTGGCATCCCATTCTCCATAATCATTGTAGGTGACACCAACTATCTTGAGACTTCAAGGTATAAGGAGAAAACAGGAGCATCACACTACCTGACTTAAAAATATGTTACAGAGCTGTAGTAAGCAAAACAACATGACATTGGCATAAAGAAAAGCACATAAAACAATGGAGCAGAATGAAGAACACGGATGTAATCCACCCATTTACATCCAATGGACTTTGACAAAGGTTCGAAGAATCTACAATCTGGAAAGGACAGTCATTTCAATAAATGGTGCAGGGAAAACTGGATATCTACATGCAGAGGGATGAAACTGCACCTCTACCTCTCACCATACACAAAAATCAGATGAAAATGGATTAATGACTTAAGACCTGAATCCATTAAATGTCTAAAAGGAAACACTGGAGAAATGCTCCAGGACATTTGTCTGAGGGAAGACATTTTGTTTAAAACCTCAAAAACACAAGTAATCACAACAACAACAAAAAAATAGACCATTGGGATTATATCAAATCAAGCAGCTTCTGCACCGCAAAGGAAGCAACCAATGAAGTGAAGAAGAGACAACCCACAGAATGGGAGCAAATATTTGCAAACTATGCATCTGAGATGGGATTAATAACTAGAATATAAAAGAAGCTCAAACACCTCAATAAAACTAATAATTTAATTATAAAATTAGTAAAAGACCTGAACAGACATTTCTCAATGAACAAAACATACAAATGAACATATATACATTGCATATATGAAAAAGTGCTCAGTATCACTAATCATCAGAGAAATGCAAATGAAGTCACAATGAGCTATCATCTCACCCCATTACAATGGGTTTTATCTCAGAGACAGACAAAACAAATGTTGGCAAGGTGGTGGAGAAAGGAGAACCCTAATACACTGTTGATAGGAATGTAAATTAATACAGCCATTACAGAGGAGAAGAATATGGAAGTTCCTTAAAAACTAAAAAGAGATTAGGCACTGTGTCTCACGCTTGTAATCCCAGCACCTTGGGAGGCTGAAGTGGGCAGATCACTGGAGGTCAAGAGTTCGAGACCAGCCTGGCTAACATGGTGAAACCCCGTCTCTACTAAAAATACAAAAATCAGCCAGGCGTGGTGGCGGGCACCAGTAATCCCAACTACTCGGGAGGCTGAGGCTGGAGAATCACTTGAATCCTGGAGGTAGAGGTTGCAGTGAGCCCAGGTGGTGCCATTGCACTCCAGCTTGGGCAACAAGAGTGAAACGCTATGTCAAAAAAACAAAAAGCATAAAACAAAACCTAAAAAGAGAACATCCAGAGGATCTAGCAATTCCACTAGTGGGTGTAAATGCAAAGAAAAGGACTTCAGTGTATTGAAGTGACATCTGCACTCCCATGACTGTTCCAGCACTGTTCACAGTAGCCAAGATGTGGAGTCAACCTACCTGCCCATCAGTGGATGAATGGATAGAGAGAAAGTAGTACATACACACAATGGAGACAACTCATCCATACAAAGAGTAACGTCCTGTCATTTGCAGCCACATGGATGGACTGGAGGTCATTACAAGGATTGCCATTTCTTACTCACATGCAGGATGTAAAAGGTGGACCTCATGAAGGTAGAGAGTAGAATGGTGGATACCAGAGGTTAGGAAGGAAGGGGTGGAGGGTAACAAAAGAAGAATATAAAAGTATTTATTTATTTATTTAGAGACAGAGTCTCTCTGTGTCACCAGGCTGCAGTGCAGTGGCATGATCTCAGCTCACTGCAACCTCCTCCTCCTGGGTTTAAGCCACTCTCCCGCCTCAGCCTCCCAAGTTGCTGGGATTATAGGCGCCTGGCACCATGCCTGGCTAATTTTATTTTTTTTGTCTTTTTAGTAAAGATTGGTTCCCCCATGTTGGCCAGGCTGGTCTCCAGCCCCTGATTTTAAATGATCCACCTGCCTTGGCGTCTCAAAATGCTGAGATTACAGGCATGAGCCACCGCACACAGCATATAAAGGTATTTATGATCCCTAGATTTTACACTTAAAAATGGTAAAGTTGATAAATTATATAGGTATATTTAACCTCAATCAGCATTTTTTCAAAGGAAAAGAAAAAGTGTAGGGGTTGCTGGTGATGACATCTCTGTGTAGGTGAGAGGCCAGGGTGGGCTTCTGGGAAATGGGTAAGGTTGAGGGGCTGAGGGAACCTCTGATCTCCCCAAACTGAGCCCAGTCTCCCTCCTCTGGGTCTGTCCTGACCACTTTCTCCATCTGCCTGGGTACCCGGAGCCCTTACTGCAAGCTTCCATGCAGGCCATGCAGGAGGGTTTGGAGGTGCCCTGTCTGCCATCCTGTGCCCTGATCCCACCCTCACACCATGCTGCATCTTCTCTCCACATCTGTCCATGCTTCTCTCCATCATCAGCAGGAAGCTCCTCAGCTAAGGCTCTAGGACCATAGGACATGGGACAGACATTGGCTTTCCTCACCTGTGACAGAAACAGGCAGTGGGTCACTCGGGTCTGACCACTCGTAGGGAGATCCATGGAAAGAGCCGAAGCATCTGTAGGTCTCTCCGTGGGTGGCAGGACCCAGAGGGAAGTCGGCCTGGAATGTTCCATTGATGCTGGGCACTGCAGGGAGCCTAAGTTCATGGGCTTCCCCCTCCCTGGATAGATGGTAGATGTCAAAGGAGCTCTGGGAGCTGCAGGACAAGGTCACGTTCTCTCCTGCGCGAACCGTGGGGCCCGGCCGGGCTGTAAGCGAAGGTTTCTCATATAGACCTGGAAGGAGAAGAGGCAGTTTCCTCAGGGAGGTTCTTCCTTGTCACAGCTCCCCTCCCACCTGAGCTGAGAACTCACTGCCCTGCTCTATGGCCTAGTGCTCTCTCTCTCTCTCTCACCCTCCACCCCCAACTCTTCCTGTCGATCCCTCCCTATGTGGTTCCAGCCTGGTGGTGGCATCAGCAGTGCACCCTTGCTGATCTCAGGGTAGCCAACCTTCTTGTTTGGTTTTTTAACTTGTCCTTCACCTGGGTTCCTGTGTTGGTTTCCTGTTGTTGCTGGAGAAAATTATCACAAACATGGCGGCAGGAGAGAACACACTGACCCCTTCCACTTCTGGAGACAGAAATCAGACCCTGTTCTTCCTGGGCTACAATCAAGGCATCTGCAGGGCTGCATTCCCTCTGGAGACTCGGGAGAATCAGTTCCATTGATTTCTCCAGCCCCTTCGTGGCTCGTGGTCTTCCTCCACCTTCAAAGCCCACAGTGGCTGGTGGAGTATCCCACGATGCTGCTCTAATCCCCATTCTCCTCTTCCTTCTCCACTCATATGGACCCTTGTGATTACACTGAGCCCAGTGGGAGAGTCCAGGCCATCTCCCCATCTCAAGGTCAACTCATCAACAACCTGAGCTCCATCTTCCCCTTCAGTCCCCTGCCCTATAACATAGTCACAGGCTCCAAGGATTACAATGTGGCCATCGATGGGGACAGTTATTCTTTCCAACACAGCACCCATTCCCCTGTATTCAATCCCCCTTTACCCCAAATATAGTTGGGGCCTGGATGATCGGACTCTGGTGGACACCCCCACCAGAAGCTCTGGGACTCAGGAGGTGGGACAAGGAGAAGCCCAGACAGGAGCCCTCTGACCTGTGACCATGATCACCAGGGGGTTGCTGGGTGCCGACCACTCAGTGGGGGAGTGCGGGTGAAAACCTCGACATCTGTAGGTCCCTGCGTGTGCTGGGGTCACAGGGCTAATGAGGAAACTGTTCCAGAATATTCTGTTGTAGAGCTCAGGGACAGGGACCCCATCTTTCTTGTACAGCGTGAAGATGTTAAACCCACGACGATAGTGACACCGAAGAGTCACGTGTCCTCCTTGAGGCACCACAGCGCTGGGCCAGGCAGAGCAGAAGGGCTTGTCCTGACCACCTTGGGGAGAAGGAGATGCCGCCTCAGAGAGGAGTATGTTGAGCTGCCCCTCCCTCCCTGTGCTCAGAAGATTCTCCCCATTTCTTCTTTCTAAGGCTCCTACCACACCTGGGTGCCTGGGGCTACAGGAAGGACCCATCCCGCATAGACGTGGCGTCTCCCTACAACAAAAGTGTCAGTTGAGAACTGAGCAGGTGCTGAGTAAGGGACTCTTACTAGATTTTAATACTGCAAGATTAGTTACACCAAAGAACACAAAGTAGACATGGGGTGGAGGGTATGACCTTTGTGAATGGAATATTAGCTAATGCCTGAACCACAATAAACAACTGAGCTCCATCAGAGGATTTGGAATGGCAGGGTCGTGGCTGTGGTTCCCCCACCTCTTCTGGCAGAATGACAGCAGCCACACTGCAGCCCCTACCGTCATGGAAACGCTGGAGGGTGTGAGTTACCCTCTTGTCCTCAGAGGACCTGCTGTTCCTAACACTGCTACCCTTCCCTCCTCTGTCGGTGACACCACATCCCCCCACACACCCCAGCTTTGAGCACCTCAGTATCCCGCCTGGGCCACACAGAGCTCAACTCAGCCATGGGGAAGAAAGGCTGGGGAGGGCTAAGACAAAACAGAGGGCTGAGCATACCAGGATCTCCTCTTACTAGTTCATGAGAGACTCCCAGGATCTCCTCTTACTAGTTCATGAGAGACTCCCAGGATCTCCTCTTACTAGTTCATGAGAGACTCCCCCCAGGCCTTCCCATGGTCAGCCCATCAGCCCACCCTCTGTGCTGCCTCCCTCCCATTTCTGGAAAATTCACTTGTATTGGGGTGAAGATGGCAACCCATCATTTGGGGAAGGACTCACCCACGTGTGCCCACACACTCTGGTCCAAGAAGAACCCTGCAAAGAAAGATCATGATGAACTATTCATCTCGGCAGCAACCTACCCTTTCCTCCTGAGCCACTGGGCGCCACGCTGGACTGAAAATTAACTCATCCTCACCACTCACTTGCTTCAGAACATGGCTCTCTGCTGGGGAGACACCCAATCTGCAGGCCCATAGTGTAACCCTGGTGCTCCTTCCCTTCCAGGACTCACCAAGACATGCCAGGATGATGACCGTGGGTGACATGGACATGGTGCAGCTTCTGCTGCCAGGACGCAGTGACTCGGCTCGACTGACCGGTGCAGAGGATGTGGTGAGGGGCCCGGATCGTGCAGTTGACACATTGACCACAACATGTGAAGGGGACATAGGTAGGCTTCTTCTACGTCATATGAGGTTCAAGTGGTGAATCAGTCAAGGGAGGAATGAGGGTTTCTGAAAACTGCAGACTAGACTTGTCACTTCACATCATGCGCAACGGCCAGGCTCAAAACACATCTCAGACTCACTTACCCCTGCACGGGACGATTGAATTCTGCACTCACATGAGGAAATTTGATGTATTTTTTTTTGTTTCTACCTGAGATTCAAACTCTCCTTGATATGTAATATGCAAAATACCTAATAGGTTTTATTAACACTATAGAGCAATCGTATTAAATAAATCATCATAATTTTCCATGGTTGTATTTTTCCTGTTAAGCCAGAAACAGATAAAATGATTTAAATCCCAGTAGAAAAGACTATATAGTTATTTCGCATCATAGAATTCCACCTTATTAGCAAAAACACAATATGTCAATTGAAGGTCTGGTCGTGTTATCTAGAATTTGTCTTATGACACAAGAGTCCAAATTCACAGTTCCCTGTCTCCCTTTTTGTCTCTCTGTAACGTGTGCTTTTTTTCTCCCTGTGTTGTTTGTGTGTCTTTCTTTCTCTCTCTCATTTGAGGAAAAAATATCAGACTGATAACATCCTCCAACTTGATACTGGAATATTGCAATAACTGAAGGTTGAAATCTACACATTTAATGTGCTGTCATTCTTACAAATGTCTCTTATTTACACCTATCTTTCTGGAGTTTGTAAGAACTTTTTCACTATGCATTTTAAATTTGTAAAACTCATAATTTTTAAAAAGGGATGGGTCTCACTGTTTGCCCAGGGTGGCCTTTACTCATTCTATAAGGCTGGCATCACCCTGATACTAAAGACAGAAAAGAACATTAAACAAAAGAAAACTACATGCCAATATTCCTGATGAACATAGAGGCAAAAATCCACAAAAAATACTAAGAACTGAATCCCGCAGCATATCAAAAAGTGAATCCACCATGATCAAGTCAACTTTATTCTTAGGGTGCAAGGTTGGTTGAACATACACAATCAATACATGTGATTCATCACCTAAACAAAACTAAAAACAAAAACCACATGATCTTCTCAACACACATGTAGAACATACTTTTTACTAAGCATTTCTTCATGTTAAAAGCCCTCAACAAGCTAAGCATTGAAGAAACATAACTCAATATAATAAGAGCCGCCTGTGACAAACCCACAACCAACATCATACTGAATGAGTAAAAGCTGGAAGAAGTTCCCTTCATAAGTGAAACAAGACAAGAATGCCCACTCTCACCATCCTATTCAACATAGTACTTGAAGTCCTAGACAGAGCCATCAGGAAAGAGAAAGAATTATAAGGCATCCAAGTAAGAAGAGAGTAGCAGAGAGAGGTAGTCAAATTACCTCTGTTTGAAGATGAGATAATTTCTATACCTAGAAACCCCATAGTCTCTGCCCAAAGGCTCCTACATCTGAGAAACAAACTTCAGCACAGTTTAAGGGCAGAAAGTCAATGTACAGGCTGGGTGTGGTGTCTCAGCCTGAAATCTAGCACTTTGGGAGGGCGAAGCGGGTGGATCACCTGAGGTCTGGAGTTCGAGACCAGCCTGGCCAACATGGCGAAACCCTGTCTCTACTAGAAACACAAATATAGCCGGACGGGGTGGTACGCAACTGTAGTCCCAGCTGCTTGGGAGGCTGAGTCAGGAGAACCGCTTGAACCTGGGAGGCAGAGGTTGCAGTGAGCGGAGATCACGCCATTGCACCTCAGCTTGGGCAACAACAGTGAAACTGCATCTCAAAAAAAAAACCAAAACAAATTTAATTAATGAGGAAAAGGGTATTTGTGGTGTCCATCATGATGTTTTCATATAGGTACACATTGTGGAATGGATGAAACAACCTCTTTATCATATTTATTTTTTCACATACTTGTATGTTTTGTGTGTGTGGTGAGAACATGTAAAATCTAATCTCTTAGTAATGTTCAATACACCATATGTTGCTATTAACTGGAGTCACCAAGACATACAATAGATCTCTTGAACCGATTTCTTCTAACTGAAATTTTGCATCCTTTGACCAACATCTCTTCAATCTCTCTCCATCCCAGGTTCTTTCGACGACCATTTTACTGTTCCTCTAGGTTCCACTTCTTACACTCCACACATGAGATCATGTGGCATTTGTCTTTCTGTGCCTGGATTGTTTCCCTTAACATAATGTCCTCTAAGTTTTTTCACATTGTCACAAATGAGAGGACTTCCTTCTTTGTTGTAAAGGTTGTATAGTACTTCATTACGTTCCTATCGTATACCACGTTTTCTTTGTCCATGCACCCATAGATGGGCAGTAAGGGTGATTCCACATCTTGGCTGTTATGAATAATGCGGCTGTAAACATGGGAATGCAGATATCTCTTCAACATACTGATTCCACTTCCTTTGGATACATGCGCAGTAGTTGGATTGCAGACACATATGGGAATTCTATGTTTAATTTTTTCAGGAACTTCCAGACTGTTTTCCATAATGGTTGTGCTAATTTACATTCCCATCAACTGCATACAAATGTTCCCTTTTCTCCACATCCTCGTTAACCCTTGTTATTTTTTATGTTTTTGATAATGGTCTTTTTTTTTTTTTTTTTTTTGAGACTCAGTCTTGCTCTGTCACCCAGGCTGGAGTGCAGTGGCACAATCTCGGTGTACTGCAACCTCTGCCTCCTGGGTTCAAGCGATTCCCCTGCCTCAGTCTCCAGAGTAGCTGGGACTACAAGTGTGCGCCACCAAACTCTGCTAATTTTTGTATTTTTAGTAGGGATGGGGTTTCACCATATTGGCCAGGCTGGTTTCGAACTGCTGACCTCAGGTAATCTCCCTGCCTCGGCCTCCCAAAGTGCCTGAATTACAGGCATGAGCCACCATGCCCAGACTGTTAATGGTCATTCTAAGAGGTGTGAGGTGATATCTCATTCTAGTTTTAATTTTTATTTAGCTGATGTTTAGTAATGCTAATCATTTTTTCATATACCTTTTGGTGATTTGTCTTATTCTTAGAAATGTTTATTCAGATACTTTGCCCATTTTTTTAAGTTGGGTTATTTGATTTCTTACCATTGAGTTGTTTGAGTTTCTTATATATTTTGGATATTAATTCCTTATTAGATGTATGGGTGCAAATATATTCTCCCATTCCATAGGTTGTCTTTCCACTTGTTGAGTTTTTTTTTTCTTTGCAGAAACTTTCAATTTGATATAATGTTATTTGTCTACTTTTGCTTTTGTTGCCTGGGCCTTTGGGTTAATATCCAAAATGGTTTTGCCCAAGCCAGTGGAGTTTTCCCTTGATTTCTTTTAGTAGTTTTTTTTTTTTTTTTAAGATGGAGTCTCACTGTGTTGCCCCGGCTGGAGTGCAGTGGTGCGATCTCGGCTCACTGCAACCTCTACCTCCTGGGTTCAAGTGATTCTCCTGTCTCAACCTCCCGAGTAGCTGAGATTACAGGCACCCACAACCACACCCAGCTGTTTTTGTATTTTTAGTAGAGGCGGGATTTCACCATGTTGGCCATGCTGGTCTTGGAATCCTGACCTTAGGTGATCTGCCCACCTTGGCCTCCCAAATTGCTGGGATTATAGTCTTTCATCTTACATTTAAGTCATTAATCTATCTTGAGTTGACTTTGTATGTTTTGTGAGGCAAATGTCCACTTCCATTCTTCTGCATGTGGACATGCAGTCTCCCAATCCCATTTATTAAAGAGACTGTTCCTTCTCCATTGTGTGTTCTTGACACATCCCAAAAATTGTTTGACCCTAAATGCATGCATTTTTTTCCTGGGCTATGAATCACTTCCATTGGTCTATGTGTCTGTTTTTATGCAAGTACTGTGTTGTTTTAATTACTGTAATTTTGTAATGTAGTTTGTGTTTAGGTAATGTGATGCTTCCAACTTTGTTCCTTTCCCTCTAGATGGCTTTGGTTATTTGAGATCTTTTGTGGTTCCACATGAATTTTAGGACTGTTTTTTCTATTTCTGTAAAAAAAATGTCATTGGATTTTTGATAATGGTTGCATTGAATCACTTTGGATAGAATGGACATTTTAACAACATTAATCCTTCTGATCCGTGAACATGGAATATCTTTCGATTTATTTGTTTATTTCTTGAGTTTTTTCATCAATGTTTTATAGCTTTTGCATACAGATCTTTCTACTCCTTGGGTGAATTTATTCCTGCATGTTTTGTTTTCTGTAGTTATTGCAAATGGGCTTATTTTCTTGTAAACTTTTTTGGATAGTTTGTTGTTAATGTATAGAAACTTTGTTGTTGTTGTTGTTGTTGTTTTGATGATACCCATCCTAAGGGGTATGAAATGGCATCTGGTGTAGTTTTAGTTAGTATTTCCCTAATGATTCGTGATGCTGAATATCTTTTCATGCGTATGTTCTTTGGAGAAATGTCTGTTTCAGTACTTTGCCCATTTTTGAATTGAGTTTATTGTGATTGAGTTTTAGGAGTTGTCTGTATATTCTGGATGTTAATCCCTTACAGGTGGTGTGGTTTGAAAACATTTTCTCCCATTCTGTGGGTTGTCTTTTTACTTTGATAATATCGTCTTAAAAGTTCTTTTTCCTTGCCATGTGAAGTAACTGATGTTGTCTTTTGAGTCACAATATTTCAAAATTTTCATAAAGTCTAACTTGTTTATTTTTTCTGTAGTAGCCTGTGCCGTTGTTGTCACATCTAAAGAATCACTGCCAAATCCGATGTTGTGAAGTTTTCCTTTGTGTTTTCTTCTAAGACTTTAATTAAATTTTATTTGTCAATATTTAGGACTGACAAAAGCTTTTTAACATTCCTGGCACCATCTCAGTTATTGATCTACTCCCAAGATGGATCATTTCAATTAAAACATGTAAAGCATGACCTCACCTGAATGTGTTTGAACTTGCTCTTCTCCCTTTCAAATCGACTCCCTCACTTACATAGTTTGTGTTCAAATGTCAACAAATAAAACATAAAAAGAAATCAATCTTTTCATAGACCCTTTATCTAAAATAGAATAGTAGGTGCCATGACATTTCATCCTTTCATCTTGAATTATTTACTTTTCTACATGAAACAATCCATTCTTCTGTGTGCATGTGTGTGTGTGTGTGTGTGTGTAGTTTATCTGTCTACATATAATGTAAACACCAAAAAATAACAGACATTTAGTAATTTTCAAATGAGACTTCAGGAATTAACAATGGCTTGCCATTTTTAGTGTGTTATTATTATTATATTTAGATGAACAGAATTGCCTCAGGAACATGGCCAGGGGCTCATAGTCCAGGAGAACTGTGGCCTGACTCAGGTACATTTTACCTGCAATAACAGCAATTGCAGGTCACTGGAGTCCATCACAATTGGCTGGAGACAAATGTAAGACAAGAATATTTGCAGTTTCCCCAGACTGACACAGTTGCAGGTTCCCCGAAGTAATGAGTCCTGAGACACCTCCAACAAGAGCTAGAAAAGGTATCACTTCAAGAGGAGTTGCAGCCTACTCATTTTAGACAAATGGAGCAAAATTACAGTATCACATCTTTTCCTTTCTCCTTCATAGAATCTGGATGAACAGAACAGAAAGAGTTAATGGAATATAAGATTCCAATTCTCTGGCATGAGAAAATAGACAAGGAAAGGAAGATTCATCTTCATCACATCTCAGACATGCTTGGACACAGGGTCCAAGCACAAAAGAGAAACACATACTTCTTCCCATCCACACTGGGATCCAGGGTCTTCTCCCTCCTGTCAGGCCAGAACTGAGTCTCCACTCCCCAATTTAGTTCCCAGAGATGAAGCCCAATTTTCCTCTGTCTCAAGCTTTGAAGGCCAGTTTTAGCGTGTTCACCATGGATGAATGAAGGTGAGGTCAGAGGTTTGGGAAATGGTCAAGAATGAGGTGAGAAGAGAGCTGTGGAGGCATGGCCCCGGGGAGCTTGGTACCCCCCCATATCCAGAGCCTGTCTGGTCCAGGAGAGTTCCCAACCCTGTGAGCACCAACTCCGGATATTCTGGGCAGTGACCCGAGGGACAGCCTCTTATGAATACAGGCTGTTTTCCTCCAGTGTCTGCTGTGAAACCAGGATGTACAACATGGCCGTGTTCAACCCAACAATGGACTTAGGATTTTGCTGTACGCCAAAACTCAGTGTCCAACTTCCACTCTGTTTAGCTGGAAAAAGAAGGGGTTTGTTCCCATACATCTCACTCCTGTGTTCCTCTTTCAGTCTCAAAGCTCAGATGAAAACAATGAGTGTCACTTATTGTCAATCCTCTTCCCTGCCTTTTCCACACTCATCAGTATTACCGTTTACATTGAGACTAAAGATGGCCAATCACCACTTTTCTTCGGAAAAATCAACCTGATGTTGTACCTACTTTTTTAGAGGTGGAATCAACCTACCCTAAGATGCCAACTACATTTTACTGAATGGACTTTTGTGGATCCCCTCGATGTATATAGTGGCACCTTGAGGTATCATCCCTGTCTTTAGCAAATGAATATTATCCCAAGGACAATATTTCATCACAATTATTCGGGATGGACGAGTGGATATTGTGGTAGCAAGAACATTACTAAAAGTCACAGCTGATACAACACACTTGAAACCCATCTGGCCAATCTCCCACAGACAGAATGTCGCGCCATTCACTCCAGCCAGCTTCAGTCATGTTTCTTCCATTTCCACCTGTGGCCCCTCATGTCTCCACCAGGTCTTAGCCAGCATTGCCAAAAGAGCCAGGAAGACCAGACCAGCCACAACAATCCTGATGGAACTCTCCACAGTATAGTTCTGGAGAACAGGGGCTGGAGGGTGGGGGTAAGATCAGAGACCTTTCCATGTGGGCCAGGCCCCTCTCTCCCCAGAAGCTCTGAAATGGAGCTATTTCCCCATCTCACCTTCATAAAATTCTTCCTGTCCAGAACCCCTCTTCTCCCTATATCATCATGAGCACCTTCAGAAGTCTTTTGCCACAAAAAGAAATTTCTTTTGAAGATATACATTTTTTTGTACATTTCAAAAATGTTCCCAAACTAATTCTCCAAAGCAATAAATGTTTGTGTGTATTGCTGGGTAGGTTATGTATACAAGGAAAGGAAGCATAGTGAGTCTGATTTGGCAGAGGAAACATATGTGGAAATTATATCATTTACTCTCTTTACAAAATTAAGTACAAAATTGAAAACACTGGTAAGAAAGAATGAGCTATAGAGAAAGAAAACATCTGAGATGCTTGTTTCCAAGATGGCTGACTAAATGCTTTTCTGGCATGTCTCATCCACTTAGAAGAACGAGCAGAATCCAGAACAAAAACCATATGATCATCTCAATAGACATAAAGAAAAGCATCTGAAAAGAAATTCAACATCCTTACCTGATGAAAACCCTCAAAAACTTAGGCATAGAAAGAACATACCTCAAAATAATAAAAGCCATAGATGACATATCTAGAGTCAACATCATACTGAACAGGAAAAGTTAAAAGCACTCCTCTGAGAACTGGCACAAGACAAGGACACGGACATCCACCACTTCCTATCAACATAGTACTGGAAGCCTTGTCAGAGCTATTGGGCAACAGGAAGAATTAAAAATCCAAATTAGAAAAGAGGAAGTAAAATTATTTTTATTTCTGATGCTATGATCTTAAATCTAGAAAATCCTAAAGACCCTGCCAAAAATTCTTATGATTGATAAATGAACTAAGTAAAGTTTCAGAATACAAAATCAATATGTAAAAGCCGGTAGCATTTCTCTACACCTATAATGATCTAGCTGAGAACCAAATCAAGAAGGCAATGCCGTTTACAATAGATACGCAAAATTAAAACACTCAGGAATACATTTAACCAAGGTGGTGAAAGATCTGTACCAGGAAAGGTGTAAGACACCAATGAAAGCAATTATAGATAATACAAAAAAAAAAAAAGAAAAAAAATCCCACGCTCATGGATCATAAGAATTAATATTGTTAAAATGACCATACTGCCTAAAGCAATCTACAGATTCAGTGCAATTCTTATATGAAAATAGTAACACCAGTTTTCACAGAATTAGAAAAAGCAATCCTAAAATTCATACAGAACCAAAAAAGATCCTAATAGAGAAAGCAATTCTAGGTGAATGTAGAAACCTGGAGGCATCACGCTATCTGACTTCAAACTATGCTCTAAGGCTATAGTAACTTAAATAGCACAGTGCTGGTATAGACACAGAAACAGAGATCAATAGACCAGAATAGAGAGCCCAGAAATACAGCCTCATATCTACAGTGAATAATCATTGACGACGTTAACAAAACATACACTGGAGAAAGATTTCCTTTTCAATAAAAGGTGCTGGGAAAACTAAATAGCCATATGCAGAAGAATAAAACTGGACCTGTATCTGTAATCATACACATAAATTAACTTAAGGTAATTAGCAGCTTAAATGTAAATCCAGAACTATAAAATCACCGGTGGAAACCCAAAGAGAAACTCTTCTGGGCATTGGTCTGGGCAAAGAATTCATCACTAAGACCTCAAAAGCACAGGCAATAAAAATAAAACTAGACCAATGGGACTTAATAAACGAAAGAGCTTCTGCCAAGCAAAGGAAATAGTAGCAGGGTGAACAGACAACCCACAGAATGAATGGAAATGTTTGCAAACTATGCACCCAACAGAGGACTAACATCCAGAATTTCTAGGCAACTCAAACAACTAAACATAACCCCTCAAATAATAGCATTAAAAAGTGGGCAAAGGGATATACATAGACATTTTTCAAAAGAAGACATACGAATGGCCAAACAGCGTATGAACATCACTAATCATCAGAGAAATGCAAATTGAAACCACAATGAGATATCATCTTACAGTAGTCAGAATGGCTATTACTAAAAATGCTGGTGGGGAGTGGTGGCTCACGCTTGTAATCCCAGCACTTTGGGAAGCTGAGGCGGGTGGATCATGAGGTCAGGAGTTTGAGACCAGCCTGACCAACATAGTGAAACCCCATCTCTACTAAATATACAAAAGATTAGCTGGGCATGGTGGTGTGGTTCTGTAATCCCAGCTACTCAGGAGGCTGAGGCAGGAGAATCATTTGAACCTGGTTGGTGGAGGTTGCAGCGCGTGGAGATGGCGGCACTGCACTCCAGCCTGGGTGACAGTGGAAGACTCCATCTCAAAAAGAAAAAAAGAAAAAGTGAAACATATAACAGGTGTTGGCAAGGATGCAGAGAAAAGGAAACTCTTATACACTGTTGGCCGGTATGTAAATTAGTATAGCCTCTATGGAAGACAGTATGGAAATTTGGCAGAGAACCAAAAATAGAAGCACCATTCGATCTAGGGGTCCCGCTGCTGGGTATCTACTCAAAAAATACCTGCACCTGTATGTTTATTGCAGCACTGTTTGCAATAGCAAAGATATGAAATCAATCTAAGTGTCTGTGAATGAATGATTGGATTAAAAAAAGGATGCGTGTATACACAACGAAATACTATTTGGTCATAAAAATAAAACCATGTCTTTTGCAGCAACATAGATGGAGCTGGACGCCATTATTTTACATAAAACCACTCAGAAAGACAAATACCACATCTTCTCACTCTACATGGGAGGGGAGTAATGTGTACATATGGACGTAGAGTGTGGAATGACGGACAGCGGAGGCTAGAAGGCTGGAGGGTGGCGGGACGTGGGTGAGTGATGAGAATTTGCTTAATGAGTACAATGTACGGTATTTGGGTGATGGATATAGTAAAAGTCCTGACTTCACTACTCTGCAACATACTCATGTCACAAAATTACAAGTGTACCTCATAAATTTATACTAATAGAAAAGAAAGTCTGTACACAGTAATCAATTGTGATATGTAGATAAAGTCAATATTAAATTTAAACCAGAATAACTAGTTAAAATGTTGTGTACACAACAGTGAAGAGAGTATTTATCCTCTATGACAGAGGAAACCATCAATATTAATGCACAGAAAAAGCAAATAACTGAAACAAGAAAGAGCAGTTTTGTGACAGGGTAAAAATTGACAACAGTTTTAGAATGCTCCTAACTTGAGTTCCAAAAAGAAAGAACGAGAAAACAGGTCAGAAGCAATCTTTAAAGAGGCAATTGTTGATTATTTGGAGGAAGTAGACACATCCATCAATCCACAGGTTCAAGAAATCCAGTGAATGCCAGGCAGAATGAAGTAAACACACCTCACGTTCAACATTACAGAAAAGCAGCATAAAAGCACAACCAACCCTTAAAATTAGCCAGAGGAAAAGGATCAGCTGGTAAGGATTTATAGGGAGCCAAGCATTGTCTTCCCCACAGAAAAAAGGAAAACATAAGCCAGTAGAATAGCATCTTTACCCAGCTAAGATACCGTCGCCAGCCACCGACAATTCCTTACATAGTACAGTTACTGTCCAAGATCAACGCAGGAAAGAAACAGAACTGAAAGACAAAAGGGCAAAGAAAGCTTTTCTCACTGACCCTAAAGGAAATTCTGATGACCGTGCCTCAAAGATAAAGAAAGTGAAACCAGATGGGGTGTCGAAGATTCTGACAATAACTAAGAGCAGAGGAAGAACTAAAAATATGGCTATGCCAAAAATGAATATGGACCATACGATAGTGTATGAAAACACGCCCCTGTGTAATTTCTGAAAAAGATAGAATTATGTATACCACAAAACAAAACATCATATAAGTAAATACAAACATATGTACTAAATATGCTCTAAAATCCTGTTCTTACACAGGAAGAGTGGAAATATGTTTTTATATTTGCAGTTTAATCTCTGAAATGATTAATTTCAATTTTAAAAATATGTAACAACTTCAGGATGAGTACACCATATATGTATTCCTAAACGACATAGATCAAAAATAGAATGTTTGAAATAGAAAACCACAGAAGTCAGTGGGAAAAAAAGGGAATCAGGAAAACACAACGTAATAATAACAAAAATATGATTGGAAGAACTGCTCAAACATGAACAAAAGATTGTCAGAAAGTCTTACTTTCTAAGGCGAATTGTTTGAAATTTACAAAGGACACATCTCAATGTTAACAATTCATGGAGTTTGAAATTAAACAATGTAGAAATATACCAAGCAATCACTGTTAGAAATGTGGTATAACTATATTAAAATTAGACAAAATTAGTCTTTGGGAAAAATCAGCGGAAAACATTAAGCATAAAATGTAGGAAAAAAGCAGGTAAATTTATAGCATTTTAAATTTACCAGGAATATATAATCAGTTTACACTTAACCACTCCCAGTAATATTCCTGCAAATATACATGGAGGAAGAGTCGCGGAAATAAATGGACAGGTAGGCAAATCCACGGCCACAGTGGGGTGTTTAACACTCCTCTTTTCTCAGTTGTTGATAGAAGTGGTTCAGGCAATTAGAGAGGATTTAGAAAGATAATTGCTGGACCTGACCCAAGGTATAAGTCCACTCCCAACCACAGGACTCACTTTCCTTACAAGCACAAGGGCATTTAGAAATCTCTCTGGATTCTGACCAGCCCTCACCATATGGCAGGTCCATGGACTTCTTGGAACACACCAAGCTCATTCTCACATTAGGGTCATCCCCAATGTCCTAAGTCCATGAAAGTTCCTTTCAACACACTCCCCAGGGCTCACTCCCTCTTGTCTCTAAGATCGGAGTTTAAATGTGATCTCTCTGATGAGGTCTCAGTGAGACGTTCCCTCCTGTACACTCCAAATGACAACGTTCCACGTTCATTCATTTCATTCTGTGCATGGCACTTTCACCAAGTGCTAAGGATTCACTCACTAATTCATACATTCATTCATTCATTCATTCACTCATTCCATCATTCACTCATTCATTCATTCTCTCATTCATTCATTCATGTTCTGCCTCTCTCTCCCACCCCACAGCAATGTGAGCATCATGAACCCAGGAGCTTGGCCGTGCTGTCTACTCCTGGCCGTGAAACAGAGAGAACTGATGGTAGGTGTGAAATAAATATTAGATGAATGAGTTAGTGAAGGGGTCATTTACTGGGTGAGCTCAGTTCTCTCTACTCTAATGCCCTCCCTCGGCTGACTTCCCTGAGTTGCCCCCTCGGCTGAGTGAAGTCCCTTCACTGGCAAATGGAACCTCAACCAGTAGCACCTAGGTGGTCTCATACTTTGTTCTTTCCCTCTCCTCTTGCTCCCTAAGGATTATCAATCTCCATGACAGGGCTGGAGAGCAGACAAGCCACACATTCTTTCTGGGGAGAGAGTAACATGGAGTACAAGGCATTCCACATTTAGGAAGAGAACTCAGTTATGGAAGGTCAGAAATGAAAAGTTCCTACAGACCAACACCCAGGTTGGTGGCCACAGCCCTAAATGCTGATGGAGAATCACTGCAAGTCTGTAGGGAAGATGTCTGGCTTGAGGCCACTGAGCGAAGTGGCAGATCCTTCTCAGCCTTCAGTGCTGAGCCTCTGTCCCCTCAGGGATCCACTGACCAATGAGAAGAGCCTCTTCTCATCTCCTGGGATGGAGCTTGGGGCCCCTGGCGAAGGAATGGGCCTGTTTCCACCTGTCATGTTGTCATCTAGCTTGGAAATCCTGCGAGTCCCAGGGAGGCCCTCCCCGAGTCCCCAGAGAAGACTCCCCCACTGAGTCTCCAAGGTGTGGAGAGAGCAAAAAACATCTAGGGTGGAAAATGCCTCCCATCAAGAGACATTGGGGCTCCCCCAACGATGGTTGCATCTGTGCCCCCCATGTGGAAATCACTCTTTGGTGAGAGGTGGGGGCTTCTGGAAATGGGCAATGGCGGGCGGCCAATGCTACCTCTAGTCTTTCCAATCTGAGCCCGGCCTTTCATGCTCCTGAGTCAGCATTGATGCTGTTTACATGTGTCCCAGGTGGGCTTCTGTACAAAGACTGGGAAGTGGTTTATGTGGCCTGTGCTCTATCTGCAAGCTTCAGGTAGGGTTGCAGTTACCACCCCAAACCCTAATGTGATCTGTCTGCCTCGCTCTGTCTGTCTGTCTATGCCTCTTTCTGTATGTTTGCTTTGTGTCTCTTCTGTCCAGCATCTCTGGCTGACACCCCCATGGCCACCCCCTCCATCTGAGGCTCCCCTGAATGTGGCCATTGTAGTCCATCTGAGTCCCACTATTTGGGGAACAGACTGGTTTCCTCACCTGTGACAGAAACAAGCAGTGGGTCACTAAGGTCTGACCACTCGTAGGGAGAGTCACGGAAAGAGCCGAAGCATCTGTAGGTCCCTCCGTGGGTGGCAGGGCCCAGAGGAAAGTTGGCCTGGAAGGTTCCATTGACCTTGGGCACTGCAGGGAACCTAAGTTCATGAGCCTCCCCCTCCCTTGATAGATGGTAGATGTCATAGGAGCTCCGGGAGCTGCAGGACAAGGTCACGCTCTCTCCTGCCTTAACCATGGGGCGCGGCTGGGCTGAGAGAGAAGGTTTCCCACATAGACCTGGAAGGAGAAGAGGCAGTTTCCTCAGGGAGGTTCTTCCTTGTCACAACTCCCCTCCCACCTGAGCTGAGAACTCACTCCCCTGCTCTATGGCCTAATGCTCTCTCTCTCTGTCTCACCCTCCACACCATCTCTCTTTATGTCTATTTCCTCTTTCCACCTTCTCTGTCTCTCTAGGTCTCTGACCTCACTTTCTCACCTCTAGATATGTTTTCCCTTTTTGGATTGTTTTATTCTCTCTGACTCTCCTTGGACTAGTTGACTTGATGTTACTTTTTTTAAATTCTGAGTTTCTCACTTTGTGTCCTGTTCATAACTTTCTGCATATTTCTATCTATTATCTATCGATATATCTATTTATCTATTTGGTGCCTATCTACAAATTCTCTACCTGTCATCTATATCTATATATAATCTATTTATCTATCAATTGTCTATCCAAAAATCATCTATTATCTATATCTATGTATCGTCTCTCTCTCTCTATGATTTCTCTTTGTCTGCCTCTCTATCTCTATGTATTATCTATCTATCTTCATCTTCATCATCTCTATGTATCATCGATTAATCAATGAATGAATCAATCATCATCTATGTATCTATAACCTATTATCTATCATCTACCTATTTATCATCTATCTATATCTATCCATCTATCATCTGTCTTGCTCTGCCTCTCGGTCTCTCTAGTTCTCTTTGGAATCTCTGCAATTCATCCCCACATCTCCATCTTTCTATGTCCTTGTGTCTCTCCCTCAGGACTCTAATTTTAGTGCTTTTCTCTGTTCCCTTCCATTGTTCTCTCCACTTCTCTGCCCTCTTTTCTCCCTCTTTATGTGTCTGTGAGTCTCTCAATCTCCTTCCTCTGGCTCATTCTCTGTGTGTTTATGTCTTTGCTTTTTGGTGTCCCTGATTTCTCTCTGTGTCTCTCAGTGATCCTCTCATATGTGGGGTTATTTGGAATGTGAGCCTCAGAATCCAGTCTGGGGACCGCAAGTTCACACAGTATACAGGGGTTGATGTTCTGGGGCCATGATATCCTGGGACGATTACTCTCCATTGCATGGAAGGCAGAGGTGTCAGAATAAACACGGCATCTGTAGGTGCCAGAAGGCCTGAGGCCACAGGGCCCAACTCAGGCCAGAAATATGGGTGTCCTTGGGTTCTTCTGGTAGAGAACACTTTGTGGAAGTAAAACAGAAATGAAACTTCTAACCTGTGCCAGGTCTCTGAGCAAAGTCAGCATGGAAGGACACCTCTCTCTGGCACATGTCTGTCTGTGTCTCCTTTAACTCTTTCTGTCTTTTCTAACTCCCTGTATGGCCCCTGTGTCTGTCCTCTGTTATGACACCTGGTCTGTACTTGTGTCTCCTGTTTCTCTGTCTCTGTTGGTACAGACCTCACCAAGTTAGTCTCTCTCCATAAGAATACCAAGCTCATCTTCCTTATAACCACCTGGGCCTCCAAGTCGTGGATCATTCACTCTGTGTCCCAGTGACAATGAGAATAATGTCCAGACACTCTCACCTGTAATCACGATGTCCAGAGGGTCACTGGGAGCTGACAACTGATAGGGGGAATGAGGAACAGAACCGTAGCATCTGTAGGTCCCTGCAAGGTCTTGCGTCATGCGACCGATGGAGAAGTTGGCCTTGGAGACCCCATCATGGAGCTCTCCAGTGAGGCGCAAAGTGTCATTAAACTTCCCCTCTCTGTGCAGAAGGAAGTGCTCAAACATGACATCTGACCAACATTGCAGGATGACTGTCTCTTCTGATTTCACCAGGGGACCTGGGTGGGCCAGGAGGGAAGGTTTTCTGTGGACTCCTAGGAAGAGAGGTTGTGACTTTAGAAGGCATCTCTCTTTATCATCCCATCCATGGCACCTAGAATGAGTGAGGCTTCCCCTCGCTGGTGTCTTATCTCTCTCCTTCCTCTCTGTGTCTTCATGTTCTTTTCTGTGCCCATAACTCCTGGTACAGGTCCTTCCATCTGTCTCCCTCCCTCTTCTCTGTCCCTCTGTCTCTAGTAGCTCCTGATTCCCTTGCCGCTGGGCTCAGCCTCATCTCTTGGGCTGTTGTATCTATTTCGAACTAATGTCTTTCCTGCTTCTATGTGGGGGTGGAAGAGGAACCAGGATAGGCTGCACGTCCAGGCTCTTAGCAGACTGGTTCAATCTCTTTTGGACGAATTGGAATCCTTGGCAGAAGGTATGAACTGATCAGTAAGGCAGGCACCAGTGTCCACACACCCTGTTCCTGGTGGGGACTGGGAGCCACTCTTGCCATGCCTGTGCCTTCTCCATGGTGCCAGCTTCCATAGGCTGGCTTCTGGTGCTGGTTTGAGGAGTATCAACCCCTCCCTATGTGGATGGAGCCTGGTGGTGGCATCATCATCCCACCCTTGCTGATCTCGGTGTAGCCAACCTTCTCTTTGTTTGGTTTCTTTAATTAATTAATTAATTTTGGAGTCAGAGTCTCACTCCTTCACCCAGGCTGGAGTGAAGTGGTGTGGTCTAGGCTCACTGCAACCTCTGTCTCCTGGGTTCAAGTGATTCTCCTGCCCTCAGCCTCCTGAGTTGCTAGGATTACATGCACCTGCCACCACGCCCGGCTATCCTTGTGTCCTTTCTTATCTTGTCCTTGACCTGGGTTCCAGTGTTGGTTTCCTGTTGGTGCTGTGGAAAATTATCAGAAGCATGGCAGCAGGAGAGAGCACACTGACCCCTTCCGTTTCTGGAGACAGAAATCGGACCCTGTTTTTTGAGGGCTAAAATCAAGGCATCTGCAGGGCTGCGTTCCCTCTGGAGACCCAGGAGAATCAGTTCCTTGACTTTTCCAGCCTCTATAGGCCACCTGCATTCATGGCTCATGGCCTTCCTCCACCTTCAAAGCTGATGGAGACTTCCATTGCACTGCTCTAATCGCCACTCCCCTCTTCCTTCTCCTCTCATGTGCACCCTTGTGATTACACTGAGCCCAGCAGGACAGTCCAGGCTGTCTCCCCATCTCAAGGTCAACTCAACAACCTGAGCTCCATCTTCCCCTTCAGTGCCTTCCCCTATAACATAAATAGTCACAGACTGCAGGGATTAGAATGCAGTCATCATTGGGGACAATTATTCTTTCCACCACAGCACCCATTTCCCTGTATTCAATCCCCTTTTACCCCAAATACAGTTAGGGTCTGGATGATGGGACGCTGGTGGACACTCCCACCAGAAGCTCTGGGACTCAGGAGGTGGGACAAGGAGAATCCCAGACAGGAGCCCTCTGACCTGTGACCATGATCACCAGGGGGTTGCTGGGTGCTGACCACCCAGTGAGGAAGTGTGGGTGTGAACCCCGACATCTGTAGGTCCCTGCATGTGCTGGGGTCACAGGGCCTATGAAAACGGTGTTTCGGAATACTCTGTTGTAGAGCTCAGGGACAGGCATCCCGTCTTCTTTGGACAGACTGAATTCGTTAAACCCAAGACGAGAGCGACACTGAAGAGCCACATGTTCTCCTTCAGACACCACAGGGCTGGGCCAGGCAGAGAGGAAGGGCTTGTCCTGACCACCTGGGGGAGAAGGAGGCGCCACCTTAGAGAGGAGGATGTGGCACTCCCTCCCTCTATTCCTTTCCAGGACTCACCAACACACGCCATGCTGACGACCATGAGCGACATGGTGCTGCCGGTGCAGACAGGCGGCCGCGCCCCAGCTCAGCTCAGCAGCGCACAGGATGTTATTTGGCGCCCTGCCCATGCAGCTTACATGTTGACTACATCATGGGAGGGTGACGTACGCAGGCTCTTTCTACCTTGCATGAGGCCCAGTGGATGCTTGCTCAAGAGCGGAACACGGCTTCCTGGAAATTGTTCTCACTAGAATTGGCACCTCACGTCCTTCACTATGACCAACTCACAACACGTCTCAGATCCAACCTCCCGAACACAAGATGCCTAAAATCTGTGCTAACGTGAAAGACTTTTCATGTATTTTTATCCGAACACGAGATGCCTAAAATCTGTGCTAACATGAAAGACTTTTCATGTATTTTTTTTGTTTTTATCTGAGATTCAAACTCTTCTTCCTGTGTAATATGCAAAGTATCTAATAGGTATTATTAATGTTTTCGGAGTCATTGTGACTAATAAACCATTAGAATTTTTCATGCTTGTATTTCTAGTATTACAGCAGAACCAGCTAAAATGATTTAAATTCCCAGGGAAGGATTATGCAATTATTTACAATCTTAGAATTGTACTTTATCAGCAAAAACCACACCTGTAAATTCTGGAGTTTTGTAGTTTAATCTAAAATTTGTCTCATGACCCAAGATTCCAGAGTCCCAACTCTGGAGTTTGCTCTCTGTCTGTCTCTCTCCCTCCCTCGTTTTAAATTTTACAGAAATATCCAGTAACATAATGCTATAGAAAATCAAGTTTTCCCCAGCACGTTGGGAAGCCGAGGTGGGCGGATCAACTGAGATAAGGAGTTTGAGAGCAGCCTGGCCAATATAGTGAAACCGTGTCTCTGTTAAAAATCCAAAAATTAGCCGTGCCTGGTGGCAGGCACCTGTAACGCCAGCTACTCAAGAGGCTGAGGCACGAGAATCGCTTGAACCTGGGAGGCGGAGGTTGCAGTGAGCTGAGATTGTGCCACTGCAGTCCAGCCTGGGCGACAGAGCAAGACTCCGCCTCAAGAAAAAAAAAGCAAACAGCCTATAATAACAAATTAGAGGGCTCTGGCTACTAAATTTAAAGGGTTCTATAAGGCTACATAAAGTGCAGCATCATCAAGAGTGTGGACACAGAGAGCCCCTTAGCAGAAACAGTGTCTAAAATACATCCATGTACACACAGTCCCTTTAGAGTTGACAAAGGCTGCCGTGTGGTTTAAGGTGGCATAGAATGTCTTCTCAATAAATAATATTAAACCAATTGGTTACACCTAGGAAAAAATAAATCTAACTCACACTATAAAAACACTTCTTAGTTTTTATCTAGTTGTACATTTTTTATGATTTATATTTAAATTTGAGAAATAAAAGTCATATACGGTCATCCTTCACTATTCGTGGGTGATTGGTTTTGAGATCTCCACTCAGATACCAAAATCTGTAGATGCTCAAGCCTCTTATATGAAATGGCACAGCGTTTGCAAATAACCTATGCACATCCTCCTGTATACATGAAATCATCTCTAGATTACTTATAATTCCTGATACAGCCTACACACAGCTTCATTTGTGTCCATTCAACATAGTTATGCTTTTTGAAACTCTGTGGATACTTTCTCTCAATATTTTTGATTTATACTTGGTTCAATAAACACCTGTAAACCCCGCAGATATGGAGGAGTGACCGTATATTTATATTATGAAAGATGATGTGTTGATATGTGTCCCCATGGAGATGAGACTAACAAGGCCTATGATTCTACAAATGTTTCATTGTGGAATGACTCTGCCAGCTTTCCAGGTCTGCAGAGAGTAAGAGTATCACTTGTTCATATGATTCGTGATCCTTGGAACCTCCTATGTGCTACATCTTTGGATGGAAATTGGAGTCCCAGAGACAAATGAGGCTCCACCCTGCTTCCAGAAACTCAGAGTCCGGGGATGAGAACTCAGTGGGGAACAGATGGGATTATATGGACATGGTACTGATAACACCGGAAGCCTTAGGCAAGAAAAGAGTCCCATTACCGAAACCATGGGGGCAGACATGTTTATTTGAAGGATGGAAAACTACATTGAAGTTATTTTAAAAAATATATAAGTTTTACTGCTGACAGAAGACTGAAAGCTAGTCTGAGGGGAGGTGGAACAGCATGAGGGAAGGTGGAACAACACGTGTCTAAGTGCTGCGTTAAGAGGGAGCCTCTTGTATGTTTGGAATTGTGAGTTCCTCAGTGTGATTGCAGCCTCAAGTAGACTAGGAAGTAAGCCAGTTAGGTTGGAGAGGTGGGCAGGGGTCAAGTGAAATGGAGAACTGTGGGTTAAGCAAAGGAGTGTGTTTTTTCTCCAGCAGGCAGTGGGGACCTTAGACATTTGTAAGCAAGAGAGAGGCACATTCAGATTTGTGGTGTGAGGAAGATCGATGCCCTAAGATGCAGACTCACGCCTTCAGATTCCAGCTGCTGGTACATGGGAGCTGGCAACCCGGTTTTGAGACAGGGCTGTTGTCTCCCTAGAAGACGCCCTCAAGGCCTGACTGTGGTGCTCATGGGCAGGAGACAACTTTGGATCTGGACTCAGCATTTGGAAGTTCCGTGTACACGATGATATCTGTTGGGGGTGTCTTGGGCCTCTGAGAAGGGCGAGTGATTTTTCTCTGTGTGAAAACGCAGTGATTCAACTGTGTGTATGTCACCTCCTGAGGGTCTTGTTCATCAGAGTCCTGGAGAGAGGGAAATGCTGAGTGAGGGAGGGTGCTCACATTTTCCAGGACTCTTTGGGAATAACAGTAGCCACGAGCCCGGGCCGAGGAGTACCTACCTCGCTATTCGCTGTTCTGTTTCCTGCAGACTCTTGGTCCATTACCGCAGCATCTGTAGAAGATGGAAGTCAACAAAACAGCTCGGAGGGCACTTCTGGGTCCTCATTTCATAAGCAGATACCAACATACAGGGGGAGACCATAGGTGGCTGAGGTCCCTCAGTTGCCAACAGCAGACTCAGACATTCTATCTCTCTGAGCTCAAGGACCCATCCCATGAATAGCTCTGAGTTCCCATCCCATTGATTCTGTCTCCCACTTTCTGCCTGTCATGGAACCTTCTCCTGGATGTGAGTGGCTGCAGGGGACATGGGGATACAGTTCAGAATCAGGCAACGGTCTGTGAGTTGAAGGCAGGGACAGGGAGTCTGGTGCCCTCTCTAGAAAGTCCTGCCTCTGTGGCTGCTGCCTTGGGCCAGGGACCATCCTGTTTGTGAGGAACACACACCTGAGTGCTCCCATCCTGCTTCCCCACATGGCCCTGAGCTCTCTGGCCTCTGCTTCGTGAGACTTACTTTTTTTGTTGGAGCACCAGCGATGAAGGAGAAAGAAGAGGAGGATGAAGAGGATGATGACCACTGAGGTCCCAATCAGAATGTGCAGGTGTCGGGGGTTACCTGGAAGAAGATGAGACACCAATAAGAAGCTAATCTTAGCAGTTCCTCTTTATGAATTGTCTCGCATTTCTTGATTGACAGGTAACCACATAAAACACCTCTTTAGGACAAGCACCCAGATGGCAGGAGACCCAGCTTTCTCCTGCTTTTTCTGTTATAGCTCTCATAGTAACCATAGAACGTGCTGAGGATACGACTACTTTAGTTGAGATGTTTGACCCCTTCAAACCTCACATTGAAATTTCACCCCCACTGTGGGAGGTTGGGCCTCTTGAGAGGTGTTTGGGTCATGGAGGTGGATCCATCATGAACACATCAATGCTGTCCCAAGGAGACGGGGTTAGCAAGTTCCCCCTCTATTAGTTCCCGGAGAGCTGGTTGTTAAAAAGAGCTTGGAAGCTCCATCACTCCCCCTCCCCCTTGCTCCCTCTCTTGCCGTGTGATCTCTGTGGTCTCTGCACAGACAGACCCTCCTTCCCTTCTGCCAGAGTGGGAGCAGCCTGAGGCCGTCACGAGAAATAGATGCTGGTGCCATGCTTCCAGTACAGCCTGCAGAACGGTGAGGCAAACCAATCTCTTTTCTTTAGAAGTTACCGAGGCTCAAGTGTTCCTTTAGAGCAACAAAAATGGCCTAAGACAGCAACTTCCTGAGATCAGGAGGAACGTCTCAGAACACCCTGGGCTGTCTTCCTGTTCTTCCTGGAGGACGTCATGCAGTGCTTTAGCTGAGTGCTTCCTGTGGCTCCAGGGTACAAAACCCAGGCTGGGCTGCTTTCTGGCTTCCCGCAGCTACACTGCAAATGGGGTGACTCCATATGTCCCGAGGAGCTTTTCTGAGCCTTGAGGGACTGGGTCACATTGAAATATAGGTTTCTGTTGTCACTCGCTGCTTATCTGTTAGTAATGAACCTGCCTATGTAACGTATTCTCTGTGTGTTCTGTCTCCCTGGAGTGACGGTGAGTGATAGGAATTGGCATAGGCCCAGGTGCAGTCCAGGAGGTGTTTAGAGTCTTCTCTGGGAAGACTGGACTGGGATTGATTCACAGCGAATGTGCTTTAGGGTTTCTACATCCACAGCATTCTTGAATCAAACAACTTGCATTCTCCAAGGAAAGAAAACAAAAGTGAAATCAAGATAAAAAAAGCGAAATAGAATTCTCTTATGTCAAACGGCCAGGAAATAGTGTTGAAGCCCGTGTGAAACCTGCTGCTCTTTGTGATCTCGGGAGACACATATTAGGCTGCTGTTCTACCCGAGAGGCTGGGGGAAGGACCACCCCCTCGGCCATCTATTGCTTCAAAACCACCTGTCCTCCTGTGAATTAGTAGGAAAGGGGAGCAGGAGCTAGTGCTGTCGCTGATCTCTGATTCCAAGATCTGGACTCACTTCAAGGAGTGTTAATGTTTACCTCCCCATGGTCTATCTGAATCTCCACAGGTGATTGGAAGTAGGGGTGAGGTGGGGGATTTGGGTGAGTGGGCAAGTTTTTTTTGTGATGACCAGAGCACTTTCTCTATTCCAGGATCTGTGCTGGAGGATTCAGCGGGCTTTCACATTTTCTATATGATCTCATGCTCACAGAAAGCCAAATAGGGAAGAGGTTTTAGGCTCATTGCCTAATGGATAAGATAAAGGATCAAAGAAGTAATTATAGAGAAATAGAAAAACGATGATTGGAATTCAGGTGCCTTTGTCATTCGTGTGTGTTTTATTATATTTATGTATTTCTTATTTTTATTTTTTGAGATAGAGTCTCCTTGTGTCCCCCAGGCTGGAGTGCAGTGATGCAATCTCCACTCACTGCAACCTCCACCTACTGGGTTGAAGTCATTCTCCTGCTTCATCCTCCAGAATAGGAGCTGGGATTACAGGGATGCACCATCGTGCTCGGCTAATTTTTGTATTTTTAGTAGAGATAGGGTTTCACCACGTTGGCCAGGCTGGTCTGGAACTCCTGACTTCATGGAATCCACCCACCTTGGCCTCCTGCAGTGCTAGGTTACAGGCGTGAGCCACTGTTCACAGACTTGTATATTATGCTATAATAAGTCTCTTCATTTCCACCACCACTCATATATCTGTCACTCCTTTGCCAGGTATTGATTTATGTGTAGGATGAATAAATCTCAGAAAGAAATTAATTAAGCGAGGATTAAACAAGTAGGAAAATCAAACCCAGTAAGCCTTTCCAGTCAATGATTCTACCTCACAAACATATCTTATATCCATCTACTTCATTCATTTAGTGTCTAAATCAGCACCACATTTCACCAGTGGGGCGGCAATTGCCTTTTCCACGGTCTCCTAGATTCCAGTTATGCACCTGGGCCTCCCTTATTTTCATGTCAGTCATATTAATCATGTAGGGATTCCTGGTTACCCCGAGGTGAATCCAATGGCTGTGAGTGTCAAACACACACTCCTTGTTGCTCCTTAGTTTCCTGTGTACCCAGTGTGCTCTCCGTCTCTCTACAGTCGTCTTGTCATTCTCCCCACCTCATTCCCAGCATTTGAGTCAGAGCCTCTTCCTTCCACATCAGATTGTTTTCACCTTTGTGCCTTCATGGCTGACAGCTGTGTGTGCAAAATCCTTCCGCCAATCTTTCAGGGGTTCATTCCGTGTTTTTCATTAATGTCACAAATATCTGAATAGTGAGACCTTCTTTGTCACCTGAAATCATACACTCAGCATTATCTATTATTGATTTTGAATTCTGGCTGGGCACAGTGGCTCACGCCTGTAGTCCCATTACTTTGGCATGCTGAGACGGTCGGATCACTTGAGGTTGGGAGTTTCAGACAAGCTTGGCCAACGTGGTGAAACATCCTCTCTACAAAAAATATACAAAAAGAATTAGCCGGGCACGGTGGCAGTTGCCTGTAATCCCAGCTACTCGAGAGGCGGAGGCAGGAGAATCACTTGAATCCAGGAGACGCAGGTTGCAGTGAGCCAAGATCGTGACACTGCACTGTAGCCTGGAAGACAGAGGGCGACTCTGTCTCAATAAACAAAAGAACAAACAAAAAATAGATTTCATGCACAGATGCTTCCCAATGGACCATTCATTTATAGATCCACTTGTGCGTTCATTTTCTGCCCTCCCATTTAACCATCTGCAATATCAGTGTCCCAAGGGCAGAGGCCAAATGCATCTTGTTCACTGTTTGTGGAAGGCAGGAGAATGCTGTCCCACCCCAAAATGTCCCTGTCCTAGCCTCCATAGCTTGTGAATATGTTATTTTACATGGAAAGGAGGAATGAAGATTGCAGATGGAATTATGGTTGCTAATCAGCTGAACTTAAAACAAGGGTATCCTGGATGATTTCCAGGAGATTATGAGGGATTTTCATCTTGGTGAACCCAATAGAATCCCCAAGTTTTCAAAAGATGAGGAAGAAGGGAGAGCAGCACTCAGAGAAAGAGGTGTGGTAAGGAAGAAGGCACTGAGTGATGCCATGTGAGATGTGACCAGTCTTTGTGGGCTTTGAGGAAGGAGGAAGGGGACCAGGAGCCAAGGAACTGGGAGCCTTTAGAAGCTGGGACAAGTGAGAAGCAGATTCGTGCCTGGAATCCTCAGAGGGAAGGCAGCCTTGCTGTCACCTTGATTTTAGCCCAGTAAGATGCACTTCCTACTTTGAGCTACAGCACTGTAAGATAATTAAAAAACCGTTTTGTTTTCACCCACGAATCTTGTGGAAATTTGTTATGGCAACAATAGGAAAAGGTTCCACACTGCACAGCCTGAGCATGGGGCCGTGGCTGAATGAGTCAGTGAGTCGAAGTGTGCGTGCATGAGCTCTGTTCTCTGTTACGGCAAGGCTCTTTCTCTGCGGAGTCAGCCAGGGTTGCTTCATGACCTACAGGAGCTCATTCCTTGGCAAGTGGAACTTCTCTAAAACACCTTGCCCTCATCAGATGTTCCCTTCCCTTCCCTCTCTCAAGTCTCCAGGAATTTATCCTCCAGTTAGGAATGCAGGTAGAACAAACATTGCATTTTTCCTGAGAAGGATGTCAGATTGGCAATCATTCTTCTAGCTTGTAGGAGGTCTCAGCTCCATAAAATGAGAGATGAAGAGATTTCACTGAGCCCTGTGTTGGGCCCAGATCCCTTTCGCTGTAGGAGTATCTGGAGTTCGGAGATGGTGGAAGACAAGTGTACAATGTCAGAGCTGTGAGATGCTGAGTCAACGCCTGAATCCAAGGTTCCCACCTCCCCAGGGTTCCAAAAGCGGATATAAGAGGGTTCTGTACTCACCGGTTTTGGAGCTTGGTTCAGTGGGTGAAGGCCAACTATTTGAAGGGTTTCCTAGAACATGAGACAGGAGAGAGGTGAGGAAATGAGGGTGTCTGTCCTCCACTCAGTGGAAATCTTTGAGGATGGTTCATGGCCAACACTCTCTTATCTAATATTGAGCCCTGGGAGTCCTGGGATCCTTTTTTCCATAATTTTTTTATATGACACCCACTGTCTTGAGACTTCAAGATATAAAGAGAAAACAGGAGCATCACACTACCTGATCTCAAAATATGTTACAGAGCTGTAGTAAGCAAAATAGCATGACATTGGCATAAAGAAAGGCACATAGAACAACGGAGCAGAATGAATAACACAGATATATTCCATGCATTTACATCCAATGGTTTTTTATTTTTTCTTTTGAGATGGAGTCTTGCTCTGTCACTCAGGCTGGAGTGCAGAGGTGCAATCTCGGTTCACTGCAACCTCAGCCTCCTGGGTTCAATCATTCTCTTGCCTCAAATTCCTGAGTAGTGGTATTACAGGTGCTGACCACCATGCTCAGCTAATTTTTATATTTTTAGTGGAGACGATGTTTCATCACGTTGGCCAGACTAATCTTGAACTCCTGGCCTCAGGTGATCCACCCACCTCGGGCTCCCAAAGTGCTGAAATTGCAGGTGTTAGCCACCAAGCCCAGCCCATCCAATGGACTTTGACAAAGATGCCAAGAACTCACAATCAGGAAAGGACAGTCTTTTCAATAAACAGTGCAGGGAAACCTGGACATCTACATGCAGAGGAATGAAACTGCAACTCTACCTGTCACCATACACAAAAATCAAATGAAAATGGATTAAAGATGTGAGTCTAAGGCCTGAACCTATGAAACACGTAGAACAAAATATTGGGGAAATGCTCCAGGACGTTTGTCTGAAGGAAGACATTTTGTTTTAAACCTTCAAAACACAAGTAATCGAAGCAAAAATAGACCATTGGGATTACCTCAAACTAAGCAACTTCAGCACTGCTAAAAATAAACCAACAAAGTGAAGAGACAACCCACAGATTGGGAGCAAATATGTGCAAACTATGCATCTGAGATGGGATTAATAACTAGAAATATAAGAAGCTCAAACAACTCAATAAAACAAATGATTTAATTGAAAAAGGAGCAAAAGACATGAAATTTCCCCACATACGAAAAAGTGCTCAGTATCACTCATCATCAGAGAAACGCAAATTAAAATCAAAGTGAGTTTTCATCTCACCCCATTAAAATGGCTTTTAGGCCGGGTGAGGTGGCTCACTTGTGTCATCCTAGAACTTTGAGAACCTGAGGTGGGTGAATCTCATAAGGTTGGGAGTTTGAGACCAGTCTGACCCACATAGAGAAACGCTGTCTCTACTAAAAATACAAAAATTAGTAGGGCGTGGTGGCGTGTGCCTGTAATTCCAGCTACTCGGGAGGCTGAGGCAGGAGAATCGCTTGAACCTGGGAGGTGGAGGTTGTGGTGAGCCGAGATAGCGCCACTGCACTCCAGCCTGGGTGAGAAGAGCAAAACTCCATCTCAAAATAAAATGAAATAAAATAAAATGGCTTTTAGCTGCAAGACAGGCAAAAGAAATGCTGGCAAGGTGGTAGAGAAAGGAGAACCCTGGTACCCTGTTGGGAGGAGTGTAAATTAGTACAGCCATTACGGAGAAAAGTATGGAAGTCCTTTAAAGAACTAAAAAGAGGTTGGGTGAGGTGGATCATGCCTGTAATCCCGGCACTTTGGGAGACTGAGGCGGGCACCTCAGTTGAGGTCATGAGTTTGAGAGCAGCCCAGCCAACATGGGGAAACCGCATCTATACTAAAAAAACCAAAAAGTAGCCAGGCATGGTGGTGTGCACCTGTAATCCCAGCTACTAGGGAGGCTGAGGCAGGAAAATCATTTGAACCCAGGAGGCGGAGGTTGCAATGAGCCAAGGTTGCACCACTTTGACTCCAGCTTGGGCTAAGGAGGGAAACTCTTTCTCAAAAAAGAAAAAAAAAAAAAAAAGAGAACTTTCATAGTATCCAGCAATTTCACTACTGGGTTTATATCCAAAGGAAAGTAAATCAACATATCGAAGTGATATCTGCACTCGTATGATTGGTGCAGCACTGTTCACAGTAGCCAAGATGAGGAGTCAACCTACCTGCCCATCAGTGGGTGAATGGATAGAGAGAATGTAGTACATACGCACAGTGGAGACTACTCATCCATAGAAAGAATAACATCCTGTCATTTGCAGCCACATGGATGGAACTGGAGGTCATTAAAAAGATTCCCATTTCTCACCCATATACAGGAGCTAAAAGGTGGATCTCATGAAGGTAGAGAGTAGAATGGTGGCTACTGGAGGACAGGAAGAAAAGGGTGGAGGGTAAAAAAAATGTATATATATATATATATAAAAATGTATTTATGACCACTAGACTTTACACTTAAAAATGGTAAATGTGGCTGGGCCTGGTGGCCCATGCCTGTAATCCCAGCACTTTGGGAGGCTGATGCGGGTGGATCACGTGGTCAGGAGTTCGAGACCAGCTCGACCAACATGGTGAAACCACCTCTCTACTAAAAATACAAAAAGTAGCCTGGCGTGGTGGTGCGTGCCTGTAGCACTAGCTACTCAGGTGGCTGAGGCAGGAGAATCGCTTGAACCCAGGAGGCGGAGGTTGCAGTGAGCTGAGATTGTGCCACTGCACTCCATCATAGGGGACAGAGCTAGACTCCACCTCAAAAAAAAATGTTAAAAGTGGTAAGCTATATAGGTATATTTATCCTCAATAAATATTTCTTCAAAGAAAAGTAAAGGGTGTAGGGGTTGCTGGTGATGACATCTCTGTGTGGGTGAGAGGCCAGGATGGGCTTCTGGGAAATGGGTAAGGTTGAGGGGCTGAGGGAACCTCTGATCTCCCCAAACTGAGCCCAGTCTCCCTCCTCTGGGTCTCTCCTGACCGCTTTCTCCATCTGCCTGGGTGCCTGGAGCCCTGGCCGTGGGCCTCCATGCAGGCCATGTAGGAGGGTTTGGAGGTGCCCTGTCGGCCATCCTGTGCCCTGATCCCTCCCTCACACCGAGGCTGCGTCTTCTCTCTGCATCTGTCCATGCTTCTCTCCATCCTCAGCAGGAAGCTCCTCAGCTAAGGCTCTAGGATCATAGGACATGGGACAGCCATGGGCTTTCCTCACCTGTGACAGAAACAAGCAGTGGGTCACTTGACTTTGACCACTCGTATGGAGAGTCATGGAAAGAGCCGAAGCATCTGTAGGTCCCTCCGTGGGTGGCAGGGCCCAGAGGAAAGTCAGCCTGGAATGTTCCGTTGACCTTGGGCCCTGCAGGGAGCCTACGTTCATGGGCCTCCCCTTCCCTGGATAGATGGTACATGTCATAGGAGCTCCGGGAGCTGCAGGACAAGGTCACATTCTCTCCTGCCAGAACCGTGGGGCCCAGCTGGGCTGAGAGAGAAGGTTTCTCATATAGACCTGGAAGGAGAAGAGGCAGTTTCCTCAGGGAGGATCTTCTTTGTCACAGCTCCCTTCACCTGAGCTGAGAACTCACTCCCCTGTTCTATGACCTAATGCTCTCTCTCTCTCTCTCTCACCCTCTACCCCATCGCTCTTCATGTCTATTTCCTCCTTCCACCTTCTCTGTCTCTCTAGGTCTCTGACCTCACTTCCCCACCTCTAGATATGTTTTCTCTTTTTGGATTGTTTTATTCTCTCTGACTCTCCTTGGATTGGTTGACTTGATGTTACTTTTTTTAATTCTGAGTTTCTCACTTTGTGTCCTGTTCATAACTTTCTGCATATTTCTATCTATTATCTATCGATCTATCTATTTATCTATTCGGTGCCTATCTACAAATTCTCTACCTGTCATCTATATCTATATATCATCTATTTATCCATCAATTGTCTATCTATCCATCAATCATCTATTATCTATATCTATGTATCATCTCTCTCTCTCTATGATTTCTCTATGTCTGCCTCTGTATCTCTATGTATTATCTATCTATCTGTCTTCATCATCATCATCTCTATGTCTCATCTATTAATGAATCAATCAATCATCATCTATGTATCTATAACCTATTATCTATCATCTACCTATTTATCATCTATCTATATCTATCCATCTATCATCTGTCTTGCTCTGCCTCTCGGTCTCTCTAGTTCTCTTTGGAATCTCTGCAATTCATCCCCACATCTCCATCTTTCAATGTCCTTGTGCCTCTCCCTCAGGAGTCTAATTTTAGTGCTTTTCTCTGCTCCCTTCCATCATTCTCACCACTCCTCTGCCCTCTTTTCTCTCTCTTTATGTGTCTGTGAGTCTCTCAATCTCCTTCCTCTGGCTCATTCTCTGTGTGTTTATGTCTTTGCTTTTTGGTGTCCCTGATTTCTCTCTGTGCCTCTCACTGATCCTCTCATAAGTGGGCTTATTTGGAATATGAGCCTCAGAATCCAGTCTGGAGACTACAAGTTCACACAGCATACAGGGGTTGGTGTTGTGGGGCCATGATATCCTGGGACGATTACTCTCCATTACATGGAAGGCAGAGGTGTCAGAATAAACATGGCATCTGTAGGTGCCACAAGGCCTGAGGCCACAGGGCCCAACTCAGGTCAGAAATATGGGTGTCCTTGGGTTCTCCTGGTAGAGAACACTTTGTGGAGGTAAAACAGAAATGAAACTTCTAACCTGTGCCAGGTCTCTGAGCAAAGTCAGCATGGAGGGACACCTCTCTCTGGGACATGTCTGTCTGTGTGTCTCCTTTAACTCTTTCTGTCTTTTCTAACTCCCGGTATGGCCCCTGTGTCTGTTCTCTGTTATGACACCTGGTCTCTACTTGTGTCTCCTGTTTCTCTGTCTCTGTTGGCACAGACCTCACCAAGTCAGTCTCTCTCCATAAGAATACCAAGCTCATCTTCCTTACAGCCACCTGGGTCTCCAATTCCTGGATCATTCACTCTGCATCCCAATGACAATGAGAAGAAAGTCTGGACACTCTCACCTATGATCACGATGTCCAGAGGGTCACTGGGAGCTGACACCTGATAGGGGGAGTGAGTAACAGAACCGTAGCATCTGTAGGTCCCTGCCAGGTCTTGCGTCATGCGACTGATGGAGAAGTTGGCCTTGGAGACCCCATCATGGTGTTCTCCAATGAGGCGCAAAGTGTCGTTAAACATCCCCTCTCTGTGCAGAAGGAAGTGTTCAAACATGACATCTGACCAACACTGCAGGATGACTGTCTCTTCTGATTTCACCAGGCGACCTGGGTGGGCCAGGAGGGAAGGTTTTCTGTGGACTCCTAGGAAGAGAGGTTGTGAGTTTAGAAGGTGTCTCTCTTTATCATCCCATCCATGGCACCTGGATTGAGTCAGGCTTCCCCTTCCTGGTGTCTTATCTCTCTCCTTCCTCTCTGTGTCTTCATGTTCTTTTCTGTGCCCATAACTCCTGGTGCAGGTCCTTCCATCTGTCTCCCTCACTCTTCTCTGTCCCTCTGTCTCTAGTAGCCTCTGATTCCCTTGCCGCTGGGCTCAGCCTCATCTCTTGGGCTGTTGTATCTATTTCGAACTAATGTCTTTCCTGCTGTCTATGTGGGGGTGGAAGAGGAACCAGGATAGGCTGCACATCCAGGCTCTTAGCAGCCTGGTTCAATCTCTTTTGGACGAATTGGAATCCTTGGCAGGAGGTATGAACTGATCAGTAAGGCAGGCACCAGTGGCCACACACCCTGTTCCTGGTAGGGACTGGGAGCCACTCTTGCCATGCCAGTGCCAGCTTCCATAGGCTGGCTCCTGGTGCTGGTTGGAGGAGTATCAACCCCTCCCTATGTGGATGGAGCCTGGTGGTGGCATCATCATCTGAGCCTTGCTGATCTCAGTGTAGCCAACCTTCTCCTTGTTTGGTTTCTTTAATTAATTAATTAATTTTGGCGACAGAGTCTCACTCCTTTGCCCAGGCTGGAGTGAAGTGGTGTGGTCTAGGCTCACTGCAACCTCTGTCTCCTGGGTTCAAGTGATTCTCCTGCCCTCAGCCTCCCAAGTCGCTAGGATTACATGCACCTGCCACCATGCCTGGCTATCCTTGTGTTGTTTCTTAACTTGTCCTTGACCTGGGTTCCAGTGTTGGTTTCCTGTTGCTGCTGTAGAAAATTATCAGAAGCATGGCACCAGGAGAGAGCACACTAACCCCTTCCAATTCTGGAGACAGAAATCGGACCCTGTTTGTCGTGGGTAAAATCAAGGCACCTGCAGGGCTTCGTTCCCTCTGGAGACTCAGGAGAATCAGTTCCTTGACTTTTCCAGCCTCTATAGGCCACCTGCATTCATGGCTCCTGGACTTCCTCCACCTTCAAAGCTGATGGAGACTCCCATTATGCTGCTGTAATCCCCACTCCCCTCTTCCTCCTCCTTTCATGTGGACCCCTGTGACTACACTGAGCCCATCAGGACAGTCCAGGCTGTCTCCCCATCTCAAGGTCAACTCATCAACAACCTGAGCTCCATCTTCTCCTTCAGTCCCTTCCCCTATATCATAAATAGTCACAGACTCCAGGGATTAGAATGTAGTCATCACTGGGGACAATTATTCTTCCCACCACAGCACCCATTTCCCTGTATTCAATCCCCCTTTACCCCAAATACAGTCAGGACTTGCATGATGGGACCCGCAAGGACACGCCCACCAGGAGCTCTGGGATTCAGGAGGTGGGACAAGGAGAATCCCAGACAGGAGCCCTCTGACCTGTGACCGTGATCTCCAGGGGGTTGCTGGGTGCCGACCACCCACTGGGGTAGTGTGGTTGTGAACCCCGACATGTATAGGTCCCTGCGTGTGCTGGGGTCACAGGGCCCATGAAAAGGCTGTTCCAGAATATTATGTTGTAGAGCTCAGGGACAGGCACCCCATCTTCCTTTTACAGACTGAAGTTGTTAAACCCAAGATAAGAATGACACTGAAGAATCACATGTCCTGGAGGCACCACAGGGCTTGGCCAGGCAGACAGCAAGGGCTTGTCCTGACCACCGTGGGGAGAAGGAGGCACCGCCTTAGAGAGGAGGATGTGGAGCCGCCCCTCCCTCCCTGTGCTCTGAAGATTCTCCTCGCTTTCCAAGTTTCTATGGCTGCTATCACACCTTGGTGCCCAGGGCTAAAGGAAGGACCCATCCCGCAAACACAAGGTGTCTCCCTACAACAAAAGTGTCAGCTGAGAACTTTGAGCAAGTGCTGAGTAAGAGACTCCTACTAGATTTTAATACTGTAAGATTACTCACATAAAACAACACAGGGTAGACATGGGGTGGAGGGCATGTCCTTTGAGAATGGAATATCAGCCGATGCCTGAACGAAAATAAACAACTGAGTCCCCATCAGAGGATTGGAATGTCAGGGCCATGGCTGTGGTTTTCCCACCTCTTCTGGTAGAATGACAGCAGCCACACTGCAGCCCCTACCGTCATGGAAACGCTGAAGTGTGTGAGTAACACCTTTGTCCTCAGAGGATCTGCTGTTCCTACCACTTCCCCACCACACACCCCAGCTTTGAGCACCGTAGTCTAACCCTGGTCCCCACAGAACTTGACTCTGCCAAGGGAATGAAAGGCCAGGGAGGCAAGGTCAGAAATGTGGGCCCAGCACCCCAGGGTCCCTTCTTCCTAGTTTATGAGAGACTCCCTGACAGGACTTCCCTCCCATTTCAGGAAAATCCTCTTATGTGGGGAGATGACACCCGAAGGTTGGGAGAAGGACTCACCCTCATGTGGCCAGGCCCCCTGCAGCAAGAAGAACCCTGGAAAGAAAGATCATGATGGATGACCCATCTGCAGGCAAACCAGGGCACCCTTGCTGCCCCCACTGGGCTGTGAGTCTTGGTAGCCAGGCCCTTCCTGGGCTGAAGGTAAACTCACCCTCAGTGCCTACCTGCACCCAAGAACAGGGCTGTCGGCTGTGCAGAGACCCAGCCTCCAGGTCCATATCCCCACCTCAAGCCCATATCTCCACTCCAGGCCCATATCTCCACTCCAGGCCGATATTTCCACCCTAAGCCCATATCGCCAATCCAGGCCCATATCTCCAATCCAGGCTCAGATCTCCACCCTGGGCCCATATCTCCAATCCAGGCCCTTATCTCCACTCCAGGTCCATATCTCCTCTCCAGTCCCATATCTCCACTCCAGGCCCATATATCCTCTCCAGTCCCATATCTCCACACCCAGGCCCGTATCTCCATCCTAGGCACATATCTCCTCTCCAGGCCCAGATATCGACCTCTAGGCCCATATCTCCACTCCTGGCCCATATCTCCACTCCAGGCCCAGATATCGACCTCTAGGCCCATATCTCCACTCCTGGCCCATATCTCCACTCCAGGCCCATGTCTCCACTTCAGGCCCATATCTCTACTGCAGGCCCATAACTCCACCTCCAGGCCCATGACTCCACTCCAGGCCCATATCTCCACCTCCAGGCCCATATCTCCCCTCCAGGTTCCTATCTCCCCTCCAGGTTCCTATCTCCACTCCAGGCCCAGATCTCCACTACAGTCCCATCACTCCACCTCCAGGCCTATATCTCGACCTCTGGGCCCAGATCTCCACTTCTAGGCCCATCACTCCATCTCTAGGCCCATATATCCACTCCAGGCCCAGATCTCCACTCCAGGCCCATAACTCCACCTCCAGGCCTATATCTCCACCTCTGGGCCCAGATCTCCATCCCCTCACTCCCTCCCTCTATTGCTTTCCAGGACTCACCAACACACGCCATGCTGACGACCAAGAGCGACATGGTGCTGCCGGAGCAGACAGGCAGCCGCGACCGAGCTCAGCTCAGCAGCGCACAGGATGTTATTTGGCGCCCTGCCCATGCAGTTTACATGTTGACCACATCATGGGAGGGTGACGTACGCAGGCTCTTTCTACCTTGCATGAGGCCCAGTGGGTGCTCGCTCAAGAGCGGAACACGGCTTCCTGGAAATTGTTCTCGCTAGAATTTGACACCTAGTGTCCTTCACTATGACCAACTCAAAACACGTCTGAGATCCAACCTCCCGAACACGAGATGCCTAAAATCTGTGCTAACATGAAAGACTTTTCATGTATTTCTATTGTTTTTATCTGAGATTCAAACTCTTCTTCCTGTGTAATATGCAAAATATCTAATAGGTATTATTAATGTTTTCAGAGTCATTGTCACTAATAAACCATTAGAATTTTTCATGCTTGTATTTCTAGTATTACAGCAGAACCAGTTAAAATGATTTAAATTCCCAGGGAAGGATTATGCAATTATTTACAATCTTAGAATTGTACTTTATCAGTAAAAACCCCACCTGTAAATTCTGGAGTTTTGTAGTTTAATCTAAAATTTGTCTCATGACCCAAGATTCCAGAGTCCCAACTCTGGAGTTTGTTTTCCGTCTGTCTCTCTCCCTCCCTCATTTTAAATTTTACAGAAATATCCAGTAACATAATGCTATAGAAAATCAAGTTTCCCCAGCACGTTGGGAAGCCGAGGTGGGCGGATCAACTGAGATAAGGAGTTTGAGAGCAGCCTGGCCAATATAGTGAAACCGTGTCTCTGCTAAAAATCCAAAAATTAGCCGTGCCTGGTGGCAGGCACCTGTAACGCCAGCTACTCAAGAGGCTGAGGCATGAGAATCGCTTGAACCTGGGAGGCAGAAGTTGCAGTGAGCTGAGATTGTGTCACTGCAGTCCAGCCTGGGCGACAGAGCAAGACTCCGCCTCAAGAAAAAAAAGCAAATAGCCTATAATAACAAATTAGAGAGCTCTGGCTACTAAATTTAAAGGGTTCTATAAGGCTACATAAAGTGCAGCATCATCAAGAGTGTGGACACAGAGAGCCCCTTAGCAGAAACAGTGTCTAAAGTACATCCGTGTACACACAGTCCCTTTAGAGTTGACAAAGGCTGCCGTGTGGTTTAAGGTGGCATAGAATGTCTTCTCAATAAATAATATTAAACCAATGGGTTATACCTAGGAAAAAATAAATCTAACTCACACTATAAAAACACTTCTTAGTTTTTATCTAGTTGTACATTTTTTATGATTTATATTTAAATTTGAGAAATAAAAGTCATATACGGTCATCCTTCACTATTCGTGGGTGATTGGTTTCGAGATCTCCACTCAGATACCAAAATCTGTAGATGCTCAAGCCTCTTATATGAAATGGCACAGAGTTTGCAAATAACCTATGCACATCCTCCTGTATACATGAAATCATCTCTAGATTACTTATAATTCCTGATGCAGCCTACACACAGCTTCATTTGTGTCCATTCAACACAGTTCTGCTTTTTGTAACTCTGTGGATACTTTCTCTGAATATTTTTGATTTATACTCGGTTCAATAAAGAACTGTAAACCCCACAGATATGGAGGAGTGACTGTATATTTATAGTGTGAAAGATGATGTGTTGATATGTGTCCCTGTGTAGATGAGACTAACAAGGCCTATGATTCTACAAATGTTTCATCTTGGAATGACTCTGCCAGATTTCCAGGTCTGCAGAGAGTAAGAATATCACTTGTTCATGTGATTCACGATCCTTGGAACCTCCTATGTGCTACATCTTTGGATGGAAATAGGAGTCCCAGAGACAAATGAGGCTCCACCCTGCTTCCAGAAACTCAGAGTCCGGGGGTGAGAACCCAGTGGAGAACAGATGGGGTTATGTGGACATGGTAATGATAATGGAAGTCTTAGGCAAGAAAAGAGTCCCATTACCGAAACCATGAGGGCAGACATGTTTATTTGAAGGAGGGAAAACTACATTGAAATTATTTTAAAAAATATATAAGTTTTACTGCTGACAGAAGGCTGAAAGATACTCTGAGGGGAGGTGGAACAGCATGAGGGAAGGTGGAACAGGACGTGTCTAAGTGCCGTGTTAAGAGGGAGCCTCTTGTATGTTTGGAACTGTGAGTTCCTCAGTGTGATTGCAGCCTCAAGTAGACTAGGAAGTAAGCCAGTAAGGTTGGAGAGGTGGGCAGGGGTCAAGTGAAATGGAGAATTGTGGGCTAAGCAAAGGAGTGTGTTTTCTCTCCAGCAGGCAGTGGGGACCTTAGACATTTGTAAGCAAGAGAGAGGCACATTCAGATTTGTGGTGTGAGGAAGAGCGATGCCCTAAGATGCAGACTCACGCCTTCAGATTCCAGCTGCTGGTACATGGGAGCTGGCAACCCGGTTTTGAGACAGGGCTGTTGTCTCCCTAGAAGATCCCCTCAAGGCCTGACTGTGGTGCTCATGGGCAGGAGACAACTTTGGATCTGGACTCAGCATTTGGAAGTTCCGTGTACACTCTGGTATCTGTTGGGGGTGTCTTGGGCCTCTGAGAAGGGCGAGTGATTTTTCTCTGTGTGAAAACGCAGTGATCCAACTGTACGTATGTCACCTCCTGAGGGTCTTGTTCATCAGAGTCCTGGAGAGAGGGAAATCCTGAGTGAGGGAGGGTGCTCACGTTTTCCAGGACTGTTTGGGAATAACACTAGCCACGAGGCTGGGCCGAGGAGCACCTACCTCGCTATTCGCTGTTCTGTTCCCTGCAGGCTCTTGGTCCATTACAGCAGCATGTGTAGGAGACGGAAGTCAACAAAAGAGCTCGGAGGGCACTTCTGGGTCCTCATTTCATAAGCAGATACCAACAAACAGGGGGAGGCCATAGGTGCCTGAGGTCCCTCAGTTGCCAACAGCAGACTCAGACATTCTATCTCTCTGAGCTCAAGGACCCATCCCATGAATAGCTCTGAGTTCCCATCCCATTGATTCTGTCTCCCACTTTCTGCCTGTCATGGAACCTTCTCCTGGATGTGAGTGGCTGCAGGGGACATGAGGATACAGTTCAGAATCAGGCAACGGTCTGTGAGCTGAAAGCAGGGACAGGGAGTCTGGTGCCCTCTCTAGAAAGTCCTGCCTCTGTGGCTGCTGCCTTGGGCCAGGGACCATCCTACCTGTGAGGAACACACACCTGAGTGCTCCCATCCTGCTTCCCCACATGGCCCTGAGCTCTCTGGCCTCTCCTTCGTGAGACTTACTTTTCTTGTTGGAGCACCAGCGATGAAGGAGAAAGAAGAGGAGGAGGATGAAGAGGATGATGACCACTGAGGTCCCAATCAGAACGTGCAGGTGTCTTGGGTTACCTGGAAGAAGATGAGACACCAATAAGAAGCTAATCATAGCAGTTCCTCTTTATGAATTGTCTCGCATTTCTTGATTGACAGGTAACCACGTAAAACACCTCTTTAGGACAAGCACCCAGATGGCGGGAGACCCAGCTTTCTCCTGCTTTCTCAGTTATAGCTCTCAAAGTAACCATAGAATGTGCTGAGGACACAACTACTTTAGTTGAGATGTTTGACCCCTTCAAACCTCACATTGAAATTTCACCCCCATTGTGGGAGGTTGGGCCTCTTGAGAGGTGTTTGGGTCATGGAGGTGGATCCATCATGAACAGATCAATGCTGTCCCAAGGAGACGGGGTTAGCTAGTTCCCCCTCTATTAGTTCCTGGAGAGCTGGTTGTTCAAAAGAACTTGGAAGCTCCATCGCTCCCCCTCCCCCTTGCTCCCTCTCTTGCCGTGTGATCTCTGTGGTCTCTGCACAGACAGACCCTCCTTCCCTTCTGCCAGAGTGGGAGCAGCCTGAGGCCATCACGAGAAATAGATGCTGGTGCCATGCTTCCAGTACAGCCTGCAGAACGGTGAGGCAAACCAATCTCTTTTCTTTAGAAGTTGCCCAGGCTCAAGTGTTCCTTTAGAGCAACAAAAATGGACTAAGACAGCAACGTCCTGAGATCAGGAGGAACGTCCCAGAGCAGCCTGGGCTGTCTTCCTGTTCTTCCTGGAGGAGGACGTCATGCAGTGCTTTAGCTGAGTGCTTCCTGTGGCTCCAGGGTACAAAACCCAGGCTGGGCTGCTTTCTGGCTTCCCCCAGCTACACTGCAAATGGGGTGACTCCATATGTCCCGAGCAGCTTTTCTGAGCCTTGAGGGACTGGCTCACATTGAAATGTAGGCTTCTGTTTTCACTCGCTGCTTATCTGTTAGTAATGAACCTGCCTATGTAACGTATTCTCTGTGTGTTCTGTCTCCCTGGAGTGACGGTGAGTGATAGGAATTGGCGTAGGCCCAGGTGCAGTCTAGGAGGTGTTTAGGGTCTTTTCTGGGAAGACTGCACTGGGATTGACACACAGCGAATGTGCTTTAGGATTTCTACATCCACAGCATTCTTGAGTCAAACAACTTGCGTTCTCCAAGGAAAGGAAACAAAAGTGAAATCAAGATAAAAAAGCGAAATAGAGTTATCTTATGTCCAACAGCCAGGAAATCGTGTTGAAGCCCCTGTGAAACGTCCTACTCTTTGTGATCTCGGGAGACACATGTTAGGCTGCTGTTCTACCTGAGAGGCTGGGGGAAGGACCACCCCCTCCACCATCTATTGCTTCAATACCACCTGTCCTCCTGTGAATTAGTAGGAAAGGGGAGCAGGAGCTAGTGCTGGTGCTGATCTCTCATTCCAAGATCTGGACTCACTCCAAGGAGTATTAATGTTTACCTCCCCATGGTCTATCTGAATCTCCACAGGTGATTGGAAGTAGGGGTGAAGTGGGGGATTTGAGTGAGAGGGCAAGTTTTTTTTGTGATGAACAGAGCACTTTCTCTATTCCACGATCTGTGCTGGAGGATTCAGCAGGCTTTCACATTTTCTATATGGTCTCATGCTCACAGAAAGCCAAATACGGAAGAGGTTTTAGGCTCATTGCCTAATGGATAAGACAAAGGATCAAAGAAGTAATTATAGAGAAATACAAAAATGATGATTGGAATTCAGGTGCCTTTGTCATTCGTGTGTGTTTTATTATATTTATGCATTTCTTATTTTTATTTTTTGAGACGGAGTCTCCTTGTGTCACCCAGGCTGGAGTGCAGTGATGCAATCTCCACTCACTGCAACCTCCACCTCCTGGGTTGAAGTCGTTCTCCTGCTTCATCCTCAAGAGTAGGAGCTGGGATTACAGGGATGCACCACCATGCTCGGCTAATTTTTGTATTTTTCATAGAGACAGGGTTTCACCATTTTGGCCAGGCTGGTCTGGAACTCCTGACTTCAAGTGATCCACCCGCCTTGGCCTCCTGCAGTGCTGGGAATTGCCTTTTCCACGGCCTGAGCATGGGGCCGTGGCTGAATGAGTCAGTGAGTCGAAGTGTGCGTGCATGAGCTCCGTTCTCTGTTAAGGCAAAGCTCTTGCTCTGCTGAGTCAGCCAGGGTTGCTTCATGACCAACAGTAATTCATTCCTGGGCAAGTGGAACTTCTCTAAAACACCTCGCCCTCATCAAATGTTCCCTACCCTTCCCTCTCTCAAGCCCCCAGGAATTTATCCTCCAGTTAGGAATGCAGGCAGAACAAACATTGCATTTTTCCTGAGAAGGATGTCAGATTGCCAATCATTTTTCTAGCTTGTAGGAGATCTCAGCTCCATAAAATGAGAGATTAAGAGATTTCACAGAGCCCTGTTTTGGGTCCAGATCCCTTTCGCTGTTGGAGTATCTGGAGTTTGGAGATGGTAGAAGACAGGCGTACAATGTCAGAGCTGTGAGATGCTGAGTCAACGCCTGAATCCAAGGTTTCCACCTCCCCAGGTTTCCAAAAGCGGATATAAGAGGGTTCTGTACTCACCGGTTTTGGAGCTTGGTTCAGTGGGTGAAGGCCAACTATTTGAAGGGTTTCCTAGAACATGAGACAGGAGAGAGGTGAGGAAATGAGGGTGTCTGTCCTCTACTCAGTGGAAATCTTTGAGGTTGGTTCATGGCCAACACTCTGTTATCTAATATTGGGCCCTGGGAGTCCTGGGATCCTTTTTTCCGTAATTTTTGTATGTGACGGCTACTGTCTTGAGACTTCAAGGTATAAAGAGAAAACAGGAGCATCACACTACCTGATCTCAAAATATGTTACAGAGCTGTAGTAAGCAAGACAGCATGACGTTGGCATGAAGAAAGGCACATAGAACAACGGAGCAGAATGAATAACACAGATATAATCCATGCATTTACCTCCAATGTATTTTTTGTTTTTCTTTTGAGATGGAGTCTTGCTCTGTCACCCAGGCTGGAGTGCAGAGGTGCAATCTCGGTTCACTGCCACCACAGCCTCCTGGGTTCAATCACTTCTCTTGCCTCAAACTCCTGAGTAGTGGTATTACAGGTGCTGACCACCATGCTCAGCTAATTTTTATATTTTTAGTGGAGACGATGTTTCATCACGTTGGCCAGACTAATCTTGAACTCTTGGCCTCAGGTGATCCACCCACCTCGGGCTCCCAAAGTGCTGAAATTGCAGGTGTCAGCCACCATGCCCAGCCCATCCAATGGACTTTGACAAAGGTGCCAAGAACTCACAATCAGGAAAGGACAGTCTTTTCAATAAACAGTGCAGGGAAACCTGGACATCGACATGCAGAGGAATGAAACTGCACCTCTGCCTGTCACTATACACAAAAATCAAATGAAAATGGATTAAAGATGTGAGTCTAAGGCCTGAACCTATGAAACACGTAGAAGAAAATATTGGGGAAATGCTCCAGGACGTTTGTCTGAAGGAAGACATTTTGTTTTAAACCTTCAAAACACAAGTAATCGAAGCAAAAATAGACCATTGGGATTACCTCAAACTAAGCAACTTCTGCACCGCTAAAAATAAACCAACAAAGTGAAGAGACAACCCACAGATTGGGAGCAAATATGTGCAAACTATGCATCTGAGATGGGATTAATAACTAGAAATATAAGAAGCTCAAACAACTCAATAAAACAAATGATTTAATTGAAACAGGAGCAAAAGACATGAAATTTCCCCACATACGAAAAAGTGCTCAGTATCACTCATCATCAGAGAAACACAAATTAAAATCAAAGTGAGTTTTCATCTCACCCCATTAAAATGGCTTTTAGGCCGGGCGTGGTGGCTCACGTCTGTCATCCTAGAACTTTGAGAGCCTGAGGTGGGTGAATCTCATAAGGTCGGGAGTTTGAGACCAGTCTGACCCACATGGAGAAACACTGTCTCTACTAAAAATACAAAAATTAGTCGGGCGTGGTGGCGTGTGCCTGTAATTCCAGCTACTCGGGAGGCTGAGGCAGGAGAATCGCTTGAACCTGGGAGGTGGAGGTTGTGGTGAGCCGAGATCGCACCACTGCACTCAGCCTGGGTGACAAGAGCGAAACTCCATCTCAAAATAAAATGAAATAAAATAAAATGGCTTTTAGCTGCAAGACAGGCAAAAGAAATGCTGGCAAGGTGTTAGAGAAAGGAGAATCCTGGTATCCTGTTGGTAGGAGTGTAAATTAGTACAGCCATTACGGAGAAAAGTGTGGAAGTCCTTTAAAGAACTAAAAAGAGGTTGGGTGAGGTGGATCATGCCTGTAATCCCGGCACTTTGGGAGACCGAGGCGGGCACCTCAGTTGAGGTCATGAGTTTGAGAGCAGCCCAGCCAACATGGGGAAACCGCATCTATACTAAAAAAAACAAAAAGTAGCCAGGCATGGTGGCGTGCGCCTATAATCCCTGATACTAGGGAGGCTGAGGCAGGAAAATCATTTGAACCCAGGAGGCAGAGGTTGCAATGAGCCAAGATGACATCACTTGTACTCCAGCCTGGGCACAGAGGGAAACTGTCTCAAAAACAAAAACAAAACAACAAACGAAAAACTAAAAAGAGAACTTTCATAGTATCCAGCAATTTCACTACTGGGTTTATATCCAAAGGAAAGTAAATCAATATATCGAAGTGATATCTGCACTCGTATGATTGGTGCAGCACTCTTCACAGTAGCCAAGATGAGGAGTCAACCTACCTGCCCATCAGTGGGTGAATGGATAGAGAGAATGTGGTACATTTGCATAGTGGAGACTACTCTTCCATAGAAAGAAAAACATCCTGATATTTGCAGCCACATGGATGGAACTGGAGGTCATTACAAAGATTCCCATTTCTTACCCATATACAGGAGCTAAAAGGTGGATCTCATGAAGGTAGAGAGTAGAATGGTGGCTACCAGAGGCCAGGAAGAAAAGGGTGGAGGGTAAAAAAAAATATGTGTATATATATATATATTAATGTATTTATGACCACTAGACTTTACACTTAAAAATGGTAAATGTGGCTGGGCGTGGTGGCTCATGCCTGTAATCCCAGCACTTTGGGAGGCTGATGCGGGTGGATCACGTGGTCAGGAGTTCGAGACCAGCTTGACCAACATGGTGAAACCCCCTCTCTACTAAAAATACAAAAAGTAGCCTGGCATGGTGGTGCGCGCCTGTAGCACCAGCTACTCAGGTGGCTGAGGCAAGAGAATCGCTTGAACCCAGGAGGCGGAAGTTGCAGTGAGCTGAGATTGTGCCAATGCACTCCAGCATAGGGGACAGAGCTAGACTCCGCCTCAAAAAAAAAATGTTAAAGGTGGTAAGCTATATAGGTATATTTATCCTCAATAAATATTTCTCAAACAAAAGTAAAGGGTGTAGGGGTTGCAGGTGATGACATCCCTGTGTGGGTGGGAGGCCAGGATGGGCTTCTGGGAAATGGGTAATGTTGAGGGGCTGAGGGAACCTCTGATCTTCCCAAACTGAGCCCAGTCTCCCTCCTCTGGGTCTCTCCTGACCGCTTTCTCCATCTGCCTGGGTGCCTGGAGTCCTGGCCGCAGGCCTTCATGCAGGCCATGTAGGAGGGTTTGGAGGTGCCCTGTCTGCCATCCTGTGCCCTGATCCCTCCCTCACACCCAAGCTTCGTCTTCTCTCTGCATCTGTTCATCCTTCTCTCCATCCTCAGCAGGAAGCTCCTCAGCTAAGGCTCTAGGATCATAGGACATGGGACAGCCATGGGCTTTCCTCACCTGTGACAGAAACAAGCAGTGGGTCACTCGAGTTTGACCACTCGTAGGGAGAGTCACGGAAAGAGCCGAAGCATCTGTAGGTTCCTCCGTGGGTGGCAGGGCCCAGAGGAAAGTCAGCCTGGAATGTTCCGTTGACCTTGGGCCCTGCAGAGAACCTACGTTCATGGGCCTCCCCCTCCCTGGATAGATGGTACATGTCATAGGAGCTCCGGGAGCTGCAGGACAAGGTCACGCTCTCTCCTGCCAGAACCGTGGGGCCCGGCTGGGCTGAGAGAGAAGGTTTCTCATATAGACCTGGAAGGAGAAGAGGCATTTTCCTTACGGAGGATCTTCCTTGTCACAGCTCCCTTCACCTGAGCTGAGAACTCACTCCCCTGCTCTATGACCTAATGCTCTCTCTCTCTCTCTCTCTCACCCTCCACCCCATCTCTCTTCATGTCTATTTCCTCCTTCCACCTTCTCTGTCTCTCTAGGTCTCTGACCTCGCTTCCACACCTCTAGATATGTTTTCCCTTTTTGGATTGTTTTATTCTCTCTGACTCTCCTTGGATTGGTTGACTTGATGTTACTTTTTTAAATTCTAAGTTTCTCACTTTGTGTCCTGTTCATAACTTTCTGCATATTTCTATCTATTATCTATCGATCTATCTATTTATCTATTCGGTGCCTATCTACAAATTCTCTACCTGTCATCTATATCTATATATCATCTATGTATCTATCACTTGTCTATCTATCCATCAATCATCTGTTATCTATATCTATGTATCATCTCTCTCTCTATGACTTCTGTCTGCCTCTCTATCTCTATGTATTATCTATCTGTCTTCATCATCATCATCTCTATGTCTCATCTATTAATGAATCAATCAATCATCATCTATGTATCTTTAACCTATTATCTATCATCTACCTATTTATCATCTATCTATATCTATCCATCTATCATCTGTCTTGCTCTGCCTCTCGGTCTCTCTAGTTCTCTTTGGAATCTCTGCAATTCATCCCCACATCTCCATCTTTCTATGTCCTTGTGCCTCTCCCTCAGGAGTCTAATTTTAGTGCTTTTCTCTGCTCCCTTCCATCATTCTCACCACTCCTCTGCCCTCTTTTCTCTCTCTTTATGTGTCTGTGAGTCTCTCAATCTCCTTCCTCTGGCTCATTCTCTGTGTGTTTATGTCTTTGCTTTTTGGTGTCCCTGATTTCTCTCTGTGCCTCTCAGTGATCCTTTCATATGTGGGGTTATTTGGAATGTGAGCCTCAGAATCCAGTCTGGAGACCACAAGTTCACACAGCATACAGGAGTTGGTGTTCTGGGGCCATGATATCCTGGGACGGTTACTCTCCATTACATGGAAGGCAGAGGTGTCAGAATAAACACGGCATCTGTAGGTGCCACAAGGCCTGAGGCCACAGGGCCCAACTCAGGTCAGAAATATGGGTGTCCTTGGGTTCTCCTGGTAGAGAACACTTTGTGGAGGTAAAACAGAAATGAAACTTCTAACCTGTGCCAGGTCTCTGAGCAAAGTCAGCATGGAGGGACACCTCTCTCTGGGACATGTCTGTCTGTCTGTCTCCTTTAACTCCTTCTGTCTTTTCTAACTCCCGGTATGGCCCCTGTGTCTGTCCTCTGTTATGACACCTGGTCTGTACTTGTGTCTCCTGTTTCTCTGTCTCTGTTGGTACAGACCTCACCAAGTCAGTCTCTCTCCATAAGAATACCAAGCTCATCTTCCTTACAACTACCTGGGGGTTCCAAGTCGTGGATCATTCACTCTGCATCCCAATGACAATGAGAAGAATGTCCGGACACTCTCACCTGTGATGACGATGTCCAGAGGGTCACTGGGAGCTGACAACTGATGGGGGAGTGAGTAACAGAACCGTAGCATCTGTAGGTCCCTGCCAGGTCTTCCATCATGGGACCGATGGAGAAGTTGGCCTTGGAAACCCCATCATGGTGCTCTCCAGTGAGGTGCAAAGTGTCGTTAAACTTCCCTTCTCTGTGCAGAAGGAAGTGCTGAAACCTGACATCTGACCAACATTGCAGGATGACTGTCTCTTCTGATTTCACCAGGGGACCTGGGTGGGCCAGGAGGGAAGGTTTTCTGTGGACTCCTAGGAAGAGAGGTTGTGAGTTTAGAAGGTGTCTCTCTTTATCATCCCATCCATGGCACCTAGAATGAGTGAGGCTTCCCCTTGCTGGTGTCTGTCTCTCTCCTTCCTCTCTGTGTCTTCATGTTCTTTTCTGTGCCCATAACTCCTGGTGCAGGTCCTTCCATCTGTCTCCCTCCCTCTTCTCTGTCCCTCTGTCTCTAGTCGCCTCTGATTCCCTTCCCACTGGGCTTAGCCTCATCTCTTGGGGTGTTGTATCTATTTCACACTAATGTCTTTCCTGCTGTTTATGTGGGGGTGAAAGAGGAACCAGGATAGGCTGCACATCCAGCCTCTTATCAGCCTGGTTCAATCTCTTTTGGATGAATTGGAATCCTTGGCAGTAGGTATGAACTGATGAATAAGGCAGGCACCAGTGTCCACACACCCTGTTCCTGGTCGGGACTGGGAGCCACTCTTGCCATGCCTGTGCCTTCTCCATGGTGCCAGCTTCCATAGGCTGGCTCCTGGTGCTGGTTTGAGGAGTATCAACCCCTCCCTATGTGGATGGAGCCTGGTGGTGGCATCATCATCCCACACTTGCTCATCTCGGTGTAGCCAACCTTCCCCTTGTTTGGTTCCTTTAATTAATTAATTAATTATGGAGACAGAGTCTCACTCCTTCACCCCAGCTGGAGTGAAGTGGTGTGGTCTAGGGTCACTGCAACCTCTGTCTCCTGGGTTCAAGTGATTCTCCTGCCCTCAGCCTCCCAAGTCGCTAGGATTACATGCGCCTGCCACCACACCCGGCTATCCTTGTGTTGTTTCTTACCTTGTCCTTGACCTGGGTTCCAGTGTTGGTTTCCTGTTGCTGCTGTAGAAAATTATCAGAAGCATGGCAGCAGGAGAGAGCACACTGACCCATTTCACTACTGGAGACAGAAATAGGACCCTGTTTTTCCTGGGCTAAAATCAAGGCATCTGCAGGGCTTCGTTCCCTCTGGAGACTCTGGAGAATCATTTCCTTGACTTTTCCAACCTCTACAGGCCACCTGCATTCATGGCTCCTGGCCTTCCTCCACCTTCAAAGCTGGTGGAGTCTCCCATTGCGCTGCTCTAATCCCCACTCCCCTCTTCCTCCTCCTTTCATGTGGACCCTTGTGATTACACTGAGCCCAGCGGGACAGTCCAGGCTGTCTCCCCATCTCAAGGTCAACTCATCAACAACCTGAGCTCCATCTTCCCCTTCAGTTCCTTCCCCTATAACATAAATAGTCACAGACTCCAGGGATTAGAATGTAGTCATCACTGGGGACAATTATTCTTCCCACCACAGCACCCATTTCCCTGTATTCAATCCCCCTTTACCCCAAATATAGTCAGGGCCTGGGTGATGGGACCCTCAAGGACACGCCCACCAGAAGCTCTGGGATTCAGGAGGTGGGAAAGGAGAATCCAAGACAGGAGCCCTCTGACCTGTGGCCATGATCACCAGGGTGTTGCTGGGTGCCGACCACCCACTGGGGTAGTGTGGGTGTGAACCCCGACATCTGTACGTCCCTGTGTGTGCTGGGGTCACAGGGCCCATGAAAAGGCTCTTCCAGAATATTCTGTTGTAGAGCTCAGTGCCAGGCACCCCATCTTCCTTTTACAGACTGAAGTTGTTAAACCCAAGATAAGAATGACACCGAAGAATCACATGTCCTGGAGGCACCACAGAGCTGGGCCAGGCAGACAGCAAGGGCTTGTCCTGACCACCTTGGGGAGAAGGAGGCACCGCCTTAGAGAGGAGGATGTGGAGCCACCCCTCCCTCCCTGTGCTCTGAAGATTCTCCTCGCTTTCCAAGTTTCTATGGCTGCTATCACACCTTGGTGCCCAGGGCTAAAGGAAGGACCCATCCCGCAAACACAAGGTGTCTCCCTACAACAAAAGTGTCAGCTGAGAACTTTGAGCAAGTGCTGAGTAAGAGACTCCTACTAGATTTTAATACTGTAAGATTACTCACATAAAACAACACAGGGTAGACATGGGGTGGAGGGCATGTCTTTGAGAATGGAATATCAGCAGATGCCTGAATGAAAATAAGCAACTGAGCCCCCATCAGAGGATTTGGAATGTCAGGGCCATGGCTGTGGTTTCCCACCTCTTCTGGTGGAGTGACAGCAGCCACACTGCAGCCCCTACCGTCATGGAAACGCTGAAGTGTGAGTAACACCTTTGTCCTCAGAGGATCTGCTGTTCCTACCACTTCCCCACCACGCACCCCAGCTTTGAGCACCCCAGTCTAACCCTGGTCCCCACAGAACTTGACTCTGCCAAGGGAATGAAAGGCCAGGGAGGCGAGGTCGGAACTGTGGGCCGAGCACCCCAGGGTCCCCTCTTCCTAGTTTATGAGAGGCTCCCTGACAGGACTTCCCTCCTGTTTCAGGAAAATCCTCTTATGTGGGGAGATGACACCCTAAGGTTTGGAGAAGGACTCACCCTCATGTGGCCAGGCCCCCTGCAGCAAGAAGAACCCTGGAAAGAAAGATCATGATGGACGATCCATCTGCAGGCAAACCAGCCCTCCCTTGCTGCCCTCACTGGGCTGTGAGTCTTGGTAGGCAGGCCCTTCCTGGACTGAAGTTAAACTCACCCTCAGTGCCTACCTGCACCCAAGAACAGGGCTGTCGGCTGTGCAGAGACCCAGCCTCCAAGCCCAGATCCCCACCACAAGCCCATATCCCCACCACAAGCCCATATCTCCACTCCAGGCCAATATTTCCACCCTAGGCCTGTATCTCCACTCCAGGCCCATATCTCCACTCCAGGCCGATATTTCCATCATAGGCCCATATCGCCAATCCAGGCCCATATCGCCAATCCAGGCCAAGATCTCCACTGTAAGCCCATATCTCCAATCCAGGCCCATATCTCCACTCCAGGCTCAGATCTCCAACCTAGGCCCATATCTCCAATCCAGGCCCATATCTCCACACCAGGCCCATATCTCTACTGAAGGCCAGTAACTCCACCTCCAGGCCCATATCTCCACTCCAGGCCCAGATCTCCACCCCAAGCCCATATCTCCACCCCAGGCCCATATCTCTACTGAAGGCCCGTAACTCCACCTCCAGGCCCATATCTCCACCCCAGGCCCAGATCTCCACCCCAAGCCCATATCTCCACTCTAGGCCCATATCTCCTCTCCAGTCCCATATCTCCACAACCAGGCCCATATCTCCATCCTAGGCCCATATTTCCACTCTAGGCCCAGATATCCACCTCTAGGCCCATATCTCCACTCCTGGCCCAAATCTCCACTCCAGGCCCATATCTCTACTATAGGCCTATAACTCCACCTCCAGGCCCATATCTCCACTCCAGGCTCCTATCTCCCCTCCAGGTTCCTATCGGCACTCCAGGCCCAGATCTCCACTTCTAGGCCCATCACTCCATCTCTAGGCCCATATATCCACTCCAGGCCCAGATCTCCACTCCAGGCCCACAACTCCACCTCCAGGCCTATATCTCCACCTCTGGGCCCAGATCTCCAACCCCACACTCCCTTCCTCTATTCCCTTCCAGGACTCACCAACACACGCCATGCTGACGACCGTGAGCGACATGGTGCTGCCGGTGCAGACAGGCGGCCGTGCCCCAGCTCAGCTCAGCAGCGCACAGGATGTTATTTGGCGCCCTGCCCATGCAGTTTACATGTTGACCACATCATGGGAGGGTGACGTACGCAGGCTCATTCTACCTTGCATGAGGCCCAGTGGGTGCTCGCTCAAGAGCGGAACACGGCTTCCTGGAAATTGTTCTCACTAGAATTTACACCTAGCGTCCTTCACTATGACCAACTCAAAACACGTCTCAGATCCAACCTCCTGAACACGAGATGCCTAAAATCTGTGCTAACGTGAAAGACTTTTCATGTATTTTTATTGTTTTTATCTGAGATTCAAACTCTTCTTCATGTGTAATATGCAAAATATTTAATAGGTATTATTAAGGTTTTCAGAGTCATTGTGACTAATAAACCATTAGAATTTTTCATGCTTGTATTTCTAGTATTACAGCAGAACCAGTTAAAATGATTTAAATTCCCAGGGAAGGATTATGCAATTATTTACAATGTTAGAATTGTACTTTATCAGCAAAAACCACACCTGTAAATTCTGGAGTTTTGTAGTTTAATCTAAAATTTGTCTCATGACCCAAGATTCCAGAGTCCCAACTCTGGAGTTTGATCTCTCTCTGTCTCTCTGCCTCCCTCATTTTAAATTTTACAGAAATATCCAGTAACATAATGCTATAGAAAATCAAGTTTCCCCAGCACGTCGGGAAGCCGAGGTGGGCGGATCAACTGAGATGAGGGGATTGAGAGCAGCCTGGCCAACATAGTGAAACCGTGTCTCTGCTAAAAATCCAAAAATTAGCCATGCCTGGTGGCAGGCACCTGTAACGCCAGCTACTCAAGAGGCTGAGGCACGAGAATCGCTTGAACCTGGGAGGCGGAGGTTGCAGTGAGCTGAGATTGTGTCACTGCAGTCCAGCCTGGGCGACAGAGCAAGACTCCGCCTCAAGAAAAAAAAAAGCAAATAGCCTATAATAACAAATTAGAGGGCTCTGGCTACTAAATTTAAAGGGTTCTATAAGGCTACATAAAGTGTAGCATCATCAAGTGTGTGGACACAGACAGCCCCTTAGCAGAAACTGTCTAAAATACATCCATGTACACACAGTCCCTTTAGAGTTGACAAAGGCTGCCGTGTGGTTTAAGGTGGCATAGAATGTCTTCTCAATAAATAATATTAAACCAATGGGTTACACCTAGTAAAAAATAAATCTAACTCACACTATAAAAACACTTCTTAGTTTTTATCTAGTTGTACATTTTTTGATTTATATTTAAATTTGAGAAATAAAAGTCATATACGGTCATCCTTCACTATTCGTGGGTGATTGGTTTCGAGATCTCCACTCAGATACCAAAATCTGTAGATGCTCAAGCCTCTTATATGAAATGGCACAGCGCTTGCAAATAACATATGCACATCCTCCTGTATACATGAAATCATCTCTTGATTACTTATAATTCCTGATACAGCCTACACACAGCTTCATTTGTGTCCATTCAACATAGTTATGAGTTTTGGAACTCTGTGGATATTTTCTCTGAATATTTTTGATTTATACTTTGTTCAATAAAGACCTGTAAACCCCACAGATACGGAGGAGTGACCGTATATTTATAGTATGAAAGATGATGTGTTGATATGTGTCCCCATGGAGATGAGACTAACAAGGCCTATGACTCTACAAATGTTTCATCGTGGAATGACTCTGCCAGCTTTCCAGGTCTGCAGAGAGTAACAATGTCACTTGTTCATGTGATTCCCGATCCTTGGAACCTCCTATGTGCTGCATCTTTGGATGGAAATTGGAGTCCCAGAGACAAATGAGGCTCCACACTGCTTCCAGAAGCTCAGAGTCCAGAGGTGAGAACCCGGTGGAGAACAGATGGGATTATATGGACATGGTACTGATAACACCGGAAGCCTTAGGCAAGAAAAGAGTCCCATTACCTAAACCATGAGGGCAGACATGTTTATTTGAAGGAGGGAAAACTACATTGAAATTATTTTAAAAAATATATAAGTTTTACTGCTGACAGAAGGCTGAAAGCTAGTCTGAGGGGAGGTGGAACAGCATGAGGGAAGGTGGAACAGCACGTGTCTAAGTGCCGTGTTAAGAGGGAGCCTCTTGTATGTTTGGAATTGTGAGTTCCTCAGTGTGATTGCAGCCTCAAGTAGACTAGGAAGTAAGCCAGTTAGGTTGGAGAGGTGGGCAGGGGTCAAGTGAAATGGAGAATTGTGGGCTAAGCAAAGGAGTGTGTTTTCTCTCCAGCAGGCAGTGGGGACCTTAGACATTTGTAAGCAAGGGAGAGGCACGTTCAGATTTGTGGTGTGAGGAAGAGCGATGCCCTAAGATGCAGACTCACGCCTTCAGATTCCAGCTGCTGGTACATTGGAGCTGGCAACCCAGTTTTGAGACAGGGCTGTTGTCTCCCTAGAAGATCCCCTCAAGGCCTGACTGTGGTGCTCATGGGCAGGAGACAACTTTGGATCAGGGCTCAGCATTTGGAAGTTCCGTGTACACGATGATATCTGTTGGGGGTGTCTTGGGCCTCTGAGAAGGGCGAGTGATTTTTCTCTGTGTGAAAACGCAGTGATTCAACTGTGCATATGTCACCTCCTGAGGGTCTTGTTCATCAGAGTCCTGGAGAGAGGGAAATGCTGAGTGAGGGAGGGTGCTCACATTTTCCAGGACTCTTTGGGAATAACACTAGCCACGAGGCTGGGCCGAGGAGCACCTACCTCCCTGTTCACTGTTCTGTTCCCTGCAGGCTCTTGGTCCATTACAACAGCATCTGTAGAAGACGGAAGTCAACAAAACAGCTCAGAGGGCACTTCTGGGCCCTCATTTCATAAGCAGATACCAACATACAGGGGGAGACCATAGGAGCCTGAGGTCCCTCAGTTGCCAACAGCAGACTCAGACATTCTATCTCTCTGAGCTCAAGGACCCATCCCATGAATAGCTCTGAGTTCCCATCCCATTGATTCTGTCTCCCACTTTCTGCCTGTCATGGAACCTTCTCCTGGATGTGAGTGGCTGCAGGGGACATGAGGATACAGTTCAGAATCAGGCAATGGTCTGTGAGCTGAAGGCAGGGACAGGGAGTCTGGTGCTCTCTCTAGAAAGTCCTCCCTCTGTGGCTGCTGCCTTGGGCCAGGGACCATCCTGTCTGTGAGGAACACACACCTGAGTGCTCCCATCCTGCTTCCCCACATGGCCCTGAGCTCTCTGGCCTCTGCTTCGTGAGACTTACTTTTTTTGTTGCAGCACCAGCGATGAAGGAGAAAGAAGAGGAGGAGGATGAAGAGGATGATGACCACTGAGGTCCCAATCAGAACATGCAGGTGTCTGGGGTTACCTGGAAGAAGAGGAGACACCAATAAGAAGCTAATCATAGCAGTTCCTCTTTATGAATTGTCTCACATTTCTTGATTGACAGGTAACCACATACAACACCCCTTTAGGACAAGCACCCAGATGGAGGGAGACCCAGCTTTCTCCTGCTTTCTCAGTTATAGCTCTCATAGTAACCATAGAACGTGTTGAGGATACAACTACTTTAGTTGAGATGTTTGACCCCTTCAAACCTCACATTGAAATTTCACCCCCACTGTGGGAGGTTGGGCCTCTTGAGAGGTGTTTGGGTCATGGAGGTGGATCCATCATGAACAGACCAATGCTGTCCCAAGGAGACGGGGTTAGCAAGTTCCCCTTCTATTAGTTCCTGGAGAGCTGGTTGTTCAAAAGAGCTTGGAAGCTCCATCGCTCCCCCTCCCCCTTGCTCCCTCTCTTGCCGTGTGATCTCTGTGGTCTCTGCACAGACAGACCCTCCTTCCCTTCTGCCAGAGTGGGAGCAGCCTGAGGCCGTCACGAGAAATAGATGCTGGTGCCACGCTTCCAGTACAGCCTGCAGAACTGTGAGGCAAACCAATCTCTTTTCTCTAGAAGTTACCCAGGCTCAAGTGTTCCTTTAGAGCAACAAAAATGGACTAAGACAGCAACGTCCTGAGATCAGGAGGAACGTCTCAGAACAGCCTGGGCTGTCTTCCTGTTCTTCCTGGAGGAGGACGTCATGCAGTGCTTTAGCTGAGTGCTTCCTGTGGCTCCACAGTACAAAACCCAGGCTGGGCTGCTCTCTGGCTTCCCCCAGCTACACTGCAAATGGGGTGACTCCATATGTCCCGAGTAGCTTTTCTGAGCCTTGAGGGACTGGCTCACATTGAAATGTAGGTTTCTGTTGTCACTCGCTGCTTATCTGTTAGTAATGAACCTGCCTGTGTAATGTATTCTCTGTGTGTTCTGTCTCCCTGGAGTGACGGTGAGTGATAGGAATTGGCATAAGCCCAGGTGCAGTCCAGGAGGTATTTAGAGTCTTCTCTGGGAAGACTGCACTGGGATTGATACACAGCGAATGTGCTTTAGGATTTCTACATCCACAGCATTCTTGAATCAAACAACTTGCATTCTCCAAGAAAAGGAAACAAAAGTGAAATCAAGATAAAAAAAGCTAAGTAGAATTCTCTTATGTCAAATGGCCAGGAAATAGTGTTGAAGCCCGTGTGAAACGTGCTACTCTTTGTGATCTCGGGAGACACATGTTAGGCTGCTGTTCTACCCGAGAGGCTGGGGGAAGGACCACCCCCTCGGCCATCTATTGCTTCAATACCACCTGTCCTCCTGTGAATTAGTAGGAAAGGGGAGCAGGAGCTAGTGCTGGCACTGATCTCTGATTCCAAGATCTGGACTCACTCCAAGGAGTATCAATGTTTACCTCCCCATAGCCTATCTGAATCTCCACAGGTGATTGGAAGTAGGGGTGAGGTGGGGGATTTGGGTGAGTGGGCAAGTTTTTTGTTGCGATGAACAGAGCACTTTCTCTATTCCACGATCTGTGCTGGAGGATTCTGAGGGCTTTCACATTTTCTATGTGATCTCATTCTCACAGAAAGCCAAATAGGGAAGAGGTTTTAAGCTCATTGCCTAATGGATAAGATAAAGGATCAAAGAAGTAATTATAGAGAAATAGAAAAACGATGATTGGAATTCAGGTGCCTTTGTCATTCGTGTGTGTTTTATTATATTTATGTATTTCTTATTTTTATTTTTTGAGATAGAGTCTCCTTGTGTCCCCCAGGCTGGAGTGCAGTGATGCAATCTCCACTCACTGCAACCTCCACCTACTGGGTTGAAGTCATTCTCCTGCTTCATCCTCCAGAATAGGAGCTGGGATTACAGGGATGCACCATCGTGCTCGGCTAATTTTTGTATTTTTAGTAGAGATAGGGTTTCACCACGTTGGCCAGGCTGGTCTGGAACTCCTGACTTCATGGAATCCACCCACCTTGGCCTCCTGCAGTGCTAGGTTACAGGCGTGAGCCACTGTTCACAGACTTGTATATTATGCTATAATAAGTCTCTTCATTTCCACCACCACTCATATATCTGTCACTCCTTTGCCAGGTATTGATTTATGTGTAGGATGAATAAATCTCAGAAAGAAATTAATTAAGCGAGGATTAAACAAGTAGGAAAATCAAACCCAGTAAGCGTTTCCAGTCAATGATTCTACCTCACAAACATATCTTATATCCATCTACTTCATTCATTTAGTGTCTAAATCAGCACCACATTTCACCAGTGGGGTGGCAATTGCCTTTTCCACGGTCTCCTAGATTCCAGTTATGCAACTGAGCCTCCCTTATTTTCATGTCAGTCATATTAATCATGTAGGGATTCCTGGTTACCCCGAGGTGAATCCAATGGCTGTGAGTGTCAAACACACACTCCTTGTTGCTCCTTAGTTTCCTGTGTACCCAGTGTGCTCTCCGTCTCTCTACAGTCGTCTTGTCATTCTCCCCACATCATTCCCAGCATTTGAGGCAGAGCCTCTTCCTTCCACATCAGATTGTTTTCACCTTTGTGCCTTCACGGCTGACAGCTGTGTGTGCAAAATCCTTCCGCCAATCTTTCAGGGGTTCAATCCGTGTTTTTCATTAATGTCACAAATATCTGAATAGTGAGACCTTCTTTGTCACCTGAAATCATACACTCAGCATTATCTATTATTGATTTTGAATTCTGGCTGGGCACAGTGGCTCACGCCTGTAGTCCCATTACTTTGGCATGCTGAGACGGTCGGATCACTTGAGGTTGGGAGTTTCAGACAAGCTTGGCCAACGTGGTGAAACATCCTCTCTACAAAAAATATACAAAAAGAATTAGCCGGGCACGGTGGCAGTTGCCTGTAATCCCAGCTACTCGAGAGGCGGAGGCAGGAGAATCACTTGAATCCAGGAGACGCAGGTTGCAGTGAGCCAAGATCGTGACACTGCACTGTAGCCTGGAAGACAGAGGGCGACTCTGTCTCAATAAACAAAAGAACAAACAAAAAATAGATTTCATGCACAGATGCTTCCCAATGGATCATTCATTTATAGATCCACTTGTGCATTCATTTTCTGCCCTCCCATTTAACCATCTGCAATATCAGTGTCCCAAGGGCAGAAGCCAAATGCATCTTGTTCACCGTTTGTGGAAGGCAGGAGAATGCTGTCCCACCCCAAAATGTCCCTGTCCTAGCCTCCATAGCTTGTGAATATGTTATTTTACATGGAAAGGAGGAATGAAGATTGTAGATGGAATTGCGGTTGCTAATCAGCTGAACTTAAAACAAGGGTATCCTGGATGATTTCCAGGAGATTATGAGGGATTTTCATCTTGGTGAACCCAATAGAATCCCCAAGTTTTCAAAAGATAAGGAAGAAGGGAGAGCAGCATTCAGAGAAAGAGGTGTGGTAAGGAAGAAGGCACTGAGTGATGCCATGTGAGATGTGACCAGTCTTTGTGGGCTTTGAGGAAGGAGGAAGGGGAACAGGAGCCAAGGAACTGGGAGCCTTTAGAAGCTGGGATAAGTGAGAAGCAGATTCTTGCCTGGAATCCTCAGAGGGAAGGCAGCCTTGCTGTCACCTTGATTTTAGCCCAGTAAGATGCACTTCCTACTTTGAGCTACAGCACTGTAAGATAATTAAAAAACCGTTTTGTTTTCACCCACGAATCTTGTGGAAATTTGTTATGGCAACAATAGGAAAAGGTTCCGCACTGCACAGCCTGAGCATGGGGCCGTGGCTGAATGAGTCAGTGAGTCGAAGTGTGCGTGCATGAGCTCCGTTCTCTGTTACGGCAAGGCTGTTGCTCTGCTGAGTCAGCCAGGGTTGCTTCATGACCAACAGTAATTCATTCCTTGGCAAGTGGAACTTCTCTAAAACACCTCGCCCTCATCAGATGTTCCCTTCCCTTCCCTCTCTCAAGCCCCCAGGAATTTATCCTCCAGTTAGGAATGCAGGCAGAACAAACATTGCATTTTTCCTGAGAAGGATGTCAGATTGGCAATCATTCTTCTAGCTTGTAGGAGGTCTCAGCTCCATAAAATGAGAGATTAAGAGATTTCACTGAGCCCTAGGTTGGGCCCAGATCCCTTTCGCTGTTGGAGTATCTGGAGTTCGGAGATGGTAGAAGACAGGCGTACAATGTCAGAGCTGCGAGATGCTGAGTCAATGCCTGCATCGAAGGTTTCTACCTCCCCAGGTTTCCAAAAGCGGATATAAGAGGGTTCTGTACTCACCGGTTTCGGAGCTTGGTTCAGTGGGTGAAGGCCAACTATTTGAAGGGTTTCCTAGAACACGAGACAGGAGAGAGGTGAGGAAATGAGGGTGTCTGTCCTCTACTCAATGGAAATCTTTGAGGTTGGTTCATGGCCAACACTCTGTTATCTAATATTGGGCCCTGGGAGTCCTGGGATCCTTTTTTCCGTAATTTTTGTATGTGACGCCCACTGTCTTGAGACTTCAAGGTATAAAGAGAAAACAGGAGCATCACACTACCTGATCTCAAAATATGTTACAGAGCTGTAGTAAGCAAAACAGCATCACATTGGCATAAAGAAAGGCACGTAGAACAATGGAGCAGAATGAAGAACACAGATATAATCCATGCATTTACCTCCAATGTTTTTTTCTTTTTTCTTTTGAGATGGAGTCTCGCTCTGTCACCCAGGCTGGAGTGCAGAGGTGCAATCTCGGTTCACTGCCACCACAGCCTCCTGGGTTCAATCAATTCTCTGGCCTCAAACTCCTGAGTAGTGGTATTACAGGTGCTGACCACCATGCTCAGCTAATTTTTATATTTTTAGTGGAGACAATGTTTCATCACGTCGGCCAGACTAATCTTGAACTCCTGGCCTCAGGTGATCCACCCGCCTTGGGCTCCCAAAGTGCTGAAATTGCAGGTGTCAGCCACCATGCCCAGCCCATCCAATGGACTTTGACAAAGGTGCCAAGAACTCACAATCAGGAAAGGACAGTCTTTTCAATAAACAGTGCAGGGAAACCTGGACATCTACATGCAGAGGAATGAAACTGCACCTCTACCTGTCACTATACACAAAACTCAAATGAAAATGGATTAAAGATGTGAGTCTAAGGCCTGAACCTATGAAACACGTAGAAGAAAATATTGGGGAAATGCTCCAGGACATTTGTCTGAAGGAAGACATTTTGTTTTAAACCTTCAAAACACAAGTAATCGAAGCAAAAATAGACCATTGGGATTACCTCAAACTAAGCAACTTCTGCACCGCTAAAAATAAACCAACAAAGTGAAGAGACAACCCACAGATTGGGAGCAAATATGTGCAAACTATGCATCTGAGATGGGATTAATAACTAGAAATATAAGAAGCTCAAACAACTCAATAAAACAAACGATTTAATTGAAAAAGGAGCAAAACACATGAAATTTCCCCACATACTAAAAAGTGCTCAGTTTCACTCATCATCAGAGAAACACAAATTAAAATCAAAGTGAGTTTTCATCTCACCCCATTAAAATGGATTTTAGGCCGGGCGTGGTGGCTCACGTCTGTCATCCTAGACCTTTGAGAGCCTGAGGTGGGTGAACCTCATAAGGTCGGGAGTTTGAGACCAGTCTGACCCACATGAAGAAACACTGTCTCTACTAAAAATACAAAATTTAGTTGGGCGTGGTGGCGTGTGCCTGTAATTCCAGCTACTCGGGAGGCTGAGGCAGGAGAATCGCTTGAACCTGGGAGGTGGAGGTTGTGGTGAGCCGAGATCGCACCACTGCACTCCAGCCTGGGTGACAAGAGCGAAACTCCATCTCAAAATAAAATGAAATAAAATAAAATGGCTTTTAGCTGCAAGACAGGCAAAGGAAATCCTGCCAAAGTGGTAGAGAAAGGAGAACCCTAATACCCTGTTGGTAGGAGTGTAAATTAGTACAGCCTTTACGGAGAAAAGTGTGGAAGTCCTTTAAAGAACTAAAAAGAGGTTGGGTGAGGTGGATCATGCCTGTAATCCCGGCACTTTGGGAGACCGAGGCGGGCACCTCAGTTGAGGTCATGAGTTTGAGAGCAGCCCAGCCAACATGGGGAAACCCCATCTATACTAAAAAAAACAAAAAGTAGCCAGGCATGGTGGCGTGCACCTGTAATCCCAGCTACTAGGGAGGCTGAGGCAGGAAAATCATTTGAACCCAGGAGGCGGAGGTTGCAATGAGCCAAGATGACTTCACTTGTACTCCAGCCTGGGCACAGAGGGAAACTGTCTCAAAAACAAAAACAAAACAACAAACGAATAACTAAAAAGAGAACTTTCATAGTATCCAGCAATTTCACTACTGGGTTTATATCCAAAGGAAAGTAAATCAATATATCGAAGTGATATCTGCACTCGTATGATTGGTGCAGCACTGTTCACAGTAGCCAAGATGTGGAGTCAACCTACCTGCCCATCAGTGGATGAATGGATAGAGAGAATGTAGTACATACGCACAGTGGAGACTACTCATCCATAGAAAGAATAACATCCTGATATTTGCAGCCACATGGATGGAACTGGAAGTCATTACAAAGATTCCCATTTCTCACCCATATACAGAGCTAAAAGGTGGATCTCATGAAGGTAGAGAGTAGAATGGTGGCTTCCAGAGGCCAGGAATAAAAGGGTGGAGGGTAAAAAAAAAAAAAAAAAAAAAAATATATATATATATATATATATATATATATATATGTTTATATATGTGTGTGTGTGTGTATATATATATATATATATATATATATAAATGTATTTATGACCACTAGACTTTACACTTAAAAATGGTAAATGTGGCTGGGCGTGGTGGCTCATGCCTGTAATCCCAGCACTTTGGGAGGCAGATGCGGGTGGATCACGTGGTCAGGAGTTGGAGACCAGCTCGACCAACATGGTGAAACCCCCTCTCTACTAAAAATACAAAAAGTAGCCTGGCGTGGTGGTGCGCGCCTGTAGCACCAGCTACTCAGGTGGCTGAAGCAGGAGAATCACTTGAACCCAGGAGGCGGAAGTTGCAGTGAGCTGAGATTGTGCCACTGCACTCCAGCATAGGGGACAGAGCTAGACTCTGCCTCAAAAAAAAAAAAAATGTTAAAGGTGGTAAGCTATATAGGTATATTTATCCTCAATAAATATTTCTTCAAACAAAAGTAAAGGGTGTAGGGGTTGCTGGTGATGACATCCCTGTGTGGGTGAGAGGCCAGGATGGGCTTCTGGGAAATGGGTAATGTTGAGGGGCTGAGGGAACCTCTGATCTTCCCAAACTGAGCCCAGTCTCTCTCCTCTGGGTCTCTCCTGACCGTTTTCTCCATCTGCCTGTGTGCCTGGAGCCCTGGCCGCGGGCCTTCATGCAGGCCGTGTAGGAGGGTTTGGAGGTGCCCTGTCTGCCATCCTGTGCCCTGATCCCTCCCTCACACCCAAGCTTCGTCTTCTCTCTGCATCTGTCCATGCTTCTCTCCATCATCAGCAGGAAGCTCCTCAGCTAAGGCTCTAGGATCATAGGACATGAGACAGATATGGGGTTTCCTCACCTGTGACAGAAACAAGCAGTGGGTCACTCGAGTTTGACCACTCGTATGGAGAGTCACGGAAAGAGCCGAAGCATCTGTAGGTTCCTCCGTGGGTGGCAGGGCCCAGAGGAAAGTCGGCCTGGAATGTTCCGTTGACCTTGGGCCCTGCAGAGAACCTACGTTCATGGGCCTCCCCCTCCCTGGATAGATGGTACATGTCATAGGAGCTCCGGGAGCTGCAGGACAAGGTCACGCTCTCTCCTGCCAGAACCGTGGGGCCCGGCTGGGCTGAGAGAGAAGGTTTCTCATATAGACCTGGAGGAGAAGAGGCATTTTCCTTACGGAGGATCTTCCTTGTCACAGCTCCCTTCACCTGAGCTGAGAACTCACTCCCCTGCTCTATGACCTAATGCTCTCTCTCTCTCTCTCTCTCACCCTCCACCCCATCTCTCTTCATGTCTATTTCCTTCTTCCACCTTCTCTGTCTCTCTAGGTCTCTGACCTCGCTTCCCCACCTCTAGATATGTTTTCCCTTTTTGGATTCTTTTATTCTCTCTGACTCTCCTTGGATTGGTTGACTTGATGTTACTTTTTTAAATTCTAAGTTTCTCACGTTGTGTCCTGTTCATAACTTTCTGCATATTTCTATCTATTATCTGTCGATCTATCTATTTATCTATTCGGTGCCTATCTACAAATTCTCTACCTGTCATCTATATCTATATATCATCTATGTATCTATCACTTGTCTATCTATCCATCAATCATCTGTTATTTATATGTATGTATCATCTCTCTCTCTATGATTTCTGTCTGCCTCTCTATCTGTACGTATTATCTGTCTTCATCATCATCATCTCTATGTATTATCTATTAATGAATCAATCAATCATCATCTATGTATCTTTAACCTATTATCTATCATCTACCTATTTATCATCTATCTATATCTATCCATCTATCATCTGTCTTGCTCTGCCTCTCGGTCTCTCTAGTTCTCTTTGGAATCTCTGCAATTCATCCCCACATCTCCATGTTTCTATGTCCTTGTGCCTCTCTCTCAGGACTCTAATTTTAGTGCTTTTCTCTGCTCCCTGCCATCATTCTCACCACTCCTCTGCCCTCTTTTCTCTCTCTTTATGTGTCTGTGAGTCTCTCAATCTCCTTCCTCTGGCTCATTCTCTGTGTGTTTATGTCTTTGCTTTTTGGTGTTCCTGATTTTTCTCTGTGCCTCTCAGTGATCCTTTCATATGTGGGGTTATTTGGAATGTGAGCCACAGAATCCAGTCTGGAGACCACAAGTTCACACAGCATACAGGGGTTGGTGTTCTGGGGCCATGATATCCTGGGACGATTACTCTCCATTACATGGAAGGCAGAGGTGTCAGAATAAACATGGCCTGTAGGTGCCACAAGGCCTGAGGCCACAGGGCCCAACTCAGGTCATAAATATGGGTGTCCTTGGGTTCTCCTGGTAGAGAACACTTTGTGGAGGTAAAACAGAAATGAAACTTCTAACCTGTGCCAGGTCTGTGAGCAAAGTCAGCATGGAGGGACACCTCTCTCTGGGACATGTCTGTCTGTCTGTCTCTTTTAACTCTTTCTGTCTTTTCTAACTCCCTGTATGGCCCCTGTGTCTGTCCTCTGTTATGACACCTGGTCTGTACTTGTGTCTCCTGTTTCTCTGTCTCTGTTGGTACAAACCTCAGCAAGTCAGTCTCTCTCCATAAGAATACCAAGCTCATCTTCCTTACAACTACCTGGGGGTTCCAAGTCGTGGATCATTCACTCTGCATCCCAATGACAATGAGAATGTCCGGACACTCTCACCTGTGATGACGATGTCCAGAGGGTCACTGGGAGCTGACAACTGATAGGGGGAGTGAGTAACAGAACCGTAGCATCTGTAGGTCCCTGCAAGGTCTTGCATCATGGGACCGATGGAGAAGTTGGCCTTGGAGACCCCATCATGGTGCTCTCCAATGAGGTGCAAAGTGTCCTTAAACTTCCCTTCTCTGTGCAGAAGGAAGTGCTGAAACCTGACATCTGACCAACATTGCAGGATGACTGTCTCTTCTGATTTCACCAGGGGACCTGGGTGGGCCAGGAGGGAAGGTTTTCTGTGGACTCCTAGGAAGAGAGGTTGTGAGTTTAGAAGGTGTCTCTCTTTATCATCCCATCCATGGCACCTAGAATGAGTGAGGCTTCCCCTTGCTGGTGTCTGTCTCTCTCCTTCCTCTCTGTGTCTTCATGTTCTTTTCTGTGCCCTTAACTCCTGGTGCAGGTCCTTCCATCTGTCTCCCTCCCTCTTCTCTGTCCCTCTGTCTCTAGTAGCCTCTGATTCCCTTCCCACTGGGCTGAGCCTCATCTCTTGGGGTGTTGTATCTATTTCACACTAATGTATTTCCTGCTGTTTATGTGGGGGTGAAAGAGGAACCAGGATAGGCTGCACATCCAGGCTCTTATCAGCCTGGTTCAATCTCTTTTGGATGAATTGCAATCCTTGGCAGAAGGTATGAACTGATGAATAAGGCAGGCACCAGTGTCCACACACCCTGTTCCTGGTGGGGACTGGGAGCCACTCTTGCCATGCCTGTGCCTTCTCCATGGTGCCAGCTTCCATAGGCTGGCTCCTGGTGCTGGTTGGAGGAGTATCAACCCCTCCCTATGTGGATGGAGCCTGGTGGTGGCATCATCATCCCACCCTTGCTGATCTCAGGGTAGCCAACCTTCTCCTTGTTTGGTTTCTTTAATTAATTAATTAATTATGGAGACAGAGTCTCACTCCTTCACCCAGGCTGGAGTGAAGTGGTGTGGTCTAGGCTCACTGCAACCTCTGTCTCCTGGGTTCAAGTGATTCTCCTGCCCTCAGCCTCCTGAGTCGCTAGGATTACATGCACCTGCCACCATGCCTGGCTTTCCTTGGGTTGTTTCTTAACTTGTCCTTGACCTGGGTTCCAGTGTTGGTTTCCTGTTGCTGCTGTAGAAAATTATCAGAAGCATGGCAGCAGGAGAGACCACACTGACACCTTCCAGTACTGGAGACAGAAATTGGACCCTATTTTTCCTGGGCTAAAATCAAGGCATCTGCAGGGCTTTGTTCCCTCTGGAGACTCTGGAGAATCAGTTCCTTGACTTTTCCAGCCTCTATAGGCCACCTGCATTCATGGATCTTGGCCTTCCTCCACCTTCAAAGCTGGTGAAGACTTCCACTGGACTGCTCTAATCCCCACTC